>NC_000001.11:149434587-150059587 GCF_000001405.40 Homo sapiens
TGAGTGGTGAGTGGTGGGATGGGAACTGGTAGAAAGTGTTTTAAAATAGAAGGAATCTGACTATCTGTTTAGACAGCATAATGCTACTGATTCAGCTAAAATATAATGATTGTTTATAGAAATTATAAAAATCCTTGATAAGATCACATTGACAGATGAAGATAACTACTTTTGAAGATTAGTTTTGTACTCAGCTCCACTGTTTTTTCTCACTGTTAGGAGCCTAAGTACCCTATCAGTCTGTGATTAGATTTTGATGCCAGATTAGGAGAACGTGTATAATCTTGCATAAAACTCAATTATTGCTGTTAAATAACTACTGTCAAATCTTAATAAAGCCCTCTCACTACAGGGAGATAAGATATTTTATTCTTTCCCTTGTCCTACTGGGAGGTGTAAATATGTAATTAAATTTGATGTCATTAATCACTTTCAAGTTGTTTGCTTCAGACTTTCAAATATAAACCATTCTAAATCCCAATTTGATTAAAGATCATGGACAACTCAAGTTCACTAGGATTCTGGGGGTAGGTTAGGTTATGATTTGTATAATTGACAAAATATGTATTTTAAGGACATTTATTGTAGTTATTTAAAATCTTTGTCTGCTGGTTCTTAACATCTGGGTTGTCTATGGATGTGTTTCTGTTTCTATCAACTGCTCCTTCTTTGGACCATGGGTATGACTTCCCTTTACTTTACACATGTATGGTAGTTTTACATTACTTACTGGACATTGTGGGTGATAGATTTTAAAGTTTATCTCCCACTAAAGAATGTTGAATTTTGTCAAGATTGGCAGATCATCTTGATCTTATGGATGCTAGGTTTTAGGACACGTTAGGGTGGGCCTACTTCTGTTCTGCCCTTAGTCCGATGACACAAATCTTAGTCATGAGATAGGGCTCTTATTCCCAAGATGTGACCCTTCTAGGGGTTCAGTGGAAAGTGTGAGGGGCCTACCAAGCCCTGAGGTGTTCATTAAGCCCCTCTAAGGCAGAACTTGTCCTCCCAGCCCCAGGAGCCTTCTGCTCAGTCTTTTCAGCCGTCCAGCTCTTACTTTCTCTTGGGTTTCTGAATCTTATCTTGCTCATGCATAGTCAGGAATTATTTAAGGATTTGAGCAGAGTTGTATGCATACTTTGAAGCTACCCACTCTGTGGTTCTGTCTTTTCCAGGAATTTTTCTCCTCATATTCTAGCTGCTGTGACAGCTCCAGATACCTCTGACTCCTCAGTATCGCAGGACTTCCGTTTTCTGCTTGCACACTCTTCCTCTTCTGCTGCATGAACTGGGGTGTACCTTCACGATAAAAAAAAACAAAAACAAAACTGTAAATGTGGGTTTCATATAGTTTGCTTTGCTTTTTCTGAGGCTTATATCCCTTCTAGTTTATGCCTGCTTTCAGTGATTCTCCAGTGCCTTTGATATTTTGTCCAGAGCAAGAGGGCTAGTCTGATATAAGTTACTCTGCAATTATTTTTAATGATGAAAATTGGAAATATAAAGGGGCCTTTCAGAATTTCATACATACCACTTGGTAAATATCTAACATAGTGTTTGTAAAACAGCAGAAAGTCACCGTGAGTTGTATACGTTCCTGTAGATGGGTGCTTGCATTTGAGAATGTCCACTTTTTGCTAAAGTGCTGATCTAAAAACTACACTTTAAGGTAAATTATTATAAATATAAAGTGTTATAAAATATAACTTTGTGTCACATTTTGTCTAAAACTTGTCTGCTAGCTGTAATAAACATTAAACATTAACAGCTAACAATTCTCCTTGCCAGGATTAGGCAGTCATGTTGGTGGTCCAGATTTCCTGAATCCATCCAAGAAAAACTAGAGCCATTGCCTTCTTTGTCTTCTTGGTAAATGTCTGTATAGTAAGTAGAGAGTAGAGACACTCATAATCCCTTAGAACTTAGCTTTTTATGGAGGATGCATTCGCAATGTTTCTGTTGTGGTGCTTCTCCCCCAAAAAGGCGTTTTCAGAAGTCATGGCTGACTCAGCATTTCCCCCTTTCCTTCACCTTCTTGTGAGTGCATTCAGGGAGGCACAGGGGCATTGTCAGATCAAAGAAATAGACAGGGAAAAATATCAACTGTTAAATTGCTTTCTCTTTCTTCTCAGCTGAAACTGGTTCTGCCAGCCTAGTTCCTTCAAGTACGGTGCCTATTTAGCTGAACATTGTGTATATAGTTTTTCTGGAAAATGATAGCAGAAGCTTGGCCAGTTTTCCATAGTTCATTTATCTTTTTAACATAAAACAAAGAATGCTGTTTTTTTGGCTCATTAAATACCTCTCATAGAGTAATCTTTTCTTAAAATGTAATATGTTCAGGTTTTATTAATTCAAGAGTTATTTATTGCATGCTATTTATGCGTACCACATATAACAGATAACTCAAGTCTGTGGTAGTAGTTGCAGTTAATCAATATTGTTATCATATTATTTCACACTTCTTTGGGAAGTCATAAAATAATTACCAGTTCATTAACTTGGGCTTCTTAGAGAGGTTCAGAGTAAAGCCAAGTATGAAAAAAACTGACTATAATGTGGCCTTCTGTACAGGGGCTGCCAGTGAATGGCAGGGCTGGGACCATGGTGAGGCAAGTAAGGCACAGGCCTCTCTTGTGAAATTTAAGAGAGTGCCAAAAAACTCACTAATCAAAATAATGTTTGTATGTAGTTGTTCAAAAAATCAAAATTAATGCAAAATAAGTTGAAAATTATCAAAATTTTAAATAAGGAGATCAGTAGTACTGATTTTTTCTTTTGCCTTATGACCTAGTATGGTTCAGCCTGCACTGGTGAGTGGAGTAAGGGTCCTGGAAGATCCTTGACTGGTGACATGAAGAGGACATAGTTTTTTGTTGTTGTTTTTTTTTGAGACAGAGTCTCGCTCTGTGGCCCAGGCTGGAGTGCAGTGGCGCTTTCTTGGCTCACTGCAAGCTCCGCCTCCCGGGTTCATGCCATTCTCCTGCCTCAGCCTCTCAAGTAGCCGGGACTACAAGCGCCCGCCACCACGCCCGGCTAATTTTTTGTATTTTTAGTAGAGACGGGGTTTCACTGTGTTAGCCAGGATGGTCTCTATCTCCTGACCTCATGATCTGCCCGCCTCGGCCTCCCAAAGTGCTGGGATTACAGGCGTGAGCCACCACGCCCAGCTGAGGACATAGGTTTTTTTATGCCAGATAGACTTAAGTTTGAGTCCTGATTCCTATTAACAATTGGATCTTTGGCAAGTTAAAGTCTATAATGCTAGCTAACATTATTGCATATTAGGGTCTGTTCTCAAGTAGTTTACATGTATTTACTTTAGTCCTCATGTGAGAGAGAGACTATATGGAAGCTAAGAGAAGTTAAATAATTCACTCAAGATCCCATCACTCTGTAGCTAACCTGAGATATACTCGTGGAAAATGTACTGTCACGTTGAGTCTCAGTTTGCCTGTCAATAAAATGGGACAGAATTACCTGTTTTAAGTTGGTAGTTCAAATGGAACCTTCTGAAATGGAAGTGTGGAACATTTGAAAGTATACAAAAAGGGGACTTTTCAGATCAGGAATATGATTAAAACACTGCTTTATGTAATTTCTAAATTTAAAGACAGTAGCATTAGGTAGGCCTGAGTACCTCATATCATTCTAGAACACTAAATCTGCATATAGTTACATGAGTGTACATGGGCCAGGTTTGGTGAATACTGCATTTCTGAGAAATGGCCTTTAACATGAAAGCTCAATGTAATAACTGTGGATGAAATAGAAGAAGAGGGCAGTGAAGGTGGGGATAGAGGATATTGTCTATTAAAGTGTGCTTCAGTAGAGAGAACTAATTTGAAACTTCTCCTTTCTTTTTACTAATGGAACAGGAGCAAGTCCAGACAGATTTATGCAGTTGTGAAATTGAGACAGGTTAAATTCAGTGATTTTTGATAAATGTTGTTGCCAGCACAAAAGTCACAAGTTGTTGAATATGGCACCTTACATTTGCATAGTGAGTTACAGATGCATATGAGTATGTCCTGTGAGGCTTTTCCTTGTATTAGGACTTGAGATCTGGACCCTTTAACAGTACCATTCCTAAGTGATTCTTATTAATACTTATGTCCTATTAAAATCCTTTATCAAATATGATGTTTCCCTAAGGGGTCTTTTGTAAAGGAAGTCTTGGTTACTAGCATCTCCATCTGTGGCCCAGGCTTGAGTGCAGTAGAGCAATCATGGATCACTGCAGCCTCCACCTCCTAGGCTCAAGCCATCCATCCTCCTGCCTCAGTCTCCCATTTTTAAAACTTTTTATAGAGATACGGTCTCACATGTTGCTCAGGCTGGTCTCAAATTCCTGGGCTCAAGTGATCCTCCCACTTCTGCCTCCCAAAGGGCTGGAATTACAGGCCTGAACCACTGTGCCTGGCCAGTTAGTAGCTTCTTAACACATAGCAACATAATTTCCATACTATTTTCAACTAATTTTTATTCTTTCAGTTGGGACCTTTATATATTTCAGTGTTCAGTGAAGAAGTAGGAGAATCTGGTTCTTAGGCTCTGCCTATATCCTTTTACCTGTCTTGGGTAACTGCCAAGAAATTAAATCAACAAATTTTGGCCTGCAGTCTGGCATTAATAGATGTGAATTTAGCTAGGTTTCTTTCAACACAGTCTCCAGGTCAATCGTAATCTTATGTGAAGTTTCTTATTCAGGCATGTCTCGTTAGCACCATTAATTTCACACAGGAATTCTTTTTTTCTCCCTTTTTTTGTGACTAAGCAAAATGAGAAATATTTCTCTTTCAGGATATGGAGAGGCTTAATTAAATTCTTTAATTTTGTCTACATCTGCCCTTATGAATGATAGCAAAGGAATGGGGGATATCAGAATATGAGAAAAAGTAATCATCTAAAAATTTCCAAGCACTTTAAAATTTATTAAGCTAGCATAAATATGTGGGTGTGATAGAGGTTTTCATTAGGCCTCCTCTCAACATACAGTAGTTAGGAATGAAGTTTAGTGTCTCTCCGTCCTCCTGTCATATGTGTGTATGCACACATGTGTGCACATGCGACTGTGTTATGCATTTTGTTTTCATATTTCTTTTAGTTGAGTTTTACCTTACAACCCAACGTAAGGTAAATTAAAATTTCTATTGGATTTCCACACATTTTCTAGATCCTATTTATTCACTGTCAGTGACCTTCACTAGCACTTAGTCCTCTGTGTCCAAAAATGTATTGCCAATTCTTAGACTCCATCAGCCTTCTCCTATGAAAAAGTAATGCAGTTAATTTCTGCTCGAAATGCTCTTCTCCTAAACAGTCTTCTACTTGATCTTTATGAAAAGAGTTTTATGAAAGAAAAGTGAAAATAAAGACTAAGAAAGGCATTATTTAAGTGATGGGTGATATTATTCAGCAAACACATTCAACTAGAGCATTCTATCCAGTTTTTTTGCCTTCACGTAAATATGAGGAGAAAGGTAGGTGTTAATAAGAAAATAATCTGATTAGGATTTATGTAGAATGGTAGCATTTAGCGTATTAAATCTGTATAGATTCAGGTCATTTTCCTGCAGTCACTGTCTATAATCCTGTGTGCTGAACACTGAAAGTTAGATGGACTCTGAAGCACTATAGAATCCTCACTTTTCAAACAAAAGTTTAATTTTTATCACACTAGTATTTATTGAGCAGGCTACTATAACTGATCACTGTACTGGGTATTGTGAATAGACAGAAAAGCCCAAGAGGCCTGTGTTACCTGACTTCTTTATTCACAAGTATACGTACCCAGAGACTGTCTGACAGTGAATGCAGTTTCTCCTGCATAAGACATGGTGGCAGTCTTCTGAAGTCTTGCTGGGGAGATGAAGCATACAGAGATGTGTAAAATAAAACAGTTTGTAATATCCCAGTGTAGGGGCACAGATAATAACTATGGACACTCAGACAAAGGAACAAGTACTGTGGGACAAAAGAGTAAAATCAGAGGACTTTTGGTGCACTGCTTAGATCCTAAATCTTTGAATATTAGTGGTGCCTTAGAAGATGGATAGGTAGGAGAAGGGTGAGAGGAAGGGAGCTGAGGAGACTAGAAGGGACTGTTATTTCCTGGAATAATCATTACCAATTTCTTCATCACGTTTTCTTAATGACACAGTTTCAAACGTTTTCTTCATCTTGATTGCTGTCTTCTGTGTATATGCTGGTTTGTGTGAGGTTTTACTAAACCAGTATGTGGATTAATCTAGTTTCACAGTGACAGGTAAGTGATTTAGAAAATCATTCCTTTAGCACATGTTAACTTGAACGTTTGGAGGTAGAATGCCTAGAGTGAGGGTGAAGGAGAGGACCTGGGGACAGGAAGAGAGGGCAGCTGGGAGCAATTGTGCTCCTTCCCTCAGACCTTTTTGGCCTTGACTCTTGATTCTTATACTTCTACCAGACAGAGAGGCGGTAGGCTTGTGGCCATGTTTTGCGAGGAAAATCAGAATCTAAGAATCTCTAAGGCAAGAGCAAGAATGGATTGGGATAGGGGAAGTGATAGGAAAACAGAGGCACTAAGAAGAGGGTTGGTTTTCATGTACTGCATAGTTCATTCCCTTAGTTGAGAAATCAGGTATCTCAACCTCAGATATCTTCTGTCCAGCATATCACTGGCCAGATCTGATTCATATGAGGGATCCAGAGTAAGGAAGCATCTGTTAGCCAAGTCTTTGGTTACCCCAAATTAGCTCAGGTCCTTTACTGCTTGTTTCCTCTGATTATATAGTACATATCCAAACCCTCAATTTTCCAGAATAAACTAGGTCTGCCTATTCTGTGTGGAAAACATTTGATGGTGGTTAAGATTCTCTTGCCTAGACGATGGTAGTGCCTTAGTCGTTTAACTGCCTGTCACTTTAAGATTTTGAAATACTGGTTCTCGTTGTGTAAGCCAGACACATCTTGAGAATATTTTACGGGGCAACTTGCCCTTTCTGAAACCTCAGTCATCCTGAAAAGTAACTCTGTACCTCCTTGACTTTAATTTTTCTGTCTTAATTCTATTTGTATACAATGTTTGTGGTGTCTGATTCTCTGTCTCGTATTGCTGAAACTCATGGCCTTGAATTTCTGGGTCACTCTTAAAAAATAGACATAACTTGATTACTAATGAAAAAGTGACTCATTTTCTTCCAGGCAAAGGCTGACACTGACTGTCACAGTTTGTGACAGAAGCAGACTCTCTAATTAGGAGACATCACCTATTCTTTTCTAAATTTTATAAGAATTGATGATAGCATCATGAGATGGGAAGTGAGTAAGATAAGCGTTTATGCTTGTAGAGAGGATGCATAAAAATGAAATCTGGATAAAGTTCTATCTGAATTTACCTTTTTAAGTGGTTGATTCCCTGTGAGCTTAAATTTAGTGCTTCTCTTCCCAGACCGTTGTCTTACATACACACTTCAGTCAGTTTTAGCCTTGTATAACTAATCAGCAGGTCAGATTCCATCGAGGCTGAAATACCTACCTCCATTCTGTGCTCAAGAAAACAGGCTCTCATGTTGGCCAGTTGTTTGGGATAGAAGATGGTTAGACCTTTCTATCCCTTTTAAACACAAGATTCTTTTTCATTCCCCTTATCTTGTTTAAATATATTGTTCCTTCTCTTTGGTTGTTCTTTGCTTTCTTATGCATCTGTGAGGGGCTAGCTGAAAGTGTGAGTTGTGGAACAATTCTTTTACATAAGTGTATATTGAATTATCTGTGCACCTAGAGGGTGATGGGCACTGTGAGGGATATTAAAAAAGAGACACAGTACAGTTCTTACCCTAGGATCCCCTGCTTGGAGTGGGACAGTGGTCAAGACATATACAACCACAAACACCCAAACATTAACATCAGCAAGCATCATTACATCCTTGGGTGGTATTGCCAAGGGACTTCAAAGGCCAAGATTATAGAGTCATCACACTTAGGAGGTCAAAGGGACTTTGGAAAGCACCTTTGTCACTCATTTTGTTTTATAAGTGAGGAGGCTGAGGTGTAATACAGCTAAGCGAATTAGCCTTTATTACATAACTCATTAGGATGTAGACTGGGACTAAGAGCTGTTTCTCCAGATCCCATTAGGCAATCTAAAGATTCTGCACTATTTCTTTTTCATTTTTGGTATCCAAATAGGTACAGTTGTTTTTGATCTAGGAAAATCCTTTTAGACTAAACAGTAAGCTTTTTAAATTACTCTGCTTTTAGATATTTTTTGGACTTCAGAACTTTGAAGGTGGTCATCCACCAACATTGGGGAATGGAAAGAAGGCTCCAACACTTTTCTTTCTAGAGATCTTCTTTAATTTTCAATGGCAGTCACTACAGAATCTAGCAGTTCATGCTATTGAGGCCACTTTGTAGGATTTTTTTTTTTTTTTAGTCAGGGCTCCAGGTCCCTGGTGGTTTATGTAGTCAGTCTTATCAACAACCGATGAAAGACCAATAAAAGTGCAAGAGGGAATGAGGACTGTGTGTGTGTATGTCTGCACATGCACACATGCCTCTCTGTGTGTGTTGGTTAACTTCATATTTGGTAGGTGGGAGGGAAGGTGATTAAAAAATAATCTACTTTGCATGGAGTTGGCCCAATTTGACTGATATAGGGGTGAGTGGGGGTTAAGAAGTAGTCTATATATCAGGAATCTTAATTAGTTTTGAAAATCCTTTAGGTAAATAGCTCAACCCAGTTGTTCCCAAACTTCAAGTGTATTTATAGGGTCTTTTTAAGGGGTAAAGATTCCACAGAGCCCTTCATTTTGACCTTTTGCTTCTGCACTGAATAGTTGAATGCCTTCTATATGCCAGTCATTGTGTTAGGCACTGGGAGTATGAGAATTAATAATTTTAGTCTGTTGACAGATAATCATAATAAGGGCTAATGAGTAACACAGGCTCAGGGTTATAAGAACAGAGGGGGTGTCAAGGCTGTTTTTCACAGGAAATAACATTTAAGTTGAGACTTAATGAAATTTTAGGGCTTAGCCATGAGAAGGTGGGGAAAAGCATTTTGGGCTGACTGAACAGCGTGTACAGAGGTCTGGAAGTGAGAAGTAGTGTACTATAGCATTTTCTAGGAGCTGAAAGGCGTTTAGCAAGAGTATAGTGCATAAAGGAGAGAGCTTGAGATGAAACAATTTCTCAGTGTGTTGTTTGAATACAATGTATACTGTCAAAATCTAAGAATTCAAGAATCATTTAATATATCTTTATGTTTTACTAGTCATAAAAGCATATACATATATTTAAATATGGACAAGATACTGTTTAGTAGTTTAGAAAGTGATTTATAAGGATTGCAATCCCTTGCAATAACTCCACAGCCCATACCTTGGGAACAACTGAGCTAACTCATTCAGTTTTGTCCATTACATCGAAGGGTGTTTTTTGTAAACTCATATGTCTAGAATGTGTTTGCCATGTTTTAATCACAAGTAGATATTTTCTCAGGGTCCAGTGCAGTGAAGTATGGTAAGATCCTGATTGTGTTCTGGAACACAGAGGAAAGACCACCTTCTGTTATAGCAACAACACAAGTCTTTTAACACTGTGTGCCCCTTCCCAATCTTTCAAGTGATGATTGAAGAGACTAGGTGCTCAGCTCAGCCTTTGAGTTCTGATAAATGAGCCCAGACTGTAAACTGGAAGATAAGGATGTTTGTAAAGTTCTTGTATAAATAAAGCATGGTTTCTCATTGCAGTGGTTACTGATTTCATAGTCTGAGTGAAGATGAATGATGCTGTGAATCAACAGCTTTAAAGTCCGTACCACTTCAGCTTCTTTTTGGTTTAGGTTTCTTAAAATCAGTGTGTATTTAATGCTTTATTCAGATGAGGGGGTGAAAAACCTAACACATGTAAACTAAGTGAGGTGGGGTTTCAGAGATAATTCCCAGCCTCACAATTCCTCATGAAGTTCTTTTCCTGTGGGAAACTTTTAATTTGGAAGCATGCAACCTAATGTGGGAACCAAGATTAACATTTTCTGAAATACTTCTACAAGAAAAGCAGAAATGCTCTGTCCAGGAAGCTGAATTTACATAGTAGAAAAATGAGCTGCCCTGCAGTATTTGGTAGTCTTTGTGTATTAGTTGTGATAAAAGTGTGTATGTGTGTGTGTACGTGTGTGAGAGTGAGAGATTGTATACTTGTCTTTGTTTCCTTCACATACAACTAGTAAGGCCCTAGAAAAACTACACTAGAAAGTGTGTTTTACCACAAGCGTCCCAGTTCTGGACACCAATCTATACACAAATACTTTTTTTTAAAGTTCTTTTTGTTTTTCCTTCTTGCTGAGTAAGCTATAGTATTTCCTTTTTTTTTCTTTTTATTTGAGAAAAGGGGGGGTTGAGAGTAGAGTGGGAATGGCAAGAAGTAGTATGACAGAGCTTCTTCTCTTTTTTTCCCCTCTTTACCAGGAAGTTAACTAGAAGTCCTCATGCATGTTTTTAAAACAAAGTTGGTAATTAGCATAACCTAGTTAGTTACCTTTACACAGAGTGACAGAATTAAAAAGTTGACAAGCCCATCAGACCTCAGCCAGGAGGTACTGAAAGGAGGGAGACCAGTGAGTCTAGACCAATAGGTGGGTTAGGCCTCCTGAATGCCAGCCTAGAAGTTTAGACTTGATTCTATAGGCTCTGGGGTACCTACAAGTTTGTAGTCGGAGCCTTGGGAATTGAATGTTACATAGGAACTTTCACTGGTTCCAGCTAGCCTTGGCTGTTAGCAATTATTTTTATCTACTTTAACAGGGGGGACAGAGTAGGGGGGCAGGAAACTAAGCTGGCATTATGGTCACAGGAAAGAACAGACTGATTTGGAGCCTTTCAAACTGCAGACCTTTGTTACTGACCGATGCTTAATTTGGTTTCTGGGTTTTGTTAGTTTTTTCCCCTGCCCTTACCTCATTTACCTTAACGACAGCTCCCCCCTCTAGAGCTCAGCTAGGGCAGGCTGCCACTGCGGATTGGGGGGCCAAGAGGCCCAGGGCAAGAAGAAAGTGGGTTGAAAGCAGAGTTCTGTTTAAAGAATTTTCTGCTGGAAACTAGCCCAGAGGGAGTAAAGAGGAACTTTAATGAGGAGCAGCTGCAGTGCCGACGCAACCCACATGAGACTTTTTTTTCCCCTTCGTTCCACATTCTGTATAGTTTTTTTAAAAATCATGACTTTGAAATAGCTGTTTTGTAAAGCATGCCTCTCTTTTTCTTCTTGTATGTGGTGGGGTTTTGCTTTGTTGTTGTTGTTTTTTTTTGAATGGCCAAATCCTCGTTTTAAAAAAAAAAAAAAAAAAAAAAAAGCTAAAGACAGAGCTGCAGCAAAGCCCTGGATGCAATTTGGCCTCACCCTGCTGATACAGAACATTCGGTGGAGAAAACAAGGGGAGAGAACACTGGCTTTTATTTGGAAAAGGGGCTTATTTCCTGCTCAGACTTCAGTCATCTTGGAGCTGACACAAGCTGCTACACTGTTTTAAGCTTTTCTGTAGACGAGTGGCTATTCACTTAGGAAACGTGAAAGAACAAATTTTTCTGTCCTGTATTACTAGGGAGACTGATCCTGAACTGCAGCCATTGCCAGATAGATTGGAATTGCTATTCAGATCCCAGCTTCGTTGAAATCTGTAAAGTGGCTACATGTAAACTAATCCAGGCTGCTAGTGAGATGTGAGGGTTGGGGTCTGGTTTTCATCTGCTTAAGTGAGAGGAAACTGTAGGGGTATCCTTCAAATGGAATGTTTTCTAGTTCCATTAGGAGGAATCCCTTGTTTTTCTCTGTTTTCTTCCTTCCTTTGCTTTTCTACATCCAACCCCATGCGTATGTTTGAACAGTAACAATGGAAATGTGGACCTCTCAATGTCAGAAATGACACTTTTTTTTTTTTTGAGATGGGGTTCTCACCATGTTGCCCGTGTTGCCTAGGCAGGTCTCGAACTTCCGCTCTAGCAATCTGCTCACCTTGGCCTCCCACAGTGCTGGGATTACAGGTGTGAGCCACTGTGCCCAGCTGAGACTTTTAAAGAAAAAGTCATAAATATATCTTTATGGACCTGGTAAGTATTCAGATTAGTTTATAGAGTTTAAAATGGAAAAATTCTCCCCAAACCTTTCTCTGTATTCACAACCTCATCTGCGAAGTATGTTCTTTCAGAGTTCCAATGCTAGAGAAGAGAGAGTAAGTAGAAGTCACTGAGAGACATTGAAGAGACAGTTATGAAAATAATTAATAAACTCCCTACAGGAGGGAAACATTCATATAGTTTTGCGGATGAAAGGCATCTGTTAGATTTTTGTGGTTATTTTTTAGAATATACACCTTTAGTTCAAGTGGTAGACTATTTTCCAAAATGTGTGCTGGGTAGCTTAATGGAATTATAGATACGTAAGGGATGTTGGGTGTTTAGCCATGTTTTCACTCTCTAACCAAATTCAACTTTAGCCATCTCAAGAAGACAGCTATTTAAGCCCTTGTTTTCAAGCAGAGAACCTTACTTTCCACCAAGACTAACAGAGTATATGTTCTCCTTATACCACAGTTGAACAGGGATTTGCAAGTTGAAAGATCTCCTGCCTTAGGAAACAAGGGTCTGTTATTTCTGACTGTCTTACCTATTACTCCCCTTTCTTCCCATGTCCATAATGCTGCTTAGCTTCCTGGGGTGTGAAGGATAATTCTATACCTCAGGATGACTATTAGGTTGATTTGGCCTGTTATTCTACCAGACAGATCACAGAGTAGAGATGGATTTTGTGGAACATTTGGATTGAGAGACTGACTTTATCCATCACATGAAATTTAGCCTGCTTTGGAACCAGCTGCTTAGTGGGGTTTAGGTACTCAGGTATTCAGGGAACCTACACCAAGGGTTCAAGACAGGCTCTTCCCCACAAAAACTATCTAGATGGGAGTTTGAGAAAGGTACAGCAAAGACATAACAGTGGCTTAAATAAAGAAGAACCATACCAGTGGAGACAATGTAGTGCATGACATGGCACTACATCTGCTGTTGGAAGGATCAGAGACAGGTGGGATGATTTGTAGAAGGCTTACTATAGGACAGGTTTACAGCAGATTTTTGAAAAAAGGGTGGAAGAAAGGAACCTAAGTTGGAGATATACCAGAAGGGAAGCATGATGTTTCTCACTGGAAATTAAAAAGATTTTAATATGGGGGACAGTAAACAAGATTGTGGAAATAATATGGAGTGTTCGAGTTATGGATTACTAAAGAGTAAGATGGTTAGATGATTGGAATGGGACAGACAAGCAGATCAGAGATTGTAAAGAACTTGGATTTGAAAGGCTTGGTATTAATACTGTTGCTAGTTTCTGAGCAGAAGAATGACATGAAAATTATGCTTAGGAAAGATTATTCTTTTAGTCATATGCTTAGGTTCAGCAAGGAATTTCCAGACTGTCCTTAGGGAGAGGAGAGGTATGGATAGGATGCTGGTCCATTTAGGATGTTAGAGCTGATTGAATAGGTGCTAGTCTTGGGGCAAGACTTAGTCATACACTTTCAGTTAAGTACTGTTTCATTGCAAGGTCTAGGTGAAGATAGGGATATATTTGTAAAACTGGGGAAATTGCTAGATTCACAGATAACCAACTTTGGGTAGATCAGTTAGCTTTGGTGTCCTTTTCAGTGCTATAGGGGTTCAGACCATTTGGTTTCTGAGATCACTGCTGAAATTCTGTGATTGTATGAGTATAATGT
This sequence comes from Homo sapiens, assembly GCF_000001405.40. NCBI lineage: Eukaryota > Metazoa > Chordata > Mammalia > Primates > Hominidae > Homo > Homo sapiens. The sequence goes on from NC_000001.11 coordinate 149,448,344, forward strand.
AAAAGTTGTCTCAATCAAGGAAACTTGGAGTAAAGACTCAATATGATGGATTTAAAAGGAATGAATGATAGTTCCAATTATTGGGTTCAAAAAACATGTGCTACAAGTATAAGATGAGAAAAATAGGGTACACTAGTAGTTCATGTGAAATAAGGCTCTGAATATTTTAGCTGAGTGTGTATTCCATAGCACATAGTAGTATTTTGTGGCTTCTAAAAAAGTACACATATCCATTGGGTATGAGTCGGAGCATTATTCTTTCTTGAACTGCGCTCTCACGATGCCTTCTCAGTTTAAGAACTTACTCTGAAATAGTAAAAGCATAGTGTCCAGATCAGAAGGTCATGGTTCAGCTCTGTGCTGCACTGGTAAGAACATGTGTTAAGCCTTTTTCCATTTTGAGCCTCACTTTTTAAAGAGGTTTTTGATGAACTGGAGTCATCCAGTGATGGGGAGGCAGGATAGCCTAGTGTTGAAGCACACGCACTCTAGAGTCTACTTGGGTTTGAATCCTGCCTCTTCCATCTACTAGCTGTGAATTTTTTTTTTTTTTTTTGAGAGGGAGTCTCGCTCTGTCGCCCAGGCTGGAGTGCAGTGGCGCGATCTTGGCTCACTGCAACCTCCAACTTCTGGGTTCATGCCATTCTCCTGCCTCAGCCTCCCGAGTAGCTGGGACTACAGGCGCCCGCCACCACGCCTGGCTAATTTTTTATATTTTTAGTAGAGACAGGGTTTCACTGTGTTAGCCAGGATGGTCTCGATCTCCTGACCTGGTGATCTGCCTGCCTCGGCCTCCCAAAGTGCTGAGATTACTGGTGTGAGCCACCGCACCTGGCCTAGCTGTAAAATCTTAATCTTTCTAAGCTTCGAGTTCCTCATATATAAAATGGAGATTATAATACGGCACTGGAGCGAGTAATACAAGAGACAATAGCTATCAAATGCTTAGCAAATATACAATACATAGTTAAGTACTTAGAAAATATGTTTTCAGTTACTTCGGGTATATACCTGGGAAGGGAGGCAGAAAATTTTGGTCATTCTGATTATTATTACTACTATTAAGCATAGAAGCACCACTAAAAAGGTGAAGAAGCCTGGAAATAACCCTATACTGAGGAATACGCCAAACCATTGAATCCTGGAAAAAAGAAAACAAAAGGCCCACATAACTATCTTCAGATTCTTGAAGGGCTACGTGTAAGAGAAGCAGAAGGCTTGTTCTTTTTTGTTCTAGAGGGTAGAGATAACCTGGAAATTGTAGAGAGACAAAGTTTGTTCTTTTCAAAATTAAGACATAATTTATGTATCATAAAATTTACCCTTTTAAAGTGTTTAATTTAGTAGACTTTAGTATTTCCAGAGTTATGAGACCACCACCATTATCTAATTTCAAAACATTTTTATCACCCTGAAAGAAATTCTCTACTGCTTAGTAGTCACTGTCTATTTCCCTTTCTTTACAGCTCCTAGCAACACTAATCTACTTTTTATCTCTACGGATTTGCATATTCTGGACATTTCATATAAATGGAATTATATAATATGTGGCCTTTTGTGTGTGGCTTCTTTCACTTAGCATGTTTTCAAGGTTCATCCATGTTGTAGCATGTATCAGAATGTCATTCCTTTTCATGGCCACATATTTCATTTATGGATATACCACATTTTATTTATCTGTTCATCAGCTTATAGGCATTTGGGTTGTTTCTACTTTTTAGCTATTATGAATAATGCTGCTATGAACATTTTTATTATGTGGGCATATGTTTTCAGTTATCTCGGGTATATACCTAGGAAGGGAGGCAGAATTTGAAGAATTAAGAAAGAGCTTTCTCACAGTGGAATCCACCACATTGAAGACTGTTCTTTTGTTGAAGTAGTCAGCCAGTAATTTCACTTAACAAATGCATAGTGTTTACTATGTGCTGGATAGTGTTCTAAGTGCTTTACCCTTATTTAAAAATCCTATGAAGTAGGCACTGTTATTACATCTCTTTTACAACAGGGAAGTTTAGTACCTTGCCCAAGATTACACATTGAGTAAATGGTGGAGTTGGGATTGAAATCCAGGTGGTCTGGTTCCAGAGTCTGTACTCTTAAGAGCAGAACAATAATAACTCCAAGCATTTATTAAATTCTCAAGATTTATCCGGCACCATGCTACATGCTTGTATTCAAGCAGAGGCTGGTGATCATCTTTTAGAAATATTTTAGAAATGATTACTTAATTGGATAGAAATTAAATTTCTTGAATCTGAAGGTTCTGTTTTTCCAAGGATGGCTGGAAATGGGGGAAAAGCCAGCAACAAGATGATGTCTGGCCTGAGGCTTTTAAGATGATCAGAATTTGTATCAAAAAGGAAACTGTGAACACGAATGATAAGTATTATAGGAATTCAGTTAACAAGTCTTGTCAGAATGTGGTAATAAATTATATACAACTTAAAGAGATGAAGTTACTTTAAATTGTGTGTGGAAGCCTTAGAAAAATTGAATAATTAAAGTTTCTTGGGAAGATGATCTCCTTTTACAAATGTTTAGTTTCAAATAGTGGCAGCACATATTAGGATAGAGAGATGACTTCTAGAAAACTGAACATATGGGACTGGAACAGTGTATTTTGGAGTCAGTTACAGGAAGGAAGTTGTTTAAAACCAAGTGAACAACAACAGTAACAAATGCATTTGAGAGAAAGAGCAGTGCAGTCCAGACTTAAACATTAGGGTGGCCATAATAGATGGGGAAGAAGGAGAAATCAGCAATCCAGACTAAGACTTCACTGGGTTTTGAGTTAGACAGAGGGAGTCATAGAAGCCAAGGTAAAATGATTAAAACGGTACATGGAGTGGTTAGCAATTCTCCCTATAGGAGAGAGAATTTCCTTATGAAGTTTCAGATGAGACCACTGAACTTGACTAGAGGAAAGTCATTGTTTTTAGAAAACAGTTTCTAAGCAATAATTAGAATTAAAGTTTTGTTGCAGAGGGATAAGTAAGAAGTAGATGGAAAAGAAAGAGAAATATCTGAAATTAGGCTACAGTCATAGAAGGTTAGCTGTGAAACAATAATTTGGAAAGGGAAATGGGACCTCATGAAAGTGTGGGTTAAAAGAGACTTGTATATCTTCTAAGGTAAAAGTAAAGAACTAAGCTGATGTCCAGCCCTCTAAAACATTTTAAATAGAAATCAAACTTTATTAATACAGTAGGTCTAGTTTCACGTAAAGCAAATATGTGGTTCTGTACACGGGCTTTAGGAGAGTAAGTCTGTTGTACCTCATATGTAAGTATTATCCCATTTAGAGGAAAACCCTAAGTCTTTCTTTACAGTGGCTTAAAGGCCCCAATTGATCCACATCCCAGTTACAGCTCTCATCTATTTTCTGCTGCTCCAGATATTCTTGCTGTTTCTCAAACACGCTAGGGCTGCTCTCTGTGTTATGGCCTTTGCATTTGCTGTTCCCTTTCTCATGAATGTGTTTTCCTAAGATACCTGCATGATTACTCTCACCTTATTTAGGTCTCAACTCAAGTATTGTCAGTGAAGGTCTTCTCTGATTTTCCTATTCTAAACTGAGATACTTCTCTTTGCTCACCCCACACCCTCATCCCCAGCTCCATTCCTTCCTGTTTAATTTTTTTTCACAGCACTTAACTCCATCTATTGTGCATCTTTTACTTAGTAATTTTGTTTTCGTCTTCCGCTATTAGAATGTAAACTCCAAGAGTGTAAGAATTTTTCTAGCACTGGAAAAATGCCTGGCACATAATAGGCATTTACTAATTGTTGTGTGAATGAACGATTATAAGTTTAATATTCTTTGTGGAAACTAATAAGGTTGATTTCCTATCAGAAACCGATCATTATTAATAAGCATATTGGATGGTATTTATAGAATTAGCCTTCATATGTTCTCTACTCAGAAGTTGGCAAACTTTTTCTGTAAAGTGCCAGAGAGTAATTATTTTTGCAGGCTTTGTGGTCTCATTACAGCTACTTGACTCTGTTGTTGTAGTGGAAAATCAGCCATAGACAATCTATAAATGAATGAGCATGGCTGTGTTCCGGTAAGACTATTTATGGACACTGAAATTTGAATTGTATATAATTTTGAAATGTCAGAAAATATCCTTCTTTTGTTCTTTTTTTCTAATCATTTAAAAATGTAAAAAACTATTCACAGGCCAAACAAAAACAGGCAGTGGTCCAAATTAGACTTGCAAACTGTACTTTGTCAATCTCTGGTTTTACTGATTTCTTAAATATATCTTAGGTTAAAACTTATTTTTCCATACTTGATAGGGAGCAACAATGTGAATTAAACTGTAGAAACAAATAATTCAGAAATACATCTGTTTAGCTTTAGAAACTTCCATTTTGCTTCATTTTTGTTTTCCTGGGAACCTTATATTTCCATTATATGTTTATGATGCTACCATTTAAATGACTTTGCATTCTCTTAGCATATGCCACATGATAGTGTTAGGGTGGTGTAATAGTTCAGGAGCAAAGCTGAGCAAAGCCCACCCACGTTTAAAAATTTGCCATTATTTAGAAGGTGCATAATTCCCATATGGGAGAATGAAGAGTCATCTAATAATGCCCAGAGGGCTGCACTGTGAGTGAGAATTGTGTTGCAGTTTTTAACATTCATAACACATTTCTTGAATAAGCTGCAAATGCTTTTAATAATATATCTCAGAGTTAATTTTAGCTATGCTACATTGGCACTTTTTGCTCCTCCACTTCAAAAAACCAACACAAGAAACTATTCTCAAATCAAGCTGTGATTTGGATGGGGCATTGTATTTTCCTCAATAAGCACAAAGAAGAGAGAAAAGATGTTTTCACTTGGCAAAACTTTTTTTTTTGAGATGGAATCTCACTCTGTTGCCCAGGCTGGAGTGTAGTGGCACAATCTCGTCGGCTCACTGCAACCTCCGCCTCCCGGGTTCAAGCAATTCTCATGCCTCAGCCTCCCGAGTAGCTGGGATTACAAGCGTGCACCACCACCCTGGCTAATTTTTGTATTTTTAGTAGAGCCAGGGTTTCACCATGTTGGCCGGGCTATTCTCAAACTCCTGACCTCAGATGGTCCTCACACCTCAGCCTCCCAAAGTGCTGGAATTACAGGTGTGAGCCACTGTGCCCAGCCCACTTGCAAAACTTTTTAACATTTATAAGGTTTTTTACATACTTGATTTTGTTCAGTTCTTAGAATAATCTCATGATGTAGGTGACCTTATTAACTATTTACAATGTGAGAAAATGGATAGTCAGTGAAGATAAGTAACTTGTCCAAGGTCACAGCACCAGAACTCCAAACCAGACCTTCTGACCTTCTTGATACAGACTCCTCACAGTCACCTGCATGCCATCTTTGGTTTCAGTGCTATGAACTTTCTTCACTGCCTGTTGGTCTGTAGCTACACCTACTCATGAAGATGCCCAGAGCCTTAGCCGCTCCTTGCTCTGCCATGCTTATCTTATGCAGCTCTGGGAGGGGTGAAGAGGCTGTGGCCAGTTACCTCACTACCACTATAGCTATTCACCACCCTGTTTTCTCCTTTAGCCATTTTAGCTACTACACAATTCTTCTGGGCATTTTCTGTCTTAGTTCCCTAGTATCTGGCCTTCCTTCTTTTCTCAGTAACTGTGACCCCTGCTAGCTAGCCTTGCCAACCAATGGTTAATGAAAGGTCTTGGATATGACTGTCAAAGACAAAAGCACTCATGACCCCAATGTTTCAGGTCACAATGATTAGGAAAATCAGGACAACAAGGCTTGGGCACAGAAAAGCTGGTTTTTGAGAGGGGGATTTAGAGTTTGGTTTAAATGTGTAATCTTTGAGGTAATGGTGGAACAGCCTACTAGATTCAGTTTTCTAGTCCCTGAAAACTAAAACGAGGAATAAGTTGAATCACATATTTGGGGCACCAGCCAAATATATAGCAGCATTTATAGTTAGAATCAAAGTGTTTGTGTTTCTTAATTTAAATGCTTCTCAGAGATTCCATTTAAACAACTTCATTATGAAAATGGAGACTTACCATGCCTTTTTGATATTGTTCAGAGAAAATTGTCATAAATAATACACACAGTTTGAAATGGTTGTACATCTTATGAATCAAGGGGTGGCATGTAAAAAGGTTCCTCAGTGCCTCAATGTGGAAAATATCATAGAATGTTATTCTTCAATTGATTCCTTCCTTCACTTTGGTGTTTATATGGTATCTTAGATATTTTATGTTATTTAATTATATTTTGTGCCTTTTTATTTGGTTAAAAATGCCTACTTAAATATTAACAGATTTTTAAATATCCCTTTGAACTCTTCCCCATTCCTGTACCTCCTTTCCCTTTTTCTGTTGTAATGTCAGCCACCTGAACATAACCCAGAAAACTAGGTATCAGCCAATTGATGTTTCAGTGGAAATAAGAGAAAGAAGCACTTACTATTTCTCAATGCTTAATTGAGGAAAAGCACATGATACCTTACATATTTTAAATTGGAGGGGATAATAGGGTCAAGTTCATGCATTATATTGTGGACATCTTAATCCTATCAAATGGCTTAGTCAAAATGAGAAAGTTAATGAATTTAAGCAGACAAGTACGAACAGTGCTCTAAAAAAGGTGCTGTTACACCATCCCAACCTGTACACACATGAAAAAAAGCTGGGGTGCATTTTGCGTTTGAATAAGGGTCATGTTGACTGGCCATGGCAGACCCTGCTAGACCATACAGCTGATACTCTGTCACCTGCCAGGACTCAAAAGGACATGGGAGTATGTGGTTAAGTTCTCTAAGGACTCTTTCTTCTAAAGGGAAGCAGTTTTATAGGTGGTCCTTGTAGGTCTGTTGATTCACAATCTCGTGCTTTCTTGATTGGACTGTATTGTTTTACTGTAATTTTTTGGACTTACAAGAAGTCAGGTGTTTTCATGGACTCTTCTCTTTTCCATACAGATGTCCAGAAGGCTTCTTGGGGGAATATTGTCAACATCGAGACCCCTGTGAGAAGAACCGCTGCCAGAATGGTGGGACTTGTGTGGCCCAGGCCATGCTGGGGAAAGCCACGTGCCGATGTGCCTCAGGGTTTACAGGAGAGGACTGCCAGTACTCGACATCTCATCCATGCTTTGTGTCTCGACCTTGCCTGAATGGCGGCACATGCCATATGCTCAGCCGGGATACCTATGAGTGCACCTGTCAAGTCGGGTTTACAGGTAACTAATGAGACCAAAGCCAGTGCTTTCCTACCTTCAGCAGATACCTTTATTTAGCATCTTTTAGATCATGGTATCTGGCTCTTAAATGTCCCCCAGCTCTGGTGCACATTTAACATTATGATAAGGAACTGGGATGTTCCAGACAACTATCCCTAACTTCCTTTTAAGAGTTTCAGGGGGCAGAGAAAGAGAAAGAAAAAGGACCAAATACTTTGACTGCTTAAAGTATATATGTCAGGGCCAGGTGCGGTGGCGTACGCTTGCAATCCCAGCATTTTGGCAGGCCAAGGCAGGAGGATCACTTGAGGCTAGAGGTTTGAGACCAGCCTGGGAAACATAGCAAGACCCCATCTCTACAAAAAAACAAGAATAAAAATAAAACAAAATTAGTCATGTGTGGTGGTGTGCACCTGTAGTCCTAACTACTTGGGAGGCTGAAGTGGAAGAATTGCTTGAGCCCAGGAGTTTGAGGCTGCAGTGAGCTATGATCGCACCACTGCACTCTAGCCTGGGTGACAGAGTGAGACCCTGTCTCAAAAAAAAAAATATGTACACCAGGATGGGGAATCAGAGTTTACTTCACTAAAAGAAATAAGTACACTGTCACCAGAGGAAAAGTTGCTGATGTTATTGACTATTTGCTTTTAGAAATCTCCCTCCCTAGACATTCAGGGCACTGGCTTTTCTGGTTTTCTGAACCCTGTTCCTTTTGCTTCTTCATTACCTTGTTCTTATCCATTAAATGTTTGTGCTCCCTGGAGCACTGTTTTTCGCCCTCTTTTGAGCCACATCACAGCTCTCCCTAGGGAATTTCACTGTCTGTATTCGCCTCCACTGCCACTGTCTTCATTAGCTTGCTGATGAATCTCACCATCATTCCCTTAGCTCCACCCAACCCTGACATTCAGGCTCATGTTTCTAGCTATCCTTTGTATGTTCTCCTTGGAGATATTCTACAGGTACTTTCAGCTCACCTTGTTGACAGAAATACGTAGCAACCATGTACATCCCAAATACCCACGCTAGAAACTCCCTGTCCCTTGTTCTGACCTCATTTCAACTCAGTCACCCAAGCCAACCTCTGAGTTGCCTTTCACCTGTCTATTCCTCCCATTTCCTCTGCTACCCTGTAGCTGAAGGCCATGTTATCTCTCACCTGGGCTTCTGAAGTAGTTTCTGAATACGTTTTCTTGCCTTTATTCTCTCCCCATCTCATTCACCCATGATATTACTACATCTTTGATTATAAATGCAAATATTCTAACAATCTCACCTGCTTACAATGTCTAATATTTTTTCATCATCCGCAGAATAAACTGCAAACTCTTTTACATGACTTCCATAGCTCTCTACAGCCTAGACTTTACATCTTTTTATAGCCTGGCCTCCCCACAAGCATCTAGGCCTAGTCACACCAAATTCTCCTTATTTCCTGAAAATGTTGTACTTATTATTGCTTCCATACAGTTACACACCCTTTTGCCTGGAATGCCCTTTTCTACAACTGGTGATTGTCCAATGTTATTTAAAACTGTGTCTTAGTGACCCTTTCATGATTCCTTTAGGCAAATGGTCTCTAAGTTTTATTAGTTTTATGTATCACATTTTATTGTAATTTTTTTTACACATATCTCACCTGAATAGATTGTGGGTTTTTCTAGGTGGGTCTGAGCTTTATTCAAAAGTGTTTATTAAATTAGATGAGAAAAGGAGGAACATTCTTCATTTTTTCTCCTGCTTTAAGCACTAAACCAAGAGTTCTATAAATGCAATAAGCAAAAAAGTGAAAAATGTACTCAGAAGACTATACTGGATCAGTTAGTGTAGAATACTGTTATATTAATTTTTCATTGTATTAGGGTTCTCTAGAGGGATGGAACTAATGGAATATATATGTATGTATATATATTCCAACCCAAAGTGTCTTGGTGGCAATCTTAATATATATATATTGGCAATCTTTATATATATATAAAGGAGAGTTTGTTAAGTATTAATTCACATGATCACGAGGTCCCACAATAGGCTGTCTGCAGGCTGAGGAGCAAGGAGAGCCAGTCTTGAGTTCCAAAACCGAAGAACTTGGGGTTCGATATTTGAGGGCAGGAAACATCCAGCACGGGAAAAAGATGTAGGCTGGGAGGCTAGGCCAGTCTCGCTTTTTCATGTTTTTCTGCCTGCTTTATATTTGCTGACAGATGATCAAATGGTGTCCATCCAGATTAAGGGTGGGTCTGCCTTCCCCAGCCCACTGACTCAAATGTTAATCTCCTTTGGCAACACCTTCACAGACACACCCAAGATCAATACTTTGTATCCTTCAATTCAATCAAGTTGACACACTCAGTTTTAACCACCACAAATCTACCCCTTGTCAACTTGAACCCATACACATCTCCTGAGATCACACATAATCTTCAAATAAAGACAATAATTAGGTCATAATTACACCTGATGTAGTACAACTATTCTTCGTACATCCGGAAACACACCAGTCCCCAACTGAAACACTCTTACATAAAGTTAACGATACTTAAATGCTGATGTGAAGTCAATAAATCTTATGTCACATGATAAAGGAGAAAGGAAATAAAATGAAGATATTTTCTTAGTACAAGTGTGTGCAAGCACAGACATGTTTTTAATAAAAGAAGGAGGAAATACTGAGGACAATTACAGTCCTCATTTCTGCAGCTGGTCACATGGTAGTAGCTGGTATTGATGACTACCTTCTTCTACCCATTTTGTATTCCTTTTGCCTTCAGCAAACACCTCAGCAGGTTGTGTTTTTTTTTTTCCTGATGGAGAGGCCCAAACCTTCATTCATCCAGGCGGGACCATTTGTAGTCCCGCCTGGATTGGGCTGTTGTAGTTGCCCATTGACCTTAATCACAGGGCATGGTAATACTAAGAGACGCCCTAATGGATCTCCTGTATTCCATGAATACTCTTTCTTACCTCCGTTCTGGAGTAGTAGACTGATTTCATCTTGATAGCCTGGGTCTTGATAGCCTTGATGTCCCAGCCAACACTGTAACGCCTTTCTTAGCCTGTTTACTTAAAGGTAGGAACCCAAAGTGTCCTGGTGGCAATCTTAACTACCAGTTTAATGGAATTGTTGTTGTGTCTTCTGGTGGCAGCGTTCCTCCCTCTGGAACTAAGACCTCTAGGCCAGCAGAACTTAATGTTGCGGGAACAGGAAGCAAACATTTTGCTAGTGGATCACTAGGGGTGATGGTGAGTGGTACCACTTCCATTTCCACCCCTTGATTCCTGGACCTGTGAATCCTGGCTATGGGAGAAACAGTACCACATATTGGACGCTGATTCAGAGCATACACAGCCTTCTTGAGAACTTTGCCCCAACCCTGCAAAGTATTCTCACCTAGTTGGCATTGTAATTGTGACTGCAAAAGGCCATTCCACCGTTCTGCTTCAGGATGTTGGGGAACATGGTAAGACCAGTGAATTCCATGAGCATGAGCCCACTGCTGCACTTCTTTAGCCATAAAGTGAATGCCTTGGTCAGAGGCAATGCTGTGTGGAATACCATGACAGTGGATAAGGCATTCCATGAGTCCGCGGATGGTAGTCTTGGCAGAACCATTGCATGCAGGATAGGCAAACCCATATCCAGAGTAAGTGTTTATTCCAGTAAAGACAAACATCTGCCCTTTTCACAATGGAAGAAGTCCAACATAATCAACCTGCCACCAAGTAGCTGGCTGATCACCCTGAGGAATAGTGCCATATCAAAGGCGCAGTGTTGGTTTCTGCTGCTGGCAAATTGGGCACTCTGCGGTGGCAGTAGCCAGGTCAGCTTTCCACCGGCCCATCTTGTTTTCTGCACTGGGAAGGTGGGGCATGAGCACAAATGTTAGGACCTGAAAGGTGGTGAACTCTGCCTGGGCAGGGCAAAGCCAGAGGAAACTCTGGTGGAGGTCCGTAGCAGTCCTGATGTGCAAATCGGTCATCCAACCTGGGTGTAGGGGCGAAAGACTAATTGAACCATCTAGTAGCTGGTTCCCTCCAAAGTTTCCCTCGGGATAGCTGGCACTCTCGCAAAAACCCCACTCTTGGTACCAATTTACTGTATTAGTCCATTTTCACGCTGCTGATAAAGATATCCCCGAGACCGGGAAGAAAAGAGGTTTAATTGGACTTACAGTTCCATATGGCTGGGGAGGCCTCAGAATTATGGTGGGAGGCAAAAGGCACTTCTTTCATGGTGGTGGCAAGAGAAAATTAGGAAGAAGCAAAAGCAGAACCCCTGAGAAACCCATCAGATCTCATGAGACTTATTCACTATCATGAGAATAGCACAGGAAAGACTGGCCCCCATGATACAGTTACCCCACTGGGTCCCTCCCACAACACATGGGAATTCTGGGAGATACAATTCAAGTTGAGATTTGGGTGGGGACACTACCAAACCATATCATTCATCAAAAGGTGTTGGTGGGGTAGAGGGTAGTTAGGATGATCCATGATCTCCATCATGATGATGATGGTATTGATGATGTAAGTCACTGAAAATATTTGGTGTTATAAGAATAATTTCTTCCTGATTGTCAGTTTTGAGTTGTTTTGCTATTAGGAGGCAAAGTAGGGGGGCATATACCCACTTAAAATATTTTAATTCTGGCTAGTGGAAATGACAGTAATGCCTTCTTCATAATTAAAATGTCACTCTGAAATGGTCCCAAATTAAGAAGGATCTCTTTTTGGTGTGTTCTGCAAGATTCTGATCACCTTTTTTTTTTTTTTTTTTTTTTTTGAGATGGAGTATTGCTTTGTCATCCAGGCTGGAGTGCAGGGCGCAATCTCGGTTCACTGCAAGCTCCACCTCCCGGGTTCACGCCATTCTTCTGCCTCAGCCTCCTGAGTAGCTGGGACTACAGGCACCTACCGCCATGCCCGGCTAATTTTTGTATTTTTAGTAGAGATGGGCTTTCACCTTGTTAGCCAGAATGGTCTGGATCGCCTGACCTCATGATCCACCCGCCTTGGCCTCCCAAAGTGCTGGGATTACAGGTGTGAGCCACCACACCCGGCCGATTCTGATCATCTTTTATACATATGCTATTTTTGTCTATCACTTTAGGAATCATCACAGATCAAGGTCATCCTTTTGGTTTTTGTGATAGCGCTATACCTCAGTCAGCTTACTAGCTCATCTCCACTCAGAGATGAAGAAGCATAGGCAGCAAGTTAGTGCCTATACATAATGTATATGGAAACCAAATTCAGGGTTGATTCTTTCTTTCTTTCTCCCTTTCTTTCTTTCTTTCTTTCTTTCTTTCTTTCTTTCTTTCTTTCTTTCTTTCTTTCTTTCTCTCTCTTTCTCTCTTTCTCTCTCTTTCCCTCTCTCTTTCTGTCTTTCTTTCTTCTCACTCTGTTGCTTAGTACAGTGGCGCAGTCTCGGCTCACTGCAACCTCCACCTCTTGGGTTCGAGTGATTCTTGTGCCTCAGCCTCCCAGGTAGCTGGGATTACAGGTATGTGCTATGAAGCCCGGCAAATTTTTGTAGTTTTAGAAAAGATGGCGTTTCACCATGTTGGCCAGGCTGGTCTCAAACTCCTAACCACAAGTGATCTGCCCACCTCAGCCTCCCAAAGTGCTGGGATTACAGGCATCAGCCACCACTTCCGGCCCAGGGATCTTTCCGTTTCAGTTGTGGGCATCACTCTGAAAATCACACTTGCTAGAAGTGAGCATTTATATCTCTTCTCCACTGTAAATAAGTGCCTCTTAGTGACATGAGTGGAAAGACAAGAAGAATTGCAGTTCCTTCATTTTCTGTCTTAGCTCCCTGAGATGTATATGCTGTGCCTAAATTTGTGTTATAGTTTTCTCCTTTGATTTGACATTCCTTGATAGGCAGAGAGCACTTTTCTGTGCTCATATGTCACATCTCGCATCTTTTTCCCTTATAGAAAAACTCTTGTGTCTCCCATTTACCTTTCTATGAGGTCAGAGATTTAGATACTTTCCTAGACAGTCAACTGGAGTATTAACAAATTCAAGGAGTTCTCGCCATCCCATTACTGGGTATATACCCAAAGAATTATAAATCGTGCTGCTATAAAGACACATGCACACGTATGTTTCTTGCGGCACTATTCACAATAGCAAAGACTTGGAACCAACCCAAATGTCCATCAGTGATAGACTGGATTAAGAAAATGTGGCACATATACACCATGGAATACTATTCAGCCATAAAAAAGGATGAGTTCATGTCCTTTGTAGGGACATGGATGAAGCTGGAAACCATCATTCTCAGCAAACTATTGCAAGGACAAAAAACCAAACACCGCATGTTCTCACTCATAGGTGGGAATTGAACAATGAGAACACTTGGACACAGGAAGGGGAACATCACAAACCGGGGCCTGTCGTGGGGTGGTGGGACGGGGGAGGGATAGCATTAGGAGATGTACCTAATGTAAATGACGAGTTAATGGGTGCAGCACACCAACATGGCACATATATACATATGTAACAAACCTGCATGTTGTGCACGTGTACCCTAGAACTTAAAGTATAATAATAATAATAATAATAATTCAAGGAGTTCTCATCTCTGTAGTTTAAATAATAAGCGACTTAGACTAATGACAACAAAAAGCCAGCCATGTGAATACCAAATTTACTAGTTCTGTGAGGATATTTTTTTCTCTTTCTCTTTCTGCCTCAAAGAATCTGCTTTGCTTCCCCTGGCATCATGATTTAGTTTTCAACCCGTCAGAGTCTTCCTGCTAGTGCTGGTACTTTCCTACTTGAGAAAGTCCACGGAATACCTTCGAGACCTCTGTCCTCCTGATGGCTTCTATTTCATTTGTTATATAGGGACCCAGAGGTCCTTCATCATTTTCAAACACATCAACAGATATTTATAGCAAGGCCACAATTAATAAAATGTTTCCCAGAATATATGTGTGTGTTACATTTAGAGGAAACAGAAGTAGTATTGACTTGTTTCTATCACCAGAGGTCTATTTAGTAACTATATTTTGTGGAAAATATCGATATATTTTATCCATTCAACAGACATGATTTGAGAGCATACCATGGAGACCCAACCCTGCCAGTGTGGCAGGTGGTATAATAGAAGAAAATAGCAAACTTGGTGTATCTGTGTTTGCGCACATGTATGTATGTGAGGGGCACTAAGGATGACTTTACAGAGGTTGGAACTTTAGAGTTGCCAAGATAGGGAGAGTTCACTAGGAAAACAGACGGGAAGTTGATTTTTTTTTTTTTTTTTTTTGAAATGGAGTCTTGCTGTGTTGCCCAGGCTGGAGTGCAGTGGTACAATCTCGGCTCACTGCAACCTCCGCCTCCTGGGTTCAAGTGATTCTTCTGCCTCAGCCTTCCAAGTAGCTGGGATTACAGGTGCGCGCCACCATGCCCAGCTAATTTTTGTATTTTTAGTAGAGACAGGGTTTCACCATATTGGCCGGGCTGGTCTTGAACTCCTTACCTCATGATCTGCCTGCCTCGGCCTCCCAAAGTGCTGGAATTACAGGTGTGAGCCACTGCTCCTGGCCCGGAAGTTGATATTCAAACAGGAGCAGCATATGCAAAGACAGCTCTGAGAGAGTAGATGGATCCAGACTCCTATTGCTGATAGCGTCCTGCAGGATTGGGCTTCAATGTGACTAACCTACAATTGCCTCCAGGTGCTCCACCCACTGAGTCCTTGTGTCTCTGCTGAGGTCCTTGGAGAGTTACTGGAGAGGGCTCTGTGTCAGATGACCTTGAGGAGGCTCTGATTTAGCCTTTAGTAAAATGCAAAGAGTTGAGGTCTTCTCCACGCAAGAGCTCGCTGATGTCAATGAGGTATTGAGGATGGGGCCATCTCCTATTTCTGTGGCCAGTACTGAGTTTTGTTATCCTTCCTTTAGGTAAGGAGTGCCAATGGACCGATGCCTGCCTGTCTCATCCCTGTGCAAATGGAAGTACCTGTACCACTGTGGCCAACCAGTTCTCCTGCAAATGCCTCACAGGCTTCACAGGGCAGAAGTGTGAGACTGATGTCAATGAGTGTGACATTCCAGGACACTGCCAGCATGGTGGCACCTGCCTCAACCTGCCTGGTTCCTACCAGTGCCAGTGCCTTCAGGGCTTCACAGGCCAGTACTGTGACAGCCTGTATGTGCCCTGTGCACCCTCGCCTTGTGTCAATGGAGGCACCTGTCGGCAGACTGGTGACTTCACTTTTGAGTGCAACTGCCTTCCAGGTAAGGAGCTCCCTAGTGTCCCAGGATTAGGGGACAAACCCCTAGCACAGGAGGTAGTGGGTGTGGCTCAATTGCTTTTTTTAGGAAGCGCAAGGAAAAAGGGAAGTGAGAATTTTGTGTGGGGTGGGTTGCTAGTGAGGGAGGAGTTTTATGGGCCCACTGTGGTCCATAAACTGAGCAGGGGATAATTTAGCATGTCAGGGTTTATGATGATGAGTGGCTAGAAAATTGTTTATTGTCCCTTTTGTAGAAACAGTGAGAAGAGGAACAGAGCTCTGGGAAAGAGACAGGGAAGTCTGGAATGGAAAAGAACACGATGAGAATTAGACACTGGAAAATATGTATGTGTGGTTAATAAAGTGCTTTAAACTGAATTGACATTAACAGTAGGTGATCAACTTTACTATGTGCTTGTGCTTTTGCTTTTGATGGAGTAATTCATTGTTTTCTTATCCACCTAAATGCACCCAGCTGCCCTTGATTTTCTCTGGGCTACTGGCCTTCACAACCCTCTCCCATGTACCCTCTCTGACTTTGGGGTAACCCTCCCCTAACTTAAAGCTAGAGAATTCTGAAACTGAGGAGGGGATCCTCTGTTAATCAGTGAGCACTTTTTGATGAGCTGATAGATGATATATGAGAGACTATGCGTGGCACAATACTTTGTTACACTCTTCACTGATACAAGTGTTCTAGAGTGCACACACAACCCAAAGATAGAAATAAAAAGAGGAGCAGTGTCGGGGAGCTTGGGGCCTGGTGTTCCATGGAGAGGGAGAAAGGAACAAGCTTGGCCAATTCATTCAACTCCTTATAAAAATGATGAGGAGGCTGAAAACCAAGAATTTTGATTGGGAACAGAATACAAGCAGCTGAAGCAGATGAATTACTAAGCAACAAAGATCCTGTTTTTATACAAATATCCTTAGTACAAAAACAAAAGAAGGAAAACTGTAGGGGGGAGTAATGTGCTAAGTAAGCAGAATTGCCTCCAAAAGAAGTTGTTCTAGTTACTCTTTCAGAGTGGGAATCTTAGATTCTGGTATTGTGGATATGGTTCACATATAATGGGATTGTGTGTTTTATTTTGGAGGAATTAAAGGTCATAGTTTGGTCCTCAGTATAAAATCAACTGGTAATTTGTTCATTTCATTTGGTAAAAATGTATTGACTGCCTGCTATGTTCTAGGCACCATGCTGTGTATTTGGAATACAGCTATACAAAGCATTGTCACATAATTGAAATGAAAATTTTATATTATTTAAGTCACAAGAACAAGCTATTTAATTATATTACTTTTAGTTTCTCTTTTAATAAAGAATAGATAATGCTATCATTCTAGATACTAAATAAGTATTTTCTTAACATAATATTACTATCCACTTTATCTTGTAGAAGAAATAACTAAAATACATCTGTCTTCACTCCTGTATTTGTTTGCATTTTAAGGATTAAAGACAGAAATAGAAATGTAAACAACTTTATTTTGAAAATATTTCAACACTGCAAATATCTCTGGGTCTGATATTCTAGTAATCTAATTGGCTAGTAATTGATGTTAGTGTGATTTATTGTTGAAGGCTAAATGTGTTTTTCAGTTTCAAGAAAATTGCTTTTAATAATTGCCTAGAACAAGAGGTTGATTTGGCAGCAAGATGTTGACGGGAAGTTAGAGAAGTCAATAAAGGAAGTTTTTAGCTGAGAGAGAGTGATTATTCACTCCCATAGCCTCTGCATTGTTATCCATTAGCCACGATAAGAACCTTAGGGAATTCTGAGAGTGTGTCCAGGAAAGGATCTGTCAAACTAGAATAGTATCTCCTCCTTGAGAAAGGAAATAACCAAGGATTCCGCAGCTGAGAGGCTGCCAGGGCTAGTGAAATAGAGTAAGGAAATCTTGGCTGTCTCTTATTCTCTGGTTGTAGTTTAACGCAAGACACTTATTTACTCACTGATGGTGTGTGTGTGTGTGGGAGGGGAGATTAGCATGAGGGGTGGGAATGGGGAGATTTGATGAAGAGAAAACTAACATTTTTTTGGTGACTCAGGAACTGTGCCAGGTACTTCCATGCTTATTAGCTCAATTACACAAAAATCTTGGGACCAGGTATTATTTTTCAAGTCTTCCCACATGAAGTAACTGAAGTTTGGAGATGTTAAGTGATTCACCCAAAGTTGTACAGCTAATATGTGGTTAGGCTGGGTCCTGAAACCGAGGCAGTTTATTTTCAAAGCCTTTGCTTTGTGCATCTTACTGCGCCACATTGCACTGCACATCTGCTTCCTGAAAGCACTTTGTAGGTGTGTAAAACTTTTCGTTAAATGCTTTAAGCTGTTTGGGTTAAAAATATATGTTCATGTTATAAGAAAACCAAGACACTCCTAATTATAATCAAATAGTACTTGTTACATATCAATATGTGTGTGTGTGTGTGTGTGTGTGTGTGTGGTATATATATATATATCGCATTGTGCAGATGTTTAAAAGTAGTTACATAGACTAGTTCTTGCTTTTCAGGGTCCCATAATCTAAACCAGATGACTTCAGCTTTGGATAAATATATAGAAGGAAATTTAAAGAGAATTCAAAACAATAGATGATGCAGTGACACTGTGAATAAATGTTATTTATACAGTTTGTAAGATTTCATGCTCATTGTTCGTATGTCCCAGGTGGAGTTCAGAAAATATTCAGTTCATTTCCACAAAGGGAAATAGTGCCTAGAGATGGTTTTCTTTTAAAAAGTCCTTTTCATAATGCAGTGCCCTTCCTTCCATTGCCCTTCATTCCATTGCTTCCCATGCTTGTCAAGAGACTAAAATGTTACTTATAGTAATAGTCACTATCTCAATGTAAATAGCACCCTTATTTGATGAGAATTATTATTTCAGTTCTAAAAATGGGGAAACAAAGTCAGCAGGAGGCAAAGTAGCTTGTTAAAGTATTCTGCAACTTTCAAATGGTTGCTTCCACTGCATTTCACGTCTTGGCACTTCTAATTGAGGGTTACTCTAACCACCCTATTTAAAATTGTAACTGTCCCCCACCCCCTTAATTACTAACCCTGGTCTACTTTTTGTTTTCTTTTTCTGTAACTCTTATCTTCTTACTATATAATTTATACTATATAATTTACTTCATTATGTCTATTGTTTATTGTCTGTCTTTTCCAAATTCTACTGCCTCTTACCCTCTCCAGAATGAAAACTAGTATCTTTGTTTTTGTTTACTGATGTAACCCAAACACCTACAAACAGTGCCCAGTATATACTAGGCCCGCAAATATATATTGGCTGACTGACTGTATGGTTTAGTATCATGTCATAGTATTGAGACTGTAACTTTGGTCTTCTCATTTTCTTCTTTGTATTGTGCGTCCTAGACTTAGTTTGGCCTCTCCTTTTGTCCTTGTATACTCTAATACTGGATAAGAATTTTGGAGTCTTTTTCAACTCTGAGTCAGTGAATGCCACATAACTTAGTGACTATATTTAAATGGTTAATTTACAATTTTTTCCCTGCAAAGGATACTGTAGTCACTGTGAGTATTTTAGTATTACTGTAGGACTCAAGAGGGAATTAAAACTACAAAAATGACGCGTCTTGTATGACACAGAAAGAAATGTTTCTTCACAGAGGGAGGAGAAAAATATCTTCAAGAGAGAACTAATAGAATCAAATCAATGAACCATGTCTCATCTTTTTGGATAAGTAACTGTTAGTAATCCAGACACTTCATGAGCTTTCATTATGTAAAGTCTTTAGCAGAAGCTAAAGGAGGGGCACCAACCACAGTAATTTTAACTTAAGAACAAAATGGAGCATGAAAATAAATTATTAAATCATTTACTCCCACTATTTTTGGGTTAGGGCCAATAATGGGGAGAGAAAGAGGTAGACTAGTTTTGTGTTTGTGGCTATTTTAATAGAGTAGCACAAGTAATCAAAAAACAGTAGGCTGTTTTGAATTTACTGGCTGTCCCTTATGAGTTCACAGTTAGATTGGACTGTCCTCAATGTACTTTCTTTTTTTTCTTTCTTTCCCACATCTCTTTATTTCTCTGATTTTGTTTAAACTTCATAAAGAGCTCTCTGATCTTTCCTTTCCAAACAATGAAGGTTTATCCTTTGTAAACTACCTCTGTACTCCACAGGCTGATGATATGTGATATCCCTATATCATTAAAGTAAAGCCTAAGCACATTCTGTGGCTTTTGTGTCTACTCTGTTGTTGCTGAGCTTATGAACTATTAGAAATAACTCCCTCTTGCATTTTCACACATGGGGAATGTGATGTTCTCTTGGGTATTATGCTAATCATATTTTGGCAGGTTTCTCTGGAGCAGATGCAGAAATGATCATACCACTTTCCAGGGTGTATTATTTTAGCTCCTTTGACTTGGGCCCTAAGTCTGTTTTACCTGATGTTCCTGAAAGATGTTCCTGATGTCCTTCACTGTTCTTTCATGCTGGATGTTCTTGCCTATGCTGCCTCCTCAGCTATCACCCTCTCTTCCCCTTTTTAATGTAGAACTCATTCTTAATGATTTGTCAAAGGCACCCTATTTCACTGAAATGCCTTCTATATTCCCTACCCTCCAAGTGGATTGTAGACCTTCTAAGGTCTTTTGACATCTGCATATCTCTAGCACAGCACTTACCACGGTGATTATTTATCTGTTCATCTTTCCAAGTAGACACTCTCATTTTAACTCCCTACCCTAGTCGCCAGCATCCCCAGCATAGTGCCTGTCATAAAATGGTGCCACAATGAAAATTTGAAAAATGAATGAACGTGATAAACATAGATGAGAATCCTATATTCTACAATTTTTTAAATGTACTGAAATTATTCTTTTTGAATCCTCCTATTTATTTCTGTGACTTCTTTGGTGACAAAGTTAGAAAAAAGTGGAGGTCAGTAGGGAGATATGAAGGGACGCAAGTGGAAGCAGTGAGCCTGGGCGGGTGATGGAGTGGGAGATACGTGGCACAGGGGTCAGTGAGTTAATCTGGGCTCATTCAGAGAATGGAAGGTGTGTGCCAAGAAAACTGGTTGGATAGGGATAGGTCAGGGATTCCCTCTTGCATTCTCACACTTGGGGGCATGTGTCATTTTCTTTTCTTTTCTTTTTTTTTTTTTTTTTTTTTTTTGAGACGGAGCATCGCTCTTTCTCCCAGGCTGGAGTGCAATGGTGCTATCTCGGCTCACTGCAACCTCCACCTCCCGGGTTCAAGCTATTCTCATGTCTCAGCCTTCCAAGTAGCTGGGACTACAGGTGCCTGCCACCATGCTCAGCTAATTTTTGTATTTTTAGTAAAGATGGGGTTTCACCATGTTGGTCAGGTTGGCCTCGAACTCCTGATCTCAGGTGATCCACCTGCCTCGGCTTCTCAAAGTGCTGGGATTCCAGGCATGAGCCACCATGCCTGGCCGCATGTGTCATTTTCTTGGGTGTTATACTGATCGTATATTTGCAGGTTTGCTTTTGTGACAGACTTCTTCTGGGGGAAAAAAAGTATCCTTCTATCTTTTTACTTTTGTCCAGTTCCAGGTATCCCTGTTTTTTTCTTCACTCTTCCTTCCTTGTTCATGGGAGTTTTTCTTGAGGACTTCAAGCCCAGCTTCGGAGAATCCTGGTTGTGTCATCTCATCTCCTTTCTGCTCTCTTCTCTACCTAGCCTTTCCACCCTCACACCTCCCGGGGTCTGAAAATGGAAAGATAAGGGTGTTTCCCTGAAAGTTGCTCTTCTGTGTGGGGATGACAGGTTCTAAAGACTCTTTTCTGGTCCCTGCCCTCATTGCCATGATTAATCAGTTAAGTGGCCCGAGGTTTTGTAACAGCACAGTCTTAAAATGCTTCTCCCAAGTTTAATTTCTCTCCATTTGACCTTTTAAGGATGTGAATTGGCTTTAAGCAGTAGACTCCCTTTAGTACGGCGCTGTGAGCCTCTCAGTGAATCTGCTACATCCATTCCACCCACGGGTCTGGAAACTTGTCTGTTTACCTTTCCCTAAAAACCTAAGATATATTTTTAAGAAGTGCCTTGTAACTTTTCATATAGCCTTTCCCCTACTTTGGGTAGACTGTTTCTTACAGGAATTTGGTAGATCTTTCCAAAGAGAATTCTGTATCTCTATTTTTAAAGCATAAATCCTGTCAACTTTGGAGGAGAACTGATTTGGCTTGAGTTTTCTCAGACATGGGAACTTTTGACCTAAGTTTGTATTTTACATTGTTGAAAGGGAACTCCGGGATCCCAGAAAACATATGGACTGCAATTGGGTAAAGTTTCTGTTTCAGTACTTATTCCTACTTACTAGCCGTTTAATCTTGGTCAAGTCAGCCATGTGGCTCTCAACTTCCTCATCTGTAACATAAAAGGATTAGAGCAGACAATCTCTAACAAATGCTATAATACCACTGACAAATAATAATATTAGCTAATATGTGTAAGGCACTGTGTTTAGTGCTTTTTCCCTTAATACAATAGCTTTGAGATATAATTTATATACCATACAATTTACTTCTTAAAAAAGTACACAATTCAGTAATTTTAATAGATAGGAGTAACCATCACCACAGTCAATTCTAGAATATTTTTATACATCAGAAGAAACCCTTTACCCATTATCAATTACTCTCCATTCCTCCTAACTCCCTCCCAGCCCTAGGCAACTACTAGTCTACTTTCTGTCTTTATTTGCCTCTTCTGGACATTTCATACAAATGGAAACATGCAGCATGTAGTAATTTATGACAGCTTCTTTCACTTAGCATGAGGTTTTCAAAGTTCATTGATGTGGTAGCATTTATCAGTACTCTGTGCCTTTTTATGGCTGAATAATATTTTATCATATGGATTTACCACATTTTATCATTTTATTTATCCATCATCAGTTGATTGACATTTGAGTTGCTTCTACTTTTTGAGTATTATCAATAATTCTGTTATGAACATTCTTGTATAATTTTTTGGTAGACATTTATCTTCATATTTCTTGGATATATACCTAGGAGCAGAATTGCTGCGTCAGATGGTAATGCTGTTTAACCTTTTCAGGAACTGTCAGACTGTTCTGAAGTGGGTACATTATTTTACATTCCAACCAGCAGTGTATGAGAATTCCAGTTTATCCACATCCTCATCAACAGTTGTTATTGTCTGTCTTTTTTATTATATTCATCTGTAATGTGAAGTGTTTATCTCATTGTGGTTTTGATTTACATTTCCCTGATGGTTGATGATTTTCAACATCTTTTCATATACTTATTAGTCATTATGTATCTTCTTTGGAGAATGTCTGTTCAGATCCTTTACCTACTTTATAATTGGTTTATCTTTTTAATATTGAACTGTAATAGTTTTAAAAAAATATATCCTAAATACAAGTCTCTTATCAGATAATATGACTTGCAGATATTTTCTGTCATTCTATGTACTGTCTTTTCACATTCTTGATGATATACTTTTCAGCCCAAATGTTTTTAACTTGATGGAATACAATTTATTTTTTCTTTTGTTGCTTGTGCTTTCAGTCATATTTGTGAAAACTTTGCTTATCCCACATTACAAAGATTTACTACTTCTAAGTGATTTATAATTTTACCACCTACCTTTAGGTCTCTGATCCATTTTGAGTTAATTTTTATGTGCAAGGAGGGAGTCTAACTTGATTCTTTTACATGTGGATATTTAGTTGTCCCAGGACCATTTGTTGAATTAAGTGCCCAGAACAAGTACATCTATATATAGAGAAAGTAGATTAGTGGTTGTCAGAGACTGCAAGAAGTGGGGAATTGGAGAGTGACTGCCCATAGGTACAGGCATGCTTTTTGGCATTATGAAAATATTCTGGAATTAGGTAGTGGTGATGGTTGCAGAACTTTTGGAATATGGTAAAAGACACTGAAATATATGCTTAAAAATGGTGATTTTTGTGATATATGAATTATACTATGGAACTAATAATAACAGTAATAAAGCAAGGTGTCTTTCCACATCTCCATGCCTTGTATTTTCATTAAAAAAAAAAAAAAAAAAAAAAAAGCATTTCAGGGCCAGGCTCAGTGGTTTACTCCTGTAATCCCAGCACTTTTGGAGGCCTAGGTGGGAGGATCGCTTGAGGCCAGAAGTTCAAAACCAGCCTGAGCAACATAGCAAGACCTTGTCTCCATGAAAAATAAAAAATTAGCCAGAAATGGTGATGTGTGCCTAGAGTTCCAACTACTTGGAAAGCTGAGGCAAGAGGATCACTTGAGCCTAGGAGTTCAAGGTTGCAGTGATCTATAATCACCACTGCACTCCAGCCTGGGTGACAGAACAAGACCCTGTCTCAAAAAAAAAAAAAAAAAAAAAAAAAGGCATCTCACTTTAATAGTAAGAGGCCAGAATATGATGCTGGCAGCATGTTGTGAGGAAATGTATTAGATGAAAGAAGTTAAATTCCAGTTCTCCTTTTTTCAGAAATGAGGTATAGGGGAGAGAAACACGTACTTGGAAAGAATTGACCCAGCTGAATTGGAAAATGTGGGAAGGGGATGGGGAAGAGGCTGCTCCACCTGAGATCTGGCTCCAGGACTTACAGCAAGGGGAACTTGGGCAAGTTACAGACTGTCTATGCCTCAGTTTCTTTATCAGCAAAACAGAATCATCCCATAAACTATAAGGTCGATGGTATCAGCGGGTCCCCAAACTGACTGCACATCTGAGTCATGTTAACAAACACATTCCAGGCCCCACCTGAGCCCTCTGAATCAGAATCCCTGTAAGGAGGACGATGAACTTGAATTTGCACTGACTTTCCCAGCTGTTTCTTACTCTGATCAACTTGGGGGTAGGACCCATTGAGCTGCATCACATCATTCCAAAGCCAAAACACAACAGCAGGACAAGAATATTTTCAAGGCAGTCTCTAAAGCAGAGGAGAAACTGTTGAGGGAACCTAGAAGTAAAGGAGATCTGGCTTGCTGGGCTCCATTTGAACTTTGAGTACAACAGAGACATGAGCCCTTTGGGACACATGCCTGAGGTAGTGACAGTCCAGCTTTGGAAGAGTGGAAGCCCTAGTTCCAAATTCAAGCATGCTTTGAGTATAAATTAAGTTTACCTCTTTTTGCACAGCAACATGGCCAATCTTTCCTAAGCTGCTCAGCTTACAAGAAAAGGAATCATACTGCTAAGAATTCAAACTTCAGCAGTCATAGGTAAGTAAGGAAGTCTTATAAACCTATTCTAGCCACCTAACCAGAAACTCGAAATTTAGCAGGTTCTTTCAGTTTCAGGACAGTTGTGTTCACTAGATCAGAGGCATTGAGACATGAAGAACAGACCCTTAAAAAGGGAAAGTGTTCCCTTCAGTTTGAGGACATCACTGGAACATTAGGGAAGTGGGAACACAGCTGCTCACTCTACAGTGTGGGTTGCCTTTGTGTCTGGAATGTGTCTGACGTCCTGATCCCTGTGCACATTTCAGGGAGCCTTGGGAGGACCCCGAATCACTGATGGAATTGGGCAGTGCATGGAGATGGCTCAGCAGGATGAGGGTAAATGCAGGGGCAAGTCCAGGTCATACTGAGAGACAATGAGTGGCGCTGATGAGGACAAAGATAAAATCAAAAGTTTGTGCTTCATCTTCAAAAACTCAAGCTGATAACAAACTTGGCCTGATGAGAAATAATAAGTATTTTTCTATTTACATGAGAATTTAATCTCAAAACAGAAATCAGAAAAATATGAAGTCCAGGGCATAAAACCTAAAACTATTGCTCATATTTATTCTTTCTAAATAGAGCAAAGTGTACAATCTTCTCCATAAGACATACATTGTGGTTATAAAAAGGCAAAAGTCTTAGTGAGAATCATTGGTATTCCATAGAAGAGTGAATTAAACACAGCCAAGGGAAGACCCACGTCTCATACTTCTCTTGTATATTCCAAAGTTCCAGGGAAATTCCAGGTGATAGAGGTTATTTCCCATACTGTTAAAGCAAGGTTTCAGACACTTCTGAATTTTGGTCCCAGTACTCTAGAAGGGCACACCTCTGTCCTGGAAAATAATACAGGAATGAATACTCTTCCCGTGACCCATTCTGGTCATTCTTCCAGCATCACAAAAACCAAAAAATGGAAATATGGCCAAATACGTGATTAGCTGTCCCTCATCTTCAGGTTTCTTATCTGTTACTTATAGATAATAGCATTACCTTAAGGATTATGATGAAGATACAATGTCCAAATATAAACACAGTTTTGAGCAAAATGCCTTGTACGAATTGGTCAATGAATAATTACTAAATATGTGAATATTTACTGGATTGTATGGATCCTATGAATAATTACTGAATAATTATTGTGATTGCTTTTATTGGCAGTGCTGAAAACTCATCCCTTTGTGACCTCAAGTAACCCATGACACTTTGTGAACCTGCAGTTTTTTCATTTAGAAACTTGACAGATTTTCATTCTGACACAGAATGTCAGGTCTCCCAGACCCTAGAAAATACATTGACTTAAAGCCTTTGATACATCTCAAAGCAGTATCCTTACAGTGTCACTGGAAGATGGTGCGGGCTGCAGAGAGGGATGCTTTCAAATGGGATTAACCAGTCCTCCTTCCTTCACTTCCACATGAATGCTGGGCAGCCCAGGGTCAACCCACTGCACCCTCAACTCAGGCAAGTCCAGCAGCCAATCTTAGGAGACCTGGGCTACAGAACAGTCTCTCAAGTTCCAGGCTCACAAAACCTAGGTGGGGATGAAAGCTGAGAAAGCGAAGAGGTGGTTCAGGGGATCACTCTTTCCTACTTGTTCCTCTCACCTCAAACTCACCTTCTACTGCACAGCAACACTGAGGATCGCCAACCAACCCTGACCATAACCTTGATCTTGCCATGTTCTGTTAGTGGAATGCAACCCAAAATCAATGGTGTTAGGTCATCTCAACAAAATATATATCAAACCATATTCCATAAGAACTGCTCGTGGCCCTGTTCTTTTCAGTATATGGGAAAACAAAATGGAAACAACAAAATAGCATCAGGTTTACAAAACTTCCCAAGATAGATGGTCACACATGTTTTCAGGAGACCTCTATATAAATGACTTTGATCACTTGATACCTTGAAAAGAGGTCTTGTGGCACTAGAATGACATCTATAAGTGACAAGTATAAAATGTAGTGCTCAGTGACATTAAAAAACAAATCAACCCACATAGAGGAAGAGCTTTGGACGTAGGGATGTCAAACTGGTCTAGAATGTAATGAAAACCCAAGAAGGTGCCCCAGTAAGAAAGAGGAAATCAATCTAACAATGGGATGCAGCAGCAAGAATACTGAGACAGGAAAGAAAATATTTTAAAAAAATGAATTATTCATTCACTTTCTAGTGGATACAGAAAAAACTGCAGAAGACCCAGAGGATATCAGGGCAGGCTAAAAGTTTGATATCTTACACCTGTGGAAAAGCCTTAAGCTCTGTTTTAACTGAGAGCAGGTGGGGTGACTTCATGACTACCATTAAGAAAATATAACCTGTTGGGAAACTGTTTCTGCCTTGATGATGTTGTACAGACAAGAGATAAACAGTGAGGAATATGCTTAGATGTATTGGGAAAGACATGGGTCTGTGGCATTGTCACAAGGGTACACGAATACTGAGAGTGAATGCTGAAGGAATGATCCCCATTGGTGGTGACCCTCAGGTGAAAGTAGGGTGCCTGTGTTTCAGCAAAGCCTGGGCAATTGGAATGCAGAGCTCCTAAGATTCCATGACACCCCCACCTTCTAATTCTGTTATTGCAACTGCAGACGGTTACCTGGCACGCTGGCCACATTCTGCCTCACTCTTATCAGAGTCTGAGCTACTGGCAGTGCTTTCAGCTCTGAGTTGAGGCACCTCGAACCTTGTTTTTGTGGTGAAGGATCCTAAAGTGCTGTGGGGAGTGATCACATTTTTCACAACAGTAAGTTAAGAATTTCAGTTACTGACATCCCTCAGTCCTGATTAAACCGATTTGATTTCACCAGTTTTTAACCCATCATATGTTTGGGTTTCTTCTCCCCAGTCCCTGACTCCACCTCTTCTGCCACAAACGTCAGCATGGTGGTATCAGCCGGCCCTTGGTCCAGTGAGAAGGCAGAGATGAACATTCTAGAAATCAACGAGACATTGCGCCCCCAGCTGGCAGAGAAGAAACAGCAGTTCAGAAACCTCAAAGAGAAATGTTTTCTAACTCAACTGGCCGGCTTCCTGGCCAACCGACAGAAGAAATACAGTAAGATCTATAGGCTCACCATCATGAAAGTGATGAATGATATCCTGTCTTCTCTCTGAGACACTAAATGCTCTCTCCATCAAAAATAATTTCATCCTTCCTGTACTTCTAGGAAAACAGAAATGGGTATTTTAACATTTTGTTAAAGTTGGAAGACAGAGGTGCCAAAGTATTTAGCAACTTTCCATGTTTGCAATCAGATGGGGGTGGAACTAGAGTTAAACTCACAGTTATTGATTTCTAACACAGGCACAGAATGACCTGTTTTCTCCAAGGGGCTCAATCATGTTTTTAAGAATCCTCTCTGTACCATATAAGATCCTGCAGACAAATAACATCTAGTCTGTTGTTCTAAATGTCTAGGACTAGTGAACTTTTATTCAGTTCAAGTTTCTGTTGAGGCCCAACAGGCAAAGCTCTGTTCTAGTGACTCTGAGGGGAACTTGGTGATAGTAGCCAGTACCTGCTCTGAGGGGCTTCAAGGGGAGTCTGCTCCTAATAGAACCTGTGCTATCTATAAGTGACAGCATCAAGAGCAGGGAGTAGGGGCCGTGCAACGTGGCTCACTCCTATAATCTCAGCACTTTGGGAGGCTGAGGCGGGCAGAGCACGAGGTCAGCAGTTTGAGACTAGCCTGGGCAACATGGAGAAACCCCATCTCCACTAAAAATACAAAAAGTAGATGGGCATCGTGGCGGGCAACTGTAATCACCACTAATCGGGAGGCTGAGGCAGAAGAATCCTTTGAACCCAGCAGGCAGATGTTGCAGTGAGCCAAGATTGCACTATTGCACTCCAGCATGGGTGACGGGGCAAGACTCGTCAAAAAACAAACAAACAAAAAGATAAATAAATCAAAAATAAAAATAAAAAGCAGAGAGTACCTTGGTGAGAGTGAAGTCCTGCTTCCTGGTGCACAGGCTCTTGTTCCTAAAGAGGAAAGATCACACCGGAGAATGTGTGGAAGCAGCAGTGCAGTGTGCAAAGCAGGGACCCTCAGCCTGTCTCCTGGGCTCCATCCAAGTTGCTTGTCTTGTCTGTCCCTCAGTTTCCTCATCTGTTCAGAGGGTACTACAATAATACCTACCTCTGTAAATTGCTGCAATGAATTACATGAGGTATTTCCTGTCAATCTCCTTGAACATTAATTGGCACAGTGGAAACACTATCTATTAGTTCTTCATTCTGATGTTTCTAAATTAACACAAACTAATGCTGTTTCTAAATTAACACAACTAATCTAAATCTTAATGCTGCCTCTCATACTAATAAAGTATTTGGGCATATTTCCTTCATGGCCTTATTGTCTTATATCTCACACTTTATGCTTCAGATATGATTCTTAAAACCATATCTGAATATTGATTTAAAAATGAAATATTTTTAAAGTCCTTGACATATTTGTCCTTGAAATACCCAGTAAAAGGGAAACCATCAGTCCCATAGTCCTAGGGGCCTTCCCGACTGTACAAGAAATCACTACTTCATGCCCCAGTGCAGTGTTTTAGAGGAGAGGCTGCAAGACTTGGGAAAGTGGCCCCGCATTCAGAGTCAGACCTCAGGGGCTGTGAGTTCTGACTCCACTTCGTTGTGGTTGAATCATCTTGTCAACTTCCTTGATGCGCCCTTGAGTTTCTCTTTCTTCGTCTTTAAATTTTGGAGGATCAGATGCCAGAAAGTCAGGAGACTGAAGAATAAAGATGTGGAAATCCCTGTCTAGACCCTGGTACTGGGGAGAGTTTTGTCCTTGGGATGGACCTGGCTCCTGCCCTGTAGGCAGTGACCACAGCAGCATGTCCAGCCTTCCACTGAGGCAGGCGTGTCTGTCTTTTCTCAGAGTATGAAGAGTGTAAAGACCTCATAAAATTTATGCTGAGGAATGAGCGACAGTTCAAGGAGGAGAAGCTTGCAGAGCAGCTGAAGCAAGCTGAGGAGCTCAGGTGAGGGGACCCCGTGGGGGGAGGGCAGGCGGGTAGGTGTGTAGATCTCTGAAGTACAGCAGCTCGGCGGGGAGAAATAAGAACGAAGCTGGGCCAGGGGAAGGGCAGAAATTGCCATGACAGGCTCATGACACACAAATATTTATCAGTGAACAAGGATAATAATAAGTTCTGTGTTGCAGTTGTTTCTTAGAGCCTTGTTTTCTCTTTTTCAAACAAGTAATTGTTGAGGTGAAATTTACATAACACAAAATTCACCAAAGGAGTGGGAACCACCCAGCAGCATTCAGTATAATCAAAATGGTGTGCTATCACCACCCCACTTACCCTTAGTGAGAATCACCTCCTGACTGACTGCGTCTTCTCATTCTTTCACTCAATCAATGTTGCCTTCTTGACCCTGTCCTTCTTTTCTTCTTTCATCTTTTCAATTCGCCCCATCTGCACCTGGCCTCATTTCTGTACATGGCTTTGTATTTAGTGGCCGCAAGATGCACTATGTGTATTTTCACATGGAAATGTCCATGGCCAGAGTGAGGAACTGAAAGGATGTCTTTTTGAAACGGAATTAGGAAGACACCTACTTTTGTTTACAGAAGAGAAAGATGAATGGAACATCATCGAGGATCTTGCAGGAGCCCTCTCTGATAGAGGGAAAGCCTGTAGACCATTTTCTATTCTTCCTCTTGGCCACAGTCATTCCTTTCAACATGTGCTGACCTTCTGCTTGGAGGTCTCCTTGAGGACATTGTCTCAGAAGTCTCTGTTGCAATATTTGAACGGATCACTCAACCCTTTCTACTCTTAAATTTTCTCTACCGTCTCACCTTAGGCAATATAAAGTCCTGTTTCACTCTCAGGAACGAGAGCTGACCCAGTTAAGGGAGAAGTTACGGGAAGGGAGAGATGCCTCCCGCTCATTGAATGAGCATCTCCAGGCCCTCCTCACTCCGGATGAGCCGGACAAGTCCCAGGGGCAGGACCTCCAAGAACAGCTGGCTGAGGGGTGTAGACTGGCACAGCACCTTGTCCAAAAGCTCAGCCCAGGTAAGGTGGCCATAGGCCCTGATGACCCAAAACCCCAGGCTTATGAGAGGCTCCAGACCTCCATACTTTCACAATGACAGTTATATCAGTGGGGTTTTTTTCTACTACACCTATGTGGCCATGACATGATCAGGACTTCCTGGGTAAGAACAGAGATGGGAAACCCATGGGTTTGGAGGTCACAGTATTGCAAGTGTCCCTCCTTCCTTGATGGAAGGTGGTCTTTGGAGCAAGAGGCAGCATCTATCTAGTTTTAAAGGACAGGAAGGAGGCTGTGATGGAAGGGCGCTTGTTGGAGTGAAAAGAGCTCTGGGCTAAGAATGAAGGTTCCCAGGCTGTATTTTTGGCAGTGTTCTTAGTAAGTGTCAGTGAGTGATTTATCTTTTCAGAGTTTCTCTCTCTCCATCTGCAAAGGCAGACAAATTGTCTCTTGCAAGGGTCTGAAGCATCCAAATATGGGAACACTTACGAATGCTTTTCAAAATGAGATGAAGCCCCTCTCCATGTGGTGTTGGAGAAGGCACTTGATGTGGGGGCATTTGGTGGTAGGAAGTGCTTCAGACTGGAGCACTCCCCATGGATAGAATGTCCCTGAATAACACAGCAGAAGCCACATGGAGGGCCTGTGCAGTCTCATGACGCATAGAGGACTGTGGGACAAGTTTGTCCTCTCCTAAGAGAAAGAATGAGGTTTGAAATGCAAACCGTGACAGGACACCAAGCCTGTGCCTGGGAATCAGATCTGGCAGGATGGGGGAGACAGCTGCCAACGTCCAGAGAGAGGCTGCACAAGCCTCCAGTGATATGGGAAGCAAAAGGTCTTTTCAATATTTGGCCACATCTTGATGGTGGCCCTCCAGATCAGAAATGCATTGCCTGATGGATCAGGAAACCATGGCAGGGCATTCTGTTAAAGATAAAACATGAGAGTTTTCAGTTGAACGGTGACCCATGCCTAGATGTTCATGTCTCTGTTGCACATTGGGCTGACTGTGCTTGCAGACTGTGAAGTGGGAAATATCTGAACGAACACTTCTGTATTTACAGAAAATGACAACGATGACGATGAAGATGTTCAAGTTGAGGTGGCTGAGAAAGTGCAGAAATCGTCTGCCCCCAGGTAACACTGAATACTCAGGAACAATTAATGGATGGTAACATATGAGGAATATCTAGGAGGCACACCCTCTCTGGCATCTATGATGGGCCAAAAACCCGCATTCGCTTGGCCACAGTATGTGAAATATAATCCAGCTTAGACACAGGGTGCGGTAGCTGTCATGTTTCTCTATGTGTGCTGAGTGTCATGTCTGCACCTTACAGGGATAGCTGAGTCTTCATCCTCCTCAGCTCCTATCTGTCCAGTGCAATGAACAGCAGCTGCTCTCTTCCTCTCTGGTTCCCATGGCAGCCATGCTCTGTTGCAGAGAGAACAGGATTGCATGTTCCCTCTTAATGGGAACCTCCATTTTGCTTTCTGGGACCACTCTCTTAATGCCGCCTGTCAAAACCAGCTAGGACTCCCTGGGGTCCAATCCCTCTGTGTTTAATCTTCTGTCATCTCTGTCCCACCTGGCTCATCAGGGAGATGCAGAAGGCTGAAGAAAAGGAAGTCCCTGAGGACTCACTGGAGGAATGTGCCATCACTTATTCAAATAGCCATGGCCCTTATGACTCCAACCAGCCACATAGGAAAACCAAAATCACATTTGAGGAAGACAAAGTCGACTCAACTCTCATTGGCTCATCCTCTCATGTTGAATGGGAGGATGCTGTACACATTATTCCAGGTAGCCTCTGTTTTCCTTGTGTCTCATACCTCTCTCTAGGCTGAGAAAGATAAACTCTGAAGACAGGCTCTATAAACACAAATTCATTTGAATAAAAAACTGTGATGGGTTTCTAAACAGATATCAGGGAGTTTTTTTGTCCTTCTCAGCTAATGTCATGACTTTGTCTGCCAGTCCCCAGTATCAAGTTACTCAACCCCAGGCAAGTGTGACAATCTCATAGTCACCTGAGTGCAGGAGGTGCACAGGCAGTATCTGTCAGGCCTCCTATCTTCGATTCAGTATCTCTTGTCATCTGTGATTAAGTCATCTGTCCCTGAACAATGTCCATGGAGTTTCTATGCCTGTTTAAGGAAGCTGGCAGCCTTGCCTTTGTATTTGGAAATATTGTTCCCCAGGCTTCACTGCTCTCAGCTTTCATCTGGATCTCCTTTAAGTCAGCTTGCTTAGCTGCACAGTCACCCTGAAATCAGGACGGAAACTTTTCTTCTTTACTTTGCTGATATATTTCCATAAAGCAAGGCTGGACCCTGGTTCTCCACCCTGTCAATGCAATGGCTGATCCAATGTTTCTTTGTAGCATCGTGGATTTTTTTTTTTTTTTTTTTTTTTTTGCAATGGAGTCTTGCTCTGTCACCCAGGCTGGAGTGCAGTGGCACCATCTTGGCTTGGTGCAACCTCTGCCTCCCAGATTCAAGTGATTCTCCTGCCTCAGCCTCCTGAGTTGCTGGGACCACAGGTGCACAACATCACATCTGGCTAATTTTTGTATTTTTAGTAGAGACAGGGTTTCCCCATATTGGCCAGGGTAGTCCTGAACTCATGACCTCAAATGATTCACCTGTCTTGGCCTCCCAAATCACAGATTCTTTTTAAAGCAAGAGTTGTTAAAATTTATCTATCAGTCGTGTTTCATGTATAGATGCCTCTAAACATTTAATGTCCATGTTACCTGGTGATATAAGTCCGTATCGCAGCAACACTCTTAGAAAATTGTTTGACCAATTTTTGGAGATTTTTTTGGGGAAAAAATTTTGTTTAACTTTGACTCAGGCAGGGAATATGGCATTATGGTCTACACGTAGAGGGAGATTTTGGCCTGTGGGTCTGGAAAGCAGGGTCATCTAATTCTCACCAAAGTTAATCTAGGACACCCTAGAATATTCCTGTCAGAATCCTTATTCTTGCACTGAGAATAGTTATGTCCTTGTGCTATGACTGGACAGTGATTTGTTCATATGTGAAGTATGAATTGCTTAATGTGACCTGCTTCTCTGAATTTATTTACAGAAAATGAAAGTGATGATGAGGAAGAGGAAGAAAAAGGGCCAGTGTCTCCCAGGTAATGTTGTGGAATTGTTGGCTGTTAATTCAGTAGTGACATCTGGAGATTGTAGATTTAGGGAAAATGAGGAAGTGATGAATAGAACTATTTCTTCCATTCACCCAGCTACAAATTGTGCTGATTTACAATGTTGTATGTTATTTGTGGCACTTGTATTGGTTTTAATTTCATAGTCCTCTCAAGATAGGAACTTGCCATCAGATGAGCCAGGTGAACTAGCCAAACAGGGTTTTCTTGTTGATCTTTTCAAAAAACCAGCCCTGGATTCATTGATTTTTTGAAGGGTTTTTTGTGTCTCTATCTCCTTGAGTTCTGCTCTGATCTTAGTTACTTCTTGTCTTCTGCTAGCTTTTGAATTTGTTTGCTTTGCTTCTCTAGTTATTTTAATTGTGATGTTAGGGTGTCCATTTTAGATCTTTTCTGCTTTCTCTTGTGGGCATTTAGTGCTATAATTTTCCCTCTACACATTGCTTTAAATGTGTCCCAGAGATTCTGGTATGTTGTGTCTTTGTTCTCATTGGTTTCAAAGAACATCTTTATTTCTGCCTTCATTTTGTTATTTTCCCAGTAGTCATTCAGGAGCAGGTTGTTCAGTTTCCATGTAGTTGTGTGGTTTTGAGTGAGTTTCTTAATCCTGAGTTCTAATTTGATTGCACTGTGGTCTGACAGTTTGTTGTGATTTCCATTCTTTTACATTTGCTGACGAGTGCTTTACCTCCAACTATGTGGTCAATTTTGGAATAAGTGTGATGTGGTGCTGAGAAGAATGTATATTCTGTTGATTTGGGGTGGAGAGTTCTGTAGATGTCTTTTAGGTCGGCTTGGTGGAGAGCTGAGTTCAAGTCCTGGATATCCTTGTTAAGCTTCTGTCTCATTGATCTGTCTAATATTGACAGTGGGGTGTTAAAGTCTCCCATGATGATTGTGTGGAGTCTAAATCTCTTTGTAGGTCTCTCAGGACTTGCTTTATGAATCTGGGTGCTCCTGTATAGGGTGCATATATATTTAGGATAGTTAACTCTTCTTGTTGAATTGATCCCTTTACCATTATGTAGTGGCCTTCTTTGTCTCTTTTGATCTTTGTTGGTTTAAAGTCTGTTTTATCAGAGACTAGGATTGCAACACCTGCCTTTTTTTGTTTTCCATTTGCTTGGTAGATCTTCCTCCATCCCTTTATTTTGAGCCTATGTGTGTCTCTGCATGTGAGATGGGTTTCCTGAGTACAGCACACTGATGGGTCTTGACTCTTTATCCAATTTGCCATTCTGTGTTTTTTAACTGGGGCATTTAGCCCATTTACATTTAAGGTTAATATTGTTATGTGTGAATTTGATCCTGTCGTTATGATGTTAGCTGGTTATTTCTTCCGTTAGTTGATGCAGTTTCTTCCTAGCGTCAATGGTCTTTACAGTTTGGCATGTTTTTGCAGTGGCTGGTACCGGTTGTTCCTTTCCATGTTTAGTGCTTCCTTTAGGAGCTCTTGTAAGGCAGGCCTGGTGGTGACAAAATCTCTCAGCATTTGCTTCTCTGTAAAGGATTTATTTCTCCTTCACTTATGAAGCTTTGTTTGGCTGGATATGAAATTCTTGGTTGAAAATTCTTTTCTTTAAGAATGTTGAAGGTGCTGGAGAGGATGTGGAGAAATAGGAACACTTTTACACTGTTGGTGGGACTGTAAACTAGTTCAACGATTGTGGAAGGCAGTGTGGCAATTCCTCAGGGATCTAGAACTAGAAATACCATTTGACCCAGCCATCCCATTACTGGGTGTATACCCAAAGGATTATAAATCATGCTGCTGTAAAGACACATGCACACATATGTTTATTGCGGCACTATTCACAATAGCAAAGACTTGGAACCAAGCCAAATATCCAGCAATGATAGACTGGATTAAGAAAATGTGGCACATATACACCATGGAATACTATGCAGCTATAAAAAATGATGAGTTCATGTCCTTTGTAGGGGCATGGATGAAGCTGGAAACCATCATTCTCAGCAAACTATTGCAAGGACAAAAAACCAAATACCGCATGTTCTTACTCACAGGTGGGAATTGAACAATGAGAACACATGGACACAGAAAGGGGAACATCACACACTGGGGCCTGTTGTAGGGTGGGGGGAGGGAGGAGGGGTAGCATTAGGAGATATACCTAATGCTAAATGATGAGTTAATGGGTGAAGCACGCCAATGTGGACATGTATACATATGTAACTAACCTGCACGTTGTGCACATGTACCCTAAGACTTAAAGTATTAAAAAAAATATATATATATATACATACACACAAAAAATAATAAAGGAAAACTATACATATGGAAAAAAAAAAGAATGTTGAATATTGCTCCCACTCTCTTCTGGCTTGTAGGGTTTGTGCCAAGAGATCTGCTGCTAGTCTGATGGGTTTCCCTTTGTGGGTAATCCAACCTTTCTCTCTGGCTGCCCTTAGCATTTTTTCCTTCATTTCAACCTTGGTGAATCTGACAATTACGTGTTTTGGGGTTGCTCTTCTCGAGGAGTATCTTTATGGTGTTCTCTGTGTTTCCTGAATTTGAATGTTGGCCTTCCTTGCTAGGTTGGGGAAGTCCTCCTGGATAATATCCTGAAGAATGTTTCCCAGCTTGGTTCCATTCTCCCCGTCACTTTCAGTACACCAATCAAACGTAGATTTGGTCTTTCCACATAGTCCCATATTTATTGGAGGCTTGTTCATTTCTTTTTACTCTTTTTTCTCTAAACTTCTCTTCTCGCTTCATTTCACTAATTTGATCTTGAATCACTGATACCGTTTCTTGCACTTGATCGAATTGGCTACTGAAGCTTGTGCATGCATCACGTAGTTCTCGTGCCATGGTTTTCAGCTCCATCAGCTCATTTAAGGTCTTCTCTACACTGTTCATTCTGGTTAGCCATTCGTCTAATCTTTTTTCAAGGTTTTTAGCTTCCTTGCGATGAGTTCGCACATCCTCCTTTAGCTCAGAGAAGTTTGTTATTACCGACTTTCTGAAGCCTACTTCTGTCATCTCATCAAAGTCATTCTCCATCCTGCTTTGTTCCATTGCTGGCGAGGAGCTGCGATCCTTTGGAGGAGAAGGGATGTCAGGTTTTTGGAATTTTCAGCTTTTGTGCTCTGGTTTCTCCCCACCTTTGTGGTTTTATCTACCCTTGGTCTTTGATGATGGCGACCTACAGATGGGGTTTTGGGGTGGATGTCTTTTTTGTTGATGTTGATGCTATTCCTTTCTGTGTGTTAGTTTTCCTTCTAACAGTCAGGTCCCTCAGCTTCAGGTCTGTTGGAGTTTGCTGGAAGTCCACTCCAGACCCTCAAACAGGGATTTCTTGGTGTTGCCTATTCTCTCCCATGTGTTTAAATCCAGGGAGAGGTGTATATATGCTTTCTTCCTATTTGTTGGTAGTATGTTGGCTAGTATTTTTGCAAGAAAAGAAATTGAAAAAGTAAATATATTATATCAAAATATTGGGAAAATGGGGCCCTTAATACACAAGATCTGTGTCTGCACTGCGTCAAGAACTCTCTTCACTTGAATGCTGCATGTAAAATTCAACCCAATTTATGCAAAGTAGTTGAAGCCCTGTGTCAGTTCTCTGTGCTGCAAGTCATGATGGTAGTTTACAGGGAGAGTCCGGGTGCCCTGAGTTGGCTCATCTGTGGCAAATGTACTGAGCACATGCTGCCCATTTTTGCTCTGTCCCCAGAGCAGTCACCCTCCACCCTGTATTTAGAAGGATAGTTTTATTTCTCTTGAAGGAAAAATGCCTTTGGTTTCTGTGACCACTCCATTCTGTCTCCCATCAGATCATCTGGGAGGTTTTGTTGTCTAATGTCTGTTGGTTAAATCTTCTATCATCCCTGTCCTGCCTGGCTCATCAGGAATCTGCAGGAGTCTGAAGAGGAGGAAGTCCCCCAGGAGTCCTGGGATGAAGGTTATTCGACTCTCTCAATTCCTCCTGAAATGTTGGCCTCGTACCAGTCTTACAGCAGCACATTTCACTCATTAGAGGAACAGCAAGTCTGCATGGCTGTTGACATAGGCAGTGAGTACTCCATTGTGAAGGTGATAAAGCTCCAGTTCATGGCCCAGGTAGACCCCATAATCTTTGGGCCTTGTGCCCCTTGTTGGGCTGAGATTTGCCATCACCGTGGGCTGAACCTATATATCAATGTAGATTTCAGTCACTCTGGAGTCAAGTCTGAAGCACAGGCATGGGGTGGGTCAGTGAGCTTTACTCTCTTCCTAGTCTCAGGCCATGCCTGTGCCAACCTGGACTGACTGTCACGACATTGAACTCAAGGCAGGTGTGGCAAACTCACACCAAACTATGTAGCACATGCCCAGGAGTTGTCTGTCAGATCAGCTCATCTGAATTAAATGTCTTTTGCCAGCTACAAAATTCCTTATGAGTTTTGTTCCCAAAGCATGTCTGTGTGGTTCTTTACCTGCCCAAGGCCAGTGTCACCCTTGTCTACCTCTCAGTGAAAGATGTGACCCAGGTTTCACTGAGTTTATTCCCATTTTCTGTGTCTTCTAAGTTCGCTTGTTTTAGCTCATCTGTCCGTCATGTTCCTGGTATGTTTTCTAGATAAATGGCTGACTTTTCACCCACAAAAGCCATAATAGCTGATGCTTCTGTGTAGAACCAAGTTTCATTTTGACTCAAGAGCTGGTACATTGCACCCCTTCATCAAATCTCTGTGTCCACAATCTCATAAACTATCAAATTCTGGGTATTTGATGAGAGAAAGCTTAATATTGAAGTATCTCTCCTATGAGGTGTTAGAACTATTTGCCTACAATTTATTGGGGAAAAATTGCTCATTTGTGTACATAAACCTAGGACAGAGCACATAGGGAAGATAACATTCCAACACAGGGGAATTTTGCCCAAGGCTCATGAAAGAACCCAAGCCAGTTTTCTCAAGACTTGACCTCAGGCCTACTGCAATATTTCTCTCAAAGTCTCCTGTTCTCACACTGACAAGACTGATGTCCCTGTGTTAGGATTGGACAGAGGAATGTTTCTGTGTGCAAGGAAGAACTTAATGTAAGAGGGCCCATCTGAATTTATTTGCAGGACATCGCTGGGATCAAGTGAAAAAGGAGGACCAAGAGGCAACAGGTCCCAGGTGAGTCTGAGAAATTGTGGACAGTTAATTTGATGTTGACACCTGGAGATGCCAAGTCCAGGGAAAACAGTACATGCTGAAAATAATGATTTTGTCTTGTCAGACAAGTCTGAATTATGCCTAATACATTGCTTTTTTGTTCTCATTAGAGTAAATGTTTAGGTTTCCATTTCTTCCTACCCTTATCATTTACTAACCTAGTGAAAGTTGACCATACCTCAAAAGCTGTATTCTCATGGTAACTGCAGGGAAACTTGAGCACATTTTATGCAAAATTATTGAGGACATGCTTTTCATGATCACTGTTCACTGTGTGTCCTGAGAGCACAAATACAGAGTGTCCTTTGACTCCCTCATCAGTGTGTCACCTGACCAATTGACTGAGCTCGCTCTGTGTGTGTGTGTGTGTGTGTGTGTGTGTGTGTGTGTGTGTGTGTGTGTCTTTCTCGTTCATCCTTTTCTACCTGGCCCTAGTCTATCCCAACATAAAGGCAATAATTTGTTACCTCACTAATGGATCTCTCCTTTTTCTTTTCAAACTCTTCCTTATGTTAGCCATGAAATCTAGCTGGGGCTGTGTGGTTTCTGATTCCCCCTGGCTTATTCTTTACTTTTTCCCACTTTTCCAGGCTCAGCAGGGAGCTGCTGGATGAGAAAGGGCCTGAAGTCTTGCAGGACTCACTGGATAGATGTTATTCAACTCCTTCAGGTTGTCTTGAACTGACTGACTCATGCCAGCCCTACAGAAGTGCCTTTTACGTATTGGAGCAACAGCGTGTTGGCTTGGCTATTGACATGGATGGTGAGTACCTTTCTATGAAGGTGATAAGGATCCACTGAGTCTTCTGGTTAGGGTCATATTCCTACTGCAAGTGGCCCTTACTGAGCTGAGAGATGTCATTGCCACAGGGAGGACCTATAGGCACATGTAGGTTGAATGAAACTCTAGTTCCACTTGGCAGCCCAGACAAGGGATGGTTCAGTGAGCAAGGCTCTCTTCCTAGTCTCAGGCCATACCTGTGGCGCCCTAATCCTACTCTCATGACGTTGGACCTGGGCAGATGTGACAAATTCACACAACTCTGATTTTGTCTCAATTTTGTAGATCTTGTAGATTTCATCCTTCACTCTAATTTCAGCGTCTAAAATCCTCGCTACCATGAACAATCTGAGTATTTGATGAGACAGGGCTGAATAGTGCAGTTTTTCTCCTAGCAACCATTTGGGGGTATTTGCTTTAAATCGATTGGAAAAATATGGCATAACCATTTGCACAAACTTGGGACAAATGATATTGGGATAACGATCTACCAGAATAGGGAATTTTACCCACAGTTTCTGGGACAAAAACCAAGGAATCTCTATGGTGATCAGCCTTCAGGCCTCCTGAAGAATATCTCTCACAGTGTCCTATTCTCATGCTGAGGAGCCTGAAGTCTCTGTGTGAGGATTAGACAGTGGATTGTTATGTGTGTAGGAGAACCAGCTTCATATGTCTGTCCATGTCTGAACTTATTGCAGAAATTGAAAAGTACCAAGAAGTGGAAGAAGACCAAGACCCATCATGCCCCAGGTAACTTTGAGCAATTATGGATGCTTAATTCTGTGTTGACACCTGGAGATGCCAGGTCCAGGGAAAACAAGAGTGTGTTCAATTTCATGTTTTCAACGAAGGTTGAATTACTCCTACTGACATGGCTGTTGGTTTTCATTGCAGTAGATGTTTAGGTTTCCATTTCTTCCTCCCCTTATCATTTACTAACTTACTATAGGTTGACCATACCTCAAAGGCTGTATGGCAACTGCATGGAATCTTGAGCAAGTTTATGGAAAATTATTGAGCCCACTCTTTTCATGATCACTGTTCGCTGTGTGTCCCGAGGGCACTAACTCAGAGTGTCCTTTGACCCCTTCATCAGTGTGTCACCCGGCCAACTCGCTGAGCTCACTTTCTCCTCTCTCTCTCTCTCTCTCTCTCCCTCTCCCTGTCTTTCTCTTTCATTCTTCTCTACCTGGCCCTGGTCTATCCCAACATAAAGGCAATAATTCATTACCTCATTAATGGATCTGTCCTTTTTCTTTTTAA
Organism: Homo sapiens; assembly: GCF_000001405.40. Lineage (NCBI taxonomy): Eukaryota > Metazoa > Chordata > Mammalia > Primates > Hominidae > Homo > Homo sapiens. The sequence goes on from NC_000001.11 coordinate 149,489,470, forward strand.
ACAGTTCCTTATGTTAGCCATGAAATCTAGCTGGGGCTGTGTGGTTTCTGATTCCCCCTGGCTTATTCTTTACTTTTTCCTACTTTTCCAGGCTCAGCAGGGAGCTGCTGGATGAGAAAGAGCCTGAAGTCTTGCAGGACTCACTGGATAGATGTTATTCGATTCCTTCAGGTTATCTTGAACTGCCTGACTTAGGCCAGCCCTACAGCAGTGCTGTTTACTCATTGGAGGAACAGTACCTTGGCTTGGCTCTTGACGTGGACAGTGAGTACCTTACTATGAAGGTGATAAGCCTCCACCTGGTCTTCCAGATAGGGGTGATATTCCTGTTCCAAGTGGCCCTTACTGACCCGAGAGATGTCATTGCCGCAGGCAGGACCTATGGGCGCATATAGGTTGTAATGAAACTGTAGTCTCAGTTGGAAGCCTAGACATGAAATGGGTCAGTGAGCAAGGCTCTATTCCTAGTCTCCAGCCATGCCTGTGGCAACCTGAGCCCGCTCTCAGCACATTGGACCCAGGCAGATGCAAAAAATTCACAGAACTATGATTTGGACTCAAGGGTTTGTAGATTTCCTCCTTCATTCTAATTTCAGTGTCTAAAATTCTTGCATCCATGAACGAGCTGGGCATTTGATGAGACAGGGCTGAATACTGCAGTTTTCCTCCTAGAAATCATCTGGGGCATTTTCTTTGAACTGATGGGAACAATAAGGCATAACTGTTTGCACAAACTTGGGATAAGTGATTTTGGGATAACGATCTACCAGAATGGGGATATTTCACCCTTGGTTCTGAGATGCAAACCAAAGAATATCATGACCAGCTTTCAGGCCTCCTGAAGTATATCTCTCACATTGTCCTGTTCTCATGCTGAGGAGCCTGAGATCCCTGTGTGGGGATTAGACAGTGGACTGTTATGGGTGTAGGTGAATTGGCTTATTTTGTCTGTCCCTGTCTGAATGTATTGCAGGAATTAAAAAGGACCAAGAAGAGGAAGAAGACCAAGACCCACCATGCCCCAGGTAACTGAGCAATTGTGAACAGCTACTTCTGTGTTGACATCTGGAGACTCCTGGTTCAGGGAAAACAGAGCGGGCTGACATTATCGATTACATCTTTTCAAGCAAGCCTGAATTATTCCTACTAACATTGCTGTTGGTTTTCATTGCAGTAGATATTTAGGTTTCCATTTCTTCCTCCCCTTATCATTTACTAACCTACTGTAGGTGGACCAGACTTCAAAAACTGTATTCTCATGGCGACTGCATGGAAACTTGAGCACATTTTATGGAAAATTATTGAGCACAGTCTTTTCATGATCACTGTATGCTGTGTGTCCTGAGGGCACTAACTCAGAGTGTCCTGTTACTCCCTCATCAGTGTGTCACCTGGACAATTCACTGAGCTCGTTCTCTCTCTCTCTCTCTGTGTGTGTGTGTGTGTGTGTGCGTGTGTGTGTGTGTGTGTGTGTGTCCATCTGTCTCTTTCATTCTTTTCCATTTGGCCCTGTTCTGTCCCAACATGAAGGCAATAATTTGTTACCTCATTAATGGATCTATCCTTTTACTTTCTTAACCACTTCCCTATGCTACCCATGAAACCTAGTTGGGGCTCTGTTGTGTGTGATTTCCCCTGGCTTATTCTTTACTTTTTCCTCCTTTTCCAGGCTCAGCAGGGAGCTGGTGGAGGTAGTAGAGCCTGAAGTCTTGCAGGACTCACTGGATAGATGTTATTCAACTCCTTCCAGTTGTCTTGAACAGCCTGACTCCTGCCAGCCCTATGGAAGTTCCTTTTATGCATTGGAGGAAAAACATGTTGGCTTTTCTCTTGACGTGGGAGGTGAGTACCTTTCTATGAAGGTGATAAGCATCCACTGAGTCTTCCATATAAAGATCATATTCCTGCTCCAAGTGGCCATTACTGAGCTGAGAGATGTCGTTGCCGCAGTGAGGACCTATAGGCACATGTAGGTTGAATGAAACTCTAGTTCTACCTGGAAGCCCAGACAAGGGATGGGTCAGTGAGCAAGACTCTCTTCCTAGTCTCAGGCCATACCTGTGGCGCCCTGATCCTATTCTCATGACATTGGACCTGGGCAGATGTGACAAATTCAGAGAACTATGATTTTGACTCAAGGGTTTGTAGATTTCCTTTTTCACTCTAATTTCAGTGTCTAAAGTCCTCACAACCATGAACAATCTGAGTATTTGATGAGACAGGGCTAAATATTGCAGTTTTTCTCCTAGAAATCATTTGAGGGTATTTGCTTTAAATTGATTGGAAAAATATGGCATAACTGTTTGCACAAACTTGGGACAAATGATATTGGGATAACGATCTACTAGAATAGGGACATTTTACCCACAGTTTCTGGGAGAAAAACCGAGGAATTTCTATCATGACCAGCCTTCAGGCCTCCTGAAATATATCTCTCACAGTGTCCTATTCTTATGCTGAGGAGCCTGAGGTCCCTGTGTGAGGATTAGACAGTGGATTGTTATGTGTGTAGGGGAATCAGCTTAATGTGTCTGTCCATGTCTGAATTTATTGCAGAAATTGAAAAGAAGGGGAAGGGGAAGAAAAGAAGGGGAAGAAGATCAAAGAAGGAAAGAAGAAGGGGAAGAAAAGAAGGGGAAGAAGATCAAAACCCACCATGCCCCAGGTGACTTTCAGCAATTGTGGATGCTTAATTCTGTGTTAACACCTGGAGGCAACAGATTCAGGGAAACCAGAGCGTGTTTGATGTCATGTTTTCAACGAAGGCTGAATTACTCCTACTGTCATTGCTGTTGGTTTTCATTGCAGTAGATGTTTAGGTTTCCATTTCTTCCTCCCCTTATCATTTCCTAACGTACCATAGGTTGACCATACTTCAAAAGCTGTACTCTCATGGCCACTGCATCGAATTTTGAGCATATTTTATGGAAAACTATTGAGCTCACTCTTTTCATGATCACAGTTTGCTGTGTGTCATGAGGGCACTAACTCAGAGTGTCCTTTTACTCCCTTACCAGTATGTCACCTGGCCAATTCACTAGGTCACTTTCTCTCTGTCTCTGTCTCTGTCTCTCTCTCTGTCTCTGTCTCTCTCTCTCTCTCTCTCTGTCTTTCTCTTTCATTGTTTTCTACCTGGCCCTGTTCTATCCCAACATAAAGGCAGTAATTTGTTACCTCATTAATGGATCTGTCCTTTTTCTTTTCAAACTCTTCCTTAACGTTAGCCATGAAATCTAGCTGGGGCTGTGCGGTTTCTGATTCCCCCTGGCTTATTCTTTACTTTTTCCCACTTTTCCAGGCTCAGCAGGGAGCTGCTGGATGAGAAAGGGCCTGAAGTCTTGCAGGACTCACTGGATAGATGTTATTCAACTCCTTCAGGTTGTCTTGAACTGACTGACTCATGCCAGCCCTACAGAAGTGCCTTTTACATATTGGAGCAACAGTGTGTTGGCTTGGCTGTTGACATGGATGGTGAGTACCTTTCTATGAAGGTGATAAGGATCCACTGAGTCTTCTGGTTAGGGTCATATTCCTACTGCAAGTGGCCCTTACTGAGCTGAGAGATGTCATTGCCACAGGGAGGACCTATAGGCACATGTAGGTTGAATGAAACTCTAGTTCCACTTGGCAGCCCAGACAAGGGATGGGTCAGTGAGCAAGGCTCTCTTCCTAGTCTCAGGCCATGCCTGTGGCGCCCTAATCCTACTCTCATGACATTGGACCTGGGCAGATGTGACAAATTCACACAACTCTGATTTTGTCTCAATTTTGTAGATCTTGTAGATTTCATCCTTCACTCTAATTTCAGCGTCTAAAATCCTCGCTACCATGAACAATCTGAGTATTTGATGAGACAGGGCTGAATAGTGCAGTTTTTCTCCTAGCAACCATTTGGGGGTATTTGCTTTAAATCGATTGGAAAAATATGGCATAACCATTTGCACAAACTTGGGACAAATGATATTGGGATAACGATCTACCAGAATAGGGAATTTTACCCACAGTTTCTGGGACAAAAACCAAGGAATCTCTATGGTGATCAGCCTTCAGGCCTCCTGAAGAATATCTCTCACAGTGTCCTATTCTCATGCTGAGGAGCCTGAAGTCTCTGTGTGAGGATTAGACAGTGGATTGTTATGTGTGTAGGAGAACCAGCTTCATATGTCTGTCCATGTCTGAACTTATTGCAGAAATTGAAAAGTACCAAGAAGTGGAAGAAGACCAAGACCCATCATGCCCCAGGTAACTTTGAGCAATTATGGATGCTTAATTCTGTGTTGACACCTGGAGATGCCAGGTCCAGGGAAAACAAGAGTGTGTTCAATTTCATGTTTTCAACGAAGGTTGAATTACTCCTACTGACATGGCTGTTGGTTTTCATTGCAGTAGATGTTTAGGTTTCCATTTCTTCCTCCCCTTATCATTTACTAACTTACTATAGGTTGACCATACCTCAAAGGCTGTATGGCAACTGCATGGAATCTTGAGCAAGTTTATGGAAAATTATTGAGCCCACTCTTTTCATGATCACTGTTCGCTGTGTGTCCCGAGGGCACTAACTCAGAGTGTCCTTTGACCCCTTCATCAGTGTGTCACCCGGCCAACTCGCTGAGCTCACTTTCTCCTCTCTCTCTCTCTCTCTCTCTCTCCCTCTCCCTGTCTTTCTCTTTCATTCTTCTCTACCTGGCCCTGGTCTATCCCAACATAAAGGCAATAATTCATTACCTCATTAATGGATCTGTCCTTTTTCTTTTTAAACAGTTCCTTATGTTAGCCATGAAATCTAGCTGGGGCTGTGTGGTTTCTGATTCCCCCTGGCTTATTCTTTACTTTTTCCTACTTTTCCAGGCTCAGCAGGGAGCTGCTGGATGAGAAAGAGCCTGAAGTCTTGCAGGACTCACTGGATAGATGTTATTCGATTCCTTCAGGTTATCTTGAACTGCCTGACTTAGGCCAGCCCTACAGCAGTGCTGTTTACTCATTGGAGGAACAGTACCTTGGCTTGGCTCTTGACGTGGACAGTGAGTACCTTACTATGAAGGTGATAAGCCTCCACCTGGTCTTCCAGATAGGGGTGATATTCCTGTTCCAAGTGGCCCTTACTGACCCGAGAGATGTCATTGCCGCAGGCAGGACCTGTGGGCGCATATAGGTTGTAATGAAACTGTAGTCTCAGTTGGAAGCCTAGACATGAAATGGGTCAGTGAGCAAGGCTCTATTCCTAGTCTCCAGCCATGCCTGTGGCAACCTGAGCCCGCTCTCAGCACATTGGACCCAGGCAGATGCAAAAAATTCACAGAACTATGATTTGGACTCAAGGGTTTGTAGATTTCCTCCTTCATTCTAATTTCAGTGTCTAAAATTCTTGCATCCATGAACGAGCTGGGCATTTGATGAGACAGGGCTGAATACTGCAGTTTTCCTCCTAGAAATCATCTGGGGCATTTTCTTTGAACTGATGGGAACAATAAGGCATAACTGTTTGCACAAACTTGGGATAAGTGATTTTGGGATAACGATCTACCAGAATGGGGATATTTCACCCTTGGTTCTGAGATGCAAACCAAAGAATATCATGACCAGCTTTCAGGCCTCCTGAAGTATATCTCTCACATTGTCCTGTTCTCATGCTGAGGAGCCTGAGATCCCTGTGTGGGGATTAGACAGTGGACTGTTATGGGTGTAGGTGAATTGGCTTATTTTGTCTGTCCCTGTCTGAATGTATTGCAGGAATTAAAAAGGACCAAGAAGAGGAAGAAGACCAAGACCCACCATGCCCCAGGTAACTGAGCAATTGTGAACAGCTACTTCTGTGTTGACATCTGGAGACTACTGGTTCAGGGAAAACAGAGCGGGCTGACATTATCGATTACATCTTTTCAAGCAAGCCTGAATTATTCCTACTAACATTGCTGTTGGTTTTCATTGCAGTAGATATTTAGGTTTCCATTTCTTCCTCCCCTTATCATTTACTAACCTACTGTAGGTGGACCAGACTTCAAAAACTGTATTCTCATGGCGACTGCATGGAAACTTGAGCACATTTTATGGAAAATTATTGAGCACAGTCTTTTCATGATCACTGTATGCTGTGTGTCCTGAGGGCACTAACTCAGAGTGTCCTGTTACTCCCTCATCAGTGTGTCACCTGGACAATTCACTGAGCTCGTTCTCTCTCTCTCTCTCTGTGTGTGTGTGTGTGTGTGTGTGCGTGTGTGTGTGTGTGTGTGTGTGTCCATCTGTCTTTCTCTTTCATTCTTTTCCATTTGGCCCTGTTCTGTCCCAACATGAAGGCAATAATTTGTTACCTCATTAATGGATCTATCCTTTTACTTTCTTAACCACTTCCCTATGCTACCCATGAAACCTAGTTGGGGCTCTGTTGTGTGTGATTTCCCCTGGCTTATTCTTTACTTTTTCCTCCTTTTCCAGGCTCAGCAGGGAGCTGGTGGAGGTAGTAGAGCCTGAAGTCTTGCAGGACTCACTGGATAGATGTTATTCAACTCCTTCCAGTTGTCTTGAACAGCCTGACTCCTGCCAGCCCTATGGAAGTTCCTTTTATGCATTGGAGGAAAAACATGTTGGCTTTTCTCTTGACGTGGGAGGTGAGTACCTTTCTATGAAGGTGATAAGCATCCACTGAGTCTTCCATATAAAGATCATATTCCTGCTCCAAGTGGCCATTACTGAGCTGAGAGATGTCGTTGCCGCAGTGAGGACCTATAGGCACATGTAGGTTGAATGAAACTCTAGTTCTACCTGGAAGCCCAGACAAGGGATGGGTCAGTGAGCAAGACTCTCTTCCTAGTCTCAGGCCATACCTGTGGCGCCCTGATCCTATTCTCATGACATTGGACCTGGGCAGATGTGACAAATTCAGAGAACTATGATTTTGACTCAAGGGTTTGTAGATTTCCTTTTTCACTCTAATTTCAGTGTCTAAAGTCCTCACAACCATGAACAATCTGAGTATTTGATGAGACAGGGCTAAATATTGCAGTTTTTCTCCTAGAAATCATTTGAGGGTATTTGCTTTAAATTGATTGGAAAAATATGGCATAACTGTTTGCACAAACTTGGGACAAATGATATTGGGATAACGATCTACTAGAATAGGGACATTTTACCCACAGTTTCTGGGAGAAAAACCGAGGAATTTCTATCATGACCAGCCTTCAGGCCTCCTGAAATATATCTCTCACAGTGTCCTATTCTTATGCTGAGGAGCCTGAGGTCCCTGTGTGAGGATTAGACAGTGGATTGTTATGTGTGTAGGGGAATCAGCTTAATGTGTCTGTCCATGTCTGAATTTATTGCAGAAATTGAAAAGAAGGGGAAGGGGAAGAAAAGAAGGGGAAGAAGATCAAAGAAGGAAAGAAGAAGGGGAAGAAAAGAAGGGGAAGAAGATCAAAACCCACCATGCCCCAGGTGACTTTCAGCAATTGTGGATGCTTAATTCTGTGTTAACACCTGGAGGCAACAGATTCAGGGAAACCAGAGTGTGTTTGATGTCATGTTTTCAACGAAGGCTGAATTACTCCTACTGTCATTGCTGTTGGTTTTCATTGCAGTAGATGTTTAGGTTTCCATTTCTTCCTCCCCTTATCATTTCCTAACGTACCATAGGTTGACCATACTTCAAAAGCTGTACTCTCATGGCCACTGCATCGAATTTTGAGCATATTTTATGGAAAACTATTGAGCTCACTCTTTTCATGATCACAGTTTGCTGTGTGTCATGAGGGCACTAACTCAGAGTGTCCTTTTACTCCCTTACCAGTATGTCACCTGGCCAATTCACTAGGTCACTTTCTCTCTGTCTCTGTCTCTCTCTCTGTCTCTGTCTCTGTCTCTCTCTCTCTCTGTCTTTCTCTTTCATTGTTTTCTACCTGGCCCTGTTCTATCCCAACATAAAGGCAATAATTTGTTACCTCATTAATGGATCTGTCCTTTTTCTTTTCAAACTCTTCCTTAACGTTAGCCATGAAATCTAGCTGGGGCTGTGTGGTTTCTGATTCCCCCTGGCTTATTCTTTACTTTTTCCCACTTTTCCAGGCTCAGCAGGGAGCTGCTGGATGAGAAAGGGCCTGAAGTCTTGCAGGACTCACTGGATAGATGTTATTCAACTCCTTCAGGTTGTCTTGAACTGACTGACTCATGCCAGCCCTACAGAAGTGCCTTTTACATATTGGAGCAACAGTGTGTTGGCTTGGCTATTGACATGGATGGTGAGTACCTTTCTATGAAGGTGATAAGGATCCACTGAGTCTTCTGGTTAGGGTCATATTCCTACTGCAAGTGGCCCTTACTGAGCTGAGAGATGTCATTGCCACAGGGAGGACCTATAGGCACATGTAGGTTGAATGAAACTCTAGTTCCACTTGGCAGCCCAGACAAGGGATGGGTCAGTGAGCAAGGCTCTCTCCCTAGTCTCAGGCCATGCCTGTGGAGCCCTAATCCTACTCTCATGACACTGGACCTGGGCAGATGTGACAAATTCACACAACTCTGATTTTGTCTCAATTTTGTAGATCTTGTAGATTTCATCCTTCACTCTAATTTCAGCGTCTAAAATCCTCGCTACCATGAACAATCTGAGTATTTGATGAGACAGGGCTGAATAGTGCAGTTTTTCTCCTAGCAACCATTTGGGGGTATTTGCTTTAAATCGATTGGAAAAATATGGCATAACCATTTGCACAAACTTGGGACAAATGATATTGGGATAACGATCTACCAGAATAGGGAATTTTACCCACAGTTTCTGGGACAAAAACCAAGGAATCTCTATGGTGATCAGCCTTCAGGCCTCCTGAAGAATATCTCTCACAGTGTCCTATTCTCATGCTGAGGAGCCTGAAGTCTCTGTGTGAGGATTAGACAGTGGATTGTTATGTGTGTAGGAGAACCAGCTTCATATATCTGTCCATGTCTGAACTTATTGCAGAAATTGAAAAGTACCAAGAAGTGGAAGAAGACCAAGACCCATCATGCCCCAGGTAACTTTGAGCAATTATGGATGCTTAATTCTGTGTTGACACCTGGAGATGCCAGGTCCAGGGAAAACAAGAGTGTGTTCAATTTCATGTTTTCAACGAAGGTTGAATTACTCCTACTGACATGGCTGTTGGTTTTCATTGCAGTAGATGTTTAGGTTTCCATTTCTTCCTCCCCTTATCATTTACTAACTTACTATAGGTTGACCATACCTCAAAGGCTGTATGGCAACTGCATGGAATCTTGAGCAAGTTTATGGAAAATTATTGAGCCCACTCTTTTCATGATCACTGTTCGCTGTGTGTCCCGAGGGCACTAACTCAGAGTGTCCTTTGACCCCTTCATCAGTGTGTCACCCGGCCAACTCGCTGAGCTCACTTTCTCCTCTCTCTCTCTCTCTCTCTCTCCCTCTCCCTGTCTTTCTCTTTCATTCTTCTCTACCTGGCCCTGGTCTATCCCAACATAAAGGCAATAATTCATTACCTCATTAATGGATCTGTCCTTTTTCTTTTTAAACAGTTCCTTATGTTAGCCATGAAATCTAGCTGGGGCTGTGTGGTTTCTGATTCCCCCTGGCTTATTCTTTACTTTTTCCTACTTTTCCAGGCTCAGCAGGGAGCTGCTGGATGAGAAAGAGCCTGAAGTCTTGCAGGACTCACTGGATAGATGTTATTCGATTCCTTCAGGTTATCTTGAACTGCCTGACTTAGGCCAGCCCTACAGCAGTGCTGTTTACTCATTGGAGGAACAGTACCTTGGCTTGGCTCTTGACGTGGACAGTGAGTACCTTACTATGAAGGTGATAAGCCTCCACCTGGTCTTCCAGATAGGGGTGATATTCCTGTTCCAAGTGGCCCTTACTGACCCGAGAGATGTCATTGCCGCAGGCAGGACCTGTGGGCGCATATAGGTTGTAATGAAACTGTAGTCTCAGTTGGAAGCCTAGACATGAAATGGGTCAGTGAGCAAGGCTCTATTCCTAGTCTCCAGCCATGCCTGTGGCAACCTGAGCCCGCTCTCAGCACATTGGACCCAGGCAGATGCAAAAAATTCACAGAACTATGATTTGGACTCAAGGGTTTGTAGATTTCCTCCTTCATTCTAATTTCAGTGTCTAAAATTCTTGCATCCATGAACGAGCTGGGCATTTGATGAGACAGGGCTGAATACTGCAGTTTTCCTCCTAGAAATCATCTGGGGCATTTTCTTTGAACTGATGGGAACAATAAGGCATAACTGTTTGCACAAACTTGGGATAAGTGATTTTGGGATAACGATCTACCAGAATGGGGATATTTCACCCTTGGTTCTGAGATGCAAACCAAAGAATATCATGACCAGCTTTCAGGCCTCCTGAAGTATATCTCTCACATTGTCCTGTTCTCATGCTGAGGAGCCTGAGATCCCTGTGTGGGGATTAGACAGTGGACTGTTATGGGTGTAGGTGAATTGGCTTATTTTGTCTGTCCCTGTCTGAATGTATTGCAGGAATTAAAAAGGACCAAGAAGAGGAAGAAGACCAAGACCCACCATGCCCCAGGTAACTGAGCAATTGTGAACAGCTACTTCTGTGTTGACATCTGGAGACTCCTGGTTCAGGGAAAACAGAGCGGGCTGACATTATCGATTACATCTTTTCAAGCAAGCCTGAATTATTCCTACTAACATTGCTGTTGGTTTTCATTGCAGTAGATATTTAGGTTTCCATTTCTTCCTCCCCTTATCATTTACTAACCTACTGTAGGTGGACCAGACTTCAAAAACTGTATTCTCATGGCGACTGCATGGAAACTTGAGCACATTTTATGGAAAATTATTGAGCACAGTCTTTTCATGATCACTGTATGCTGTGTGTCCTGAGGGCACTAACTCAGAGTGTCCTGTTACTCCCTCATCAGTGTGTCACCTGGACAATTCACTGAGCTCGTTCTCTCTCTCTCTCTCTGTGTGTGTGTGTGTGTGTGTGTGCGTGTGTGTGTGTGTGTGTGTGTGTCCATCTGTCTTTCTCTTTCATTCTTTTCCATTTGGCCCTGTTCTGTCCCAACATGAAGGCAATAATTTGTTACCTCATTAATGGATCTATCCTTTTACTTTCTTAACCACTTCCCTATGCTACCCATGAAACCTAGTTGGGGCTCTGTTGTGTGTGATTTCCCCTGGCTTATTCTTTACTTTTTCCTCCTTTTCCAGGCTCAGCAGGGAGCTGGTGGAGGTAGTAGAGCCTGAAGTCTTGCAGGACTCACTGGATAGATGTTATTCAACTCCTTCCAGTTGTCTTGAACAGCCTGACTCCTGCCAGCCCTATGGAAGTTCCTTTTATGCATTGGAGGAAAAACATGTTGGCTTTTCTCTTGACGTGGGAGGTGAGTACCTTTCTATGAAGGTGATAAGCATCCACTGAGTCTTCCATATAAAGATCATATTCCTGCTCCAAGTGGCCATTACTGAGCTGAGAGATGTCGTTGCCGCAGTGAGGACCTATAGGCACATGTAGGTTGAATGAAACTCTAGTTCTACCTGGAAGCCCAGACAAGGGATGGGTCAGTGAGCAAGACTCTCTTCCTAGTCTCAGGCCATACCTGTGGCGCCCTGATCCTATTCTCATGACATTGGACCTGGGCAGATGTGACAAATTCAGAGAACTATGATTTTGACTCAAGGGTTTGTAGATTTCCTTTTTCACTCTAATTTCAGTGTCTAAAGTCCTCACAACCATGAACAATCTGAGTATTTGATGAGACAGGGCTAAATATTGCAGTTTTTCTCCTAGAAATCATTTGAGGGTATTTGCTTTAAATTGATTGGAAAAATATGGCATAACTGTTTGCACAAACTTGGGACAAATGATATTGGGATAACGATCTACTAGAATAGGGACATTTTACCCACAGTTTCTGGGAGAAAAACCGAGGAATTTCTATCATGACCAGCCTTCAGGCCTCCTGAAATATATCTCTCACAGTGTCCTATTCTTATGCTGAGGAGCCTGAGGTCCCTGTGTGAGGATTAGACAGTGGATTGTTATGTGTGTAGGGGAATCAGCTTAATGTGTCTGTCCATGTCTGAATTTATTGCAGAAATTGAAAAGAAGGGGAAGGGGAAGAAAAGAAGGGGAAGAAGATCAAAGAAGGAAAGAAGAAGGGGAAGAAAAGAAGGGGAAGAAGATCAAAACCCACCATGCCCCAGGTGACTTTCAGCAATTGTGGATGCTTAATTCTGTGTTAACACCTGGAGGCAACAGATTCAGGGAAACCAGAGTGTGTTTGATGTCATGTTTTCAACGAAGGCTGAATTACTCCTACTGTCATTGCTGTTGGTTTTCATTGCAGTAGATGTTTAGGTTTCCATTTCTTCCTCCCCTTATCATTTCCTAACGTACCATAGGTTGACCATACTTCAAAAGCTGTACTCTCATGGCCACTGCATCGAATTTTGAGCATATTTTATGGAAAACTATTGAGCTCACTCTTTTCATGATCACAGTTTGCTGTGTGTCATGAGGGCACTAACTCAGAGTGTCCTTTTACTCCCTTACCAGTATGTCACCTGGCCAATTCACTAGGTCACTTTCTCTCTGTCTCTGTCTCTGTCTCTCTCTCTGTCTCTGTCTCTCTCTCTCTCTCTCTCTGTCTTTCTCTTTCATTGTTTTCTACCTGGCCCTGTTCTATCCCAACATAAAGGCAATAATTTGTTACCTCATTAATGGATCTGTCCTTTTTCTTTTCAAACTCTTCCTTAACGTTAGCCATGAAATCTAGCTGGGGCTGTGCGGTTTCTGATTCCCCCTGGCTTATTCTTTACTTTTTCCCACTTTTCCAGGCTCAGCAGGGAGCTGCTGGATGAGAAAGGGCCTGAAGTCTTGCAGGACTCACTGGATAGATGTTATTCAACTCCTTCAGGTTGTCTTGAACTGACTGACTCATGCCAGCCCTACAGAAGTGCCTTTTACATATTGGAGCAACAGTGTGTTGGCTTGGCTGTTGACATGGATGGTGAGTACCTTTCTATGAAGGTGATAAGGATCCACTGAGTCTTCTGGTTAGGGTCATATTCCTACTGCAAGTGGCCCTTACTGAGCTGAGAGATGTCATTGCCACAGGGAGGACCTATAGGCACATGTAGGTTGAATGAAACTCTAGTTCCACTTGGCAGCCCAGACAAGGGATGGGTCAGTGAGCAAGGCTCTCTTCCTAGTCTCAGGCCATGCCTGTGGCGCCCTAATCCTACTCTCATGACACTGGACCTGGGCAGATGTGACAAATTCACGCAACTCTGATTTTGTCTCAATTTTGTAGATCTTGTAGATTTCATCCTTCACTCTAATTTCAGCGTCTAAAATCCTCGCTACCATGAACAATCTGAGTATTTGATGAGACAGGGCTGAATAGTGCAGTTTTTCTCCTAGCAACCATTTGGGGGTATTTGCTTTAAATCGATTGGAAAAATATGGCATAACCATTTGCACAAACTTGGGACAAATGATATTGGGATAACGATCTACCAGAATAGGGAATTTTACCCACAGTTTCTGGGACAAAAACCAAGGAATCTCTATGGTGATCAGCCTTCAGGCCTCCTGAAGAATATCTCTCACAGTGTCCTATTCTCATGCTGAGGAGCCTGAAGTCTCTGTGTGAGGATTAGACAGTGGATTGTTATGTGTGTAGGAGAACCAGCTTCATATATCTGTCCATGTCTGAACTTATTGCAGAAATTGAAAAGTACCAAGAAGTGGAAGAAGACCAAGACCCATCATGCCCCAGGTAACTTTGAGCAATTATGGATGCTTAATTCTGTGTTGACACCTGGAGATGCCAGGTCCAGGGAAAACAAGAGTGTGTTCAATTTCATGTTTTCAACGAAGGTTGAATTACTCCTACTGACATGGCTGTTGGTTTTCATTGCAGTAGATGTTTAGGTTTCCATTTCTTCCTCCCCTTATCATTTACTAACTTACTATAGGTTGACCATACCTCAAAGGCTGTATGGCAACTGCATGGAATCTTGAGCAAGTTTATGGAAAATTATTGAGCCCACTCTTTTCATGATCACTGTTCGCTGTGTGTCCCGAGGGCACTAACTCAGAGTGTCCTTTGACCCCTTCATCAGTGTGTCACCCGGCCAACTCGCTGAGCTCACTTTCTCCTCTCTCTCTCTCTCTCTCTCTCCCTCTCCCTGTCTTTCTCTTTCATTCTTCTCTACCTGGCCCTGGTCTATCCCAACATAAAGGCAATAATTCATTACCTCATTAATGGATCTGTCCTTTTTCTTTTTAAACAGTTCCTTATGTTAGCCATGAAATCTAGCTGGGGCTGTGTGGTTTCTGATTCCCCCTGGCTTATTCTTTACTTTTTCCTACTTTTCCAGGCTCAGCAGGGAGCTGCTGGATGAGAAAGAGCCTGAAGTCTTGCAGGACTCACTGGATAGATGTTATTCGATTCCTTCAGGTTATCTTGAACTGCCTGACTTAGGCCAGCCCTACAGCAGTGCTGTTTACTCATTGGAGGAACAGTACCTTGGCTTGGCTCTTGACGTGGACAGTGAGTACCTTACTATGAAGGTGATAAGCCTCCACCTGGTCTTCCAGATAGGGGTGATATTCCTGTTCCAAGTGGCCCTTACTGACCCGAGAGATGTCATTGCCGCAGGCAGGACCTGTGGGCGCATATAGGTTGTAATGAAACTGTAGTCTCAGTTGGAAGCCTAGACATGAAATGGGTCAGTGAGCAAGGCTCTATTCCTAGTCTCCAGCCATGCCTGTGGCAACCTGAGCCCGCTCTCAGCACATTGGACCCAGGCAGATGCAAAAAATTCACAGAACTATGATTTGGACTCAAGGGTTTGTAGATTTCCTCCTTCATTCTAATTTCAGTGTCTAAAATTCTTGCATCCATGAACGAGCTGGGCATTTGATGAGACAGGGCTGAATACTGCAGTTTTCCTCCTAGAAATCATCTGGGGCATTTTCTTTGAACTGATGGGAACAATAAGGCATAACTGTTTGCACAAACTTGGGATAAGTGATTTTGGGATAACGATCTACCAGAATGGGGATATTTCACCCTTGGTTCTGAGATGCAAACCAAAGAATATCATGACCAGCTTTCAGGCCTCCTGAAGTATATCTCTCACATTGTCCTGTTCTCATGCTGAGGAGCCTGAGATCCCTGTGTGGGGATTAGACAGTGGACTGTTATGGGTGTAGGTGAATTGGCTTATTTTGTCTGTCCCTGTCTGAATGTATTGCAGGAATTAAAAAGGACCAAGAAGAGGAAGAAGACCAAGACCCACCATGCCCCAGGTAACTGAGCAATTGTGAACAGCTACTTCTGTGTTGACATCTGGAGACTCCTGGTTCAGGGAAAACAGAGCGGGCTGACATTATCGATTACATCTTTTCAAGCAAGCCTGAATTATTCCTACTAACATTGCTGTTGGTTTTCATTGCAGTAGATATTTAGGTTTCCATTTCTTCCTCCCCTTATCATTTACTAACCTACTGTAGGTGGACCAGACTTCAAAAACTGTATTCTCATGGCGACTGCATGGAAACTTGAGCACATTTTATGGAAAATTATTGAGCACAGTCTTTTCATGATCACTGTATGCTGTGTGTCCTGAGGGCACTAACTCAGAGTGTCCTGTTACTCCCTCATCAGTGTGTCACCTGGACAATTCACTGAGCTCGTTCTCTCTCTCTCTCTCTGTGTGTGTGTGTGTGTGTGTGTGCGTGTGTGTGTGTGTGTGTGTGTGTCCATCTGTCTTTCTCTTTCATTCTTTTCCATTTGGCCCTGTTCTGTCCCAACATGAAGGCAATAATTTGTTACCTCATTAATGGATCTATCCTTTTACTTTCTTAACCACTTCCCTATGCTACCCATGAAACCTAGTTGGGGCTCTGTTGTGTGTGATTTCCCCTGGCTTATTCTTTACTTTTTCCTCCTTTTCCAGGCTCAGCAGGGAGCTGGTGGAGGTAGTAGAGCCTGAAGTCTTGCAGGACTCACTGGATAGATGTTATTCAACTCCTTCCAGTTGTCTTGAACAGCCTGACTCCTGCCAGCCCTATGGAAGTTCCTTTTATGCATTGGAGGAAAAACATGTTGGCTTTTCTCTTGACGTGGGAGGTGAGTACCTTTCTATGAAGGTGATAAGCATCCACTGAGTCTTCCATATAAAGATCATATTCCTGCTCCAAGTGGCCATTACTGAGCTGAGAGATGTCGTTGCCGCAGTGAGGACCTATAGGCACATGTAGGTTGAATGAAACTCTAGTTCTACCTGGAAGCCCAGACAAGGGATGGGTCAGTGAGCAAGACTCTCTTCCTAGTCTCAGGCCATACCTGTGGCGCCCTGATCCTATTCTCATGACATTGGACCTGGGCAGATGTGACAAATTCAGAGAACTATGATTTTGACTCAAGGGTTTGTAGATTTCCTTTTTCACTCTAATTTCAGTGTCTAAAGTCCTCACAACCATGAACAATCTGAGTATTTGATGAGACAGGGCTAAATATTGCAGTTTTTCTCCTAGAAATCATTTGAGGGTATTTGCTTTAAATTGATTGGAAAAATATGGCATAACTGTTTGCACAAACTTGGGACAAATGATATTGGGATAACGATCTACTAGAATAGGGACATTTTACCCACAGTTTCTGGGAGAAAAACCGAGGAATTTCTATCATGACCAGCCTTCAGGCCTCCTGAAATATATCTCTCACAGTGTCCTATTCTTATGCTGAGGAGCCTGAGGTCCCTGTGTGAGGATTAGACAGTGGATTGTTATGTGTGTAGGGGAATCAGCTTAATGTGTCTGTCCATGTCTGAATTTATTGCAGAAATTGAAAAGAAGGGGAAGGGGAAGAAAAGAAGGGGAAGAAGATCAAAGAAGGAAAGAAGAAGGGGAAGAAAAGAAGGGGAAGAAGATCAAAACCCACCATGCCCCAGGTGACTTTCAGCAATTGTGGATGCTTAATTCTGTGTTAACACCTGGAGGCAACAGATTCAGGGAAACCAGAGTGTGTTTGATGTCATGTTTTCAACGAAGGCTGAATTACTCCTACTGTCATTGCTGTTGGTTTTCATTGCAGTAGATGTTTAGGTTTCCATTTCTTCCTCCCCTTATCATTTCCTAACGTACCATAGGTTGACCATACTTCAAAAGCTGTACTCTCATGGCCACTGCATCGAATTTTGAGCATATTTTATGGAAAACTATTGAGCTCACTCTTTTCATGATCACAGTTTGCTGTGTGTCATGAGGGCACTAACTCAGAGTGTCCTTTTACTCCCTTACCAGTATGTCACCTGGCCAATTCACTAGGTCACTTTCTCTCTGTCTCTGTCTCTGTCTCTCTCTCTGTCTCTGTCTCTCTCTCTCTCTCTCTCTGTCTTTCTCTTTCATTGTTTTCTACCTGGCCCTGTTCTATCCCAACATAAAGGCAATAATTTGTTACCTCATTAATGGATCTGTCCTTTTTCTTTTCAAACTCTTCCTTAACGTTAGCCATGAAATCTAGCTGGGGCTGTGCGGTTTCTGATTCCCCCTGGCTTATTCTTTACTTTTTCCCACTTTTCCAGGCTCAGCAGGGAGCTGCTGGATGAGAAAGGGCCTGAAGTCTTGCAGGACTCACTGGATAGATGTTATTCAACTCCTTCAGGTTGTCTTGAACTGACTGACTCATGCCAGCCCTACAGAAGTGCCTTTTACATATTGGAGCAACAGTGTGTTGGCTTGGCTGTTGACATGGATGGTGAGTACCTTTCTATGAAGGTGATAAGGATCCACTGAGTCTTCTGGTTAGGGTCATATTCCTACTGCAAGTGGCCCTTACTGAGCTGAGAGATGTCATTGCCACAGGGAGGACCTATAGGCACATGTAGGTTGAATGAAACTCTAGTTCCACTTGGCAGCCCAGACAAGGGATGGGTCAGTGAGCAAGGCTCTCTTCCTAGTCTCAGGCCATGCCTGTGGCGCCCTAATCCTACTCTCATGACACTGGACCTGGGCAGATGTGACAAATTCACGCAACTCTGATTTTGTCTCAATTTTGTAGATCTTGTAGATTTCATCCTTCACTCTAATTTCAGCGTCTAAAATCCTCGCTACCATGAACAATCTGAGTATTTGATGAGACAGGGCTGAATAGTGCAGTTTTTCTCCTAGCAACCATTTGGGGGTATTTGCTTTAAATCGATTGGAAAAATATGGCATAACCATTTGCACAAACTTGGGACAAATGATATTGGGATAACGATCTACCAGAATAGGGAATTTTACCCACAGTTTCTGGGACAAAAACCAAGGAATCTCTATGGTGATCAGCCTTCAGGCCTCCTGAAGAATATCTCTCACAGTGTCCTATTCTCATGCTGAGGAGCCTGAAGTCTCTGTGTGAGGATTAGACAGTGGATTGTTATGTGTGTAGGAGAACCAGCTTCATATATCTGTCCATGTCTGAACTTATTGCAGAAATTGAAAAGTACCAAGAAGTGGAAGAAGACCAAGACCCATCATGCCCCAGGTAACTTTGAGCAATTATGGATGCTTAATTCTGTGTTGACACCTGGAGATGCCAGGTCCAGGGAAAACAAGAGTGTGTTCAATTTCATGTTTTCAACGAAGGTTGAATTACTCCTACTGACATGGCTGTTGGTTTTCATTGCAGTAGATGTTTAGGTTTCCATTTCTTCCTCCCCTTATCATTTACTAACTTACTATAGGTTGACCATACCTCAAAGGCTGTATGGCAACTGCATGGAATCTTGAGCAAGTTTATGGAAAATTATTGAGCCCACTCTTTTCATGATCACTGTTCGCTGTGTGTCCCGAGGGCACTAACTCAGAGTGTCCTTTGACCCCTTCATCAGTGTGTCACCCGGCCAACTCGCTGAGCTCACTTTCTCCTCTCTCTCTCTCTCTCTCTCTCCCTCTCCCTGTCTTTCTCTTTCATTCTTCTCTACCTGGCCCTGGTCTATCCCAACATAAAGGCAATAATTCATTACCTCATTAATGGATCTGTCCTTTTTCTTTTTAAACAGTTCCTTATGTTAGCCATGAAATCTAGCTGGGGCTGTGTGGTTTCTGATTCCCCCTGGCTTATTCTTTACTTTTTCCTACTTTTCCAGGCTCAGCAGGGAGCTGCTGGATGAGAAAGAGCCTGAAGTCTTGCAGGACTCACTGGATAGATGTTATTCGATTCCTTCAGGTTATCTTGAACTGCCTGACTTAGGCCAGCCCTACAGCAGTGCTGTTTACTCATTGGAGGAACAGTACCTTGGCTTGGCTCTTGACGTGGACAGTGAGTACCTTACTATGAAGGTGATAAGCCTCCACCTGGTCTTCCAGATAGGGGTGATATTCCTGTTCCAAGTGGCCCTTACTGACCCGAGAGATGTCATTGCCGCAGGCAGGACCTATGGGCGCATATAGGTTGTAATGAAACTGTAGTCTCAGTTGGAAGCCTAGACATGAAATGGGTCAGTGAGCAAGGCTCTATTCCTAGTCTCCAGCCATGCCTGTGGCAACCTGAGCCCGCTCTCAGCACATTGGATCCAGGCAGATGCAAAAAATTCACAGAACTATGATTTGGACTCAAGGGTTTGTAGATTTCCTCCTTCATTCTAATTTCAGTGTCTAAAATTCTTGCATCCATGAACGAGCTGGGCATTTGATGAGACAGGGCTGAATACTGCAGTTTTCCTCCTAGAAATCATCTGGGGCATTTTCTTTGAACTGATGGGAACAATAAGGCATAACTGTTTGCACAAACTTGGGATAAGTGATTTTGGGATAACGATCTACCAGAATGGGGATATTTCACCCTTGGTTCTGAGATGCAAACCAAAGAATATCATGACCAGCTTTCAGGCCTCCTGAAGTATATCTCTCACATTGTCCTGTTCTCATGCTGAGGAGCCTGAGATCCCTGTGTGGGGATTAGACAGTGGACTGTTATGGGTGTAGGTGAATTGGCTTATTTTGTCTGTCCCTGTCTGAATGTATTGCAGGAATTAAAAAGGACCAAGAAGAGGAAGAAGACCAAGACCCACCATGCCCCAGGTAACTGAGCAATTGTGAACAGCTACTTCTGTGTTGACATCTGGAGACTCCTGGTTCAGGGAAAACAGAGCGGGCTGACATTATCGATTACATCTTTTCAAGCAAGCCTGAATTATTCCTACTAACATTGCTGTTGGTTTTCATTGCAGTAGATATTTAGGTTTCCATTTCTTCCTCCCCTTATCATTTACTAACCTACTGTAGGTGGACCAGACTTCAAAAACTGTATTCTCATGGCGACTGCATGGAAACTTGAGCACATTTTATGGAAAATTATTGAGCACAGTCTTTTCATGATCACTGTATGCTGTGTGTCCTGAGGGCACTAACTCAGAGTGTCCTGTTACTCCCTCATCAGTGTGTCACCTGGACAATTCACTGAGCTCGTTCTCTCTCTCTCTCTCTGTGTGTGTGTGTGTGTGTGTGTGCGTGTGTGTGTGTGTGTGTGTGTGTCCATCTGTCTTTCTCTTTCATTCTTTTCCATTTGGCCCTGTTCTGTCCCAACATGAAGGCAATAATTTGTTACCTCATTAATGGATCTATCCTTTTAGTTTCTTAACCACTTCCCTATGCTACGCATGAAACCTAGTTGGGGCTCTGTTGTGTGTGATTTCCCCTGGCTTATTCTTTACTTTTTCCTCCTTTTCCAGGCTCAGCAGGGAGCTGGTGGAGGTAGTAGAGCCTGAAGTCTTGCAGGACTCACTGGATAGATGTTATTCAACTCCTTCCAGTTGTCTTGAACAGCCTGACTCCTGCCAGCCCTATGGAAGTTCCTTTTATGCATTGGAGGAAAAACATGTTGGCTTTTCTCTTGACGTGGGAGGTGAGTACCTTTCTATGAAGGTGATAAGCATCCACTGAGTCTTCCATATAAAGATCATATTCCTGCTCCAAGTGGCCATTACTGAGCTGAGAGATGTCGTTGCCGCAGTGAGGACCTATAGGCACATGTAGGTTGAATGAAACTCTAGTTCTACCTGGAAGCCCAGACAAGGGATGGGTCAGTGAGCAAGACTCTCTTCCTAGTCTCAGGCCATACCTGTGGCGCCCTGATCCTATTCTCATGACATTGGACCTGGGCAGATGTGACAAATTCAGAGAACTATGATTTTGACTCAAGGGTTTGTAGATTTCCTTTTTCACTCTAATTTCAGTGTCTAAAGTCCTCACAACCATGAACAATCTGAGTATTTGATGAGACAGGGCTAAATATTGCAGTTTTTCTCCTAGAAATCATTTGAGGGTATTTGCTTTAAATTGATTGGAAAAATATGGCATAACTGTTTGCACAAACTTGGGACAAATGATATTGGGATAACGATCTACTAGAATAGGGACATTTTACCCACAGTTTCTGGGAGAAAAACCGAGGAATTTCTATCATGACCAGCCTTCAGGCCTCCTGAAATATATCTCTCACAGTGTCCTATTCTTATGCTGAGGAGCCTGAGGTCCCTGTGTGAGGATTAGACAGTGGATTGTTATGTGTGTAGGGGAATCAGCTTAATGTGTCTGTCCATGTCTGAATTTATTGCAGAAATTGAAAAGAAGGGGAAGGGGAAGAAAAGAAGGGGAAGAAGATCAAAGAAGGAAAGAAGAAGGGGAAGAAAAGAAGGGGAAGAAGATCAAAACCCACCATGCCCCAGGTGACTTTCAGCAATTGTGGATGCTTAATTCTGTGTTAACACCTGGAGGCAACAGATTCAGGGAAACCAGAGCGTGTTTGATGTCATGTTTTCAACGAAGGCTGAATTACTCCTACTGTCATTGCTGTTGGTTTTCATTGCAGTAGATGTTTAGGTTTCCATTTCTTCCTCCCCTTATCATTTCCTAACGTACCATAGGTTGACCATACTTCAAAAGCTGTACTCTCATGGCCACTGCATCGAATTTTGAGCATATTTTATGGAAAACTATTGAGCTCACTCTTTTCATGATCACAGTTTGCTGTGTGTCATGAGGGCACTAACTCAGAGTGTCCTTTTACTCCCTTACCAGTATGTCACCTGGCCAATTCACTAGGTCACTTTCTCTCTGTCTCTGTCTCTGTCTCTCTCTCTGTCTCTGTCTCTCTCTCTCTCTCTCTCTGTCTTTCTCTTTCATTGTTTTCTACCTGGCCCTGTTCTATCCCAACATAAAGGCAATAATTTGTTACCTCATTAATGGATCTGTCCTTTTTCTTTTCAAACTCTTCCTTAACGTTAGCCATGAAATCTAGCTGGGGCTGTGCGGTTTCTGATTCCCCCTGGCTTATTCTTTACTTTTTCCCACTTTTCCAGGCTCAGCAGGGAGCTGCTGGATGAGAAAGGGCCTGAAGTCTTGCAGGACTCACTGGATAGATGTTATTCAACTCCTTCAGGTTGTCTTGAACTGACTGACTCATGCCAGCCCTACAGAAGTGCCTTTTACATATTGGAGCAACAGTGTGTTGGCTTGGCTGTTGACATGGATGGTGAGTACCTTTCTATGAAGGTGATAAGGATCCACTGAGTCTTCTGGTTAGGGTCATATTCCTACTGCAAGTGGCCCTTACTGAGCTGAGAGATGTCATTGCCACAGGGAGGACCTATAGGCACATGTAGGTTGAATGAAACTCTAGTTCCACTTGGCAGCCCAGACAAGGGATGGGTCAGTGAGCAAGGCTCTCTTCCTAGTCTCAGGCCATGCCTGTGGCGCCCTAATCCTACTCTCATGACATTGGACCTGGGCAGATGTGACAAATTCACGCAACTCTGATTTTGTCTCAATTTTGTAGATCTTGTAGATTTCATCCTTCACTCTAATTTCAGCGTCTAAAATCCTCGCTACCATGAACAATCTGAGTATTTGATGAGACAGGGCTGAATAGTGCAGTTTTTCTCCTAGCAACCATTTGGGGGTATTTGCTTTAAATCGATTGGAAAAATATGGCATAACCATTTGCACAAACTTGGGACAAATGATATTGGGATAACGATCTACCAGAATAGGGAATTTTACCCACAGTTTCTGGGACAAAAACCAAGGAATCTCTATGGTGATCAGCCTTCAGGCCTCCTGAAGAATATCTCTCACAGTGTCCTATTCTCATGCTGAGGAGCCTGAAGTCTCTGTGTGAGGATTAGACAGTGGATTGTTATGTGTGTAGGAGAACCAGCTTCATATGTCTGTCCATGTCTGAACTTATTGCAGAAATTGAAAAGTACCAAGAAGTGGAAGAAGACCAAGACCCATCATGCCCCAGGTAACTTTGAGCAATTATGGATGCTTAATTCTGTGTTGACACCTGGAGATGCCAGGTCCAGGGAAAACAAGAGTGTGTTCAATTTCATGTTTTCAACGAAGGTTGAATTACTCCTACTGACATGGCTGTTGGTTTTCATTGCAGTAGATGTTTAGGTTTCCATTTCTTCCTCCCCTTATCATTTACTAACTTACTATAGGTTGACCATACCTCAAAGGCTGTATGGCAACTGCATGGAATCTTGAGCAAGTTTATGGAAAATTATTGAGCCCACTCTTTTCATGATCACTGTTCGCTGTGTGTCCCGAGGGCACTAACTCAGAGTGTCCTTTGACCCCTTCATCAGTGTGTCACCCGGCCAACTCGCTGAGCTCACTTTCTCCTCTCTCTCTCTCTCTCTCTCTCCCTCTCCCTGTCTTTCTCTTTCATTCTTCTCTACCTGGCCCTGGTCTATCCCAACATAAAGGCAATAATTCATTACCTCATTAATGGATCTGTCCTTTTTCTTTTTAAACAGTTCCTTATGTTAGCCATGAAATCTAGCTGGGGCTGTGTGGTTTCTGATTCCCCCTGGCTTATTCTTTACTTTTTCCTACTTTTCCAGGCTCAGCAGGGAGCTGCTGGATGAGAAAGAGCCTGAAGTCTTGCAGGACTCACTGGATAGATGTTATTCGATTCCTTCAGGTTATCTTGAACTGCCTGACTTAGGCCAGCCCTACAGCAGTGCTGTTTACTCATTGGAGGAACAGTACCTTGGCTTGGCTCTTGACGTGGACAGTGAGTACCTTACTATGAAGGTGATAAGCCTCCACCTGGTCTTCCAGATAGGGGTGATATTCCTGTTCCAAGTGGCCCTTACTGACCCGAGAGATGTCATTGCCGCAGGCAGGACCTATGGGCGCATATAGGTTGTAATGAAACTGTAGTCTCAGTTGGAAGCCTAGACATGAAATGGGTCAGTGAGCAAGGCTCTATTCCTAGTCTCCAGCCATGCCTGTGGCAACCTGAGCCCGCTCTCAGCACATTGGACCCAGGCAGATGCAAAAAATTCACAGAACTATGATTTGGACTCAAGGGTTTGTAGATTTCCTCCTTCATTCTAATTTCAGTGTCTAAAATTCTTGCATCCATGAACGAGCTGGGCATTTGATGAGACAGGGCTGAATACTGCAGTTTTCCTCCTAGAAATCATCTGGGGCATTTTCTTTGAACTGATGGGAACAATAAGGCATAACTGTTTGCACAAACTTGGGATAAGTGATTTTGGGATAACGATCTACCAGAATGGGGATATTTCACCCTTGGTTCTGAGATGCAAACCAAAGAATATCATGACCAGCTTTCAGGCCTCCTGAAGTATATCTCTCACATTGTCCTGTTCTCATGCTGAGGAGCCTGAGATCCCTGTGTGGGGATTAGACAGTGGACTGTTATGGGTGTAGGTGAATTGGCTTATTTTGTCTGTCCCTGTCTGAATGTATTGCAGGAATTAAAAAGGACCAAGAAGAGGAAGAAGACCAAGACCCACCATGCCCCAGGTAACTGAGCAATTGTGAACAGCTACTTCTGTGTTGACATCTGGAGACTCCTGGTTCAGGGAAAACAGAGCGGGCTGACATTATCGATTACATCTTTTCAAGCAAGCCTGAATTATTCCTACTAACATTGCTGTTGGTTTTCATTGCAGTAGATATTTAGGTTTCCATTTCTTCCTCCCCTTATCATTTACTAACCTACTGTAGGTGGACCAGACTTCAAAAACTGTATTCTCATGGCGACTGCATGGAAACTTGAGCACATTTTATGGAAAATTATTGAGCACAGTCTTTTCATGATCACTGTATGCTGTGTGTCCTGAGGGCACTAACTCAGAGTGTCCTGTTACTCCCTCATCAGTGTGTCACCTGGACAATTCACTGAGCTCGTTCTCTCTCTCTCTCTCTGTGTGTGTGTGTGTGTGTGTGTGTGTGTGTGTGTGTGTGTGTGTCTATCTGTCTTTCTCTTTCATTCTTTTCCATTTGGCCCTGTTCTGTCCCAACATGAAGGCAATAATTTGTTACCTCATTAATGGATCTATCCTTTTAGTTTCTTAACCACTTCCCTATGCTACCCATGAAACCTAGTTGGGGCTCTGTTGTGTGTGATTTCCCCTGGCTTATTCTTTACTTTTTCCTCCTTTTCCAGGCTCAGCAGGGAGCTGCTGGAGGTAGTAGAGCCTGAAGTCTTGCAGGACTCACTGGATAGATGTTATTCAACTCCTTCCAGTTGTCTTGAACAGCCTGACTCCTGCCAGCCCTATGGAAGTTCCTTTTATGCATTGGAGGAAAAACATGTTGGCTTTTCTCTTGACGTGGGAGGTGAGTACCTTTCTATGAAGGTGATAAGCACCACTGAGTCTTCCATATAAAGATCATATTCCTGCTCCAAGTGGCCATTACTGAGCTGAGAGATGTCGTTGCCGCAGTGAGGACCTATAGGCACATGTAGGTTGAATGAAACTCTAGTTCTACCTGGAAGCCCAGACAAGGGATGGGTCAGTGAGCAAGACTCTCTTCCTAGTCTCAGGCCATACCTGTGGCGCCCTGATCCTATTCTCATGACATTGGACCTGGGCAGATGTGACAAATTCAGAGAACTATGATTTTGACTCAAGGGTTTGTAGATTTCCTTTTTCACTCTAATTTCAGTGTCTAAAGTCCTCACAACCATGAACAATCTGAGTATTTGATGAGACAGGGCTAAATATTGCAGTTTTTCTCCTAGAAATCATTTGAGGGTATTTGCTTTAAATTGATTGGAAAAATGTGGCATAACTGTTTGCACAAACTTGGGACAAATGATATTGGGATAACGATCTACTAGAATAGGGACATTTTACCCACAGTTTCTGGGAGAAAAACCGAGGAATTTCTATCATGACCAGCCTTCAGGCCTCCTGAAATATATCTCTCACAGTGTCCTATTCTTATGCTGAGGAGCCTGAGGTCCCTGTGTGAGGATTAGACAGTGGATTGTTATGTGTGTAGGGGAATCAGCTTAATGTGTCTGTCCATGTCTGAATTTATTGCAGAAATTGAAAAGAAGGGGAAGGGGAAGAAAAGAAGGGGAAGAAGATCAAAGAAGGAAAGAAGAAGGGGAAGAAAAGAAGGGGAAGAAGATCAAAACCCACCATGCCCCAGGTGACTTTCAGCAATTGTGGATGCTTAATTCTGTGTTAACACCTGGAGGCAACAGATTCAGGGAAACCAGAGCGTGTTTGATGTCATGTTTTCAACGAAGGCTGAATTACTCCTACTGTCATTGCTGTTGGTTTTCATTGCAGTAGATGTTTAGGTTTCCATTTCTTCCTCCCCTTATCATTTACTAGCGTACCATAGGTTGACCATACTTCAAAAGCTGTACTCTCATGGCCACTGCATCGAATTTTGAGCATATTTTATGGAAAACTATTGAGCTCACTCTTTTCATGATCACAGTTTGCTGTGTGTCATGAGGGCACTAACTCAGAGTGTCCTTTTACTCCCTTACCAGTATGTCACCTGGCCAATTCACTAGGTCACTTTCTCTCTGTCTCTGTCTCTGTCTCTCTCTCTGTCTCTGTCTCTCTCTCTCTCTCTCTCTGTCTTTCTCTTTCATTGTTTTCTACCTGGCCCTGTTCTATCCCAACATAAAGGCAATAATTTGTTCCCTCATTAATGGATCTGTCCTTTTTCTTTTCAAACTCTTCCTTAACGTTAGCCATGAAATCTAGCTGGGGCTGTGCGGTTTCTGATTCCCCCTGGCTTATTCTTTACTTTTTCCCACTTTTCCAGGCTCAGCAGGGAGCTGCTGGATGAGAAAGGGCCTGAAGTCTTGCAGGACTCACTGGATAGATGTTATTCAACTCCTTCAGGTTGTCTTGAACTGACTGACTCATGCCAGCCCTACAGAAGTGCCTTTTACATATTGGAGCAACAGTGTGTTGGCTTGGCTGTTGACATGGATGGTGAGTACCTTTCTATGAAGGTGATAAGGATCCACTGAGTCTTCTGGTTAGGGTCATATTCCTACTGCAAGTGGCCCTTACTGAGCTGAGAGATGTCATTGCCACAGGGAGGACCTATAGGCACATGTAGGTTGAATGAAACTCTAGTTCCACTTGGCAGCCCAGACAAGGGATGGGTCAGTGAGCAAGGCTCTCTCCCTAGTCTCAGGCCATGCCTGTGGCGCCCTAATCCTACTCTCATGACATTGGACCTGGGCAGATGTGACAAATTCACACAACTCTGATTTTGTCTCAATTTTGTAGATCTTGTAGATTTCATCCTTCACTCTAATTTCAGCGTCTAAAATCCTCGCTACCATGAACAATCTGAGTATTTGATGAGACAGGGCTGAATAGTGCAGTTTTTCTCCTAGCAACCATTTGGGGGTATTTGCTTTAAATCGATTGGAAAAATATGGCATAACCATTTGCACAAACTTGGGACAAATGATATTGGGATAACGATCTACCAGAATAGGGAATTTTACCCACAGTTTCTGGGACAAAAACCAAGGAATCTCTATGGTGATCAGCCTTCAGGCCTCCTGAAGAATATCTCTCACAGTGTCCTATTCTCATGCTGAGGAGCCTGAAGTTCCTGTGTGAGGATTAGACAGTGGATTGTTATGTGTGTAGGAGAACCAGCTTCATATGTCTGTCCATGTCTGAACTTATTGCAGAAATTGAAAAGTACCAAGAAGTGGAAGAAGACCAAGACCCATCATGCCCCAGGTAACTTTGAGCAATTATGGATGCTTAATTCTGTGTTGACACCTGGAGATGCCAGGTCCAGGGAAAACAAGAGTGTGTTCAATTTCATGTTTTCAACGAAGGTTGAATTACTCCTACTGACATGGCTGTTGGTTTTCATTGCAGTAGATGTTTAGGTTTCCATTTCTTCCTCCCCTTAACATTTACTAACTTACTATAGGTTGACCATACCTCAAAGGCTGTATGGCAACTGCATGGAATCTTGAGCAAGTTTATGGAAAATTATTGAGCCCACTCTTTTCATGATCACTGTTCGCTGTGTGTCCCGAGGGCACTAACTCAGAGTGTCCTTTGACCCCTTCATCAGTGTGTCACCCGGCCAACTCGCTGAGCTCACTTTCTCCTCTCTCTCTCTCTCTCTCTCCCTCTCCCTGTCTTTCTCTTTCATTCTTTTCTACCTGGCCCTGGTCTATCCCAACATAAAGGCAATAATTCATTACCTCATTAATGGATCTGTCCTTTTTCTTTTTAAACAGTTCCTTATGTTAGCCATGAAATCTAGCTGGGGCTGTGTGGTTTCTGATTCCCCCTGGCTTATTCTTTACTTTTTCCTACTTTTCCAGGCTCAGCAGGGAGCTGCTGGATGAGAAAGAGCCTGAAGTCTTGCAGGACTCACTGGATAGATGTTATTCGACTCCTTCAGGTTATCTTGAACTGCCTGACTTAGGCCAGCCCTACAGCAGTGCTGTTTACTCATTGGAGGAACAGTACCTTGGCTTGGCTCTTGACGTGGACAGTGAGTACCTTACTATGAAGGTGATAAGCCTCCACCTGGTCTTCCAGATAGGGGTGATATTCCTGTTCCAAGTGGCCCTTACTGACCCGAGAGATGTCATTGCCGCAGGCAGGACCTATGGGCGCATATAGGTTGTAATGAAACTGTAGTCTCAGTTGGAAGCCTAGACATGAAATGGGTCAGTGAGCAAGGCTCTATTCCTAGTCTCCAGCCATGCCTGTGGCAACCTGAGCCCGCTCTCAGCACATTGGACCCAGGCAGATGTAAAAAATTCACAGAACTATGATTTGGACTCAAGGGTTTGTGGATTTCCTCCTTCATTCTAATTTCAGTGTCTAAAATTCTTGCATCCATGAACGAGCTGGGCATTTGATGAGACAGGGCTGAATACTGCAGTTTTCCTCCTAGAAATCATCTGGGGCATTTTCTTTGAACTGATGGGAACAATAAGGCATAACTGTTTGCACAAACTTGGGATAAGTGATTTTGGGATAACGATCTACCAGAATGGGGATATTTCACCCTTGGTTCTGAGATGCAAACCAAAGAATATCATGACCAGCTTTCAGGCCTCCTGAAGTATATCTCTCACATTGTCCTGTTCTCATGCTGAGGAGCCTGAGATCCCTGTGTGGGGATTAGACAGTGGACTGTTATGGGTGTAGGTGAATTGGCTTATTTTGTCTGTCCCTGTCTGAATGTATTGCAGGAATTAAAAAGGACCAAGAAGAGGAAGAAGACCAAGGCCCACCATGCCCCAGGTAACTGAGCAATTGTGAACAGCTACTTCTGTGTTGACATCTGGAGACTCCTGGTTCAGGGAAAACAGAGCGGGCTGACATTATCGATTACATCTTTTCAAGCAAGCCTGAATTATTCCTACTAACATTGCTGTTGGTTTTCATTGCAGTAGATATTTAGGTTTCCATTTCTTCCTCCCCTTATCATTTACTAACCTACTGTAGGTGGACCAGACTTCAAAAACTGTATTCTCATGGCGACTGCATGGAAACTTGAGCACATTTTATGGAAAATTATTGAGCACAGTCTTTTCATGATCACTGTATGCTGTGTGTCCTGAGGGCACTAACTCAGAGTGTCCTGTTACTCCCTCATCAGTGTGTCACCTGGACAATTCACTGAGCTCGTTCTCTCTCTCTCTCTGTGTGTGTGTGTGTGTGTGTGTGTGTGTGTGTGTGTGTGTGTGTGTGTCTGTCTTTCTCTTTCATTCTTTTCCATTTGGCCCTGTTCTGTCCCAACATGAAGGCAATAATTTGTTACCTCATTAATGGATCTATCCTTTTAGTTTCTTAACCACTTCCCTATGCTACCCATGAAACCTAGTTGGGGCTCTGTTGTGTGTGATTTCCCCTGGCTTATTCTTTACTTTTTCCTCCTTTTCCAGGCTCAGCAGGGAGCTGCTGGAGGTAGTAGAGCCTGAAGTCTTGCAGGACTCACTGGATAGATGTTATTCAACTCCTTCCAGTTGTCTTGAACAGCCTGACTCCTGCCAGCCCTATGGAAGTTCCTTTTATGCATTGGAGGAAAAACATGTTGGCTTTTCTCTTGACGTGGGAGGTGAGTACCTTTCTATGAAGGTGATAAGCATCCACTGAGTCTTCCATATAAAGATCATATTCCTGCTCCAAGTGGCCATTACTGAGCTGAGAGATGTCGTTGCCGCAGTGAGGACCTATAGGCACATGTAGGTTGAATGAAACTCTAGTTCTACCTGGAAGCCCAGACAAGGGATGGGTCAGTGAGCAAGACTCTCTTCCTAGTCTCAGGCCATACCTGTGGCGCCCTGATCCTATTCTCATGACATTGGACCTGGGCAGATGTGACAAATTCAGAGAACTATGATTTTGACTCAAGGGTTTGTAGATTTCCTTTTTCACTCTAATTTCAGTGTCTAAAGTCCTCACAACCATGAACAATCTGAGTATTTGATGAGACAGGGCTAAATATTGCAGTTTTTCTCCCAGAAATCATTTGAGGGTATTTGCTTTAAATTGATTGGAAAAATATGGCATAACTGTTTGCACAAACTTGGGACAAATGATATTGGGATAACGATCTACTAGAATAGGGACATTTTACCCACAGTTTCTGGGAGAAAAACCGAGGAATTTCTATCATGACCAGCCTTCAGGCCTCCTGAAATATATCTCTCACAGTGTCCTATTCTTATGCTGAGGAGCCTGAGGTCCCTGTGTGAGGATTAGACAGTGGATTGTTATGTGTGTAGGGGAATCAGCTTAATGTGTCTGTCCATGTCTGAATTTATTGCAGAAATTGAAAAGAAGGGGAAGGGGAAGAAAAGAAGGGGAAGAAGATCAAAGAAGGAAAGAAGAAGGGGAAGAAAAGAAGGGGAAGAAGATCAAAACCCACCATGCCCCAGGTGACTTTCAGCAATTGTGGATGCTTAATTCTGTGTTAACACCTGGAGGCAACAGATTCAGGGAAACCAGAGTGTGTTTGATGTCATGTTTTCAACGAAGGCTGAATTACTCCTACTGTCATTGCTGTTGGTTTTCATTGCAGTAGATGTTTAGGTTTCCATTTCTTCCTCCCCTTATCATTTACTAACGTACCATAGGTTGACCATACTTCAAAAGCTGTACTCTCATGGCCACTGCATCGAATTTTGAGCATATTTTATGGAAAACTATTGAGCTCACTCTTTTCATGATCACAGTTTGCTGTGTGTCATGAGGGCACTAACTCAGAGTGTCCTTTTACTCCCTTACCAGTATGTCACCTGGCCAATTCACTAGGTCACTTTCTCTCTGTCTCTGTCTCTGTCTCTCTCTCTGTCTCTGTCTCTCTCTCTCTCTCTCTCTCTGTCTTTCTCTTTCATTGTTTTCTACCTGGCCCTGTTCTATCCCAACATAAAGGCAATAATTTGTTACCTCATTAATGGATCTGTCCTTTTTCTTTTCAAACTCTTCCTTAACGTTAGCCATGAAATCTAGCTGGGGCTGTGCGGTTTCTGATTCCCCCTGGCTTATTCTTTACTTTTTCCCACTTTTCCAGGCTCAGCAGGGAGCTGCTGGATGAGAAAGGGCCTGAAGTCTTGCAGGACTCACTGGATAGATGTTATTCAACTCCTTCAGGTTGTCTTGAACTGACTGACTCATGCCAGCCCTACAGAAGTGCCTTTTACATATTGGAGCAACAGTGTGTTGGCTTGGCTGTTGACATGGATGGTGAGTACCTTTCTATGAAGGTGATAAGGATCCACTGAGTCTTCTGGTTAGGGTCATATTCCTACTGCAAGTGGCCCTTACTGAGCTGAGAGATGTCATTGCCACAGGGAGGACCTATAGGCACATGTAGGTTGAATGAAACTCTAGTTCCACTTGGCAGCCCAGACAAGGGATGGGTCAGTGAGCAAGGCTCTCTCCCTAGTCTCAGGCCATGCCTGTGGCGCCCTAATCCTACTCTCATGACACTGGACCTGGGCAGATGTGACAAATTCACACAACTCTGATTTTGTCTCAATTTTGTAGATCTTGTAGATTTCATCCTTCACTCTAATTTCAGCGTCTAAAATCCTCGCTACCATGAACAATCTGAGTATTTGATGAGACAGGGCTGAATAGTGCAGTTTTTCTCCTAGCAACCATTTGGGGGTATTTGCTTTAAATCGATTGGAAAAATATGGCATAACCATTTGCACAAACTTGGGACAAATGATATTGGGATAACGATCTACCAGAATAGGGAATTTTACCCACAGTTTCTGGGACAAAAACCAAGGAATCTCTATGGTGATCAGCCTTCAGGCCTCCTGAAGAATATCTCTCACAGTGTCCTATTCTCATGCTGAGGAGCCTGAAGTCCCTGTGTGAGGATTAGACAGTGGATTGTTATGTGTGTAGGAGAACCAGCTTCATATGTCTGTCCATGTCTGAACTTATTGCAGAAATTGAAAAGTACCAAGAAGTGGAAGAAGACCAAGACCCATCATGCCCCAGGTAACTTTGAGCAATTATGGATGCTTAATTCTGTGTTGACACCTGGAGATGCCAGGTCCAGGGAAAACAAGAGTGTGTTCAATTTCATGTTTTCAACGAAGGTTGAATTACTCCTACTGACATGGCTGTTGGTTTTCATTGCAGTAGATGTTTAGGTTTCCATTTCTTCCTCCCCTTAACATTTACTAACTTACTATAGGTTGACCATACCTCAAAGGCTGTATGGCAACTGCATGGAATCTTGAGCAAGTTTATGGAAAATTATTGAGCCCACTCTTTTCATGATCACTGTTCGCTGTGTGTCCCGAGGGCACTAACTCAGAGTGTCCTTTGACCCCTTCATCAGTGTGTCACCCGGCCAACTCGCTGAGCTCACTTTCTCCTCTCTCTCTCTCTCTCTCTCCCTCTCCCTGTCTTTCTCTTTCATTCTTTTCTACCTGGCCCTGGTCTATCCCAACATAAAGGCAATAATTCATTACCTCATTAATGGATCTGTCCTTTTTCTTTTTAAACAGTTCCTTATGTTAGCCATGAAATCTAGCTGGGGCTGTGTGGTTTCTGATTCCCCCTGGCTTATTCTTTACTTTTTCCTACTTTTCCAGGCTCAGCAGGGAGCTGCTGGATGAGAAAGAGCCTGAAGTCTTGCAGGACTCACTGGATAGATGTTATTCGACTCCTTCAGGTTATCTTGAACTGCCTGACTTAGGCCAGCCCTACAGCAGTGCTGTTTACTCATTGGAGGAACAGTACCTTGGCTTGGCTCTTGACGTGGACAGTGAGTACCTTACTATGAAGGTGATAAGCCTCCACCTGGTCTTCCAGATAGGGGTGATATTCCTGTTCCAAGTGGCCCTTACTGACCCGAGAGATGTCATTGCCGCAGGCAGGACCTATGGGCGCATATAGGTTGTAATGAAACTGTAGTCTCAGTTGGAAGCCTAGACATGAAATGGGTCAGTGAGCAAGGCTCTATTCCTAGTCTCCAGCCATGCCTGTGGCAACCTGAGCCCGCTCTCAGCACATTGGACCCAGGCAGATGTAAAAAATTCACAGAACTATGATTTGGACTCAAGGGTTTGTGGATTTCCTCCTTCATTCTAATTTCAGTGTCTAAAATTCTTGCATCCATGAACGAGCTGGGCATTTGATGAGACAGGGCTGAATACTGCAGTTTTCCTCCTAGAAATCATCTGGGGCATTTTCTTTGAACTGATGGGAACAATAAGGCATAACTGTTTGCACAAACTTGGGATAAGTGATTTTGGGATAACGATCTACCAGAATGGGGATATTTCACCCTTGGTTCTGAGATGCAAACCAAAGAATATCATGACCAGCTTTCAGGCCTCCTGAAGTATATCTCTCACATTGTCCTGTTCTCATGCTGAGGAGCCTGAGATCCCTGTGTGGGGATTAGACAGTGGACTGTTATGGGTGTAGGTGAATTGGCTTATTTTGTCTGTCCCTGTCTGAATGTATTGCAGGAATTAAAAAGGACCAAGAAGAGGAAGAAGACCAAGGCCCACCATGCCCCAGGTAACTGAGCAGTTGTGAACAGCTACTTCTGTGTTGACATCTGGAGACTCCTGGTTCAGGGAAAACAGAGCGGGCTGACATTATCGATTACATCTTTTCAAGCAAGCCTGAATTATTCCTACTAACATTGCTGTTGGTTTTCATTGCAGTAGATATTTAGGTTTCCATTTCTTCCTCCCCTTATCATTTACTAACCTACTGTAGGTGGACCAGACTTCAAAAACTGTATTCTCATGGCGACTGCGTGGAAACTTGAGCACATTTTATGGAAAATTATTGAGCACAGTCTTTTCATGATCACTGTATGCTGTGTGTCCTGAGGGCACTAACTCAGAGTGTCCTGTTACTCCCTCATCAGTGTGTCACCTGGACAATTCACTGAGCTCGTTCTCTCTCTCTCTCTGTGTGTGTGTGTGTGTGTGTGTGTGTGTGTGTGTGTGTGTGTGTGTCTATCTGTCTTTCTCTTTCATTCTTTTCCATTTGGCCCTGTTCTGTCCCAACATGAAGGCAATAATTTGTTACCTCATTAATGGATCTATCCTTTTAGTTTCTTAACCACTTCCCTATGCTACCCATGAAACCTAGTTGGGGCTCTGTTGTGTGTGATTTCCCCTGGCTTATTCTTTACTTTTTCCTCCTTTTCCAGGCTCAGCAGGGAGCTGCTGGAGGTAGTAGAGCCTGAAGTCTTGCAGGACTCACTGGATAGATGTTATTCAACTCCTTCCAGTTGTCTTGAACAGCCTGACTCCTGCCAGCCCTATGGAAGTTCCTTTTATGCATTGGAGGAAAAACATGTTGGCTTTTCTCTTGACGTGGGAGGTGAGTACCTTTCTATGAAGGTGATAAGCATCCACTGAGTCTTCCATATAAAGATCATATTCCTGCTCCAAGTGGCCATTACTGAGCTGAGAGATGTCATTGCCGCAGTGAGGACCTATAGGCACATGTAGGTTGAATGAAACTCTAGTTCTACCTGGAAGCCCAGACATGGGATGGGTCAGTGAGCATGGCTCTCTTCCTAGTCTCAGGCCATACCTGTGGCACTCTGATTCTACTCTCATGACATTGGACCTGGGCAGATGTGACAAATTCAGAGAACTATGATTTTGACTCAAGGGTTTGCAGATTTCCTTTTTCACTCTAATTTCAGTGTCTAAAGTCCTCACAACCATGAACAATCTGAGTATTTGATGAGACAGGGCTAAATATTGCAGTTTTTCTCCCAGAAATCATTTGAGGGTATTTGCTTTAAATTGATTGGAAAAATATGGCATAACTGTTTGCACAAACTTGGGACAAATGATATTGGGATAACGATCTACTAGAATAGGGACATTTTACCCACAGTTTCTGGGAGAAAAACCGAGGAATTTCTATCATGACCAGCCTTCAGGCCTCCTGAAATATATCTCTCACAGTGTCCTATTCTTATGCTGAGGAGCCTGAGGTCCCTGTGTGAGGATTAGACAGTGGATTGTTATGTGTGTAGGGGAATCAGCTTAATGTGTCTGTCCATGTCTGAATTTATTGCAGAAATTGAAAAGAAGGGGAAGGGGAAGAAAAGAAGGGGAAGAAGATCAAAGAAGGAAAGAAGAAGGGGAAGAAAAGAAGGGGAAGAAGATCAAAACCCACCATGCCCCAGGTGACTTTCAGCAATTGTGGATGCTTAATTCTGTGTTAACACCTGGAGGCAACAGATTCAGGGAAACCAGAGTGTGTTTGATGTCATGTTTTCAACGAAGGCTGAATTACTCCTACTGTCATTGCTGTTGGTTTTCATTGCAGTAGATGTTTAGGTTTCCATTTCTTCCTCCCCTTATCATTTACTAACGTACCATAGGTTGACCATACTTCAAAAGCTGTACTCTCATGGCCACTGCATCGAATTTTGAGCATATTTTATGGAAAACTATTGAGCTCACTCTTTTCATGATCACAGTTTGCTGTGTGTCATGAGGGCACTAACTCAGAGTGTCCTTTTACTCCCTTACCAGTATGTCACCTGGCCAATTCACTAGGTCACTTTCTCTCTGTCTCTGTCTCTGTCTCTCTCTCTGTCTCTGTCTCTCTCTCTCTCTCTGTCTTTCTCTTTCATTGTTTTCTACCTGGCCCTGTTCTATCCCAACATAAAGGCAATAATTTGTTACCTCATTAATGGATCTGTCCTTTTTCTTTTCAAACTCTTCCTTAACGTTAGCCATGAAATCTAGCTGGGGCTGTGTGGTTTCTGATTCCCCCTGGCTTATTCTTTACTTTTTCCCACTTTTCCAGGCTCAGCAGGGAGCTGCTGGATGAGAAAGGGCCTGAAGTCTTGCAGGACTCACTGGATAGATGTTATTCAACTCCTTCAGGTTGTCTTGAACTGACTGACTCATGCCAGCCCTACAGAAGTGCCTTTTACATATTGGAGCAACAGTGTGTTGGCTTGGCTGTTGACATGGATGGTGAGTACCTTTCTATGAAGGTGATAAGGATCCACTGAGTCTTCTGGTTAGGGTCATATTCCTACTGCAAGTGGCCCTTACTGAGCTGAGAGATGTCATTGCCACAGGGAGGACCTATAGGCACATGTAGGTTGAATGAAACTCTAGTTCCACTTGGCAGCCCAGACAAGGGATGGGTCAGTGAGCAAGGCTCTCTCCCTAGTCTCAGGCCATGCCTGTGGCGCCCTAATCCTACTCTCATGACATTGGACCTGGGCAGATGTGACAAATTCACACAACTCTGATTTTGTCTCAATTTTGTAGATCTTGTAGATTTCATCCTTCACTCTAATTTCAGCGTCTAAAATCCTCGCTACCATGAACAATCTGAGTATTTGATGAGACAGGGCTGAATAGTGCAGTTTTTCTCCTAGCAACCATTTGGGGGTATTTGCTTTAAATCGATTGGAAAAATATGGCATAACCATTTGCACAAACTTGGGACAAATGATATTGGGATAACGATCTACCAGAATAGGGAATTTTACCCACAGTTTCTGGGACAAAAACCAAGGAATCTCTATGGTGATCAGCCTTCAGGCCTCCTGAAGAATATCTCTCACAGTGTCCTATTCTCATGCTGAGGAGCCTGAAGTCCCTGTGTGAGGATTAGACAGTGGATTGTTATGTGTGTAGGAGAACCAGCTTCATATGTCTGTCCATGTCTGAACTTATTGCAGAAATTGAAAAGTACCAAGAAGTGGAAGAAGACCAAGACCCATCATGCCCCAGGTAACTTTGAGCAATTATGGATGCTTAATTCTGTGTTGACACCTGGAGATGCCAGGTCCAGGGAAAACAAGAGTGTGTTCAATTTCATGTTTTCAACGAAGGTTGAATTACTCCTACTGACATGGCTGTTGGTTTTCATTGCAGTAGATGTTTAGGTTTCCATTTCTTCCTCCCCTTAACATTTACTAACTTACTATAGGTTGACCATACCTCAAAGGCTGTATGGCAACTGCATGGAATCTTGAGCAAGTTTATGGAAAATTATTGAGCCCACTCTTTTCATGATCACTGTTCGCTGTGTGTCCCGAGGGCACTAACTCAGAGTGTCCTTTGACCCCTTCATCAGTGTGTCACCCGGCCAACTCGCTGAGCTCACTTTCTCCTCTCTCTCTCTCTCTCTCCCTCTCCCTGTCTTTCTCTTTCATTCTTTTCTACCTGGCCCTGGTCTATCCCAACATAAAGGCAATAATTCATTACCTCATTAATGGATCTGTCCTTTTTCTTTTTAAACAGTTCCTTATGTTAGCCATGAAATCTAGCTGGGGCTGTGTGGTTTCTGATTCCCCCTGGCTTATTCTTTACTTTTTCCTACTTTTCCAGGCTCAGCAGGGAGCTGCTGGATGAGAAAGAGCCTGAAGTCTTGCAGGACTCACTGGATAGATGTTATTCGACTCCTTCAGGTTATCTTGAACTGCCTGACTTAGGCCAGCCCTACAGCAGTGCTGTTTACTCATTGGAGGAACAGTACCTTGGCTTGGCTCTTGACGTGGACAGTGAGTACCTTACTATGAAGGTGATAAGCCTCCACCTGGTCTTCCAGATAGGGGTGATATTCCTGTTCCAAGTGGCCCTTACTGACCCGAGAGATGTCATTGCCGCAGGCAGGACCTATGGGCGCATATAGGTTGTAATGAAACTGTAGTCTCAGTTGGAAGCCTAGACATGAAATGGGTCAGTGAGCAAGGCTCTATTCCTAGTCTCCAGCCATGCCTGTGGCAACCTGAGCCCGCTCTCAGCACATTGGACCCAGGCAGATGCAAAAAATTCACAGAACTATGATTTGGACTCAAGGGTTTGTGGATTTCCTCCTTCATTCTAATTTCAGTGTCTAAAATTCTTGCATCCATGAACGAGCTGGGCATTTGATGAGACAGGGCTGAATACTGCAGTTTTCCTCCTAGAAATCATCTGGGG
Organism: Homo sapiens; assembly: GCF_000001405.40. Taxonomy (NCBI): domain Eukaryota; kingdom Metazoa; phylum Chordata; class Mammalia; order Primates; family Hominidae; genus Homo; species Homo sapiens. The sequence continues at coordinate 149,528,208 of NC_000001.11, forward strand.
CATTTTCTTTGAACTGATGGGAACAATAAGGCATAACTGTTTGCACAAACTTGGGATAAGTGATTTTGGGATAACGATCTACCAGAATGGGGATATTTCACCCTTGGTTCTGAGATGCAAACCAAAGAATATCATGACCAGCTTTCAGGCCTCCTGAAGTATATCTCTCACATTGTCCTGTTCTCATGCTGAGGAGCCTGAGATCCCTGTGTGGGGATTAGACAGTGGACTGTTATGGGTGTAGGTGAATTGGCTTATTTTGTCTGTCCCTGTCTGAATGTATTGCAGGAATTAAAAAGGACCAAGAAGAGGAAGAAGACCAAGGCCCACCATGCCCCAGGTAACTGAGCAATTGTGAACAGCTACTTCTGTGTTGACATCTGGAGACTCCTGGTTCAGGGAAAACAGAGCGGGCTGACATTATCGATTACATCTTTTCAAGCAAGCCTGAATTATTCCTACTAACATTGCTGTTGGTTTTCATTGCAGTAGATATTTAGGTTTCCATTTCTTCCTCCCCTTATCATTTACTAACCTACTGTACGTGGACCAGACTTCAAAAACTGTATTCTCATGGCGACTGCGTGGAAACTTGAGCACATTTTATGGAAAATTATTGAGCACAGTCTTTTCATGATCACTGTATGCTGTGTGTCCTGAGGGCACTAACTCAGAGTGTCCTGTTACTCCCTCATCAGTGTGTCACCTGGACAATTCACTGAGCTCGTTCTCTCTCTCTGTGTGTGTGTGTGTGTGTGTGTGTGTGTGTCTATCTGTCTTTCTCTTTCATTCTTTTCCATTTGGCCCTGTTCTGTCCCAACATGAAGGCAATAATTTGTTACCTCATTAATGGATCTATCCTTTTAGTTTCTTAACCACTTCCCTATGCTACCCATGAAACCTAGTTGGGGCTCTGTTGTGTGTGATTTCCCCTGGCTTATTCTTTACTTTTTCCTCCTTTTCCAGGCTCAGCAGGGAGCTGCTGGAGGTAGTAGAGCCTGAAGTCTTGCAGGACTCACTGGATAGATGTTATTCAACTCCTTCCAGTTGTCTTGAACAGCCTGACTCCTGCCAGCCCTATGGAAGTTCCTTTTATGCATTGGAGGAAAAACATGTTGGCTTTTCTCTTGACGTGGGAGGTGAGTACCTTTCTATGAAGGTGATAAGCATCCACTGAGTCTTCCATATAAAGATCATATTCCTGCTCCAAGTGGCCATTACTGAGCTGAGAGATGTCGTTGCCGCAGTGAGGACCTATAGGCACATGTAGGTTGAATGAAACTCTAGTTCTACCTGGAAGCCCAGACAAGGGATGGGTCAGTGAGCAAGACTCTCTTCCTAGTCTCAGGCCATACCTGTGGCGCCCTGATCCTATTCTCATGACATTGGACCTGGGCAGATGTGACAAATTCAGAGAACTATGATTTTGACTCAAGGGTTTGTAGATTTCCTTTTTCACTCTAATTTCAGTGTCTAAAGTCCTCACAACCATGAACAATCTGAGTATTTGATGAGACAGGGCTAAATATTGCAGTTTTTCTCCTAGAAATCATTTGAGGGTATTTGCTTTAAATTGATTGGAAAAATATGGCATAACTGTTTGCACAAACTTGGGACAAATGATATTGGGATAACGATCTACTAGAATAGGGACATTTTACCCACAGTTTCTGGGAGAAAAACCGAGGAATTTCTATCATGACCAGCCTTCAGGCCTCCTGAAATATATCTCTCACAGTGTCCTATTCTTATGCTGAGGAGCCTGAGGTCCCTGTGTGAGGATTAGACAGTGGATTGTTATGTGTGTAGGGGAATCAGCTTAATGTGTCTGTCCATGTCTGAATTTATTGCAGAAATTGAAAAGAAGGGGAAGGGGAAGAAAAGAAGGGGAAGAAGATCAAAGAAGGAAAGAAGAAGGGGAAGAAAAGAAGGGGAAGAAGATCAAAACCCACCATGCCCCAGGTGACTTTCAGCAATTGTGGATGCTTAATTCTGTGTTAACACCTGGAGGCAACAGATTCAGGGAAACCAGAGTGTGTTTGATGTCATGTTTTCAACGAAGGCTGAATTACTCCTACTGTCATTGCTGTTGGTTTTCATTGCAGTAGATGTTTAGGTTTCCATTTCTTCCTCCCCTTATCATTTACTAACGTACCATAGGTTGACCATACTTCAAAAGCTGTACTCTCATGGCCACTGCATCGAATTTTGAGCATATTTTATGGAAAACTATTGAGCTCACTCTTTTCATGATCACAGTTTGCTGTGTGTCATGAGGGCACTAACTCAGAGTGTCCTTTTACTCCCTTACCAGTATGTCACCTGGCCAATTCACTAGGTCACTTTCTCTCTGTCTCTGTCTCTGTCTCTCTCTCTGTCTCTGTCTCTCTCTCTCTCTCTGTCTTTCTCTTTCATTGTTTTCTACCTGGCCCTGTTCTATCCCAACATAAAGGCAATAATTTGTTACCTCATTAATGGATCTGTCCTTTTTCTTTTCAAACTCTTCCTTAACGTTAGCCATGAAATCTAGCTGGGGCTGTGTGGTTTCTGATTCCCCCTGGCTTATTCTTTACTTTTTCCCACTTTTCCAGGCTCAGCAGGGAGCTGCTGGATGAGAAAGGGCCTGAAGTCTTGCAGGACTCACTGGATAGATGTTATTCAACTCCTTCAGGTTGTCTTGAACTGACTGACTCATGCCAGCCCTACAGAAGTGCCTTTTACATATTGGAGCAACAGTGTGTTGGCTTGGCTGTTGACATGGATGGTGAGTACCTTTCTATGAAGGTGATAAGGATCCACTGAGTCTTCTGGTTAGGGTCATATTCCTACTGCAAGTGGCCCTTACTGAGCTGAGAGATGTCATTGCCACAGGGAGGACCTATAGGCACATGTAGGTTGAATGAAACTCTAGTTCCACTTGGCAGCCCAGACAAGGGATGGGTCAGTGAGCAAGGCTCTCTCCCTAGTCTCAGGCCATGCCTGTGGAGCCCTAATCCTACTCTCATGACACTGGACCTGGGCAGATGTGACAAATTCACACAACTCTGATTTTGTCTCAATTTTGTAGATCTTGTAGATTTCATCCTTCACTCTAATTTCAGCGTCTAAAATCCTCGCTACCATGAACAATCTGAGTATTTGATGAGACAGGGCTGAATAGTGCAGTTTTTCTCCTAGCAACCATTTGGGGGTATTTGCTTTAAATCGATTGGAAAAATATGGCATAACCATTTGCACAAACTTGGGACAAATGATATTGGGATAACGATCTACCAGAATAGGGAATTTTACCCACAGTTTCTGGGACAAAAACCAAGGAATCTCTATGGTGATCAGCCTTCAGGCCTCCTGAAGAATATCTCTCACAGTGTCCTATTCTCATGCTGAGGAGCCTGAAGTCCCTGTGTGAGGATTAGACAGTGGATTGTTATGTGTGTAGGAGAACCAGCTTCATATGTCTGTCCATGTCTGAACTTATTGCAGAAATTGAAAAGTACCAAGAAGTGGAAGAAGACCAAGACCCATCATGCCCCAGGTAACTTTGAGCAATTATGGATGCTTAATTCTGTGTTGACACCTGGAGATGCCAGGTCCAGGGAAAACAAGAGTGTGTTCAATTTCATGTTTTCAACGAAGGTTGAATTACTCCTACTGACATGGCTGTTGGTTTTCATTGCAGTAGATGTTTAGGTTTCCATTTCTTCCTCCCCTTAACATTTACTAACTTACTATAGGTTGACCATACCTCAAAGGCTGTATGGCAACTGCATGGAATCTTGAGCAAGTTTATGGAAAATTATTGAGCCCACTCTTTTCATGATCACTGTTCGCTGTGTGTCCCGAGGGCACTAACTCAGAGTGTCCTTTGACCCCTTCATCAGTGTGTCACCCGGCCAACTCGCTGAGCTCACTTTCTCCTCTCTCTCTCTCTCTCTCTCCCTCTCCCTGTCTTTCTCTTTCATTCTTTTCTACCTGGCCCTGGTCTATCCCAACATAAAGGCAATAATTCATTACCTCATTAATGGATCTGTCCTTTTTCTTTTTAAACAGTTCCTTATGTTAGCCATGAAATCTAGCTGGGGCTGTGTGGTTTCTGATTCCCCCTGGCTTATTCTTTACTTTTTCCTACTTTTCCAGGCTCAGCAGGGAGCTGCTGGATGAGAAAGAGCCTGAAGTCTTGCAGGACTCACTGGATAGATGTTATTCGACTCCTTCAGGTTATCTTGAACTGCCTGACTTAGGCCAGCCCTACAGCAGTGCTGTTTACTCATTGGAGGAACAGTACCTTGGCTTGGCTCTTGACGTGGACAGTGAGTACCTTACTATGAAGGTGATAAGCCTCCACCTGGTCTTCCAGATAGGGGTGATATTCCTGTTCCAAGTGGCCCTTACTGACCCGAGAGATGTCATTGCCGCAGGCAGGACCTATGGGCGCATATAGGTTGTAATGAAACTGTAGTCTCAGTTGGAAGCCTAGACATGAAATGGGTCAGTGAGCAAGGCTCTATTCCTAGTCTCCAGCCATGCCTGTGGCAACCTGAGCCCGCTCTCAGCACATTGGACCCAGGCAGATGTAAAAAATTCACAGAACTATGATTTGGACTCAAGGGTTTGTGGATTTCCTCCTTCATTCTAATTTCAGTGTCTAAAATTCTTGCATCCATGAACGAGCTGGGCATTTGATGAGACAGGGCTGAATACTGCAGTTTTCCTCCTAGAAATCATCTGGGGCATTTTCTTTGAACTGATGGGAACAATAAGGCATAACTGTTTGCACAAACTTGGGATAAGTGATTTTGGGATAACGATCTACCAGAATGGGGATATTTCACCCTTGGTTCTGAGATGCAAACCAAAGAATATCATGACCAGCTTTCAGGCCTCCTGAAGTATATCTCTCACATTGTCCTGTTCTCATGCTGAGGAGCCTGAGATCCCTGTGTGGGGATTAGACAGTGGACTGTTATGGGTGTAGGTGAATTGGCTTATTTTGTCTGTCCCTGTCTGAATGTATTGCAGGAATTAAAAAGGACCAAGAAGAGGAAGAAGACCAAGGCCCACCATGCCCCAGGTAACTGAGCAGTTGTGAACAGCTACTTCTGTGTTGACATCTGGAGACTCCTGGTTCAGGGAAAACAGAGCGGGCTGACATTATCGATTACATCTTTTCAAGCAAGCCTGAATTATTCCTACTAACATTGCTGTTGGTTTTCATTGCAGTAGATATTTAGGTTTCCATTTCTTCCTCCCCTTATCATTTACTAACCTACTGTAGGTGGACCAGACTTCAAAAACTGTATTCTCATGGCGACTGCGTGGAAACTTGAGCACATTTTATGGAAAATTATTGAGCACAGTCTTTTCATGATCACTGTATGCTGTGTGTCCTGAGGGCACTAACTCAGAGTGTCCTGTTACTCCCTCATCAGTGTGTCACCTGGACAATTCACTGAGCTCGTTCTCTCTCTCTCTCTGTGTGTGTGTGTGTGTGTGTGTGTGTGTGTGTGTGTGTGTGTGTGTCTATCTGTCTTTCTCTTTCATTCTTTTCCATTTGGCCCTGTTCTGTCCCAACATGAAGGCAATAATTTGTTACCTCATTAATGGATCTATCCTTTTAGTTTCTTAACCACTTCCCTATGCTACCCATGAAACCTAGTTGGGGCTCTGTTGTGTGTGATTTCCCCTGGCTTATTCTTTACTTTTTCCTCCTTTTCCAGGCTCAGCAGGGAGCTGCTGGAGGTAGTAGAGCCTGAAGTCTTGCAGGACTCACTGGATAGATGTTATTCAACTCCTTCCAGTTGTCTTGAACAGCCTGACTCCTGCCAGCCCTATGGAAGTTCCTTTTATGCATTGGAGGAAAAACATGTTGGCTTTTCTCTTGACGTGGGAGGTGAGTACCTTTCTATGAAGGTGATAAGCATCCACTGAGTCTTCCATATAAAGATCATATTCCTGCTCCAAGTGGCCATTACTGAGCTGAGAGATGTCGTTGCCGCAGTGAGGACCTATAGGCACATGTAGGTTGAATGAAACTCTAGTTCTACCTGGAAGCCCAGACAAGGGATGGGTCAGTGAGCAAGACTCTCTTCCTAGTCTCAGGCCATACCTGTGGCGCCCTGATCCTATTCTCATGACATTGGACCTGGGCAGATGTGACAAATTCAGAGAACTATGATTTTGACTCAAGGGTTTGTAGATTTCCTTTTTCACTCTAATTTCAGTGTCTAAAGTCCTCACAACCATGAACAATCTGAGTATTTGATGAGACAGGGCTAAATATTGCAGTTTTTCTCCTAGAAATCATTTGAGGGTATTTGCTTTAAATTGATTGGAAAAATATGGCATAACTGTTTGCACAAACTTGGGACAAATGATATTGGGATAACGATCTACTAGAATAGGGACATTTTACCCACAGTTTCTGGGAGAAAAACCGAGGAATTTCTATCATGACCAGCCTTCAGGCCTCCTGAAATATATCTCTCACAGTGTCCTATTCTTATGCTGAGGAGCCTGAGGTCCCTGTGTGAGGATTAGACAGTGGATTGTTATGTGTGTAGGGGAATCAGCTTAATGTGTCTGTCCATGTCTGAATTTATTGCAGAAATTGAAAAGAAGGGGAAGGGGAAGAAAAGAAGGGGAAGAAGATCAAAGAAGGAAAGAAGAAGGGGAAGAAAAGAAGGGGAAGAAGATCAAAACCCACCATGCCCCAGGTGACTTTCAGCAATTGTGGATGCTTAATTCTGTGTTAACACCTGGAGGCAACAGATTCAGGGAAACCAGACTGTGTTTGATGTCATGTTTTCAACGAAGGCTGAATTACTCCTACTGTCATTGCTGTTGGTTTTCATTGCAGTAGATGTTTAGGTTTCCATTTCTTCCTCCCCTTATCATTTACTAACGTACCATAGGTTGACCATACTTCAAAAGCTGTACTCTCATGGCCACTGCATCGAATTTTGAGCATATTTTATGGAAAACTATTGAGCTCACTCTTTTCATGATCACAGTTTGCTGTGTGTCATGAGGGCACTAACTCACAGTGTCCTTTTACTCCCTTACCAGTATGTCACCTGGCCAATTCACTAGGTCACTTTCTCTCTGTCTCTGTCTCTGTCTCTCTCTCTGTCTCTGTCTCTCTCTCTCTCTCTCTCTGTCTTTCTCTTTCATTGTTTTCTACCTGGCCCTGTTCTATCCCAACATAAAGGCAATAATTTGTTACCTCATTAATGGATCTGTCCTTTTTCTTTTCAAACTCTTCCTTAACGTTAGCCATGAAATCTAGCTGGGGCTGTGTGGTTTCTGATTCCCCCTGGCTTATTCTTTACTTTTTCCCACTTTTCCAGGCTCAGCAGGGAGCTGCTGGATGAGAAAGGGCCTGAAGTCTTGCAGGACTCACTGGATAGATGTTATTCAACTCCTTCAGGTTGTCTTGAACTGACTGACTCATGCCAGCCCTACAGAAGTGCCTTTTACATATTGGAGCAACAGTGTGTTGGCTTGGCTGTTGACATGGATGGTGAGTACCTTTCTATGAAGGTGATAAGGATCCACTGAGTCTTCTGGTTAGGGTCATATTCCTACTGCAAGTGGCCCTTACTGAGCTGAGAGATGTCATTGCCACAGGGAGGACCTATAGGCACATGTAGGTTGAATGAAACTCTAGTTCCACTTGGCAGCCCAGACAAGGGATGGGTCAGTGAGCAAGGCTCTCTCCCTAGTCTCAGGCCATGCCTGTGGAGCCCTAATCCTACTCTCATGACACTGGACCTGGGCAGATGTGACAAATTCACACAACTCTGATTTTGTCTCAATTTTGTAGATCTTGTAGATTTCATCCTTCACTCTAATTTCAGCGTCTAAAATCCTCGCTACCATGAACAATCTGAGTATTTGATGAGACAGGGCTGAATAGTGCAGTTTTTCTCCTAGCAACCATTTGGGGGTATTTGCTTTAAATCGATTGGAAAAATATGGCATAACCATTTGCACAAACTTGGGACAAATGATATTGGGATAACGATCTACCAGAATAGGGAATTTTACCCACAGTTTCTGGGACAAAAACCAAGGAATCTCTATGGTGATCAGCCTTCAGGCCTCCTGAAGAATATCTCTCACAGTGTCCTATTCTCATGCTGAGGAGCCTGAAGTCCCTGTGTGAGGATTAGACAGTGGATTGTTATGTGTGTAGGAGAACCAGCTTCATATGTCTGTCCATGTCTGAACTTATTGCAGAAATTGAAAAGTACCAAGAAGTGGAAGAAGACCAAGACCCATCATGCCCCAGGTAACTTTGAGCAATTATGGATGCTTAATTCTGTGTTGACACCTGGAGATGCCAGGTCCAGGGAAAACAAGAGTGTGTTCAATTTCATGTTTTCAACGAAGGTTGAATTACTCCTACTGACATGGCTGTTGGTTTTCATTGCAGTAGATGTTTAGGTTTCCATTTCTTCCTCCCCTTAACATTTACTAACTTACTATAGGTTGACCATACCTCAAAGGCTGTATGGCAACTGCATGGAATCTTGAGCAAGTTTATGGAAAATTATTGAGCCCACTCTTTTCATGATCACTGTTCGCTGTGTGTCCCGAGGGCACTAACTCAGAGTGTCCTTTGACCCCTTCATCAGTGTGTCACCCGGCCAACTCGCTGAGCTCACTTTCTCCTCTCTCTCTCTCTCTCTCTCCCTCTCCCTGTCTTTCTCTTTCATTCTTTTCTACCTGGCCCTGGTCTATCCCAACATAAAGGCAATAATTCATTACCTCATTAATGGATCTGTCCTTTTTCTTTTTAAACAGTTCCTTATGTTAGCCATGAAATCTAGCTGGGGCTGTGTGGTTTCTGATTCCCCCTGGCTTATTCTTTACTTTTTCCTACTTTTCCAGGCTCAGCAGGGAGCTGCTGGATGAGAAAGAGCCTGAAGTCTTGCAGGACTCACTGGATAGATGTTATTCGACTCCTTCAGGTTATCTTGAACTGCCTGACTTAGGCCAGCCCTACAGCAGTGCTGTTTACTCATTGGAGGAACAGTACCTTGGCTTGGCTCTTGACGTGGACAGTGAGTACCTTACTATGAAGGTGATAAGCCTCCACCTGGTCTTCCAGATAGGGGTGATATTCCTGTTCCAAGTGGCCCTTACTGACCCGAGAGATGTCATTGCCGCAGGCAGGACCTATGGGCGCATATAGGTTGTAATGAAACTGTAGTCTCAGTTGGAAGCCTAGACATGAAATGGGTCAGTGAGCAAGGCTCTATTCCTAGTCTCCAGCCATGCCTGTGGCAACCTGAGCCCGCTCTCAGCACATTGGACCCAGGCAGATGTAAAAAATTCACAGAACTATGATTTGGACTCAAGGGTTTGTGGATTTCCTCCTTCATTCTAATTTCAGTGTCTAAAATTCTTGCATCCATGAACGAGCTGGGCATTTGATGAGACAGGGCTGAATACTGCAGTTTTCCTCCTAGAAATCATCTGGGGCATTTTCTTTGAACTGATGGGAACAATAAGGCATAACTGTTTGCACAAACTTGGGATAAGTGATTTTGGGATAACGATCTACCAGAATGGGGATATTTCACCCTTGGTTCTGAGATGCAAACCAAAGAATATCATGACCAGCTTTCAGGCCTCCTGAAGTATATCTCTCACATTGTCCTGTTCTCATGCTGAGGAGCCTGAGATCCCTGTGTGGGGATTAGACAGTGGACTGTTATGGGTGTAGGTGAATTGGCTTATTTTGTCTGTCCCTGTCTGAATGTATTGCAGGAATTAAAAAGGACCAAGAAGAGGAAGAAGACCAAGGCCCACCATGCCCCAGGTAACTGAGCAATTGTGAACAGCTACTTCTGTGTTGACATCTGGAGACTCCTGGTTCAGGGAAAACAGAGCGGGCTGACATTATCGATTACATCTTTTCAAGCAAGCCTGAATTATTCCTACTAACATTGCTGTTGGTTTTCATTGCAGTAGATATTTAGGTTTCCATTTCTTCCTCCCCTTATCATTTACTAACCTACTGTAGGTGGACCAGACTTCAAAAACTGTATTCTCATGGCGACTGCGTGGAAACTTGAGCACATTTTATGGAAAATTATTGAGCACAGTCTTTTCATGATCACTGTATGCTGTGTGTCCTGAGGGCACTAACTCAGAGTGTCCTGTTACTCCCTCATCAGTGTGTCACCTGGACAATTCACTGAGCTCGTTCTCTCTCTCTCTCTGTGTGTGTGTGTGTGTGTGTGTGTGTGTGTGTGTGTGTGTGTCTATCTGTCTTTCTCTTTCATTCTTTTCCATTTGGCCCTGTTCTGTCCCAACATGAAGGCAATAATTTGTTACCTCATTAATGGATCTATCCTTTTAGTTTCTTAACCACTTCCCTATGCTACCCATGAAACCTAGTTGGGGCTCTGTTGTGTGTGATTTCCCCTGGCTTATTCTTTACTTTTTCCTCCTTTTCCAGGCTCAGCAGGGAGCTGCTGGAGGTAGTAGAGCCTGAAGTCTTGCAGGACTCACTGGATAGATGTTATTCAACTCCTTCCAGTTGTCTTGAACAGCCTGACTCCTGCCAGCCCTATGGAAGTTCCTTTTATGCATTGGAGGAAAAACATGTTGGCTTTTCTCTTGACGTGGGAGGTGAGTACCTTTCTATGAAGGTGATAAGCATCCACTGAGTCTTCCATATAAAGATCATATTCCTGCTCCAAGTGGCCATTACTGAGCTGAGAGATGTCATTGCCGCAGTGAGGACCTATAGGCACATGTAGGTTGAATGAAACTCTAGTTCTACCTGGAAGCCCAGACATGGGATGGGTCAGTGAGCATGGCTCTCTTCCTAGTCTCAGGCCATACCTGTGGCACTCTGATTCTACTCTCATGACATTGGACCTGGGCAGATGTGACAAATTCAGAGAACTATGATTTTGACTCAAGGGTTTGCAGATTTCCTTTTTCACTCTAATTTCAGTGTCTAAAGTCCTCACAACCATGAACAATCTGAGTATTTGATGAGACAGGGCTAAATATTGCAGTTTTTCTCCCAGAAATCATTTGAGGGTATTTGCTTTAAATTGATTGGAAAAATATGGCATAACTGTTTGCACAAACTTGGGACAAATGATATTGGGATAACGATCTACTAGAATAGGGACATTTTACCCACAGTTTCTGGGAGAAAAACCGAGGAATTTCTATCATGACCAGCCTTCAGGCCTCCTGAAATATATCTCTCACAGTGTCCTATTCTTATGCTGAGGAGCCTGAGGTCCCTGTGTGAGGATTAGACAGTGGATTGTTATGTGTGTAGGGGAATCAGCTTAATGTGTCTGTCCATGTCTGAATTTATTGCAGAAATTGAAAAGAAGGGGAAGGGGAAGAAAAGAAGGGGAAGAAGATCAAAGAAGGAAAGAAGAAGGGGAAGAAAAGAAGGGGAAGAAGATCAAAACCCACCATGCCCCAGGTGACTTTCAGCAATTGTGGATGCTTAATTCTGTGTTAACACCTGGAGGCAACAGATTCAGAGAAACCAGACTGTGTTTGATGTCATGTTTTCAACGAAGGCTGAATTACTCCTACTGTCATTGCTGTTGGTTTTCATTGCAGTAGATGTTTAGGTTTCCATTTCTTCCTCCCCTTATCATTTACTAACGTACCATAGGTTGACCATACTTCAAAAGCTGTACTCTCATGGCCACTGCATCGAATTTTGAGCATATTTTATGGAAAACTATTGAGCTCACTCTTTTCATGATCACAGTTTGCTGTGTGTCATGAGGGCACTAACTCACAGTGTCCTTTTACTCCCTTACCAGTATGTCACCTGGCCAATTCACTAGGTCACTTTCTCTCTGTCTCTGTCTCTGTCTCTCTCTCTGTCTCTGTCTCTCTCTCTCTCTCTGTCTTTCTCTTTCATTGTTTTCTACCTGGCCCTGTTCTATCCCAACATAAAGGCAATAATTTGTTACCTCATTAATGGATCTGTCCTTTTTCTTTTCAAACTCTTCCTTAACGTTAGCCATGAAATCTAGCTGGGGCTGTGTGGTTTCTGATTCCCCCTGGCTTATTCTTTACTTTTTCCCACTTTTCCAGGCTCAGCAGGGAGCTGCTGGATGAGAAAGGGCCTGAAGTCTTGCAGGACTCACTGGATAGATGTTATTCAACTCCTTCAGGTTGTCTTGAACTGACTGACTCATGCCAGCCCTACAGAAGTGCCTTTTACATATTGGAGCAACAGTGTGTTGGCTTGGCTGTTGACATGGATGGTGAGTACCTTTCTATGAAGGTGATAAGGATCCACTGAGTCTTCTGGTTAGGGTCATATTCCTACTGCAAGTGGCCCTTACTGAGCTGAGAGATGTCATTGCCACAGGGAGGACCTATAGGCACATGTAGGTTGAATGAAACTCTAGTTCCACTTGGCAGCCCAGACAAGGGATGGGTCAGTGAGCAAGGCTCTCTCCCTAGTCTCAGGCCATGCCTGTGGAGCCCTAATCCTACTCTCATGACACTGGACCTGGGCAGATGTGACAAATTCACACAACTCTGATTTTGTCTCAATTTTGTAGATCTTGTAGATTTCATCCTTCACTCTAATTTCAGCGTCTAAAATCCTCGCTACCATGAACAATCTGAGTATTTGATGAGACAGGGCTGAATAGTGCAGTTTTTCTCCTAGCAACCATTTGGGGGTATTTGCTTTAAATCGATTGGAAAAATATGGCATAACCATTTGCACAAACTTGGGACAAATGATATTGGGATAACGATCTACCAGAATAGGGAATTTTACCCACAGTTTCTGGGACAAAAACCAAGGAATCTCTATGGTGATCAGCCTTCAGGCCTCCTGAAGAATATCTCTCACAGTGTCCTATTCTCATGCTGAGGAGCCTGAAGTCCCTGTGTGAGGATTAGACAGTGGATTGTTATGTGTGTAGGAGAACCAGCTTCATATGTCTGTCCATGTCTGAACTTATTGCAGAAATTGAAAAGTACCAAGAAGTGGAAGAAGACCAAGACCCATCATGCCCCAGGTAACTTTGAGCAATTATGGATGCTTAATTCTGTGTTGACACCTGGAGATGCCAGGTCCAGGGAAAACAAGAGTGTGTTCAATTTCATGTTTTCAACGAAGGTTGAATTACTCCTACTGACATGGCTGTTGGTTTTCATTGCAGTAGATGTTTAGGTTTCCATTTCTTCCTCCCCTTAACATTTACTAACTTACTATAGGTTGACCATACCTCAAAGGCTGTATGGCAACTGCATGGAATCTTGAGCAAGTTTATGGAAAATTATTGAGCCCACTCTTTTCATGATCACTGTTCGCTGTGTGTCCCGAGGGCACTAACTCAGAGTGTCCTTTGACCCCTTCATCAGTGTGTCACCCGGCCAACTCGCTGAGCTCACTTTCTCCTCTCTCTCTCTCTCTCTCTCTCTCTCCCTCTCCCTGTCTTTCTCTTTCATTCTTTTCTACCTGGCCCTGGTCTATCCCAACATAAAGGCAATAATTCATTACCTCATTAATGGATCTGTCCTTTTTCTTTTTAAACAGTTCCTTATGTTAGCCATGAAATCTAGCTGGGGCTGTGTGGTTTCTGATTCCCCCTGGCTTATTCTTTACTTTTTCCTACTTTTCCAGGCTCAGCAGGGAGCTGCTGGCTGAGAAAGAGCCTGAAGTCTTGCAGGACCCACTGGATAGATGTTATTCGACTCCTTCAGGTTATCTTGAACTGCCTGACTTAGGCCAGCCCTACAGCAGTGCTGTTTACTCATTGGAGGAACAGTACCTTGGCTTGGCTCTTGACGTGGACAGTGAGTACCTTACTATGAAGGTGATAAGCCTCCACCTGGTCTTCCAGATAGGGGTGATATTCCTGTTCCAAGTGGCCCTTACTGACCCGAGAGATGTCATTGCCGCAGGCAGGACCTATGGGCGCATATAGGTTGTAATGAAACTGTAGTCTCAGTTGGAAGCCTAGACATGAAATGGGTCAGTGAGCAAGGCTCTATTCCTAGTCTCCAGCCATGCCTGTGGCAACCTGAGCCCGCTCTCAGCACATTGGACCCAGGCAGATGTAAAAAATTCACAGAACTATGATTTGGACTCAAGGGTTTGTAGATTTCCTCCTTCATTCTAATTTCAGTGTCTAAAATTCTTACATCCATGAACGAGCTGGGCATTTGATGAGACAGGGCTGAATACTGCAGTTTTCCTCCTAGAAATCATCTGGGGCATTTTCTTTGAACTGATGGGAACAATAAGGCATAACTGTTTGCACAAACTTGGGATAAGTGATTTTGGGATAACGATCTTCCAGAATGGGGATATTTCACCCTTGGTTCTGAGATGCAAACCAAAGAATATCATGACCAGCTTTCAGGCCTCCTGAAGTATATCTCTCACATTGTCCTGTTCTCATGCTGAGGAGCCTGAGATCCCTGTGTGGGGATTAGACAGTGGACTGTTATGGGTGTAGGTGAATTGGCTTATTTTGTCTGTCCCTGTCTGAATGTATTGCAGGAATTAAAAAGGACCAAGAAGAGGAAGAAGACCAAGGCCCACCATGCCCCAGGTAACTGAGCAATTGTGAACAGCTACTTCTGTGTTGACATCTGGAGACTCCTGGTTCAGGGAAAACAGAGCGGGCTGACATTATCGATTACATCTTTTCAAGCAAGCCTGAATTATTCCTACTAACATTGCTGTTGGTTTTCATTGCAGTAGATATTTAGGTTTCCATTTCTTCCTCCCCTTATCATTTACTAACCTACTGTAGGTGGACCAGACTTCAAAAACTGTATTCTCATGGCGACTGCATGGAAACTTGAACACATTTTATGGAAAATTATTGAGCACAGTCTTTTCATGATCACTGTATGCTGTGTGTCCTGAGGGCACTAACTCAGAGTGTCCTGTTACTCCCTCATCAGTGTGTCACCTGGACAATTCACTGAGCTCGTTCTCTCTCTCTCTGTGTGTGTGTCTGTGTGTGTGTGTGTGTCTATCTGTCTTTCTCTTTCATTCTTTTCCATTTGGCCCTGTTCTGTCCCAACATGAAGGCAATAATTTGTTACCTCATTAATGGATCTATCCTTTTACTTTCTTAACCACTTCCTTATGCTACCCATGAAACCTAGTTGGGGCTCTGTTGTGTGTGATTTCCCCTGGCTTATTCTTTACTTTTTCCTCCTTTTCCAGGCTCAGCAGGGAGCTGCTGGAGGTAGTAGAGCCTGAAGTCTTGCAGGACTCACTGGATAGATGTTATTCAACTCCTTCCAGTTGTCTTGAACAGCCTGACTCCTGCCAGCCCTATGGAAGTTCCTTTTATGCATTGGAGGAAAAACATGTTGGCTTTTCTCTTGACGTGGGAGGTGAGTACCTTTCTATGAAGGTGATAAGCATCCACTGAGTCTTCCATATAAAGATCATATTCCTGCTCCAAGTGGCCATTACTGAGCTGAGAGATGTCATTGCCGCAGTGAGGACCTATAGGCACATGTAGGTTGAATGAAACTCTAGTTCTACCTGGAAGCCCAGACATGGGATGGGTCAGTGAGCATGGCTCTCTTCCTAGTCTCAGGCCATACCTGTGGCACTCTGATTCTACTCTCATGACATTGGACCTGGGCAGATGTGACAAATTCAGAGAACTATGATTTTGACTCAAGGGTTTGCAGATTTCCTTTTTCACTCTAATTTCAGTGTCTAAAGTCCTCACAACCATGAACAATCTGAGTATTTGATGAGACAGGGCTAAATATTGCAGTTTTTCTCCCAGAAATCATTTGAGGGTATTTGCTTTAAATTGATTGGAAAAATATGGCATAACTGTTTGCACAAACTTGGGACAAATGATATTGGGATAACGATCTACTAGAATAGGGACATTTTACCCACAGTTTCTGGGAGAAAAACCGAGGAATTTCTATCATGACCAGCCTTCAGGCCTCCTGAAATATATCTCTCACAGTGTCCTATTCTTATGCTGAGGAGCCTGAGGTCCCTGTGTGAGGATTAGACAGTGGATTGTTATGTGTGTAGGGGAATCAGCTTAATGTGTCTGTCCATGTCTGAATTTATTGCAGAAATTGAAAAGAAGGGGAAGGGGAAGAAAAGAAGGGGAAGAAGATCAAAGAAGGAAAGAAGAAGGGGAAGAAAAGAAGGGGAAGAAGATCAAAACCCACCATGCCCCAGGTGACTTTCAGCAATTGTGGATGCTTAATTCTGTGTTAACACCTGGAGGCAACAGATTCAGGGAAACCAGACTGTGTTTGATGTCATGTTTTCAACGAAGGCTGAATTACTCCTACTGTCATTGCTGTTGGTTTTCATTGCAGTAGATGTTTAGGTTTCCATTTCTTCCTCCCCTTATCATTTACTAACGTACCATAGGTTGACCATACTTCAAAAGCTGTACTCTCATGGCCACTGCATCGAATTTTGAGCATATTTTATGGAAAACTATTGAGCTCACTCTTTTCATGATCACAGTTTGCTGTGTGTCATGAGGGCACTAACTCAGAGTGTCCTTTTACTCCCTTACCAGTATGTCACCTGGCCAATTCACTAGGTCACTTTCTCTCTGTCTCTGTCTCTGTCTCTCTCTCTGTCTCTGTCTCTCTCTCTCTCTCTGTCTTTCTCTTTCATTGTTTTCTACCTGGCCCTGTTCTATCCCAACATAAAGGCAATAATTTGTTACCTCATTAATGGATCTGTCCTTTTTCTTTTCAAACTCTTCCTTAACGTTAGCCATGAAATCTAGCTGGGGCTGTGTGGTTTCTGATTCCCCCTGGCTTATTCTTTACTTTTTCCCACTTTTCCAGGCTCAGCAGGGAGCTGCTGGATGAGAAAGGGCCTGAAGTCTTGCAGGACTCACTGGATAGATGTTATTCAACTCCTTCAGGTTGTCTTGAACTGACTGACTCATGCCAGCCCTACAGAAGTGCCTTTTACATATTGGAGCAACAGTGTGTTGGCTTGGCTGTTGACATGGATGGTGAGTACCTTTCTATGAAGGTGATAAGGATCCACTGAGTCTTCTGGTTAGGGTCATATTCCTACTGCAAGTGGCCCTTACTGAGCTGAGAGATGTCATTGCCACAGGGAGGACCTATAGGCACATGTAGGTTGAATGAAACTCTAGTTCCACTTGGCAGCCCAGACAAGGGATGGGTCAGTGAGCAAGGCTCTCTCCCTAGTCTCAGGCCATGCCTGTGGAGCCCTAATCCTACTCTCATGACACTGGACCTGGGCAGATGTGACAAATTCACACAACTCTGATTTTGTCTCAATTTTGTAGATCTTGTAGATTTCATCCTTCACTCTAATTTCAGCGTCTAAAATCCTCGCTACCATGAACAATCTGAGTATTTGATGAGACAGGGCTGAATAGTGCAGTTTTTCTCCTAGCAACCATTTGGGGGTATTTGCTTTAAATCGATTGGAAAAATATGGCATAACCATTTGCACAAACTTGGGACAAATGATATTGGGATAACGATCTACCAGAATAGGGAATTTTACCCACAGTTTCTGGGACAAAAACCAAGGAATCTCTATGGTGATCAGCCTTCAGGCCTCCTGAAGAATATCTCTCACAGTGTCCTATTCTCATGCTGAGGAGCCTGAAGTCCCTGTGTGAGGACTAGACAGTGGATTGTTATGTGTGTAGGAGAACCAGCTTCATATGTCTGTCCATGTCTGAACTTATTGCAGAAATTGAAAAGTACCAAGAAGTGGAAGAAGACCAAGACCCATCATGCCCCAGGTAACTTTGAGCAATTATGGATGCTTAATTCTGTGTTGACACCTGGAGATGCCAGGTCCAGGGAAAACAAGAGTGTGTTCAATTTCATGTTTTCAACGAAGGTTGAATTACTCCTACTGACATGGCTGTTGGTTTTCATTGCAGTAGATGTTTAGGTTTCCATTTCTTCCTCCCCTTAACATTTACTAACTTACTATAGGTTGACCATACCTCAAAGGCTGTATGGCAACTGCATGGAATCTTGAGCAAGTTTATGGAAAATTATTGAGCCCACTCTTTTCATGATCACTGTTCGCTGTGTGTCCCGAGGGCACTAACTCAGAGTGTCCTTTGACCCCTTCATCAGTGTGTCACCCGGCCAACTCGCTGAGCTCACTTTCTCCTCTCTCTCTCTCTCTCTCTCTCTCTCCCTCTCCCTGTCTTTCTCTTTCATTCTTTTCTACCTGGCCCTGGTCTATCCCAACATAAAGGCAATAATTCATTACCTCATTAATGGATCTGTCCTTTTTCTTTTTAAACAGTTCCTTATGTTAGCCATGAAATCTAGCTGGGGCTGTGTGGTTTCTGATTCCCCCTGGCTTATTCTTTACTTTTTCCTACTTTTCCAGGCTCAGCAGGGAGCTGCTGGCTGAGAAAGAGCCTGAAGTCTTGCAGGACCCACTGGATAGATGTTATTCGACTCCTTCAGGTTATCTTGAACTGCCTGACTTAGGCCAGCCCTACAGCAGTGCTGTTTACTCATTGGAGGAACAGTACCTTGGCTTGGCTCTTGACGTGGACAGTGAGTACCTTACTATGAAGGTGATAAGCCTCCACCTGGTCTTCCAGATAGGGGTGATATTCCTGTTCCAAGTGGCCCTTACTGACCCGAGAGATGTCATTGCCGCAGGCAGGACCTATGGGCGCATATAGGTTGTAATGAAACTGTAGTCTCAGTTGGAAGCCTAGACATGAAATGGGTCAGTGAGCAAGGCTCTATTCCTAGTCTCCAGCCATGCCTGTGGCAACCTGAGCCCGCTCTCAGCACATTGGACCCAGGCAGATGTAAAAAATTCACAGAACTATGATTTGGACTCAAGGGTTTGTAGATTTCCTCCTTCATTCTAATTTCAGTGTCTAAAATTCTTACATCCATGAACGAGCTGGGCATTTGATGAGACAGGGCTGAATACTGCAGTTTTCCTCCTAGAAATCATCTGGGGCATTTTCTTTGAACTGATGGGAACAATAAGGCATAACTGTTTGCACAAACTTGGGATAAGTGATTTTGGGATAACGATCTTCCAGAATGGGGATATTTCACCCTTGGTTCTGAGATGCAAACCAAAGAATATCATGACCAGCTTTCAGGCCTCCTGAAGTATATCTCTCACATTGTCCTGTTCTCATGCTGAGGAGCCTGAGATCCCTGTGTGGGGATTAGACAGTGGACTGTTATGGGTGTAGGTGAATTGGCTTATTTTGTCTGTCCCTGTCTGAATGTATTGCAGGAATTAAAAAGGACCAAGAAGAGGAAGAAGACCAAGGCCCACCATGCCCCAGGTAACTGAGCAATTGTGAACAGCTACTTCTGTGTTGACATCTGGAGACTCCTGGTTCAGGGAAAACAGAGCGGGCTGACATTATCGATTACATCTTTTCAAGCAAGCCTGAATTATTCCTACTAACATTGCTGTTGGTTTTCATTGCAGTAGATATTTAGGTTTCCATTTCTTCCTCCCCTTATCATTTACTAACCTACTGTAGGTGGACCAGACTTCAAAAACTGTATTCTCATGGCGACTGCATGGAAACTTGAACACATTTTATGGAAAATTATTGAGCACAGTCTTTTCATGATCACTGTATGCTGTGTGTCCTGAGGGCACTAACTCAGAGTGTCCTGTTACTCCCTCATCAGTGTGTCACCTGGACAATTCACTGAGCTCGTTCTCTCTCTCTCTGTGTGTGTGTCTGTGTGTGTGTGTGTGTCTATCTGTCTTTCTCTTTCATTCTTTTCCATTTGGCCCTGTTCTGTCCCAACATGAAGGCAATAATTTGTTACCTCATTAATGGATCTATCCTTTTACTTTCTTAACCACTTCCTTATGCTACCCATGAAACCTAGTTGGGGCTCTGTTGTGTGTGATTTCCCCTGGCTTATTCTTTACTTTTTCCTCCTTTTCCAGGCTCAGCAGGGAGCTGCTGGAGGTAGTAGAGCCTGAAGTCTTGCAGGACTCACTGGATAGATGTTATTCAACTCCTTCCAGTTGTCTTGAACAGCCTGACTCCTGCCAGCCCTATGGAAGTTCCTTTTATGCATTGGAGGAAAAACATGTTGGCTTTTCTCTTGACGTGGGAGGTGAGTACCTTTCTATGAAGGTGATAAGCATCCACTGAGTCTTCCATATAAAGATCATATTCCTGCTCCAAGTGGCCATTACTGAGCTGAGAGATGTCATTGCCGCAGTGAGGACCTATAGGCACATGTAGGTTGAATGAAACTCTAGTTCTACCTGGAAGCCCAGACATGGGATGGGTCAGTGAGCATGGCTCTCTTCCTAGTCTCAGGCCATACCTGTGGCACTCTGATTCTACTCTCATGACATTGGACCTGGGCAGATGTGACAAATTCAGAGAACTATGATTTTGACTCAAGGGTTTGTAGATTTCCTTTTTCACTCTAATTTCAGTGTCTAAAGTCCTCACAACCATGAACAATCTGAGTATTTGATGAGACAGGGCTAAATATTGCAGTTTTTCTCCCAGAAATCATTTGAGGGTATTTGCTTTAAATTGATTGGAAAAATATGGCATAACTGTTTGCACAAACTTGGGACAAATGATATTGGGATAACGATCTACTAGAATAGGGACATTTTACCCACAGTTTCTGGGAGAAAAACCGAGGAATTTCTATCATGACCAGCCTTCAGGCCTCCTGAAATATATCTCTCACAGTGTCCTATTCTTATGCTGAGGAGCCTGAGGTCCCTGTGTGAGGATTAGACAGTGGATTGTTATGTGTGTAGGGGAATCAGCTTAATGTGTCTGTCCATGTCTGAATTTATTGCAGAAATTGAAAAGAAGGGGAAGGGGAAGAAAAGAAGGGGAAGAAGATCAAAGAAGGAAAGAAGAAGGGGAAGAAAAGAAGGGGAAGAAGATCAAAACCCACCATGCCCCAGGTGACTTTCAGCAATTGTGGATGCTTAATTCTGTGTTAACACCTGGAGGCAACAGATTCAGGGAAACCAGAGTGTGTTTGATGTCATGTTTTCAACGAAGGCTGAATTACTCCTACTGTCATTGCTGTTGGTTTTCATTGCAGTAGATGTTTAGGTTTCCATTTCTTCCTCCCCTTATCATTTACTAGCGTACCATAGGTTGACCATACTTCAAAAGCTGTACTCTCATGGCCACTGCATCGAATTTTGAGCATATTTTATGGAAAACTATTGAGCTCACTCTTTTCATGATCACAGTTTGCTGTGTGTCATGAGGGCACTAACTCAGAGTGTCCTTTTACTCCCTTACCAGTATGTCACCTGGCCAATTCACTAGGTCACTTTCTCTCTGTCTCTGTCTCTGTCTCTCTCTCTGTCTCTGTCTCTCTCTCTCTCTCTGTCTTTCTCTTTCATTGTTTTCTACCTGGCCCTGTTCTATCCCAACATAAAGGCAATAATTTGTTACCTCATTAATGGATCTGTCCTTTTTCTTTTCAAACTCTTCCTTAACGTTAGCCATGAAATCTAGCTGGGGCTGTGTGGTTTCTGATTCCCCCTGGCTTATTCTTTACTTTTTCCCACTTTTCCAGGCTCAGCAGGGAGCTGCTGGATGAGAAAGGGCCTGAAGTCTTGCAGGACTCACTGGATAGATGTTATTCAACTCCTTCAGGTTGTCTTGAACTGACTGACTCATGCCAGCCCTACAGAAGTGCCTTTTACATATTGGAGCAACAGTGTGTTGGCTTGGCTGTTGACATGGATGGTGAGTACCTTTCTATGAAGGTGATAAGGATCCACTGAGTCTTCTGGTTAGGGTCATATTCCTACTGCAAGTGGCCCTTACTGAGCTGAGAGATGTCATTGCCACAGGGAGGACCTATAGGCACATGTAGGTTGAATGAAACTCTAGTTCCACTTGGCAGCCCAGACAAGGGATGGGTCAGTGAGCAAGGCTCTCTCCCTAGTCTCAGGCCATGCCTGTGGAGCCCTAATCCTACTCTCATGACACTGGACCTGGGCAGATGTGACAAATTCACACAACTCTGATTTTGTCTCAATTTTGTAGATCTTGTAGATTTCATCCTTCACTCTAATTTCAGCGTCTAAAATCCTCGCTACCATGAACAATCTGAGTATTTGATGAGACAGGGCTGAATAGTGCAGTTTTTCTCCTAGCAACCATTTGGGGGTATTTGCTTTAAATCGATTGGAAAAATATGGCATAACCATTTGCACAAACTTGGGACAAATGATATTGGGATAACGATCTACCAGAATAGGGAATTTTACCCACAGTTTCTGGGACAAAAACCAAGGAATCTCTATGGTGATCAGCCTTCAGGCCTCCTGAAGAATATCTCTCACAGTGTCCTATTCTCATGCTGAGGAGCCTGAAGTCCCTGTGTGAGGATTAGACAGTGGATTGTTATGTGTGTAGGAGAACCAGCTTCATATGTCTGTCCATGTCTGAACTTATTGCAGAAATTGAAAAGTACCAAGAAGTGGAAGAAGACCAAGACCCATCATGCCCCAGGTAACTTTGAGCAATTATGGATGCTTAATTCTGTGTTGACACCTGGAGATGCCAGGTCCAGGGAAAACAAGAGTGTGTTCAATTTCATGTTTTCAACGAAGGTTGAATTACTCCTACTGACATGGCTGTTGGTTTTCATTGCAGTAGATGTTTAGGTTTCCATTTCTTCCTCCCCTTAACATTTACTAACTTACTATAGGTTGACCATACCTCAAAGGCTGTATGGCAACTGCATGGAATCTTGAGCAAGTTTATGGAAAATTATTGAGCCCACTCTTTTCATGATCACTGTTCGCTGTGTGTCCCGAGGGCACTAACTCAGAGTGTCCTTTGACCCCTTCATCAGTGTGTCACCCGGCCAACTCGCTGAGCTCACTTTCTCCTCTCTCTCTCTCTCTCTCTCTCTCTCCCTCTCCCTGTCTTTCTCTTTCATTCTTTTCTACCTGGCCCTGGTCTATCCCAACATAAAGGCAATAATTCATTACCTCATTAATGGATCTGTCCTTTTTCTTTTTAAACAGTTCCTTATGTTAGCCATGAAATCTAGCTGGGGCTGTGTGGTTTCTGATTCCCCCTGGCTTATTCTTTACTTTTTCCTACTTTTCCAGGCTCAGCAGGGAGCTGCTGGCTGAGAAAGAGCCTGAAGTCTTGCAGGACCCACTGGATAGATGTTATTCGACTCCTTCAGGTTATCTTGAACTGCCTGACTTAGGCCAGCCCTACAGCAGTGCTGTTTACTCATTGGAGGAACAGTACCTTGGCTTGGCTCTTGACGTGGACAGTGAGTACCTTACTATGAAGGTGATAAGCCTCCACCTGGTCTTCCAGATAGGGGTGATATTCCTGTTCCAAGTGGCCCTTACTGACCCGAGAGATGTCATTGCCGCAGGCAGGACCTATGGGCGCATATAGGTTGTAATGAAACTGTAGTCTCAGTTGGAAGCCTAGACATGAAATGGGTCAGTGAGCAAGGCTCTATTCCTAGTCTCCAGCCATGCCTGTGGCAACCTGAGCCCGCTCTCAGCACATTGGACCCAGGCAGATGTAAAAAATTCACAGAACTATGATTTGGACTCAAGGGTTTGTAGATTTCCTCCTTCATTCTAATTTCAGTGTCTAAAATTCTTACATCCATGAACGAGCTGGGCATTTGATGAGACAGGGCTGAATACTGCAGTTTTCCTCCTAGAAATCATCTGGGGCATTTTCTTTGAACTGATGGGAACAATAAGGCATAACTGTTTGCACAAACTTGGGATAAGTGATTTTGGGATAACGATCTTCCAGAATGGGGATATTTCACCCTTGGTTCTGAGATGCAAACCAAAGAATATCATGACCAGCTTTCAGGCCTCCTGAAGTATATCTCTCACATTGTCCTGTTCTCATGCTGAGGAGCCTGAGATCCCTGTGTGGGGATTAGACAGTGGACTGTTATGGGTGTAGGTGAATTGGCTTATTTTGTCTGTCCCTGTCTGAATGTATTGCAGGAATTAAAAAGGACCAAGAAGAGGAAGAAGACCAAGGCCCACCATGCCCCAGGTAACTGAGCAATTGTGAACAGCTACTTCTGTGTTGACATCTGGAGACTCCTGGTTCAGGGAAAACAGAGCGGGCTGACATTATCGATTACATCTTTTCAAGCAAGCCTGAATTATTCCTACTAACATTGCTGTTGGTTTTCATTGCAGTAGATATTTAGGTTTCCATTTCTTCCTCCCCTTATCATTTACTAACCTACTGTAGGTGGACCAGACTTCAAAAACTGTATTCTCATGGCGACTGCATGGAAACTTGAACACATTTTATGGAAAATTATTGAGCACAGTCTTTTCATGATCACTGTATGCTGTGTGTCCTGAGGGCACTAACTCAGAGTGTCCTGTTACTCCCTCATCAGTGTGTCACCTGGACAATTCACTGAGCTCGTTCTCTCTCTCTCTGTGTGTGTGTCTGTGTGTGTGTGTGTGTCTATCTGTCTTTCTCTTTCATTCTTTTCCATTTGGCCCTGTTCTGTCCCAACATGAAGGCAATAATTTGTTACCTCATTAATGGATCTATCCTTTTACTTTCTTAACCACTTCCTTATGCTACCCATGAAACCTAGTTGGGGCTCTGTTGTGTGTGATTTCCCCTGGCTTATTCTTTACTTTTTCCTCCTTTTCCAGGCTCAGCAGGGAGCTGCTGGAGGTAGTAGAGCCTGAAGTCTTGCAGGACTCACTGGATAGATGTTATTCAACTCCTTCCAGTTGTCTTGAACAGCCTGACTCCTGCCAGCCCTATGGAAGTTCCTTTTATGCATTGGAGGAAAAACATGTTGGCTTTTCTCTTGACGTGGGAGGTGAGTACCTTTCTATGAAGGTGATAAGCATCCACTGAGTCTTCCATATAAAGATCATATTCCTGCTCCAAGTGGCCATTACTGAGCTGAGAGATGTCATTGCCGCAGTGAGGACCTATAGGCACATGTAGGTTGAATGAAACTCTAGTTCTACCTGGAAGCCCAGACATGGGATGGGTCAGTGAGCATGGCTCTCTTCCTAGTCTCAGGCCATACCTGTGGCACTCTGATTCTACTCTCATGACATTGGACCTGGGCAGATGTGACAAATTCAGAGAACTATGATTTTGACTCAAGGGTTTGTAGATTTCCTTTTTCACTCTAATTTCAGTGTCTAAAGTCCTCACAACCATGAACAATCTGAGTATTTGATGAGACAGGGCTAAATATTGCAGTTTTTCTCCCAGAAATCATTTGAGGGTATTTGCTTTAAATTGATTGGAAAAATATGGCATAACTGTTTGCACAAACTTGGGACAAATGATATTGGGATAACGATCTACTAGAATAGGGACATTTTACCCACAGTTTCTGGGAGAAAAACCGAGGAATTTCTATCATGACCAGCCTTCAGGCCTCCTGAAATATATCTCTCACAGTGTCCTATTCTTATGCTGAGGAGCCTGAGGTCCCTGTGTGAGGATTAGACAGTGGATTGTTATGTGTGTAGGGGAATCAGCTTAATGTGTCTGTCCATGTCTGAATTTATTGCAGAAATTGAAAAGAAGGGGAAGGGGAAGAAAAGAAGGGGAAGAAGATCAAAGAAGGAAAGAAGAAGGGGAAGAAAAGAAGGGGAAGAAGATCAAAACCCACCATGCCCCAGGTGACTTTCAGCAATTGTGGATGCTTAATTCTGTGTTAACACCTGGAGGCAACAGATTCAGGGAAACCAGAGTGTGTTTGATGTCATGTTTTCAACGAAGGCTGAATTACTCCTACTGTCATTGCTGTTGGTTTTCATTGCAGTAGATGTTTAGGTTTCCATTTCTTCCTCCCCTTATCATTTACTAGCGTACCATAGGTTGACCATACTTCAAAAGCTGTACTCTCATGGCCACTGCATCGAATTTTGAGCATATTTTATGGAAAACTATTGAGCTCACTCTTTTCATGATCACAGTTTGCTGTGTGTCATGAGGGCACTAACTCAGAGTGTCCTTTTACTCCCTTACCAGTATGTCACCTGGCCAATTCACTAGGTCACTTTCTCTCTGTCTCTGTCTCTGTCTCTCTCTCTCTGTCTTTCTCTTTCATTGTTTTCTACCTGGCCCTGTTCTATCCCAACATAAAGGCAATAAATTTTTTTTTTTACCTCATTAATGGATCTATCCTTTTTCTTTTCTAACCACTTCCTTATGTGACTTCTGAAATCTAGTGGGGCTCTGTGGTGTCTGATTTTCCCTGGCTGCTTCTTTAGTTTTGTCTCCTTTTCCAGGCTCAACAGCGTGCTGATGGAAGTGGAAGAGCCTGAAGTCTTACAGGACTCACTGGATGGATGTTATTCGACTCCGTCAATGTACTTTGAACTACCTGACTCATTCCAGCACTACAGAAGTGTGTTTTACTCATTTGAGGAAGAGCATATCAGCTTCGCCCTTTACTTGGACAATAGGTTTTTTACTTTGACGGTGACAAGTCTCCATCTGGTGTTCCAGATGTTAGTCATATTCCCACAATAGGCAGCCCTTACTAAGCCGAGAGATGTCATTCCTGCAGGCAGGACCTATAGGCACGTGAAGATTTGAATGAAACTACAGTTCCATTTGGAAGCCCAGACATAGGATGGGTCAGTGGGCATGGCTCTTTTCCTATTCTCAAACCATGCCAGTGGCAACCTGTGCTCAGTCTGAAGACAATGGACCCACGTTAGGTGTGACACGTTCACATAACTGTGCAGCACATGCCGGGAGTGATCAGTCGGACATTTTAATTTGAACCACGTATCTTTGGGTAGCTACAAAATTCCTCAGGGATTTCATTTTGCAGGCATGTCTCTGAGCTTCTATACCTGCTCAAGGTCAGTGTCATCTTTGTGTTTAGCTCATCCAAAGGTGTTACCCTGGTTTCAATGAACCTAACCTCATTCTTTGTGTCTTCAGTGTTGGCTTGTTTTAGCTGATCCATCTGTAACACAGGAGGGATCCTTGGCTGAGGATTGTATTTCAGAACCACCAACTGCTCTTTACAATTGTTAACCCGCTAGGCTCCTTTGGTTAGAGAAGCCACAGTCCTTCAGCCTCCAATTGGTGTCAGTACTTAGGAAGACCACAGCTAGATGGACAAACAGCATTGGGAGGCCTTAGCCCTGCTCCTCTCAATTCCATCCTGTAGAGAACAGGAGTCAGGAGCCGCTGGCAGGAGACAGCATGTCACCCAGGACTCTGCCGGTGCAGAATATGAACAATGCCATGTTCTTGCAGAAAACGCTTAGCCTGAGTTTCATAGGAGGTAATCACCAGACAACTGCAGAATGTAGAACACTGAGCAGGACAACTGACCTGTCTCCTTCACATAGTCCATATCACCACAAATCACACAACAAAAAGGAGAAGATATATTTTGGGTTCAAAAAAAGTAAAAAGATAATGTAGCTGCATTTCTTTAGTTATTTTGAACCCCAAATATTTCCTCATCTTTTTGTTGTTGTCATGGATGGTGGTGACATGGACTTGTTTATAGAGGACAGGTCAGCTCTCTGGCTCAATGATCTACATTCTGAAGTTGTCTGAAAATGTCTTCATGATTAAATTCAGCCTAAACGTTTTGCCGGGAACACTGCAGAGACAATGCTGTGAGTTTCCAACCTCAGCCCATCTGCGGGCAGAGAAGGTCTAGTTTGTCCATCACCATTATGATATCAGGACTGGTTACTTGGTTAAGGAGGGGTCTAGGAGATCTGTCCCTTTTAGAGACACCTTACTTATAATGAAGTACTTGGGAAAGCGGTTTTCAAGAGTATAAATATCCTGTATTCTAATGATCATCCTCTAAACATTTTATCATTTATTAATCCTCCCTGCCTGTGTCTATTATTATATTCATATCTCTACGCTGCAAAATTTGGGTCTCAATTTTTACTGTGCCTTTGTTTTTACTAGTGTCTGCTGTTGCAAAAAGAAGAAAACATTCTCTGCCTGAGTTTTAATTTTTGTCCAAAGTTAATTTTAATCTATACAATTAAAACCTTTTGCCTATCACTCTGGACTTTTGGATTGTTTTTTACATTCAGTGTTATAATATTTGATTATGCTGATTGGTTTTGGTGGGTACTGATGTGAATTAATAAAAACATTTCATTTCCATGTTTATTTTCTAATCTCTTCCACATTGTAGGCTATGTTTACCATATGTAGCAGAATGTATTTACATTTCTTCGTTCTAGTCATTTGTATTCTTCGTAAGTGTGAGAGTGTGTGTGTGTGTGTGTCTGTGTGTGTGTCTGTGTGTGCCTTTGGCATTTAGGAAGGGTTGTATAGCTCATGTTAAATATTGCACTAAAAATGTTTTTGATGGTTTTCCTCCCTTTGAACTAGACACACTTCTAATATTTGGTTTATACTTTTAAATTATAACTTTCAGCATCAAATATTTCCATACAACAGTCAATTACATGATGTGTTTTCTTTTTCCTACCTCCTTTACCTGCCACTTCTCATAATAGTATTTGAACCTAAACATATACCGGTGACATTCTGTGATTATCATCTTGCCCCTACCTTGGTTTTGGTTTTTGGTGCAGTTCCAGGCTCTTGGTGTCTTTGTTTGGGACACCAAGAGCCTGGAACTGCACGGCACCAGCTGGTAAGAATTAGGCTTTTTTGGCCGGGCGCGGTGGCTTATGCCTGTAATCCCAGCACTTTGCGAGGCCAAGGCGGGCGGATCACGAGGTCAGGAAATCGAGACCATCCTGGCTAACACGGTAAAACCCCATCTCTACTAAAAATAAAAAAAATTAGCCGGGCATGGTGGCGGGCGCCTGTAGTCCCAGCTACTCGGGAGGCTGAGGCAGGAGAATGGCCTGAACCCGAGAGGCGGAGCTTGCAGTGAGCCGAGATCGCGCCACTGCACTCCAGCCTGGGCGACAGAGAGAGACTCTGTCTCAAAAAAAAAAAAAAAAAAAAAAAAAAAGGCTTTTTTTTTTCCCTAAGGGTTAACAACAAACCAGCCCTATGGAAAGACTTGCTTCACCACTGTTATCAACCAACGGCCTGATGCTTTTCCTCAGTTTTGTGATTTTGACAAAACAAGCAAGCAGCATTCCCTCCTGATAAGAGACCACCGACCTAGGAATGATTCTGGCCAGACTAGAGAGGATGCACAGTGAGGGTTTTCATGTCCTCTGCTTCAGCTTTTGATGTCAGAGGGCCACAAACTCCACTCTCAGATGATTGCTAATGCCACCATTTTATGAACATGGGCCCCATGGAGAGGCACGAAGCTCAATTGCACTTCTGCACATTTTTCCTCCTATAAATATTGCTATTGGAATATTATTTGGTATGGCTCCCGTGAAAGATACATTTGCGGAATGTACTCAAATTAGAAGCATCATGTAAACCCTATAATGTAGCAATAGTGCATCAACTTCCCTACACTATAGAAACATCTGCGGTGTAGACATTTCCACAATGACCAAAGATATGTGTACAAGAAAGGTGGCTGCAGCATTCTTTGTAATCCTAAAACAATGAAACCTACCTCATCTCAAAAACTTTATTTTTTTATTTTTATTTTTTTTTGAGATGGAGTCTTGCTCTGTT
Organism: Homo sapiens; assembly: GCF_000001405.40. Taxonomy (NCBI): domain Eukaryota; kingdom Metazoa; phylum Chordata; class Mammalia; order Primates; family Hominidae; genus Homo; species Homo sapiens. The sequence continues at coordinate 149,557,820 of NC_000001.11, forward strand.
GCCCAGGCGGGAGTGTAGCGGTGCAGCCTCCACTGGTGCAGCCTCCACTGCAGCCTCCACCTCCCAGGTTCAAATGATTCTCCTGCCTCAGAATCCCAAGTACCTGGGATTACAGGCACATGCCACCACGCCTGGCTAACAAAAACATTTTGAAAAGGGTTAAATAAATCATGCACAAACTGAGGAAAAATACTCTTTTCAAAAATGATGGAGAGGATCACTATGATGATGAATGATTCCACTGGTCACATTATTGAGCAATCAGTAAATCCAGGCACATCCTCGGGGTATTACTGACCTATTATTAAAATATGAAAAAATGGAGGCATGTAAATTACTCGTTTAAGCGTATAACGGACTGAATTAGAATTTTATCACACCAGAAGTGGGTTCCTAGGTCTCTGTTTCAGGATTCCTGAGTTACACACGTATAAACCCAGGATTTCAGGAGATACCCGGTTAAGAATCCGGTCGGGGAGGTAGGCTGGCCCTTGACATGGATAAGTCACAAATTAGTGGCTTAGGACTCCGGGAAGATAAAATCTTCCCCATTTATCTAGTGATTGACAATGCATTAATACTTTAAAAGCTCGAACAAGCGTTCCTGGGTGGGCTCGAACCACCAACCTTTACGGTTAACAACCGAACGCGCTAACCAATTGCGCCACAGAGACAGGTACTGTCAGTTCTACTGGGCGCTATAGGAAGGGCGCACGCACGAAACTTCCTCCGTCCCTTGCATCCTCAGGGCCCGCCCAGCAGGACGACTGAGCAAGGCCTTGGAAGACCGGAGAGATTGGAGCGGTAAGTCGCGCTGGTCACGTTGGACACCTGCGCGTTGGGAGATTCTGGAGCCAGAAGGATAGCCGAATGGCCTTCGCCCGCCCTGCCCCTCGCCTGCTTCAGAAACCCCCGGAAACGCCCCGGTTGAGACCGCGGCCCAAGCCGCCTGGGGGCCCTAGGGAGGCTGAACGCCCGGTGGCTCCCGGGATGGCTCTTCCCGTTCTTTGCGCCGCCTTCACCCAGTGAGGGAGCCTGTGCCCTCCCTGCCCAGTCGCTTTTGGGGCCGCTGCGGAGCTTCCGCTGCCATCTTCGGATCCTGTGTTCCGCACGGGGGCTCCACCAGGGCAGGGATCGTGGTGAGGGTGGCTCGTGGGTCCCCCTCGCGGGGAGCAGGGTCTGGCACTCACCAGGGCGCAGGACTAGGACTTGTCGAATGAATCCATCCTTTTAGCTTTTAGTCCTTTGAAGAGCCTTGAGAATGGAAATCATGAGAGATTTTTCCATGGGGAAGTTCCTTTTACAAAGCATTTATTTACGTTGACTTCTTGGCACCCCGCGGGGCGGCAACGGGCAGGGCCTCCAGTGCACCTTCTGCGCCGTGGAGCCGCGGGGGCTCAGCTGGGCGGTGGTCGGGTCCTGAGGCCGGAGGGCGGGAGCAGGGGAGGGGAAAAGCAAAAGCGGGGAAAGAAGCCGGGGAGCGGTGGACCAGACGTCCAGACCTCCTGAAAGGCTGGCGGGGAGGCACAGGCGGGATCTTCCGGAGGTGAGAATTTTTTTTTATTATAGCAGAATGGGGAGGAATTGAGGGGAAAATGGAGATAGAACCTGAAAGAGCCCCAAACGCCAGAACCTGTAGCTCCCCAAGAATAAGATCTTCCAGAAGAACTAGACCCAAAACTAGCCGTTGGGGAACACCGAAATCCTTGGAGGAGCAACATCCGCATGACCCTCTGTGTTCCTTTAGGCAAAAGGACTTGCTTCCATTGTTTGTTCAATTGTTTGTGTTTCTTAAATAAATAAAACGATTTTCATGTATCTTTGAAATTACTTTGGCGCTACTATTTTATGATTGCAAATAATGCGGCAGTGATCATTCTTGTACACTTCTCATTGGCCATTTGTGTATTTCTATAGGGTAGAGGCCTGGAGAGCAGTTGCTCCAGCATAGGGATTACACAGTTTTTGTTTGTTTGTTTGTTTATTTATTTATTTATTTTTGAGACAGAGTCTCGCTCTGTCACCCAGGCTGGAGTGCAGTGGCGCCATCTCAGCTCTCACTGCAACCTCCGCCTCCCGGGTTCAAGCGAATCTCCTGCTTCAGCCTCCCAAGTAGCTGAGATTACAGGTCCGCGCGAGCCACCACATCGGGCTAATTTTTGTATTTTTAGTAGAGACGGGGTTTCACCGTTTTGGCCAGGCCGGTCTCAAACTCCTGACCTCAAGTGATCTGCCTGCCTTGGCCTCTCAAAGTGCTAGGATTACAGGCATGAGCCACCGCACCCAGCGATTACATGTTTTTTTAATATATATCATTCTATTTTCTTTCCTTATTTGGCTTATTAGCTGTAACTCTTTCTTTTGTTATGTCAGTGATGGCTTTAGGGTCCCTAGAATACATCTTTATCCGTCTGCCATCAAGTGACATTATACCTCCCCTTCTGGCCTTTATGCTAGTGTTGTCAGGGAATTTGATTTTGGACATGTTATAAACCCCAACATCCAAGTACGTACATAGCGATTTTCAGTCGTCTCCATTTCTTTGTGTAGGTTCAGATTTCTGTTTGATATCCTTATCCTTAGGCCTGGAGGACTCCTTTAATATTTCCTGTAGTGTGGTTCGGTGAATTCTGTCATTTTTTTGTATGTCTTTAAATGTCCTGATTTCAGTCACATTTTTGAAAGATATTTCAATTTGGTATAGAATTCTAGAATAAATTTTTTTCTCTCAGTACTTTAGGATGTTGCCACTTTGACGCTTTGTCATTGACATATCTTTCCTGTTTTTGTAAACTTGGCATAAAGTGGGTTTCCTGTACTTGTTATATGATTTTTGGATTGTGTATTCAAATTAAAAGTATTAAATTAAAATTAAAATGGCCTGGGCGAGGTGGCTCACACCTGTAATCCCAGCACTTTGGGAAGGGGAGGCAGAGGATCGCTTGAGACCCAGAGTTGGAGACCACCCTGGGCAAGATAGCAAGACCCTGTGTGTGTGTGTGTGTGTGTGTGTGTGTGTGTGTATGTGTGTGTATATATATACACATAAATATGTATATATATTATATGTATGTATTTATATATGAGTCCTACAGTCACCTTAAGTTCCACCAACAGTGCGCTTAAGGTAAAATGTGCCCAACCTGAGGCTCAAACCTACCTGCTGGCACGCAATTTGTGTTTGTGAGACAATCTCAACAGCATTTGCTTTTTCTAGCATAGTGGTTTTCCTGTTTTCCTCACATGTGAATGTCTTCAGTGCAAAACCTGTCAGAATTCATTTCCTTTGCTAAAATGTTTTAAAATAACTCTTACTTCAAGTAAGTGCATTAAAAATAAACTTCTCAGTTGCATCCCTGGAATCCATGGAAAGTCCAGGAGAGACAATCAAGTGCTACAGGATCAAGCCCAAACAGAACAGGACTAGGCATGGCTTCCTCACTAGGAGCCAGGCCAAAGTCATCTCCTTTGGTCTCCAATGGAGGCCAGAACTCGGTTCACCTGCAACGGGAGGACCTGGCCCAGAAGAGGTGGCCTTCATCTTCATGGTGCCTTCAGACAGGAAATCTAGGATTTCTTTTCTTCTCTTTGATCTACTTCCAACTCTCCCTATTTATTTATTTATTTATTTATTTATTTATTTGAGACAGAGTCTTGCTGTGTTGCCCAGGCTAGAGTGCAGCGGGGCAGTCTCAGCTCACTGCACCTCCGCCTCCTGGGTTCTAGAGATTCTCCTGCCTCAGCCTCCTGAGTAGCTGGGATTACAGGCGCCCGTCACCGTGCCTGGCTACTTGTTGTAGTTTTAGTAGAGACAGGGTTTCACCATCTTGGCCAGGCTGGTCTCGAACTCGTGACCTCGTGATCCACCCACCTCGGCCTCCCAAAGTGCTGGGATTACAGGCGTGAGCCACCGCATCTGGCCCTCCCTTTCTATTTCTTCAAGACCTTTTTCGGATCCCTCCTGCGCAGGACCTAAACGGGCGGTGCCCTTACCCACTGGTCCCTCCCTGCCTGGTGTCTTCGGAGCCCTAGCTCACCCGGAACGTTACTGCCCGCCGGTGACAGCGAGAGGACCAAAGAGGGCAGCGGGTGCGGTGGGAACCACAGAGTCACCGCGCACCTGCGCCTCGCGGGCTTCTCGCAAATTGAATAAACGCCCCCTGAAGCTTCTCTTCAAGTCACAGGGAAGGGGAAGGTGGCTGCCGACCCGGCAGGAGAAGCCGGCCCTGCCCCTGGTCCTTGAAGACAGGTTTGGCCAGGCTGATTTTGACTGGTAGGCCCAAAGAAAAGCCTCAAGGGCAGACCAAACTCCGACAGGCTCTGAGATTAAGGCTTTCAAACGTCTGATCGTTTTCAGCTTGGTCAGTAAAATCGATCCCGCCTTTATCAGGAGATTCCTTTGCCAAAGTTCAGAGACCTGGGGTTCCCGCTGCTTGTCACACAGAAAACCAATCACTGAGACGGTTATTGCCAAGGAAGAGGCTTTAATAGGGTGCTGCAGCGGAGGAGATGAGAACTCAGTCTCAAATCCATCTCCCTGACCAACCAAAACTAGAGGCTTAGATGGCAGGGAAAGAATGTGACAATGTGTAAGAAAACAGGAACTAGACCAGGCACGGTGGCTCACGCCTGTAATCCCAGCACTTTGGGAGGCCGAGGCGGGCGGATCACGAGGTCAGGAGATCGAGACCATCCTGGCTAACACGGTGAAACCCCATCTCTACTAGAAATACGAAAAGAAATTAGCCGGGCGTGGTGGCGGGCTCCTGTAGTCCCAGCTACTCAGGAGGCTGAGGCAGGAGAATGGCGTGAACCCGGGAGGCGGAGCTTGCAGTGAGCCAAGATAGCGCCACTGCACTCCAGCCTGGGAGGCAGAGGGAGACTCTGTCTCAAAAAGAAAAAAGAAAAAAAAGAAAAAAGAAAAGAAAGAAAACAGGAACTAGGGAGGGGTAAGGAAGCAATCAGGATGAATGAGGGGTCCGACATCTCATTGTCTGGGTGACTTTCAGTTCTTTGATATCTTTTTTGAGAGGCCTGAAGGAAAGAACTCAAATAAAACAAATATCGAGTTTCAAACTTTCAGATCAGAAGGGTCCATTTCTATGTTTATCCAAAAATCTACGTATGGGACTATTGGGTGGGTTTCAGACCAAGAAAGAGTGTGCATATCAAAGTCTGCGGTTAACCAAAGAGAAAACATAATTTTCCGACCAATAGGATGTATGGGGGTCAAAGAACGACCAGCTTACAGTACTGTTTATTGGCCTGAGCATACGGAAGGATGAAGTTGCACCAGCGAAATGGGATTAAGCTGCAGGTGCGGGCTGGGCGCGGTAGCTCACACCTGTAATCCCAGCACTCTGGGAGGCTGAGGTGGGTGGATCACTTGAGATCAGGAGTTTGAGACCAGCCTGACCAACATGGTGAAACCTCGTCTCTAATAAAAATACAAAAATTAGCCGGGCGTCATGGCGGGCACCTGTAGTCCCAGCTACTAGGGAGGCTGAGGCAGGAGAATCATTTATTAGTAAGGTCATTTATTAGTAAGGAAGAGAAGCAAGCACCAAGATTTAAGGCAGGAAGGGATAGGCTAACTCTACTGCTTTGTGCAAATGTAGTCGGGTTTATGATCAGGGCTGCCCTTAACTATAAAGCTGCTAACCCCTGAGTCTTGAAAGGGAAAAGAGAAACACTAGTTGCCAGTCTTTTGGTTGTACAACAAGAAGGCCTGGACTATGAGAATGCTTTTTCTGGATTAGTTCCATCAATGCTTTGTCCCTGAAGTCAGAAGTACCTTGCCAGTAAGGGACTGCTTTTTAAAGTTTTTTGTTGTTGTTGTTTAATTGGAAAATGCCCCCTGGCCACCCAGAACCCCATGAGTTCAACACCAAAGGCACTGAAGTGTTCTCCTTTTCCCCCAAACACATCTCTACTTCAGCCTCTAGATAAGGGAGTCATAAGGACCTTTAAGGCTCTACATATGGCACTCTATGGAAAGGTTTGTCAACATTGCAAAAGAGAAACCCAATAGAGAGAACATCATGGAAGTCTGGAAGGCTTACACCTTTCAAGATGTCATCAGTTGATATAGAAAACCATGAAACTCAAAACAATAAATTCGTGCTGGACAAAAGTACAATTTGTGTCCAGATGTTGTGCATAGCTACAGAATTACGACAAATCCAATTTAGAGAAAACCATGGAAAGAAGTATGGATATGAAGGGAAAAAAAGGTGTGGAGTGAAGGGTTGCAAGATATGGATCTTGGAGGAATTTAAGAGCTAATACACACCACACCAGAGGAATTAACAAAAGATGACTTCATGGAGATGAGTGCTTCCTAACCAGTGCCAGATAATGAGGAAGAAGACATAGGAAAAGCAGTGCCAGAAAACAAATTGGCATTCAACAATCTGGCAAAAGAGCTTTGATTATTCAAGACTACTTTTGACTTCTTTTATGACATAGACCGTTCCATGATACAGGAACTGAAACTAAAGCAAATGGTGGAAGACGGATAGGTACTACACTGAAATGTTTTTAGAGAAATGAAAAAGCAAAATAGACAGAAATAACGATGTATTTTTGTAAAGTTTCACCAAGTGTGCTTGCCTCTTTTGCTTCCCCTTCCATCCCTTCACCCTCTTCCACCTCTGCTACCCTAAGACACAAAGACCAGCTCCTCCTCCTCCTCCTCTGCCTACTCAACATGAAGACAACAATGATGAAGACCTTTAGGGTGATCCACTTCCACTTAATGAATGGGTCATATATTTTCTCTTCCTTACAATTTTCTTGATTATAATTTTTTTTCTGTAGCTTAGTTTATTGTAAGAATACAGTATATAATACACATAGCATGCAAAATATGTCTTAAATGTAATGCATGTTATCAGTAAGCCTTCTGGTCAACAATAGGTTATTAGTAGTTTGGGGGGAATCAAAAGTTGTATGCGGATTTTTCACTGTGTGGGAGGCCAGCTCCCCTAACCCTATGTTGTTCAAGGGGCAACAATATTCTTTCTCACTGGCACTTTACTTTCCATAAATTCAAATCCCAAAAGTAGAACTGCAAGTTCAAAAGGATTTTTAAAAACATAATTACTGTCAGATTACAGAAAGTTTCCAATTTCCATTTTCACTACCAATGTACAATGTTGGCGTCCCTGAATCCTTATCAGCAATGAATTTTTAAATATACTATAAGAGATGAAAAAATTTTTTTTAAATTTGGAATTCCCTGATCACTAATGAAGTTAAGCATCAATATTATTCCTTTAATATGCAAATGCTGAAAATACATTTAACTATAATAGATGTCAAAAATCTGTAAATCAGGCTAGGTGTGGTAGGCACTCACCTGTATTCCCAGCCACTGGGAGACTTGAGTCCAGGAGTTCCAGACTGTAGTATGCAATGATCAAGCCTGTGAATAGCCACTGCACTCCAGCATGGACAACATAGCAAGACCCCATCTTTTTTTAAAAAAAAGAGTCTATAAGACAAAGGTCCTCATAAATTAAGAGAAGCCAAGACAGTCACTGTGACTTCAGAATATTTTAATTTTTTTTATTATACTTTAAGTTCTAGGGTACATGTGCACAACGTGCTGGTTTGTTACATATGTATACATGTGCCATGTTGGTGTGCTGCACCCATTAACTCATCTTTTACATTAGGTATATCTCCTAATGCTATCCCTCCCCCAGCCCCCCACCACAGAGCAGGCCCCAGTGTGTGATGTTCCCTTTCCTGTATCCATGTCTTCTCATTGTTCAATTCCCACCTGTGAGTGAGAACATGCGGTGTTTGGTTTTTTGTCCTTGTGATAGTTTGCTGAGAATGATGGTTTCCAGCTTCATCCATGTCCCTACAAAGGACATGAACTCATCCTTTTTCATGGCTGCATAGTATTCCATGGTGTATATGTGCCACATTTTCTTAATCCAGTCTATCACTGATGGACATTTGGGTTGGTTCCAAGTCTTTGCTATTGTGAATAGTGCCGCAATAAACATACGTGTGCGTGTGTCTTTATAGCAGCATGATTTATAATCCTTTGGGTATATACCCAGTAATGGGATGGCTAGGTCAAATGGTATTTCTAGTTCTAGATCCTTGAGGAATCACCACACTGTCTTCCACAATGATTTAACCAGTTTACAGTCCCACCAACAGTGTGAAAGTGTTCCTATTTCTCCACATCCTCTCCAGCACCTGTTGTTTCCTGACTTTTTAATGATCGCCATTCTAACTGGTGTGAGATGGTATCTCATTGTGGTTTTGATTTGCATTTCTCTGATGGCCAGTGATGATGAGCATTTTTTCATGTGTCTGTTGGCTGCATAAATGTCTTCTTTTGAGAAGTGTCTCTTCATATACTTCACCCACTTGTTGATGGGGTTGTTTGTTTTTTCTTGTAAATTTGTTTGAGTTCATTGTAGATTCTGGATATTAGCCCTTTGTCAGATGAGTGGATTGCAAAAATGTTCTCCCATTCTGTAGGCTGCCTGTTCACTCTGATGGTAGTTTCTTTTGCTGTGTAGGAGCTCTTTAGTTTAATTAGATCCCATTTGTCAATTTTGGCTTTTATTGCCATTGCTTTCAGTGTTTTAGACATGAAGTCCTTGCCATGCCTGTGTCCTGAATGGTATTGCCTAGGTTTTCTTCTAGGGTTTTTATGGTTTTAGGTCTAACATGTAAGTCTTTAATCCATCTTGAATTAATTTTTGTATAAGGTGTAAGGAAGGGACCCAGTTTCAGCTTTCTACATATGGCTAGCCAGTTTTCCCAGCACCATTTATTAAACAGGGAATCCTTTCCCCATTTCTTGCTTTTGTCAGGTTTGTCAAAGATCAGATGGTTGTAGATGTGTGGTGTTATTTCTGAGGGCTCTGTTCTGTTCCATTGGTCTATATCTCTGTTTGGTACAAGTACCATGCTGTTTTGGTTACTGTAGCCTCATAGTCTAGTTTGAAGTCAGGTAGCGTGATGCCTCCAGCTTTGTTCTTTTCGCTTAGGATTGACTTGGCAATGCGGGTTCTTTTTTGTTTCCGTATGAACTTTAAAGTAGTTTTTTTCCAATTCTGTAAAGAAAGTCATTGGTAGCTTGATGGGGATGGCATTGAATCTATAAATTACCTTGGGCAGTATGGCCATTTTCACGATATTGATTCTTCCTATCCATGAGCATGGAATGTTCTTCCATTTGTTTGTGTCCTCTTTTATTTCCTTGAGCAGTGGTTTGTAGTTCTCCTTGAATAGGTCCTTCACATCCCTTGTAAGTTGGGTTCCTAGGTATTATTTCAAATATTATTGTAAAACAATGAGATATTGAAACATACATTGGAGCAAACTCTTCTTCATTCTTAAATCCTTTCAGCACAGAGACAATCAACTGACTGTGTGGGTACTACCTGACCACTATTGGAGTCTCTTTCATCTGCCTGAGTCTGTGCAACAATATGAAATTATAATTTTACTATGCACCTAAACTTTCCTCAATATATTGAATTCTTACAGAATTTGAAGAGTCAAATTTTGTAAATCCAGTTACCTTTTTCCACTACTCTAGGCCTCATATACTATCTGGCCTAAGGGTTAAAGGTCCACAATTGAATAAGCCAAACTTGTTAATTTGAGGGTAAAGCATGTCAAGAAATCTGGCCTTAATGTCCAATGAACTTATGTCATATTAAGTAGCTGGATAGAAACATGCATTCCAAAGTGGATGCTGTTTATCAGGCTCAGTGCTCTATTCTTGACAGTAAATCCCAGAATAGGGTGGATGCTTTAATTTTGTATTAAATAGTATTAGGTGTAATATCAAAACCACTAAGGGAACACTAATGATGAGAATAGGAACACTAGCTGTGGAGCTGGCAATTTTCTATAGAAATCCTATCTCTTTCAATTGCCTGTTTAGTGGGCAAGTGTTTCAGTTCCTATAATATCTAAATTGGAGAAAATCACCCCACCTACTTCTTCAGGTGTTATGATAATTATGAGGGATAACATCTTTTTAAGTGTTTAACACAATTCCTCACACATAGAAAGCAATAATAAACATTGGCTAGCATTGTAAGGATGGATTATTGTCTTCCAATGTGTTTTCATACATTTTCTTTCTAGGATCTTGAGTGAAACATGTGGATCTAGAACAAGAACAAAATGATGTTACCTTGATGATCTCTATGTAGGGTCACACTCAAGGCATCTTAAAATATTTTGCTGGCCAAAAAAGACACCTCCTGTTCTAATTGGGCATTGTCCTTTTCTTTAAACTATGCAGACAAACAATATTATAAAGTGAGAACATCCGCATAAAAAACCTAAACATAAATCTTAATAGTGAGTTCATGAAAATTCTTACTGATGAAATGGCAATGTCACAGACTGACTGTTTATGTCCCCCCAAATTTGTATATTGAAATCCTAACCCCCAAGCTACTCGTGTTAGGAGATAGAGCCTTGGGGAGGTGATTAGGTCATGAGGACAAGATTCTCATGAATGGGATTTGAGCCCTCATAAAAGAGACCCCAGAGAGCTCATTGGCCCCTTCCAAAGTATGGGGATACAGCAGGAAGTTGCCATCTATGAGCCAGAAGGGTGAACCTCACCCCAGATGCTGAATCTGCCTTGATATTGGACTTCCCAGCCTGCACAACTGTAAGAAATTTCTGTTGTTTATAAGTTACTCAGCTTGTGGTATTTTGTTACAGCAGCCTACACAGACTAAGACAAGTAGCATTTTGAGGATTAAAATTTCTTCATAAATGAATAGAGTATGCCCTGTTAAACCATATTCTCAGCTAACCCCGTTTACTCACTGTTCCTCTTTATTTTAGTTTCACATTTTTGCTATTTATCTCTGTAATTTTATTCATTCTTCACAATTTGCCATTCTTATACTTCGAATCATGTTATCAGTTTATAATACCTCCATCAAATGATAGTCTGCATTTGTTTATCCTTGGCTGATTCAAAACACTTGGCATAATTTCCTTAAAGGAAATCATCTTCATCCCACCTCACAACACTGTATTATTTTCAATTAATTTCCAATAAACTCTTAATTGTCCATGCTCTGTCAGAGTTGGCAGAGTTAATCCCTGTTTAAGCTAATAGGTTCAACTTCTTCAACAAACAAATCTTTCATGAAAGCTGCTGACAAGCCAGAGTATTAATTAAATCTAGTTTCATTGCTTCTCACTTTCCTTGATCTTTCTCTCTTGTTCTTTGGGAAACAGTCACAGAGTTCTGGCGCTAATAAATACTATAAAAAGTAGGAAATACAGTCTAAAGAAGCAGAATATTCTGTTTAAAGTTGATGTGGTGCTTTTTGTGCACCAAGCATTGGCTCAAAAGCCTGAAAATTAGGCAGCAATACTTCCTAAGCTCATCTTCAACCATAAGGCAGAAAAGCCAAACATATCTGAAAATATAATATCACTGGTACCTTATACCAGCACTAAGAATAAGAAAACCCTGGAAAGTGGCTCGAGTACAGTATTTTTCTATTGGAATTAATTTTTCAAAATGGAAAGGACTTCATTGTTATTTTTATTATAAAATTAGTATATGTTTATTATTAAAAATAAGTACAAAAATCTCTAAAAGAAAAAGGGAAAAATTACCAGCAGTTCCACATTCCAGATATCATCACTGTTAGCATTTAGGATACAAATATCCAAACACTTCTTCTATCAATACATTTAATTTTTAAATTTGACCATTATGCAATGTACACATGCACTAAAGCACCACACTGTACCCCATAAACATGTGCAATTATTATGTCAATTAAAAACAAAATAAAAGCATTTTACAAAAAATCATGTTATTTTTAATAACTTGTTTTTCTAATTTTATACACCATAAAATAAATGTCTTTACATGACATTTATTTTATGATAATAACTAATTTATTCATTTAAACAGCAAGGTACATTTCGTTCTACAGATATACTATATAATATTTACTCCGATCTCTGGATGAGAATTTATGTTGCCCGTAAATATTGTATCACAAACATTATAAGAATAATCTCTGTAAAGGTTTTCTTCCTGAATTATTATTTGGGTAGAAAAATTACTAGAAAGAGAATAACTGGGTCAAAGATTAAAGACAATTTAAATTTCAATATATAGAATCAAATTATTCTCCAAAATATTGTACTCTACAGTATTTGAATTTTGATTTTTTTCTCCATTTTCACTACTGCCAATAACTTTAATCTTTGTCGATAAATGAGACAAAAAAGACAAATAATGCAATATTATACAAGGGAGATTAATAGGTAGAAAAAGAAATGCAATGGCCAAGAGTAACAGAAGATGTTCAACATCAATCCAATCAAATTAATGAGTCTTTAAAATGCAATAGCAGTCAATGTTAGCAAGAGTGTAGGTATTAGACATTCTCATAGGAATATAAACTAGGGCCATGTTTTAGGATCATATTAGATCGCAGCAATTAAAAAATGTTAAATTCATATGTTCTATAGCAACTTCTCAGGTTGGAATTTATCACATGGAGAATCTTGTAAAATACATAAACCAAGATATGTTATTAATGTTATTGGTAGCCTATTGTTTAAATAAAAAATATATTTATACAATACAGTTGTTAAAAGTTAAGAATATCTTGAAGGTAAATTATTAAACAAAAATAGAAAGCCTAGGCCAGGCAAGACTTCATCTCATGCTTATAATCCCAACACTTTTGGAGACTGAGGCGGGAGGATTGCTTGAGCCCAGGAGTTTGAGACCAACCTGGGCAACACAGTGAGACCTCATCTCTAGAAAAAAAAAATACAAAGCCTAGTTCTGAACATCCTTTTGTGTAATACTAAAAGATAAAATTTTATTTTCTAACTTGTTTAAGATCTATATTCTATACGGGGGATGTGTATTAAGGTCATTTTTAAAAAGATACTCAAGGAATTGTCAACAGTGATTATCTTAAGGAGAGATTCTAGATGTCTGGGGGTAAGAGACTAGAGGAAAGAGAATTTTATATTTCATTTTTACCTTTATTTAATTTTTTGATTTTCTTACTGGGTGCATGAATTATATTTTTATGTCAGCATGTTTTATCAGATAAATAAAATTATGAGCTATTTCTGTTTTCTCTCATTTGTTTTATGTTTAAGTAAAGGAAAATGAGATATGTCTTTTTAAATTAGATAATCTTGAGTCCATGATTATTATGAAAGCCCTCTGTTATCTTTTTCCTTCCTTTCACAATGACTATTTATGTTGTAGAATCATTAATTTCTCAAGACAAATGTCTTAGAAGGTAGATACAAAAAATGGTATACATTTTTTGATTCAAGCTAATTTCATGTTATGAACAAAATTATGTAATGTCATTTCTAAGACCTTTCTGTGATCTATCAATCCACTAGGTTAAAGAGCAGAAATCACTTCCAAAACAAATCCTTTTGCAGTCAGCAAAATGAAGCAACTATATGAATAAGTTTTTCCACTTGGCCTATTTTTCTACCCATGGTTATTAATCAGTCTCACTGACTACATTTTCCGTTTTACATCCCCTTTCAGGCACTACTGCAGATGGCCAAGCATATCACATTATGTAAATAAAATAAAACAAAATCTTTTCCCATTGAGCAAATGGATATACTTCACCTCTAATGCTTCCAGTCTTTCTCAGATCATTCAAAAAGCATGATATGGTTTCCATAAAAGGACATTCATCCCATTTGACTAACTGGAATTTCTTTACTCCAGCTAATCTTTACCAAAGAGCTGAATTAATTCAAGTTGACACCCTGTTATCTACCAGCTCTTCCAGCCCTTTTGCTTGATTGTTTTGTCATTTTGCCTTTTCTTTTCTTCTAAAGTGGGAGTATGGAGATTTACCCTTCTGAAACAGCTGTGTCACATCATGATCCTTGAGGATATCAGCTCTTAACTGGCTGCACATCAAAATCACTGTTTCCTTTGACCAATACTCTAGACACACTCAAGCAGAGATTCTGGATTCTGATTTAATTGACACAGAGTAGGGCCTGGGCATTTTTACAGCTCCCCACATGATTCTATTGTGCCTCATCTATCCTAGCCCTTAAGCAGGACCAAACATTTGTTCTATCTTAATTATTATTCTCTTAAACTTAGTCCAATTCCTTACAACTGATAGCTTTCTATATACTCATCTGCCTTGAGTGATGACAATTGATATGGTTTGGCTGTGTCCACACCCAATCTCATCTTGTAGCTCCCATAATTCCCACATGTTGTGGGAGGGGCCCAGTGGGAGATAACTGAATCATGAGGATGGGTCTTTCCTGTGCTGTTCTTGTGTTAGTGAGTAAGTCTCATGAGATCTGATCATTTTTAAAATGGGAGTTTCCCTGCACAAGCTGTCTCTTTGCCTGCTGCCATCCATGTAAGATGTGACTTGCTCCTCTTTGTCCTCCACCATGATTGTGAGGCCTCCCCACCCATGTGGAACTGTAAGTCCATTAAACCTCTTTCTTTTGTAAATTGCCCGGTCTCAGGTATGTCTTTATCAGCAGCATGAAAACAGATGAATACAACAATACTGTAACAAATCTACTCACATCTGTTCTCTTTATAGGAATTGCAGTGCTACAATATTAGTGGCTCTTAATTCTAAGAGTGTTAAAAAATATTAATGCTTGTCTCACCCCTAAAGTCTAGGGTGTGACCTGAGTATTAGGTTATTTAAAACTTTTCTCAGGTAATAGACATGTGCAGCCAAGGTTGAGAGCCACTCTATAGGGCCAAGATATGTAAGAAAATTCAAGTCCTTTAGCTGGGCATGGTGGCACGCAGCTGTAGCCCCAGGTACTCTGGAAGCTGAGGTGGGAGGATTGCTTGAGCCCAGGAGAGAGAGGCTGCATTAAGCTATGATCACATCACTGCACTCTAGCCTGGGTGACAAAGTGAGATCATGTCAAAAAAAAAAAAAAAAAAGAAAGAAAGGAGAAAGAAAGGAAGAAGAGGAAGGAAGGAAGGAAGGAAGGAAAAGAAGACAGAAAGAAGAAAGAAAGAAAGGAACAAAGAAAGAAAGAAAGAAGAGAAAAAGAGAGAGAGGAAGAAAGAAAGAGAGAAAGAAAGAAAAGAAAAAGGAAGGAAGGAAAGGAAGAAAGAAAAAGAGAGAAAGAAGAAAGAAAAGGAAAGAAAGAAAGAAAGAAAGAGAGAAAGAAGGAAAAGAAAGAAAATTCAAGTCCTGCCTTGTAAAATGCAGTACTCCATTTTCCCAAAGAGATCCCAAGGGAAACTTAACTACAGGATAAAGACAGACAAAAGGACATAAATTACAACTACTCTAGGTTCACATATTATTTTGTTTCTGAAATGGGTTTTAAAATATCTATGTCAGAGTTCATTTCTAGAACTTTATCTCTAGAAAACATATTTTCACTTCTCAATACAGGAAAATGGAGATTGGAAAAATGAGGTTGGAAAATGATTTCCATGCTTATCTCTCAGCTTCTTTTTTCAACTTCCCTTTTTTCATCTCCGTATCTTCACTGATACCTAGGAATCTCTGTTACATCACAGTCTTCAAGAGCTTTGCTCACAGCGAATTAGTTAAGACATTAGCTTTCAAAAGTATATGATATTCTCTCACAAGCATTTGTCTACTTTTAATAGGGCAAGCTATGTAAAGATGTTAAATCTCATTCCAGAAATACCACATCTACTCTACCTATTTATGAGAACAGTCGTCTCTAGACCAAGATAGAAATTCATAGTTAGGAAATAAATCCCTGTAGGGTTTTTCCACAGTCCCAACATGTCCCCTACTGTCCCGATTTTAGCAACAAAAATCCCCCATCCAGAAAATCCTTCATTCCTGAGTAAGTTGAAAGATTGGTCACCCTATTTCTATCTGTGTCTCTTTCTTTCATAATTGGCTCATAATCATAGCAGTCACAATTTTGAAAAATTTTATTTTACTGAATTACTCATTGCTGTTTTCTCATTTTTTAAATAATAAACACTTATTAAGAAACATTGGAAATATACCGAAAATAGTAAACAATAAAACAGAAACCATTGGCAGAAATCGTCACTATTAAAATCTTAATATACTCCCTTCCAATGTTGTTTCTGTTAATGCAAATTGAAAAATCAGAGATTCGCCTCTGTGAACTAGATCTCTTTTTACCTTTAGATATTATTTGACAAATACATAGCTCAATCATCTATCCAAACTTCTCTTTTACAGACTCCATGCCAATTAACCTTCTCCTATGAAACTATTATTTCTTCACATAGGATAAATATGGTTATTGACACACAAACTTTCTTAGTTACACTGCAATCCAGTTGTGCGTCCCTAAATTTATACCAATTGGATTTAGAATGATCATTACTAAAGAGGCTTGGCCTTATCTCTTGCAATTTGCTTCTTCCTTCTTAAATTCAATTCTTGTAATGTAACTATAATTTGGGGGTATCTTTTTGCCTCATATTCAAGTTCTCTTTCAAACTGAGGTACATTTCTGTATTTCTGTATTTGTATATTGCATATAATAGTATAGAAAACAATAATGAGATTATAGTGTACATAAAAGTTTTGAAGTATAATTAAATATTTAATATATAAATATATTAAATATGGGCTGCTGACTCACCAAGCCTGGTTTGGCTTCCATCACTTGTGTAATCAATCACCTGTATTAAATCACCTCTGCTTGAAAGACGAAGAATAGTTTCTGATTTATAAGCAAACACTGAAAGCTCTTCTATTTCTTGTTTGCTAAACAAGATTTGTCAAAGTTAAATATTTTATTTTATTGAATTCACTTTTTGCCTCTCCTACAATGATGATTTGCTTTTCCTCCTTTAACTTGTTAATGTGATGAATTATACATAGTTTTTTTTTCTATTGTTAGAAATCCTTGCATTCATGGAACAAACACAATTTTCATACTATATTATCTTTTTTATAGACTTCTAAACTTAATTTGCTAACTTTTAATTTAAAATGTTTGCCGTTAGGTTCATGAGGAAAGTTGGCATGTAATTTTCCTGTCTTACACATTTCTCATATAATATTGGTATCAAGGTTGTACTGGCCTCATGAAATGAACGAACAAATGGACCTTTTTTTATTCTGGAGTTGTTTTTATAAAATGGAAATAATCCATTTCTTGAAAACATTTGATAGAACTCACCAGTAAAAATGTCTGGGCCTGCTGGTTCTCTTCTTCTAAGAAGAATTTGGAACTTATAATTAAAGCTCCTTTAATGTGTTAGAAAACTTTCCAGGTTTCCTTGAACATTAATAAATTCCAATGACGAAAAGCCCTCAGATATTAAATATAACCTTAAATATAACCTTCCCCCGATTCAATTTTTCTTTTGCAGATATGATTAGATACTCTAATTTTTCAACCTCTATTTCACATATCCATTTTCCTTTCCTCCTCTGTACTGTCTTCAGCATAATTTGTTTAGTCTAACTTCCAACTCACTTATTTTCTTTTTGGTTCTATCCAATATTGTGTTTAACCTGTCCATTTAGTTTTTAATTTTCATTATATTTTTTATTTCTAAAAGATCTCTTAAATTCAGTTTCAATCTGCTTAATATAAGATACATACACTGTCTCAATTTATATTCCTGGCACACCTCATTGATTTTTTAAACATATTAAACACAGCTTTTATAGTTATATAATCATCCTAATATCTGAAATCTTTATGGGCATAATTCTGTTTCTGCTCATGATGTTTATTTCCTCATGAGTTTTGTAAGAGTCTTACTTTTTTCTCATTTTGGATGAAATTTTACCTGTGGCCATTCTTTGAGACATGGGCTGAATGTGGGTTTCTCCAAAGACACTTTGCCTTCGTCTTGTGTTTGGTGGTAATACCAACATGGGATAACTATAAAATAAATTATCAGTTTCATGTGTGGGTTTTTTTTAACTTATACTTACAGTGAAAATTTAAACCACAAATTCATGTGAAGATGGCCTTCTCATTTTTCCTCTAAATGGCACCGAGTTTGAGGCAGGAAAATTTCCTGGTTGTCTCCCGCTGAGGAACAGGTTTTTATCTAGTTTATCCTTTCACTGAAATTATAGTCCTTCGTATCTCTGGCTTTCAGCAGTTTTCTCCTGTAAGACTGCTATAATGGGCAGGCACTAGGTTTTGTCTCACACTCTCCCATATCCCAGGTGGTCATAAAAATTGAAGCTCAGGGTACTAGGGCCAGGACTGTCCTTATGGAAGCTTCTGGTTTGGGGGTCTGCATACCTCTCTGGATTTATGTATTCTCCTTATGCTTGGCCTATGTGGTTCACCTTAGTTTCTATTCAAGTCAGTAATATACTTTTGAAAAATGACATGTACATTTTATCTGGTATTTGTAGATTTCATATAGCAGGATAGTGATTCAGCAAATTTAGTCTACCACAATGCTGGGAATAGAATTCCCCTAATTTTTGAAAACATTATATCAAATCATGTTTATTGCCATTAATAGTCTTATAAATGTGCTTTTAAGTAACTGCATTTTGTCATAGCTCATTGTGATTGTATATTTAACTAGTTCACCCCTACCTCATGTTTTTTGGGAGTGAAGGTTGTACTCAACTCATTATGTTAAGTAATACTACAGTAAACATCAATCTATACATGCATTAATAATGATTTCCAAGAAAGTAGTGACACATGGTCATAATCATCTTTGAGGCTGATGGTACATATTTTCAAATTGCATCTCAGAAATAATATACCAATCTGTGCTCTAATCAGCCGCATATGAAAGTGTCATCTTTCTGTTCTCCAACCAATACAACTACTACTGTTTTTATACCTACAAATCTGACAAAGATGGGAGAAGGGATCTTATAGTTTCAATTTGTATTTCTTTGGTGACCAATGTACTAAATTACTCAATGTACTAAATTACTCTTTTCCTGTTTATCATCCATTTCAAACAAAATGTAAACCATTTTTTAAATTTTTTTATATTAATGCAAATTGTAAATCACTACTTTATTTATTCAACTTCCTAAGCAAAATTATATGTTGTCCCATTTATACATTTTATATTAGATCATTCTGCCTTACATTTATATCCTAAAACTGTCAGAATTATATAATAATGATGAACAGTTGATTATAAATAATGTCTTTATTAGGATATTTCACCATAAATCTAAATTTCATCAATCTTTCTTTAAATATCTCTACACAATGTCCTCTTGTATTATATTAATAATTGCAGATACACTTCTTTTTGCTATTTCTATTAATTCTTTCCTATTCCTATTGTATGTTAGTCTCCCATTTTCTCCCATAAAATAAATAAAAATTTTTCTATCAGATTCTGTGATATATTACTTCTTATTCCCAGCCTTCAACATTTTAAGAATTCAGATTGACCTTTTCTCCCATTCTTATTTCAAGTTATCAGCATGTCGATACTTGGGAAATCTCATCAAGTGTTTAACAGTGCATACCTTACTGATTCATTATTTATTTCAATTTAATCTTTCTTATTTTCATTCAACTTTTTTCTCAGTAATACAACTTTTTCAAGCTTTTTATTTTCTAATGCATTTCTCCAAATAGCAGCCATAACCCTTATATGCCCTCTTTCAATGACAACAACAAAAGTGTGCTAGGCTTCTTGGAAGAAAATAATGATACCAATTTAAGAAGGAGAAAATTGATGTACTGATAAACAAATGGGCATCTTAGGATCATGTTTCTCACAAGTAAGGCAGTTCCAGAAATTCCTAGGACCATAATGGGTTTTATTCTAAATAGGTTAAACATATCACTTAAAAAATTGTTTTCTACAGTTCTCTAATATTGCTTACAATTGTCCACGTTTCCATGTTTATAAACTTGCACTTTTTTTTTTTTTTATGGAGTTTTGCTGTTGTTGCCCAGGCTGGAGCCCAGGCTGGAGTGTAGTGGCGTGATCTTGGCTCACTGCAACCTCCACCTCCCAGGTTCAAGCAATTCTTCTGCCTCAGCCTTCTGAGTAGCTGGGATTACAGGTGCGTGCCACCACACCTGGCTAATTTTTTGTATTTTTAGTAGAGACGGGGTTTCACCATGTTGGCCAGGCTGGTCTCGAACTCCTGACCTCAGGTGATCCACCCGCCTTGGCCTCCCAAAGTGCTGGGATTACAGGCATGAGCCACTGCTCCCGGCCTTATACTTGCACACTTTTTAATTCTAAGACCTTGCTACTCAGTGAGGGATCCTGGGACTAATACCATCAGCTTGACTTGAGGCCGTTTGAAGGCAGACTCAGAATCTGCAATTTATCAGGATCCCCAGGTAATTTGTATGTGCAGTCTAGTTTGGTAGATCTGCTCTGGCAGACTGGAAGACTCTTCTATCTGCCTCACGTAAGGTGCAGGTGACATAATTAGGTAATCAAGCAAAAGATCACATATTTTAATAAGAAAGAGACACTGGCTATTATTTTGAGTGGCAAAACAGGTTATTCAGTCCCAGTTTAAAATGGAAATGACAGAGACCAAGATGAAGATTTTTAATTTGAGATGTGCCTGCGATGCAATTACATTTGCTGAATGAAACTGCTTCAGTAATTAGATGCAGGTTTCTTCTCTCTTCTTTTTGAGATGTAAAGAAGACACAATAGACTCATGGAACTTAAAGAACTAGACGCCAGCTAACAAAACATGCTATCCAGACTCTTCTGTTTCACCATATTGCTTTCTTGAAAACATAGGACAGTGCCAGTTTAGCACTGAAAAAAATCAGTTCTCCTAATTCTAAAAAGAGGAGACAGCCAGGCGTGGTGGGTCACTAAAAATACAAAAAATTAGCGGGCATGGTGGTGCATGCCTGTAATCCCAGCTACTTGGGAGGCTGAGGCAAAAGAATCACTTAAACCTGGGAGGTGAAGGTTGCAGTGTGCTGAGATAGCGCCATTGCACTCTCGCCTGGGCAACAAGAGCGAAACTCCGTCTCAAGAAAAAAAAAAAAAGAGAGAGAGAGAGAGAAACTGTAATTTCATTTCAGAAGTTTTATAGGGTACTATTTCCAATTCTTTTTTTCTTACTCCATTAAAGTGTAATTAGCAGTATGTGAAAATTTCCACTTTATCCTCAATCAGAAGCCTCTCCTTCCAATTAGCATATATTTTTTCTATTAACTTTGTAAAGTGGGATTCTTGTTTTATACATACCCCTGGAAAGTATACTTAAACTGTGAGACCCTGGGATTTTATATTTCCAAATAGAAGATACCATCCTCTTGTATCACAAAATGTACCTAAGATGGTTTGGATTATATTTAAATATTCTTGAATGAAATAGACTTACTGACTGAAGCCAATTATTATATTTTTCCACACCAAAATAAATGCAATAGGAAAAGATGACAGTTCTATGTAGTATTCCTGCTTCCATATTGCACAAATTAGAAACATACATATTCCATTATGTTACAGGGTCTAGGGCTTTGGGAGGACAAGGCTGCAGGCAGCCGAGATTGTG
The DNA here is from genome assembly GCF_000001405.40 of Homo sapiens. Taxonomy (NCBI): domain Eukaryota; kingdom Metazoa; phylum Chordata; class Mammalia; order Primates; family Hominidae; genus Homo; species Homo sapiens. Next base: position 149,579,314 of record NC_000001.11, read on the forward strand.
CCGCTGCACTCCAGCCTGGGCGACAGAGTGAGACCTTTTCTCAATAATAATAATAAAAGTAAAAAGAAATATAATATTTAATCAATATATGCACACACATGGGTTTATCATGACACACATGACATGTGTGTACAGTGAAAAAAATGAGTAAATCTAGAAACCTGTATTGCCTCAATAGCTAGCTAAGTACTTCAATATGCATGTTTATTTCAACAATTTTGTGTTAAGCTTCAGTGGTAAATAAGCAGAGTACACTGACCATAATGAATACTTCTTTTGATGAGGGTTATCACTACACAATTAAAATATTACATAGTTGGCTGGGCACGTTGGCTCACACCTATAATCCCAGCACTTTGGGAGGCCGAGGCAGGCAGATCACCTGAGGATGGGAGTTCAATACCAGCCTGACTAACATGGAGAAACCCCTTCTCTATTAAAAATACAAAATTAACCAGGCGTGGTGGCACATGCCTGTAATCCCAGCTACTCAGGACGCTGAGGCAGGAGAATCACTTGAACCTGGGAGGCAGAGGTTGTGGTGAGCCGAGATAGCGCCATTGCACTCCAGCCTGGGCAACAAAAGCAAAACTCCGTCTCAAAAAAATATATAATAATATATATATATATATATTATATAATCAATATAAATATAATATATAATAAATATATAATATGTATTATACATATAATAAATATATATATTATATATAATAAATATATCATATAGATGATATAGTTTAGAGTTAAATACTGACTGCTCTTGGGAACTTTGAGGTATTCTGAGGGATATAAATAACACGAAGAGAATAGCACATTGGCTTGAAGCAGATTAGAGTCTGCTACCTGCGTGAATACTTGCTTTTCATGAACTATGAGGATGCCCTTAGCTTTTGAACCACTTCTACTTGTGTTGAAATTTACCCTTTAATTTTGGGGTTTGACAGGCTCTGCCCTTCTGTTATGCTTGAGTCTGGCTTTTCCTACTCTGACTCACTTTGATTCTTGACCTCTGAATCTTATTCCTGTTTTACAATAAACACACATCGCACATACGCCAATTAGTAGAGTGGAAGAGGGAAAAATTGCCAAGGAACTATGTTTAATTTTGTTCCTTTCGCAAACCAGACACCATAACAGAAAAATTTTAGGAACATGTGCATGTTCAGTAGCCTTCAATGCAATTATACTGGTTATTAAAAAGTGTTGGATAATCAATATTTTTTAAAGATTCACTAGTCCCTTCTGATAATTTTAGAACTTTGGGAAGTAATAATACAAATGTATTTTTAGCTGTGTCCTTTAATCTTTTACTGTTTCCTCTATGTGTGGTGTTTGGTTTGTGTGTGTGTGATAATTATTATAAAGATCAGAGGCTAACAGAGGTGTTAATCACGAACTTTTACATTTTTTTATTTTTATTTTTTTATTTTTTTTAAGAGACAGAGTCTCGCGGTGTTGCCAAGGCTGGATGCAGTGGCGCCAACTCAGCTCACTGCAACCTCCGCCTTCAGGGTTCAAGCGATTCTGCTGCCTCAGCCTCCCAAGTAGCTGGGACTGCAGGAGGGCACCACGATGCCCCACTAATTTTTGTATTTTTAGTAGAGATGGGGTTTCACCATATTGGCCAGACTGGTCTTGAACTCCTGACCTCATGATCCGCCCACCTCAGCTTCCCTAAGTGCTGGGATTACAGGCGTGAGCCACCGCGTCTGGCTGCATGACCTTTTAACTTGTCTCATACACTCAATATTCTCAAGATATACCTTCCAAAGTGAAAAATTATGGCACTTTGCAGCCCTGACCACTAACTGAGAACTTTGATGCTTTGGATTTTGGAGACCTCATTTTATCACCTGGTCCTTTTACTTCATGACTTGTCATGCTGCCACCTTTTGATGGGATTGAGATCAAGATAATAATTCCCAACTGGTCAGGAATATTGTGCCCCTTTGTTTTTATATCCAGATGCAATAGAGCCTCTGACACACCACTACTATTGTTCTTAGGATTTGGAACAAAATGCTTCTTTCTTTGACAAAATAAATGTTTTCTTTAAAGAACTCTTGATTGATCCTGGACCATTGTAGAAACTGAAGTCCTATCAATGCAAAAAAATATGACAACATGAGCTGCTTATCATGAAATAAGTGTTTTCCAATTAACTATCCTGCTTCATCAGCAGGTAGGAATAATAGAATCTATACCTATGTCTTCATGGGAAGTTCTCTATGGCCAGTTGATTAGTGAGGGAAAAATTGAGCCTGATTTACAGAAGTCACTGTACAACATCACAGCAGCAGCCAAAAGTAGATTGCTTAGGCATTATAACCTACGTGAATGCAATTTTAAAAGAAATTCAGCCTATGTAATTGGTTGTCCACGATGTCTAGGAGAGATATTATTGATGTATATGTGGCAGCTAATAATTTGTCTAGATAATTAAGGACTTGGGGCCAGGCCTGATGGCTCACACCTGTAATCCCAGAACTTTTGGAGGACAGGACAGGTGGATTGTCTGAGGTCAGGAGTTCGAAACCAGCCTGGCTGACATGGTGAAACTCCGTCTCTACTAAAAATACAAAAATTAGCCAGATGTGGTGGTGTGTGCCTGCAATCCTAGCTACTTGGGAGGCTGAGGCAGGAGAATCTCTTGAATCCAGGAGGAAGAAGTTGCAGTGAACCAAGATTGCACCACTGCACTCCAGCCTGGGCAACAAAGCGAAACTCTGTCTCAAAAAAAAAAAAAAAAGAAAAGAAAAGAAAAGATAATTAGGGACTCGGAAAGACAAAGACTGAAGGATTGGTGGCAATGAGTTTTGGGGAAAAAATATGTAGATGAACCACAGAAAATGAGCCAGAGTGTAAGAATATTTGTGCTTAATACGAATGCTCACCAAACTATCATCAGGAAGGTTATCAAATAGATATGAAGGTATGAAACAATCTCTTTCACCAGGCACTACATTGCTTGCTCAGAAGGCTAATAAACAGCAACATTGGTGGTAGCAGTAGAGAATACACATAGGTTTAGCAACATGTTGGACTTTACCACTCTCGCTTACAAAAGCCTATTTAGCTGTCAAGACTATTAGGTGTCCAACACACAAGCAACAAAGTCCAAGGCTAAGCACACAATAACATATCCTGGGTGAATAAATCAGTCACCTTTTGTCAGACTTGTTGATTTTATTGGAGCTCCTCTATGATAAAGGCAACAAGGAATTTTGTAAATGGAATCTACCTTCATCCTTGAATTACATTTGCTTTACCTGACATCATTTTTCTCTGATCGCCACTCTCCACGGGTACATTGAATGCCTTATATATACTGCCATAATATCCTGTTCTACATCCTTCTATTAAAAGAACTTGTTGTATAACAAATGAGTAGATATTCATTGGACTCACCTGGTCCACCATTTATCCTATCACTAACCAAAATTATTATTATTATAGAATGGTGAATATTTTATTAAAGACTCAATCACAGTGCCAGCTGGAGACAATGGCTTATAAGATTGTACTCATGCTAGAGGATGTGGTGGTGTATCCTCTGAACTAGTAACTAAGTATAAGCTTGTCTGGTGTCTCCCATATAAAAAATACAACAATCTTTGATATTTGTTATGAATGTTGAAGTGACTCCTTTTGTCATTACATCTAATGATCCACTCCAAATACTTGTCTCTTGTCTCTGAGATTCTAGGTTTTTGCAGAATTAGTACCCAAAGGGAGAGTCTTAGCAGTATTCCATTTTACAATCCATCCTTCGTTAGAGGATGAGAGACTTCTATCTAGCCTTTTAGGTTGCCTGAGACCTTTAAACAAACAGTCAAAAATTTAAAATTTAAAATGCGGCTACACTGTTGCATGGGGTAGTAAATCTTGACCTTAAAACTGGTATTTGTAAGAAAAACAGAAAGAATTCAGGGATCCCCTTTGATGGCTCCTAATTCTATACAGTCCTGTAAATATTCCTGAAGACTAACCAGGCGTGGTGGTGCACACCTGTAATCCCAGCTACTCCAGAGGCTGAGGAAGAGAATCACTTGAACCTGGGAGGCGGAGGTTGCAATGAGCTGAGATTGTACCACTTCACTCCAGCCTGGGTGACAGAGCAAAACTCTGTCTCCAAAAAAAAAAAAAAGAAGAAGAAAGAAAGAAAGAAAGAAAGAAAGAAAGAAAGAAAGAAAGAAAGAAAGAAAGAAAGAAAAGAAAGAAAGAAAGAAAGAAAGAAAGAAAGAAAGAAAGAAAGAAAGAAAGAAAGAAAGAAAGAAATGAAGACTGCCAAAGCTTGGAAGCAACCAAGATGTCCTTCAATAAGTGACTGCATAAGCAAACTGTGGTATATTCCTACAGTGGAATATTATTCAGTGCTAAAAGGAAAAAACTATCAAGCCACAAAAAGATACAGAAAAAACAAAGACATTTTGCTAAGTGAAAGAAGCCAGTCTGAAAAGGGTACATACTGTGATTTCAACTATACGACATTCTGGAAAAGGCCAAACTATAAAGACAGTAAAAAGATCAGTGGTTATCTTTGCAGACGCCACCATCGCTGTGAGCCCTGTACTATCAGCCATGGTCAACTCCGTCGTCTTTTTTGACATCACCGTCGACGGCAAGCCCTTGGGCCGCATCTCCATCAAACTGTTTGCAGACAAGATTCCAAAGACAGCAGAAAACTTTCGTGCTCTGAGCACTGGAGAGAAAGGATTTCGTTATAAGGGTTCCTGCTTTCACAGAATTATTCCAGGGTTTATGTGTCAGGGTGGTGACTTCACACGCCCTAATGGCACCGGTGACAAGTCCATCTATGGGGAGAAATTTGATGATGAGAACCTCATCCGAAAGCATACAGGTTCTGGCATCTTGTCCATGGCAAATGCTGGACCCAACACAAATGGTTCCCAGTTTTTCATCTGCACTGCCAAGACTGAGTGGTTGGATGGCAAGCATGTGGCCTTTGGCAAGGTGAAAGAACGTGTGAATATTGTGGAAGCCATGGAGCACTTTGGGTACAGGAATAGCAAGACCAGCAAGAAGATCACCATTGCTGACTGTGGACAATTCTAATGAGTTTGACTTGTGTTTTATTTTCACCACCAGACCCATTCCTTCTGTAGCTCAGGAGAGCACCCCTCCACCACATTTGCTTGCAATATCCTAGAATCTCTGTGCTCTTGCTGCAGTTCCCTTTGGGTTCCATGTTTTCCTTGTTCCCTTCCATGCCTAGCTGGATTGCAGAGTTGAGTTAAGTTTATGATTATGAAATAAAAACTAAGTAACAACAACAACAACAAAAAAGCTCAGTGGTTGCCAGGAGTTTGGGGATGGGTAGGGAGATAAATAGTTCTGAAACAGGCGATTTTTAGGGGATTGAAAATACGTTGGTAATAATGTAATGATGGGTACATGACATTATGCGTTTTGCAAAACTCCTAGACCTGTACCACACAAAGAGTGAACCCTAATGTAAACTGGGGGTGGGATAAAGGTGACAGTATGTGAGAACTCTGTACTTTCTGCTCGATCTTTCCATAAAGCTAAAACTGCTCAAAAAATAAAGTCTATTATTTTGTTAAATGAAAGAAATTAACAATGACCATGGCACGCTCACACAAAAAGATTACCAAGGACATTTCTCTGTCAGGAATGAATATTTGGTCATCTCACAAGGCAAAACCCTGACTAGCAGAGGTGTTAGCTGAGGGCACATGGCCATAGATGCCAATAGTGACCTGCTGGCCACTTGCAGAAAGGAGAGCCTTGACATCCAAACACATTGTTTCTCTTGTATTGTCCTGTGCATACTTATGTATCTTAACAACTTTCCTTCCTTCCTCTCCATTTATCCCTCTTTTTAAAACAGGGCTTATTGAGGGTGATTAACTTAATTTTTAAATGATATATGGCAGAATGTCAAGAGAGTATAGTGAAGAACTTCGTAGAGGAATGGACATAACCCAGAATTCTTAGACTTAGAGTACATGCTGTGATTGAGAATTTTTTATTGTTTCATTGTTCAAGAGATTGTAGGTACATGTTCAATTATTAGAGAAATAGTTGCACTCTGTTAGAAGGAAGCTTGGGTCTTTCGTGTTTACTTTCAAAAGGGAAAGTTTATATTGATATTGAGCAAGTTAAAGCATGAATATTTATTATTTGATGTTTGTTTCTGTGTTTGAGGAATTCCTCAGCCTCTCAGTTTTGATGAAAACAAGAAACCACCTCCTGCTTTAGAAGCTAAAATGCCAAATGCTTGCTTTCTCAGCCTCCTTTGCAGCTAGGGTACAAGCATATGACTTAGGTTTTGCCAATCTGTTTGCCAGTGCTGAATTTCGACTTCGGAATTAATAAAAAAAGAAGCAGATTCAGTTATGCTTTCTCTTGTTTCTGGTGGAGGCCATGTAGCAGCTGCTACAATATCTGTTGCAAAGCAAACAAGTGGGAGTGGTGCTGGTGGCTTTGCAGTTAGCCTAGGATTGAGCAATTGCTGCAATTGTTGCTCTCTGCATCTTTGGTGTTACTTCTTACTGGTGGTGACAGTGGTTTCCTCCCTGGATGAGTTCTACAGCATGGTTTGGGGTACATTTCCTGGCTGCCTAGCTTTGATCTGGCTCTCTAGCCTTCTCAACAGTTCTACAAGTTCCCCACTATTTCTGTGATAAACCTATTTATTGTTAATGTCAGCCATAATTGGCTTCTGTGGTTTATATTTTTTAAAATTCCAAGATATACCAGCGTAACAGATAGCTCAACAAACATATGTCTTTTTAAATTAAGATATATTCTGTGTCACATGAAGTACAATGGACAAAATGCAACAAATTGAATTGAGCTAAAGACCAAATATATATTAAGCCTGGCTGGTCTTAAAAATGTAACTGGATACAGCCAGGCATGGTGGCTCACGCCTATAATCCCAGCACTTTGGGATCCTGAGGTGGGCAGATCACCTGAAGTCAGGAGTTTGAGACCAGCCTGGCCAGCATGGTGAAACCCCATCTCTACTAAAAATGCAAAAATTAGCTGGGTGTGGTGGTATGCCCCTGTAATCCCAGCTACTGGGGAGGTTGAGGCAGGAGAATCACTTGAACCTGGGAGGCAGAGGTTGCAGTGAGCCGAGATCATGCCAATGCACTCCAGCTTTGGCAACAGAGTGAGACTTTGTTTCAAAATAAAAAAATAAAAATAAAAAAATAAAAATGTAACTGGATAGACCTAAGGTTCTTGAATAAGCAGAAAATAATTTAGGTAAAAACCAAATAATAAACTAACATTCTGAAAGGTTTAGGATTTGGAGGCCCAAATGTCTTAGCTAAAAGTGTTCATTCTAACCTCACAGGAAAATTGAAATATGAAAATATACAGAAAAATCTTAGGCAGTATATGTCAATTTTAAGAAACAACTATTTACAGGTTTTTCAACAGGCATTACATTAAAAATGAAATATGTAGTTAATAAATATGAAAACTGTGGATATAATCAACACATTTATTTTACTTCTTGAAGTGTTAACATGTGCTGTCTCAAATATCAACAGTGTACACGTGAGAAAAAACATTTTACATAGATTTTCTGCGACAGAAAACAGCATCTCATTAGACATCCCAAGTTTTTTCATTTGGAACACACACCCATTCCCCAGTATACTAGGGGTAATAATAATTTAAAGAGTTTAATTACTTTTTACTACTAGAAAACTAATTTTATGTTTGGCACAAATTTCTGAAATGATATTCCACTGCAAAGAATAATACCTATATATGGCCAGAATTACTTTTTTTCTATAACATTAAGATAATACTTGTCAGCCTGAGCAACAAAGTGAGACCTCATCTTTACAAAAAATAAATAAATTAGATGGGTGTTTTGGTGATGAGGGTCTGTAGTCCCAGATACTCAAGAGGCTGAGGTGGGAGGATCCCTTGAGCCTAGGAGGTTGCGGTTGCAGTGAACTATGATTGCACCACTGCACTCCAGCCTGGGTAACAGAGCAAGATCCTGTCTCAAAAAAAAAAAAAAAAAAGATAATATTGGTATAATTCAGGGTTTTTGCCTCAATCCCCATGCTTCTTCATTTGACCTTCCCTGACTCCCTGATGAATTTTAGTTTGAATTTTTGCTATAGTCCAGAAGTTAATTTAAAAGATCTTAAAATTTCCACCTGCCTAGATATTACTTATTTGTTACACTTTAGTCCATGATTTCTATTGTCATTTACATTACCCCAAAAATATGACCTGCTGAATTTCTGCTGTCATGAATTGACTAACATATTTTGGGCCTAATACCTTCACATTTAGAATGTTTTTGTTTTGTATTGGAAAATATTGTAAGTCCTCCATTTATTGGTCAAAAGCACTGCCTATTTATTTCCATGCTTAATCAGAGAGACTTTCTAATAGTTATTTAATATTATTTACGTTCATTCACTTGTTGACTATAATGACGTTAGTTGCTATGATATTTTTAGGTCATTAATATAATAAAAATATGTCAACTTTTCTCTTCCAATGTGTCTTTGGGTTATTAATTTTTAACTCAGGTATCAAGCTTGTAAAATGTTTAATGGCTTATAATAATGTCTAACACATAGTATCCACTGAGTTCTGATAACTCCGGTTTATCAAATTCTCTTTTTTTGTACCATTCTCCAAATGCAATGCTATTTGGTTTTATTTTTATTTTTTAAAAATGTGCTGCCTGTTTTGAGTCTCTAAAAGTGTGAAATGCTCAGCATTTCCCAAATGTATTTGAACATGGAGTGTTATATTTACTAAAAAGTTAACAAGCAAGTATTCCCCTAAACACTCTAGCAAATACTACTAGTACAGACAAATTATGATGTAACATTATAGTACATTTTAACTTATTAGGTTAATTTTGGTTGCAAACAATCAAAATTCAAAATGGCTTGTATAATAAAGAGATTTTGAACAATAGTATAGGCTCAAGATAGTTTAATGCAGAAGTTTAATAATGACACAAAATAAATGCTTCTTGTCCTCCCTGTTTCTTCACTCTACCTTAAGTGATATAGATTGAATGTTTGTAGTCCCCCAAAATTTGTATGTTTAAATCTAATCCCTAGTGTGATGATATTTGGCAGTGGGTCTTCGGGGGGTGATTAGGTCATGAGGACAGAGCCCTCATGAATGGGATTAGTGCCCTTATAAAAGAGACCTTAGAGAACTTCCTAGCCCCTTCCACCATGTGAGGACACAGCAAAAAGACAGCTGTCTGTGAACCAGGAAACAAATCCTCATTAGACCCTGAATCTGTTGACACCTTGATCTTGGACTTCCTGGCCTCTAGAACTGTAAGAAATAAATTTATGTTGTTCATAAACCATCCAGGCTGTGATATTCTGGTATAGCGACCTGAAAGGACTAAGACATTAGGTCTCAGTTTTATTCTATGGCTTAAAATATCATGTCATGAGTAGACAACTTCCAATCCTAGTACCTCGTGCTTCCTCTGCTGCATTTGGAAAGAAGGCATTTACCCCTTCAATCATGGAATGAAAAAGTTGTACTTCATTCTGATTTGATTAGCAGAAGGCACAGGTTCCTTCATGCACCAATTACAATGACCAAGAATTGGGCATGGGACTCATGTCACTTAAACATTGTGAAGCTGAGAAATTCATTATTTGGTTAGGAGTGTGTGAGAGCAGGGAACACTGAATGCTTGAGACACCACCACGATGTCCACTACATGTATTTCCATTTCAGTAAACATTTCCATTAAGATAATGCTAGAACAAAATCAGAGGAGTAGATCTTGGTGTCCCCAACTTTTGTTGACCTAACAAAGTGAAGTTGCTTCAACTGGACACTTCTGAACCACATTTATGCCTATATGTTCAGTTCAAATTTATTATAAGCAATTTTCAGGTCCATATGTTTAGGATATTTCATTTGTTTGGTTATGCATTATATGTATACATGTTTTTAACATACATACGCCTCTACATATATTTTGGAGGCCTTTACACAAAAGTGTTTTCCCTAAAGGGAGAAGAGAAAAGTTGAATGCAGAAGTAGAAAAAAAGATTCATTTGCACTTGTAGTATTTATAGCTAAATATTTTATATTACAGATGTATTAAAATTTTTATAATTTTAAACACTACTTTAAAACAGGGAGATGGTTTACCTTCAAAAAATTTGGCTCTCAACTCAAAGTTATCAAAGTATATCCTAGATGTAGTTTGCTTGTCAGGCTTCTACATGAAAATCTAAAATGCTCCTGCATTTCAGAATGAGCCTAACATATGTAATTGCACTCATCCACTATGTCTACATTGCCAACCAAATACTGACAGAGAGAGCTAGAGTGCCACAGAGAGCTGGCAGTTCCTCTGTTTGCATTAGCTTCTACTTGCTTCTTCATCTTTCCTCTATGTCTGACACATTTCATGTTACTGTTTTTAAATGTTCCCTTAGCTACAGAGCTAATGTGCTTATATCTGTAAGGGGTCTCATGTGAACCTCTAAATAATTAAAGATTCATTAGCTCCCTGGAGGGCCACCATGATTTCCAAAACAAGTCACAATACCTAAAGATCTAATTGTACAATTTCCCTCAGAAATAGCCTTGAGAAAGAAGTCACATCACTCAGCAATGAGTATTATAATTACTCACAGCAGTTTTCATGGTACTATATAACATCCAATTTACAGAATTAAAGGTAATGTAATTCGAAAGAAAAATAGCTGGTTTTAAGGAATGAAGGGCCATGTCAACTATTGGAAGCATCTTTGAACTGGAGCCTCTATGTTCGGGTTTCACCAGGTTTATGTTTTTAATTAATATCCTATTCAGCTTGCTGTAATTTCCATTGAGGTTTTCTAGAACAAGACAAGTCAGAAATTGATCTTTAATTATAAGCTAAGAGCAAACTGCCAAAGAACTGAGAGAAATTTTGAAGAAACAGGTCTATCAGGACTAACCATTTTAAGATAATAAAGACTAATCAGACACACACACATATGCACAAAAAGAGGGAGAGAGAGAACAAAAATCCTATGAAATACATTTTAAAAACTTAATTTTTTTAAGAAGAAGCATTTGATCTGCCAAAGAGAAGAGTTAGCAGTTTGGAGATCTGACATTGCTAATCTCAGGGCAAGAAAATAACAAAATAAGACACCAAAGAATTACCTAAACTGTGGAAGATGAAGCTTTCAGAGTTCTCACAGAGAGATGGGATACTAAAGTACCAAGTTTAAGAGGTGTAATCTATTAATGTTTAATTTATGTCCCAAATACTTAAAAACTATGTTTCATTGTTATACATATTTATTTTATTATAAAGATAATGAATGCAGTAGGGTTAGATTTAAATAATTCATTGGGTTTAAAATGAGAAATGAAAGTCTGGCTTTTTACAACCTACAGTCTTATCACCAAAGTTAGCTATTGTTAATAACTTCTTGTCCATTCTTGTATGTGTTATGGTTTCTTTCTTAGAAAGAAGTATGCTATACTAGTATACATGCTATTTATTCATGAACCTTGCACTTATCATGTAATCATATGTCTTAGTGGTCTTTTCATAATAGATGTCTCTCTTTCCCACGCTGTCAGTGGTGATTGCATGAGGCATTGTACAGACGTACCAATAATTACTTACTCTGTGTCATATTGTTGGTTATTCAGATTGTTTTCACTTTGTCCTTGCAGACAACACTGCAACGAACATACTTATGCATATCTTATTCCAAATACATCATCGTGATGGCTGTGTGAGAGAAATATACATTGTTGATTTTATTTTTTTATTTTTTATAATTTCAACTTTTGATTTTAGATACAGTGGGTACATGTGCAGGTTTGTTACATGGGTATGTTGTGTAATGCTGAGGTTTGCGGCATGATTGATCCGATCACTCAGGTACTAGACATAGTAGTTGTTTTTCAACCTTTACCCCCTCCCTCCTTCTACCCTCGAGTAGTCCCCAGTTTCTATTGTTCCCATCTTTGTGTCCACGTGTACTCAATGTTTAGCTCCTGCTTATAAGTGAGAATATGTGGTATTTGGTTTTCTATTCCTGTGTTAATTCGCTTAGCATAATGGCATCGAGTTGCATCCATGTTGCTGTAAAGGACATGATTTTATTCTTTTTTATGGCTGCAAAGTATTCCATGACATATATGTACCATATTTTCTTTATCCAAGCCACAGTTGATGGGCACCTAGGTTGATTCCATGTCTTAGCGATTGTGAATTACACTGCTGATTTTAATAGAAACCACTAATTTTTATGCCAAAAAAATCATCAATGTGCACATGCTCCAAGGCTGTGTGAGCATAGCCCTTTTTCTTGGGATGTCAACACCACTGGGTTTTATCAAAATATAATTTTTGCCAATTTATTAGTTAACAAATGCTAACTCAGTGCTACTTGGATTTGAACTACCACTGGTGCTGAGCAACTGTTTACATATTCACTGGCAATTTATTTATCTTTCTCTGTTGTTTATCTTTTTCTGTGTAATAATTTTCCCTATTTCTACTCTTTTAAACATTAAGTTTTCACTGTTTCCTTAATAATTTTTAAGTTTAAAAAGTGACCTTTTGGCTGGGCGCAGTGGCTCACGCCTGTAATCCCAACACTTTGGGAGGCCAAGGCGGGTGGATCACAAGGTCAGGAGATCAAGACCATCCTGCCCAACATGGTGAAACCCCGTCTCTGCTAAAAATACAAAAATTGGCTGGGGTGGAGACACGTGCCTGTAATCCCAGCTACTCGGGAGGCTGAAGCAGAAGAATCACTTGAACCAGGGAGTTGGAGGTTGTAATGAGCCAAGATCACGCCACTGTGCTCCAGCCTGGCGACAGAGCGAGACTCTGTCTCAAAAGAAAAAGTGACCATTTTATCTGCTGCATATAATTCTAATGATATTTCACAATTCGTTTATCTTTTAACAATGGTAATATATAATGTCTTGCTATTTAGAAAGATTTTTAAAAGTATTTTACATAAAGAAATTTTTATTCTTTGCCATTAATACTTGCAGGTTTGGAATTTTCAGGACCTCCTCAAAGGCCACCTACAGGAAATGCTCTTCAAAGACATTTCACTTTTTCCCCACTTGATTGTGGAGCAAAGACTAACACTGGCAATGCTTTGAAGTACTTGAGTCAAATGGGTCTCTCATGTGGTCATTACTATACTCACTCTTAGGCTCCAATGCAAATTGTTTCCTTACGCCAACTACTCTTGCTTTCCTTTAATAGACCTATTCCTCCTGGGCTGTCTGAAACTAACATTTCATTGTAAATAAAGTCCTGCAAGTCCTTGGTATCTCAAAGAACCCTCCTTCCATTTAGTTTTAGGAGAACTCTCCTCCTAAAACTCTATTCTTCTCCCTGGTGTCCAGATCCCCATTCCTTGCAACAAATGAACTCTTGATTTGAACACTGAAGGGAGATAATTGGAAGTTTGACTTTGTGTTCTAGGTTTTCCCTGCCAATATATGCAGCGTCTTTAAAACTAATTGGGCTGAGGCAGGAGAACTGCTTGAACCCAGGAGGAGGAGGTTGCAGTGAGCCGAAATTGCACCATTGAACTCCAGCCTGGGTGATAGAGCAAGGCTCCATCTCAAAAAAAAAAAAAAAAAACAGCAAAAAGAAACTTATTAGGTTCAAGAAGTTCGAATGAATTCAACTTAGACAAGCTCTTAAGCAGACATGTTGGAAGTTCCAGAAAAGACAGCTTGGGAAAATATTTTATTAAAAAAAAAAAAAGACTGTCCTCCACTTCCTCACTCTTTCTTCCCACTTATTTTCACTCCACTGGTGCAGTTTGGTGTCAACTCTCCTCACTCTACTGAAACTGCTGCAGCCGAGGTTACTAGTTATTTAATTAACAAAAGCAATAGATTTTGTTTTTTTTAATTGCATTATACTCTACTATTTTTTGACATTTAAACTATTGACAATGTCTTTCTTGAAAATGTGTCCTTTTTGTTTTTTTCAAAACACGACTTTCTCCTTGATGTCCTCCTTTTTCTCTCATTATTTCACCTTTACATTCTCTGCTGACACCTTTCACCTTACCAAACCTTAATTAAATGTGTATGCTTCCCAGTCTCCCGTTCTTGGCTCTCTTCCCTTCCCTCTTATTGATCATTATTGTATTCTGTGATCTCACCAATTCTCTTGGCTTTAACAATAACCAGATGACTCCAGAAAACTATTCAAAATTCCGGACCTATGGAGACTTTGCACCCAGATATGTACCAACAACTCAACCTCAGTTATCTCTAATATTATCTCATTAAGTGCCCTCTAACTACAGAATGACTCCTCCTTCTGGGTTTCCTCTGCCTGAATGGCACCACCATTCAGTGGCCCACGACAAATGTGGACCTCATTTGGAACTTCTCCCTTTCCCTCATGTTTCATTTTCTCTTGGCTAAAGAGTTATTAGATTCTTCATTTTTAGCTTTTCTCTAGCCTATCTTCAATTTTATAGTGGACAGTTATGTATAACCTATATCCCAGGAGAGAAGGGATATCTTCTTCTATGCCCCTACTATGAACTAGCATATCCTTTGAGTCCTTTCTTTGTATGAAGCACTGGGGAAATTTAATCAACTTCATAATCACTTATAATCCTCACAGTAATTTTATGAGATAAGTTCTATTTATTATCCCTATCTTAAGGATGAGGAGACTGTGGTTTAAAGAGCTTAAGTAATTTGGGCAAATCATAAAAGAAGCAGTGAAGACAGAATTCAAATCTAGGCAACCTGAAATCTGAGCCTGAGCACTTTGCCTCCCTAATAACTATCTCCCTTTGTGAGTTGTATTACAAAGTTGACAACATTTAGCAACCCTTATTCCCCTCCCCACCCCTATCTCTCTCCAAGAAATCTGCTGTGAGGTAGAGAATGTGTTGATTTTCTCTGCAGTTTTTAGTGCATAGCATAGGGCTTAGAAAGGAGAAAATGATGAAAAATATTTATTAAAATAATTGTTTTTCTTTGATAGTTGTTATAACCATCGAATTGTGAGTGCTTAACAATTACTATAAAGGAGAATGGAAATCACAGATCTTTTCACAGAATTTTTTTTTTTTTTTTTTGAGACAGAGTCCAGCTTGTCACCCAGGCTGGAGTGCAGTGGTGCGATCTCAGCTCACTGCAACCTCCACCTCCTGGGTTTAATCACTTGCCTTGGCCTCCTGAGTAGCTGAGATTACAGGCGTGCACCCCCACGCCTGGCTAATTTTTGTATTTTTGGTAGAGATGGGGTTTCACCACATTGGCCAGGCTGGTCTCAAACTCCTGACCTCCAGTGATCCACCCATCTCAGACTCCCAAAGAGCTGGGATTATAGGCTTGAACCACCGTGCTGGGCCTTTCTCAGAGAATTTATAGTTTACCTGGAAATGTAAACCATATGTACTTAAACTGAGGGATATTTACAAAAGAGCTTTCTACTTAACCCACAAGAAGCTGTATTCATAACAAAGCAAATCAAGCTTGTTCACAGGCAACTGAATGGAATGAATGGTTTTGATTGGTCTTGCCAGTTATATTTCTAACAAGAGAAAATTCAATGTGAGCCTCATTTGGAAACAAGATATTACAGAGAGGAAAATTTGGGATTAAGGTCAGATTTGGTGCAACTATGCTAGATACAGAAAAGGCAAACTTTCAGCTCAATCCCCAGCTAAGTACAAGTTCAATGGTGAAGGCATAAGAAAATGAGCCATTATAATAAGTCTGAAATAAGTTTATGATTCCACCTCAATATGGGCATGCAATATATTCTAACATTTAATCCCTGGAAAAAATGATGACATCACACTGAAATCTTGACTCATAAGAGAACTTTTTTATGCTGTTCCCTAAGTCAGTTTATTTCTACTTCATTCTTGTGTTAAGGGTAGGCTCAATTCTTACTCATTCAAAAACGGTATCACCTGAAGCTTTTCTTTAATTCTTGTTTTCTCTGCAGTGAGAAAATTAATCAAGGGGTTAAAATGTATATTAAATTATATATGTATTATATGTAAAAGTTATATAATATAGATCAGAGAAGAATATATTGCATATGTTATAGGCTGAATTGTGTCCTTTCCCCAAATTAATATGCTGTACCCTGCCCCCTGCCATCCCAGTATATCAGAAGGTGGCTATATTTGGAGATAGAGACTTTTAAGAGGTAACTAATGTAAAATGAGGTCACATGTCTGGGTCCTAATCCAATATCACTGGTGTCCTTATTTGAAGAGGAAATTTAGGTACAGACATACATGTGCACAGAAAAAAGTCCATGAGAAGACAAGATGAGAAAATGACTATCTAAAAGCCAAGGAGAGAAATTTCAGAATAAAATTAACACATCTGATGCCTTGACCTCACACTTCTAGCCTCCAGAACTGTGAGAAAATAAATTTCTGTTGTTTAACTCATCCAGTCTGCAGTAATTGTTATAACAACCCTAGCAAAGTAATATAGGAAGTATATATATATATATACACACATACATATATATACACACATATTTGTGTGTGTGTGTGTGTGTGTGTGTATATATATATATATATATGATAGAGTAGATAGATAGAGACATATACAGTCATCCCTCAGTATTAGTGGGGTATTGCATTCAGGAGCCCTGCATATACCGAAGTCTGCACATACTCAGGTCCCACAGTCAACCTTGCAGAGCTCGCATATGAAAAGTTGGCCCTCCACATATGTGGGTTTCACGTCCCACAAATACTATATTTTCAATCTGTATTTGGCTGAAAAAATCCACCTATAAGTGGACTCACACAGTTTAAACCAGTGTTATTCAAACGTCAAATGTTGATATATAGATGTATAAATATCTCATATGTATAGAGCAAGTGGGAGAAAAAATCTCTAATCTCTCTTCCTTCCTGCTCTTTTTGGATTGCAAACTCTTCTCTCATAAGTACAAAAAGTAATGTTAACAAAGTAAAGAGAATTGGAAATAGTAGTGTTTTTGACCACTAGTGTTTTGTAATTTTAGAAAAAAAAATTACTGAAATGTAACTTTTTATTTATATTGAGATGTTTTGACTCATACTCCAATCATACAGAACTAATAGATAAAATATGAAAAAGACTTCTTTTTACATACATAGCTGGATTAAAATATTAGAAATAATTTTCTTCCCTCAAAGGATCCCCTATTTAATAAACGGTGCTGGGAAAACTGGCTAGCCATATGTAGAAAGCTGAAACTGGATCCCTTTCTTACACCATACACAAAAATTAACTCAAGATGGATTAAAGACTTAAATGAAAGACCTAACACCATAAAAAACCCTAGAAGAAAACCTAGGCAATACCATTCAAGACATAGGCACGGGCAAAGACTTCATGACCAGAACACCAAAAGCAATGGCAACAAAAGCTAAAATAGACAAATGCGATCTAATTAAACTAAAGAGCTTCTGCACAGCAAAAGAAACTCTCATCAGAGTGAACAGGCAATCTAAAAAATAGGAGAAAAGTTTTGCAATATACCCGTCTAACAAAGGGCTAATATCCAGAATCTACAAAGAACTTCAACAAATTTACAAGAAAAAAACAACCCCATCAAAAAGTGGGCAAAGAATATGAACAGACACTTCTCAAAAGAAGACATTTATGCAGCCAACAGACACATAAAAAATGCTCATCGTCTCTCGTCATCAGAGAAATGCATATCAAAACCACAATGAGATACCATCGCATGCCAGTTAGAATGATGATCATTAAAAAGTCAGGAAACAACAGAAACTGGAGAGGATGTGGAGAAATAGGAATGCTTTTACACTGCTGGTGGGAGCGTAAATTAGTTCAACCATTGTGGAAAGCAGTGTGTTTATTCCTCAAGGATCTAGAACTAGAAATACCATTTGACCCAGCGATCCCATTACTGGGTGTATACCCGAAGGATTATACATCATTCTACTATAAAGATGTATACATGCACACGTATGTTAATTGTGGTGCTATTCACAATAGCAAAGACTTGGAACCAACCCAAATGTCCATCAATGATAGACTGGATTAAAAAAATGTGGCACATATGTGCCATGGAATACTATGAAGCCATAAAAAAGGATAAGTTCATGTCCTTTGCAAGGACATGGATGAAGCTGGAAACCATCATTCTCAGCAAACTATCACAAGGACAGAAAACCAAACACCGCATGTTCTCACTCACAGATGGGAGTTGAACGATGAGAATGCATGGACACAGGGTGGGGAACATCACACACTGGGGCCTGTCAGGGGGTGGGGGGTTGGGGGACAGATAGCATTAGGAGAAATACCTAATGTAAATGACAAGTTGATGGGTACAGCAAACCAACATGGCACATGTATACCTATGTAACAAACCTGCATGTGATGCACACGTACCCTAGAACTTAAGATTAAAAAAAAAAATTTCTTCCCTCATGAGGTACAAAGCCAAGCATTACACTGGGGCCATGATAGTCCAGGTTGCTGAAAGATTTAGATCTAAAGACTGAAAATTGGGATATATATTGAGAGAGAGAGAGAGAGAGAGAGAACAAATGGTAACCTAAATTTAATAAAATAATAATAGACAAATTAGGGTAACAGGCATATGAGTATTTTTTGTTCTAACAATTCTTTTATTTTCAAACTTATCTATAATCTTACATTTATTTCCCAATAAAAAGGATTTTAAGTTAAAAAAAGAAAGTTTTTCTGTAGTAACATTTTCACAACTAGGGCCTTTAAGACTGAGGAAATACTCCAAGCTCTGAGCAAACTCAGTAAGTATAAATCCATATGTAGACATACCACAGTAAAATGCAAGATACTAAAGACTAATACAATATTTTCAAATCAACCAGAGATGGAAGGCAGATTACCTGCAAAGGAAGGACAATTACTTTATCACAGACTTCTCTTCATCAACGAGAACAGACAATACAGGAATAACATCTCCCAAGTTGTGAGGGAGACTAACAGATGACATGAAATTCTACGACCAAATAAAGCATAATTCAATGGGCAGCAGTTAACAGAATTAAGCTGTTTCCAGACATCTATGGAGAGATTTAACTCAAAGATGTCACTGTAAATTTGATTGTTGAGATGTAGTAATGGATACTTGGCAAGGTTATTGAATTAGTTAAACGATCTTCAAAGCTTAGGTCATGTATCTTCATTAAACACATGGTGCTTTGCATTTACTAAAGAAGGGCTTCCGTTTTCTCTCCAAATAAATCATTGCGACCTTAGCACCCCAAGCGTAAAAACCTCTTTTATTTCTATTCTTGATCTCTAGTCCCTGCTTATGTGTATGCATAAATGCATGACACCGTGCTTCTCTTTTAGTTATTTATTTCTAGAGATCATGTCTTTGAAAATCATTATATTCCCAGCAACTATTTAGAGTGGTACTAAGCTAACTTGGTTTATGGTGTCAACTGCATAGCAGTTATTTGATTGGCCCATTCCTTTATAAAATATTTTATGCTTAGATGATGAACTCTACATAAATTCAGCCAGGAGAATGTTTTCCTTGGCAATCTCTGGGAGATTACAAATGTTCCTTTTTTTTTTTTTTTTTTTTTTTTTTGAGATGGAGTCTCGCTCTGTCTCCCAGGCTGGAGCCCAGTGGCGCGATCTCGGCTCACTGCAAGCTCCACCTCCTGGGTTCACGCCATTCTCTTGCCTCAGCCTCCCGAGTAGCTGGGACTACAGGTGCCCGCCACCACGCCCGGCTAATTTTTTTGTATTTTAGTAGAGATAGAGTTTCACCGTGTTAGCCAGGATGGTCTCGATCTCCTGACCTCATGATCCGCAAGCCTCGGCCTCCCAAAGTGTTGGGATTACAGGCGTGAGCCACCGTGCCCGGCCTACATATGTTACTATTAACTCCTCCTTCTGCTAAGAAATAAACCAAAATAAAATTATTCACAAATATAACTGTTTTGATCATGCTTTCGGATGATATGTAAAGTAGCCCACAGAAGGTAAATAATATTCAGGGGAAATAAATTATTACTTAAGAGTGGGTGCTGAGAAAAAGAAATGTGTGAAGTGTGAGGTAGGAAGTATGTGAGAAAAGCTAGGGCACAGTTGTGTCTTATATTTTTGTTAAAATCTGCCTGTTAAGACTTCCTGATTGGGTAATGGGAATGATACAGTAAAATACTCTTCCTCAGAGTGTCTGACACCTTTGTGATAATTTACTACATAAAAGTACAAGTTACATTATATAAAAAGACAGAATGGCCTGGCTCAGTGGCTCACACCTATAATCCCAGCACTTTGGGAGGCTGAGGCAGGTGGATCATCTGAGATCAGGAGTTCGGGACCAGCCTGGCCAAAAGGATGAAACCCTGTCTCTACTAAAAATACAAAAAATTAGCCAGGCATGGTGGCAGACACCTGTAATCCCAGCTACTCAAGGGGCAGAGGCAGGAGAATCGCTTGAACCTGGGAGATGGAGGTTGCAGTGAACTGAGATCGTGCCACTGCACTCCAGCCTGGGCAACAAGAGCGGAAACTCCGTCCCCCCAAAAAAAATGACTCCAAGAAACTGAGGTTTCTAGATGAGGGTTACACAATGTGGATCTAAAAGCAACAGGGAAAGGAAAAGGATTTGGGCCTAGAATGTGGGGAATTTTAGATGCTGCAGAAAGCCTTCTGGTGTCTTTCTAGAATGGCTGGATTTTGGTTAAGGCAAAGAAGAAGTAACTTTTCATGGAGAACAGTAGCATACAGGAGTGCGGATGGTTTGATCATTTAAGGCAGGGATGTGAGGTTTGATGGAATATGTTGATAACAAAGATTCTTTGCTTGGCCAACTTTAGTCAGGCTTCTAAATCTTCAGCTAGGCTAAACTGTGCACTTCCTCGCAAAATCCAGCATTAGCAAAGAACACTGCCAAGTTTACCAAAGAACCCCTCATTCTCAATATCTGATCAAGTTCTTCATTCTTCACCATTCTGCAGGTGATGTCTGATCACCCTGGCCAGTCTTCAGCAAGAATTCTTTTAGGTCGGTTTAGCCAGAATCTCCCTTACTCCTGATGTTTCCTCTTAGTGATTTTCCATTCACTGACCCCTGCATTGCTCCTGGGCTATAAATTCCCACTTCCCCATGCTGTATTCAGAGTTAAGCCCATCTCTCTCC
This sequence comes from Homo sapiens, assembly GCF_000001405.40. Classification (NCBI taxonomy): domain Eukaryota; kingdom Metazoa; phylum Chordata; class Mammalia; order Primates; family Hominidae; genus Homo; species Homo sapiens. The sequence goes on from NC_000001.11 coordinate 149,600,482, forward strand.
CCAGCTCCAAGACTGTGTTGCAGTGGTTCCTATATCTATGGTGATGGTCCTGAATAAAGTCTTCTTTACTGTGCATTTGAAGTATCACTGAATAATTTTTTCTTTAACAATTATGGTGTTGAAACTCAACTAGGACAGATTCATCACTGGATCCTGGGCCTCTCACTCAGAACCCTAAATGCATGCCTTTGAAGTCTTTGTTGTCATTTCTGACTGATTAGGGATCCATTGGTGAATCATATTCCTGAGCCATTGCTCCAGACAAAAGCCCGTTGATGGCTAAGGACAGATTTTGAATCTGAAGGGATGAATATTCTCTCTGAAGCTGGGGTAGAGTCCCAGGCTTCTTTTGAAAGCAATCCTCTGGGCAGGAAGGTCTTCGTGTGGGCTTCTTGTTCTGAGTGGTCTATTCTCTGAGTCCCTAGACTAGAATTCTCTTCTTTCTGGCTCTCTTTTTCTGAGTGAGGGGTTATTCCCTGATTCCCTGGGCTACAAATTGTTCTTCCTGGCTCTCTATAAAACCACTCTGCTCTTTCTCTTCTCTCTATTGGATCCTGCTTCTCCCATGGGAGCTCTGTCACCTGAAACCCCTCTTCTCAAGTCTCTGCTGACTATTTCTCTGTCCACTCTTGCCAGACCCGTTTCTTTTCTGCTGAACTTCAGGACCCCTATCCTACCCTCCTTTGAGGGGGCTCTCAAGGGACTCAGAGGCCCCTCAAAAACAAGCACCTGGGGCTGATAATAGGAGAAAAAAAGAAACTGTTTGGAAACTGATAAAGTAAAAAAAAAAAAAAAAATCTTAAAAAACCTCCTCCAAAAATATTGGTAAAAAGCTTTAGCCTTTGTTATGTAGGTCAACTCAACTTATCCCTTTTTCACCAGAAACACAATTTGGATAACAATATAAAGCGGAGATAAACCAGTGAGTTTGTATTTTTGTATTACTCTGTTTTACTGCCTCATGGTTAAAAACTTTTTTTTTTTTTTTTTTTTTTTTTTTTTTTGAGACAGAGTCTCACTTCATTGCTCAGGCTGGAGTGCAGCGGGGCAATCTCGGCTCACTGCAACCTCCACCTCCTGGGTTCAAGTGCTTCTTGTGCCTCAGCCGGGCGCCACCATGCCCCACGCCCAGCTAATTTTTGTATTTTTAGTAGAGACGGGGTTATGCCATATTGGCCAGGCTGGTCTCGAACTCCTGACCTCAGGTGATCCACCCACCTCAGCCTCCCAAAGTGCTGGGATTACAGGCATGAGCCACTGCACCTGGCCTGGTTAAAATTTTTTAAATGAGAAGTCATAAGATCTGGTTACATCAGTCTATATGTTTGTGTATGTGTACATGTGTGTATCTATGTTATTATGTTATGTATATGTGATATTTTTCTACTTCCAACGTTATTACCAAACTAAAATACCCAAATTGGCTAGGGATAAATGAGCACTCAAACAAATAAGAATGTATAAAATTTTCAGAAAAGTAGAAACTGACCCAATTTTTTTTAAGTTCACATAATCTGGGATATTCCTTAGTAAATGAAAACTAGTTTAAAAAATATTGGTAAAATAAAAATAGAAACATTTTCAGAATTGTCAGCATACACTTGTTTTACCTGGCTTTGCTGATTAGACAAGTTTGTGTTGTTACTGTTAGATGTTTAAGGCCATAAAACCATAAATTCAACCTAAGAGTAGAATATGTAGTAAAAGTAAATTGCTTAATTGTCTGGTGTATGTCTGTTGCAAAAGTAAATAAGAAAAGATGTCTAGAAGGATTGTGAAAATCTTATCTTGTATGGTCTAAGCTGACTGAGATTGGATAGATTTATTTATAAGGTTTTATTAAAACTTAGTTTTAGTAATACATTGATTCAAAAGTAGAATTTGATCTTCTCCGTTAAAATGGTAAAGTTTTCTTGGAATGTTGGTCTGAGAATGTAAAGGGTATTTTTTTCCTTTTCAGTAATTGGCCTCAGAAACAGAGACTCTGTTTCATCAAGATAATTTCTTGAGTTTCATGTTGTTTTATTAGGTTTTTGGTTACTTAAGAAAAGTGAGTCTTCTCAATATTAAAGGAGCTAAGTTCTTGTTCACAACTATGTAATCTGAATTTGCCTTTAAAATCTTTTAATGGAGCTTTTATTAAATAGATAACTATGGTCATATTTGTTTTAAATGTTTTAAACTTTTTGACATTTTTGACAATCTTCCCAAAATCACATTCTAAGTTAAGTCTTTTTGACCTCAAATTAACTTAGGATTCTCCATATTGGACCCTCAGAAAGCCACAAAGTATATTTTTTTTTGTATGAAAGAGAGATTAAACCAATTAGATTTATTTAATATGCTAAATTATATGTGTAACATTCAAATAAAAAGTGATGCTAAGCCATCTTTAAGTTATATTTATGGATATATTATTGGGATAAGTGTACAAAAGTTGTATGAGATTCCTAGAAATCTAGTATGTTATCAGTCATAATTTTGGTTATTATGTTAAAATGCTGTATGCCATGCTAACCAAATTTTCTTATAAATTGCATCATTGTAATGAACTCTCATTAAATTTTTTAACCATGGACACTTTAAGTCCTTGTCATCTGTAGACAGTTATTGTTTTAATTTAATTGTTCTCTAAAAGCATTTGAAATTAGCTACAGTCCAAAATGGCTTCTTCTTCAAGGAGATTTATGGAAAATACTCTTATGAGTATTCTGGAATACAGGTTTCTGAACAACTTTAACGTCATACAATTGGACTGGTAAGAATTTCCAGAACTCTAATAAAACTGACGGGTTCATGTAACTACTAACCCAAGATCAAGCAAAACAAGATTTAATTACATGGTACTGAATGAACTGATGAGAATAATTTTTAAAATGACTTTTTGTTGGAAACATTGCTAGTTCTTTAAATGTTTTGTTTTCCAGATTTCAGAAAACTTTCTTTTAAGCTATCTCTAGCTTACACCAATTCAGTAAAGAATACTTTTGTGCAAAATGGAAACATTTACTTTTTCTCCCTAACTTATCCCTCCAGAATTTGGAAACTATTTGTGCATATTCTTATTTTTATGGCAATGTATTTATTTGCATAAGTTTAATAAGAATCTGTTGTCTTTGTAACAGGACAAACTGGAAACACAGGTTATATCACCAAGGCTTTGACTGAAACATCATGTTTTCAGATATGACCAGAAGGCTTTAGGGGACTAAGGTTGGCTTTATGGAACCAATAAAGTACCATCTTGGAAAAACTGGCTCTAGGGTTCCCAGACTTACAGGTAAGTAAAGAATGTCACTGCTTGGCAGGTCTGGAAACCTTGGGATATTTTAGGGACCTCAAGAAGAGAGAAATTTATCTAAATCTATAAATGTAACAGGTGCAGACTAATGACAAGTTTTGGGCTTGTATCCCAGCCTCAAGTGGCTTTTAAAAGTTTAATCTGACTGGAGACAGTGGCTCACCCCTGTAATCCCAGCACTTTGGGAGGCCAAGTCAGGTGGATGACGAGGTCAGGAGTTCAAGACCAGCCTGACCAATATGGTGAAAGCCCTGTCTCTACTAAAAATACAAAAAATGAGCCAGGCATAGTGGCACGCACCTATAATCCCAGCTACTCGGGAGGCTGAGCAGAAGAATCGCTTGAACCCAGGAGGCGGAGGTTGCAGTGAGCCAAGATCGCACCACTGCACTCCAGCCTGAGAGACAGAGGGAGACTCTGTCTAAAAAAACAAAAACAAAAAGTTTAATCTGAGATTTCTTATCTGACAAACGCAACCTTTAGAAGAGCCTAAATGGTCAATCACTACTCTTAACTGCACTTGTGTACATAACCAGTACAAGTTTAATGAGATTAAACTTATTTAGCAAACAAATCAATCTGACTTTGATTATCTTTGACAGAAATGAGAGTGAATATAGAGAGAAAAGTTATGTTTCGGGAGAAAACTGCAGTGCACCCAATATTAGATTCTAGCTGTTTTTTTTTTTCTGAGGTTTTATTATCTGCCTGCAATCTGCAATAGATCCTCAATTTTTCTAGTTTACTACAATATTTAGCTACAACACTCCAAATTAATATTTCATTTTTTTCCTGCTATTCTGGCTTGGAATCACTAAAATTATAAACTTTTCATTTCTTGAAGTCCTTCAAACTGAAACTGGATGACTTGACATAAGCTTCAGAAAAATTACCACAACAGCTTGTGTGTGGCCCATCTTTATGGCATTCAAACTGCAAACTAATCCAATGCCTCTTCTCACTCCAGCTGAAGATACTACAAGCCCAGCATCTAGAAATCTTATTGATCAGCTGCCCTCTGGGCTCAGAAACTGTCTTTATAGTTCGTTCCAACTATTAATCTTTTTTAATTTTATTTTTATAGAAACTAAACTTCCCACATTAAAGGCTTGATAGCTCACACTATCCAGGAAATATCCTCTGCTACCAAGTCCCAACAGATGATTCAACTGGTTCTTAATGAATAAAAGGTGATCAAACAAGAAAAGAGACTTATATTGTTTGAAGGAAAGATGAGTGTCTCTTCTTTCCTTAAACAAGAAGTAGTACTAACAAAGATTCCTTGCTTGGCCAAACTTTATTCAGATGTCTATCTTCCTTGCAAAATCCAACTTTTTTTTTTTTATGTGGTACAATGTGATGTTTTGTTCTTTTTTTTAAATTTATTATTATTATACTTTAAGTTTTAGGGTACATGTGCACAATGTGCAGGTTAGTTACATATGCATACATGCGCCATGCTGGTGCGCTGCACCCACTAACTCGTCATCTAGCATTAGGTATATCTCCCAGTGATATCCCTCCCCCCTCCCCACAACCCACAACAGTCCCCAGAGTGTGATGTTCCCCTTCCTGTGTCCATGTGTTCTCATTGTTCAATTCCCACCTATAAGTGAGAATATGCGGTGTTTGGTTTTTTGTTCTTGCGATAGTTTACTGAGAATGATGATTTCCAATTTCATCTATGTCCCTACAAAGGACATGAACTCATCCTTTTTTATGGCTGCATAGTATTCCCTGGTGTATATGTGCCACATTTTCTTAATCCAGTCTATCATTGTTGGACATTTGGGTTGGTTCCAAGTCTTTGCTATTGTGAATAGTGCCGCAATAAACATACGTGTGCATGTGTCTTTATAGCAGCATGATTTATAGTCCTTTGGGTACATACCCAGTAATGGGATGGCTGGGTCAAATGGTATTTCTAATTCTAGATAGAATGTTTCCTCTTATAACTCATAGTGAATATGACTGGACAATGAAACTATTTTGTAATTTCTTTCCTGAAAGATAAAGGCGTTAGAACATAGAATCTTTCACTGATTCTACAGAATCTTAAGACTCCTTCAGAGATGGCAGTCATTCCTACCGTGCTGAACATCATGTTGTCACGGTCAGAATCAGAACTAAATTGATTAAGGGTCTGAAACCGTTTGGCACTCTTGGGCACTTATTCTGATAAGAAAGCTGATGAGACAGGGTAATGAAAAGAGGCTGCAAGAAATGACCATTCATGCATTCAGCCAACATTTAGGCCACCCTCCTGTATTCCAGGCACTGTACGTGGCACTGAGAATGCAAAGCAAAACGAGTCATGGTCTACTGGCGGGAGCCTTCTCAGCGGAGAAAAGATCAACAAGAAAAGTGCCTGCTGGAGACCCCTCCTAGGGCATAAACCAATATAGAGGTGGGGCAGCTACGTCAGCCTGAGGTGTCCTTAGGCAGAACAGAAAGTGAGAATCAGAGCAGTATCTCATTTCTGAAAACCTGGATTGTAGCTTTCCCTGGGCTGACTGTCAAAGGAGGTGGTTTTAAAAAGCAAGCCAAACAGGTTTCCATCCTTTAGGAAGACCCTGGAACGTGCCAGTTGATTCTGACAATTTCTCATGAACAGAAACACCTAGGAAGGGAGAACTGGTGAGTCTTTTCAAGAGGAGGAAGTCCCTCAAAAGGGGCTGTGTTTCGCAAACGGCGCCCCAAAAGGGCTGAAATACTTCGATCTGGAAGAAAAAGACTCAGGCACTGAGGGAAGGGGAGGGTGCACATCTGGAGTAATTTCAAGGCTTTTTCCGTGTTATCTGATGTGGCAACAAGTAGAGATTTGTTCGTTTTATTATTTTTTTAATTTTTAAAGATTTTCTTTTCCCCCCTTTTCCCCCTCCCGGCCACTCCGGTTTGTGTTTGCCACAAGACTCATAATTCCTTTAGAAAGTGGAGTCGAATTCATAAAAGTGACGGGGGGAGAGCGCGGAGAGGGAAGGCTGGGAGCCCCAGGGAGTCTTCACTACCTACACTGCCGCTCAGCTCCCGGCGCGAGTGGAGGTCGGGGTGGGGAGACGCGACTCCTGCCCGGGATGGCTGACACTCTGCGAGCCCCGGCGGCCCGCGGCCGGGCCGGGTGACTAGGCGGAGGGCGCGGAGGGTCCGCGGCGGGCGGGTGGCGCTGCAGCAGCCTGGGCACGGCTGCCGCCGCCCGCGGGCGAGAGTGTGCACGGGTGTGGAAGGCCGGAGTGCGGGCCGTGAGGGGTGTGCGCGCTTGAGCCGGAGCGGGGCTCGCCCCTCGTCGGCTCCCGCCGCCCAGCCGGTGATCGCTCTCCGGCCGTCCCCGGCACCCTCGGCCCCCCACGGCGGTTGGTCCGGGCGGGGGAAGGAGAAAGTGAGACTCGGTGTCATCACCAATCCATCGCCAGAAGGGGAGGAAACTGGAATCCAGCAGCGGCGAGCAGCAGCTGGACGGTAACATCTGGAAATGGAAAGCCGACCTCCCCCTCCTCCTCCACCTCCTCCTCCTCCTCCTCCTCCTCCTCCTCCTCCTCTCACCCAGGATCACTTCCAAAACCACTTGGCCTTCAGCCCCTGCCTCGGCCAGAGGTTTCATTTTTAACTGAATATTTACGAAAGCTGAAAGCGTGCGAGGGGGGTGGGGTGGAAATAGCGGCTGCTTCTTTTCCAAGGATTTATTTAATGGGGATGTGTTCAAGGCAAGACCGAATTCAGAAGGATATCGACGTCGTGATCCAGAAGTCCAGAGCTGAGGACTGCCTGTTTGCAGGTGAGTTCTTGCTTTTCCAGAACCTCGGACCCAGCGCCCCTTTCTCAGTTCTCCGACCGCGACGTGTGTGGCTGGGGGTGGGGTGGAGGGTTTGCACGTCCGCATTCCGGGGTTCATTTGGCAACAGCTGCTGCAACGAACGCGGGAGCCAAAAGCGGGAGGGGGCGCCAGCCTCGCCCCTTCCCCTCCCCCCACCCCCAAGTATGGGGCAGCTACCAGCTTTGAGGGCAGAACCCGCGTGGCCCGAGCGGGGGTCTAGGCGAAGGGGCAGTGCGTGGTATTTCCAGCCCCGCGTAGTGCCCGAAGCCTGCAAGCACGCCTCCTGGGTTCCAGCAGCGGCGGCAGAGCGGGGTTGGTTGGACCCGCCAGGTTTGCGTAATGGGCTGAGCGGCGGCGGCCGGGAATGGAGCCTGCTGCGCTGCGCTCCTAAGCTGCGCCCGGCGCCGAGGACCCCCGGGGGGCAGCGCTCGGCCCATCTCCGGCCCCTTCGGCTCCATCTAGTCCCCTCCGACTGGCAAAGAGAAGGGATTCCTCGGATTCCCAAGGCACCCAGCGCCCCTGCCTGGGGGGTCGCCTTTCGTCCATTTTGCTCCCCCGGGAGAGAGATCGGATTTTGCTTTCGCTGCCGCGAGCCCGGCTGGGGCTGCTTCCGGCCTCCCCGACCGGGAAATTCCCGCCGTTGCCATGGCACCCGGCACTTGCTGCCGGGGGCGGCCTGCCGCTGCACCCAGTCGGGGGCGCGCCGCATCCCCTCGGACGCTGCGCGGAGAGACCTCGCCGCCCTCTAGCCCTCGCCTCCCGCCCGGCCAGGCCTCCCCTGACTCCACCAAATGGAGGGCCCAAGTCCTGATCGGGGTTAAAACAAATCCACTCCAGGGGTAGCTTTTGACAGGACTTTCTGTTTCAGATTTCAGATACTCAGACTCCACCTTTACTTTTACCTATGTTGGCGGCCCCAGAAGGTATTTATGGGTGTAGAGTTGCTTCATTTCCTGTTCACACTCTTGTGTTTCCTTTGTTCTTAGCGTGTTCCGTGTTCGGGTATTTTGGTTGCTTGTTTGATTACTGTGGCTTTTCTTTACCTACAACCCAAGCCTGACGTCCCTCGGTTTTAAATAGCAGGGAGAGGGGAATCAATGTTTGATTCAGGTGTTTCGAAGACCACGCCACAGGCGATGAGCAGAACTCTTCATGTTGAAACGGTTCTGCTACAGTACTAGATTGCTCTCAGGCGATTTGGGGTTGATACAGGCAAGCCGGTGCAAAACTGGAATACTGGATATGAAGTGAAATGTATAAAAGACATAAAATGTCACAAAATAGTTTGATCACAAGTGTTGATTTTCCTGGTGAGTTGGGGCTGCGTGTTTCCATGTTTTCTGAAGGTTCACATAAACATGCAGCCTGCCAATTCTCTGTACATTTTTTTTTTCAATGAGTGGTATTTCGGTTTTCACGTTTAGTTGTAAGACAGAAATTGGAGACTTATATGTAGCTGGAGTGGATGACTTCTTTCTTTTGGGGGAAGAATGAGAGATGCACATTTCGTTAGTAAATTGTGAACAACTTGAAACAAACCCAAATCCAATTTTGAATTTAAGAAGTAGAGTTAAAATGAAAGGTAGCCATTCAAATACTATGCCTTGCTGCCTTCACTTATTAAGTTAGGATTTTCTTCCTTTTAGCCCTTTAGGGATACAGTAGTTTAAAAGAGCAGTAGCCACATATGAAAGGATCAGATTTAGCTTAGAGGGAATTCCTTAGACCAGCCCTGCTGTTAAGACTTGACATTCAATATTGTTTGATCACATTCCAAAATATAGCTTAGCTAATGGCAACATTTGTAAACATATAAATTGCAAAAGAAGCTTTCTTGTGTACATACATTTTTAAAAGCTTGAAATTGATGTGAACTTTTAAAAACACGTAGGATCTGTATTACATTCTACATCTCAAAACAAATTTAATTAAAGTGAATATCATTCCAGTATATACAATATGCCTAAGACCCAGAATTGGCACATTGATTTATTAGTTGAAAATATAACAGTATTCACCAAACTTCAATGTATACTTTTTGGAGAGAATGAAATTACAGTATTTCTTAATTTACTGTAATGTCATCTTTGTAATTATGAATTAACAATTCAATGAGAGGAGACTTGGTTGATTAAATTAATGCTGGTCCTACACATTATATCTAAAGGATCTTCGTATATGACTACTATCCTCTTGGATTATTTTAACAGTTAAAATATACAAAGTGGCCCATTAAAAACAGAGTTGACTTTTCACCATTGCTGTTTTTCTGGTGAGACATGTGGAAAGGAAGGACAGGTGGACTTTTCAACTAACTAGCTCTCTGATTTTTAATAAGATACCTCAGTTCTTTTGGCCTCAGTTTACTTCTGTACAAAGGGTAAGTCATATGCTTAATCACTAAGGTCTGTTAGATACTGCAGTTAAGATTCTTTATCAGCAAATTACTGAACTCTATTGTTAACATAGCTAGAGGTGGAAAAGGGAGCAAGACCAGGTGTTGGGATGAATAATTAACTAATCGAGATAACATCAGTTTTCACCATAGGAACAAGTACCATGGTTGCTCTTAAAGTAAGAGATGTTTCCTATTTTATGTAATTTTACTAAGGGATAGTGTTTTCTTTTGTCACTGACTTAAATGTACCTGGATGTTTCTCAGCCATTTGGCTAAGATCGAACACAAGTAATACCTGGGCCTTTTATATCTAATCTAATGTAGACCAGCCTGTTAAAAGAGAAAGACAATTGGTTAAACTGCTGATGTGTTGCTTTGTCTTCTCAAAAGCTTGTTCTATAATACAATATGTAAAAAGTTGTTACAGTGTAGTAACTGTAGATAATCCCTTTATGATTTGTACCTAATGGCGAAGACCTTTTATTTTCTGAAAATAACGTGTTTGTTTTCATTACCAACATTAGAAGCCAATATTTATTAATCTATTTCTCATCCTGACATTTCAGTCAGACTCTTAAAATAATCTTGCTGTGTTTTGATTTAATGTGCTTATCAACTTAGAATATTGAATTAATGTTAATAGTGTCATTTTAGGTGAACTAGACTTCATTGAAGGAGGTGGGAGCCTTATGGAGAGAGAGTATATGATTATCTCTATTTGTATTTAATTACCATTTCATCTAACCATTCAGAACATATTTCAAGAATAATTTTAATTCAAGTTGTAGGTAAAACTTACTATACCATTTTCATTTTGACGCTTTCCAAGAATGAGATACACGGTATTTTAAAGACAAAGATTGATCTTACATGTTACTATTAAAAAAAACACGATAATTTTGTTCTACATTTATACTTTTAATTTTTCTGTGGATAATAAGAAATGCCAAGAGTCGATTGTGTCCATGCTGGCAAGTGGCCTAATAAATTGTCCTTTTATTTGGTGGTCCTCAGAGTGGCAGTTAACATCTTGCTATTCTGCCTTGTGGACTTGAGGTGGAAAGGTTCATGGCATTATATCCTTGCTTTTGGATGTGCAAACTGAGGCTCAGAGAGTTTAAGACACATAGTCACTTTCACCAATTAAATGATGAAGCTGCCATGTAAACGTATTTCATCACACTCCCGAGACCTTCTTCTCCAGTAGTGTTTTCAAGCTTTTTGAGCATGCAGACACTACCATCAAAAAATTATGTAGAGACATACTTGAGAGTTACAGTTTAAAGAAAAACAAGGTGTAATTATTTGGTTATTAGTAGCATTTACATATGCTTGAAAACTTCTGCTATATATACAGTAAGATTAATTTATTCTAACAATGATCTTGATAATCCCCCTGATTCCCAGACTCCTTGGAATAGCTCCACAGCTATCAGTGGTTCTGCCACAGGTTCAGAGCCTTCCCAGTACTGCCTTCTTATTTGAGAGGTGTGCTAAGAGCTATAAAGCAGAGGCTTCAATTGTACACAATTTGGAAGTTTAGGCAAAAGTCATTTCTTCCCTATATTTTGTCATGCTTATCTCCTGTCTCTTTCTGTTTTACAGATTAGCAATAAACTCCTTAAAACCCAAAGGTTTGGGCTTCTGTTCCTTTCACTTGCAGTCAGACATGGAGTTAGTGGTAGAAGAAACAGAAGGGGTAACCTGCATGGTGACAGCTACTGAGGGGATGGATAGGAAAGCAGGCTGAGTCCCTGGGGCCAGTGGTTACCAAAGCCAAGGAGAGAGCAAGGGGAGCCCAGTGGGCCTGGCCATGGACTGCTCTGGAATTCCGAGTGTGAACTTTCAGCCAAGAAGGTAGTGTGAAAATATTACTGTGAGGTTTTAAAAGTACACAAATAACAATTGTTTTTTGTAAAAAGAAAAAAAAAAAGTTAGAAAAAGAGATATGCCAAAAAGAAGAAAGTAAAAAATACATGACTTCTGTCTTCTGTTAACATATTAAAATTTATTCTTTTAGATTTTTATGTGTCTATATACATGTAAAATATATATGCATCCCCAAATTGTATTATACTCTTTTGAGACCTCACATTTTTTTTCACCCAAGAATATAACATTAATTTCTTTCCTTTAGAAAAGACATGAGACTAAAGAATGTTTATTGAGTTGAGAGTTTCCCAGTCAAGGAGTATGACTCTGTATAATAATAAATCTAATGTTTTATTTGAAATTATAATAAAATTAGAAATTTAATATTTGGCAGGATGTGAGTTGCCTGCATATGTACACCCTTTATTATATGACTAGACACTCTTTTGTGTGGTCATGGATATATTGGCATCTTTTGAAGTGTATCCTTTTTGTTTCAGGAGCTTCTGTCTAGATGAATAGCAAGTGTGACACTGATAATAGTAATCGAATATTCCTCCAAGTACAGGCTCCTTCCTCTTTCTCCTGGACCTTTGCACATGCTGCCTGGAAAACTCACCCACAACCTACTTTCCATCCTCTCCTTCGGCTCATCCCTGCTCAGCCCTCTTTGTTGAGATATTTGCCAAGCCAGATTCTCTGAGAAGCATTTCCTGGCATCTTCGTCTATATAATTCTGCTAGTTGTTTCTAAAACTATGTTGTTAGTGTGTATTGTAATCACCTATTTATGTCTGTTTGACTGTGAGCCTCTTGGAGATGGGAATTCTCTCCTATGCATTGCGGTTTCCCCAGCCCCTAGCACACTGTCTAGCCCAGTATTCCTTCTCAGTAAGTAGGTGTTGAATGACTTACAAAATGAATGCTAAAAGACCTGGTAGACAAGAAGGAATTTCTTAGCCTAAATGACCAGATGTGGAGAAGATACTCAAACACTTCAGGGTCCCCAATCTGGTGATGTCACTTGCAGTGGAATTTCATATGAATCCAGTGTGACAGAAGTTGCCTAGTCAAGTTGTAAGTCCCCTTCTCTGGGTCACATGTTCAAATACTTTTAGGGGACAGATAATGCAATATTTAAGATACAGGAAGTGATGAGGACTGTGGCACACTGGAGAGTTTGGACTCCAAGAGTAATTAATTCAGTTGAAAAAATCAACAGCACTCTGTTGATCAAGCAAACTTTCTAGGGGCCCTAATCCACCTGGGCCTGCAGTATGTAATTCCATAACTCATGGGATGCCATCAAGAGAGACAATCTACTTGATTGCTAAAGGGCCTTTGTTTTCTTTGGAGTTCCCCAGGAAGGAGAAATGTATGTGTGTGCAGGGGTGAGGAGGGGGGAGAGTGAAGAAACAATACTATCCCCTTAAAAAGGTTTGTCAGTTTTCATTATGAAAGAAGATCAAACGTGCCCACTCCAGAAATCTTGGCATATGCAGTTATTTTGAAGCCATTCAGCGTTCTTCAAGATGTCACAATGAAACGAGTGATGATTTTTTAAATAAAAAATTAAATTAACATGTTTCTCTTGGCAATGGGACTTTCTCACCATACTTTTAAGTTACATCACTTATTATGTATTCAAAATACTGATTTTTTAAAAGTATGTTCCTTGGAGCCCTGGGAACCTGCCTCAGGAGCTGGGGTGGCTGTGGGGAGGGAGTATGAAGGGAGCTGAATGAGTTAGTGAGAATCTGGGTCTTCATATCTTTTTTAAAATTGTGGCTGCTTTTTTCTGTTCTGTATAACAACTCTTTTTGAAAAGTTTCATTGTTGAGTTTTAAAACCACTGAACTAAAATAACCACCAATTTAACGTAAGTATAACTTCATTGAGTTTTTTTGTATTAAAAAAATTAAACTCCATTTTCTTCATGGATTAAGGTGATCCTACTAGGATATTTATTAAGCATTGTCTCTGCTGTTCTTTTTGCTTGCCTTGCTTTATCCCGTGTTTCCAAAAAATACAAATAGGTATTTTGTCAGCTATTTTACATTTTATAGCAGGGAAAACAGAGGCTTGGGTGATTTAAGTAAGTTACAGTTAGTAAGAGCCATAGGATACATTTCGGTGTAAGTCAATGTTTATGTAAGGCTTAAGGGACATTGGTTGAATTGGCATGACTAGAATAGTTGGGAATGTTTGGGAATGGGGAGAGATTGCTAATGGGATGTCTGCCAGGGGCAATACTGAAAATCTGCTGGTTGGTAAAGGTAGTGCCTGAGCCCAGTGCTAACCATAGTAGTTGGAAAATTGTGTACGTTGGCTGTGGAATCCTTATGCGAATATTTGTCCAATCCATCTAAATTTCTCTCTGCAGCATTTTTAAAAAGACATATAGCTGAAATTTTGTCAGTCCTAAAAATATTTTGTATTTCTCTGCCCAGATTTGCATTTGGGTAGATCGTGCTGTAGAAGATATATCTTGCTTTAAGATAGCTGCCACTGATTAGTTTATTTTAGTCTATTTTAATCAACTTATTGCCTTGTAATCTTTCCTTTTTCATTCTCTAAATTTCTGAAATTCTATCTTTCATGTTCCCCAGGAAAGACTAGTAAGACGTGTTTTTATTAATAAGACATTATCCTCATTTCACCATGACATAATTTGGGCTTTCTGTTCCAAGTTATCCTACTTGAATGCTGGACACTTCCACCTGAATATTTGTCATTTTCACCTCAACCCAGCACATCAAAACAATCCCTTATTACCTCTTTAAAAGAAGCTTCTCTCTCCAGCCTTTTCCTAGTCAGTATCACATCTTTTGAGCCAGGCATGGGGATTGCAGTTTCAGATTTCACCTCAAGTCTTCCTCTTCTGGTTCCTGAAGCTCCGGCAACCTCTGCTTTGAAACATTGTTGGCCTCTTCATCCCATCCCATGTCAATATTTAGCCCATGCCCTGTTGGCTTTGACTTAGCTCAATCACCTTAACCCAGTGTCTTAAAATTCTTGATTTTGAGTTTCTTATCCATCCAGTTTATTTACACATGAACTCTTTAAGCATGAAATTAATCATTCTTCTGTTCAGAAGCCTTCGAATGTGACCACAGCTTTTTCCATATAGACCTAAAACTTATATTCTTGGCCTTTGAGAGCTGCCTTCCCTACCCACTGATATATGTTTCTCGTGCTTCCTAACACCTACATGCTTCTGTTTGCTTAGTGACCACCCCCCACCCACTCATCAGCAGTTTGCATTAATTTAGTGTAAAGCTGTGTAAAGTTTATTGATTGATAACATCTGTGTCAAGATCATGGTTTTTTATTATAAAGAGCAGTTCATTGTGTTTTTTCCTTGCCCACGAATGGTATCTCTGTTCATTAGAATACATAATATTTTATGCATAGGAGGATAGAGTGAGAATATGAGTAGAACAAAGTAAGAATGAGAGGAGAGGATAGTGAAATTTGAGGATAGGATGAGAATGTAAATAGATTTATGTCCATCCATTACAAGATTAATAACCACAACGATAAAAGTCTTGAATGTTATTTATTTGCATATGAGTGATATTTCAGTTTGTGGCTGATACCCTTTTGGTATTAAATGGAAGATGACAAATCATCCAATATTAATTTTAGAGGGAGACATCTATTGAAATCTTTGTGCAGTCAGGTCAAGTTTCTGTGTACAAAAATTAGCAGAGAGGTTGCTGCTGGTTGACTTCCCCTAGGATGGTGTCTTTCTGAACATTTTGAAATGTAGATTGAAAAGGTGGATTTGTCAACTAACTCTGAAGTGCTGTAGTTAGTTGTGTTTTCATCATTGTTTTATTATTTATTTTATTTTTAAGATGGAGTTTTCGCTCTTGTTGCCCAGGCTGGAGTGCAGTGGTGTGATCTTGGCTCACTGCAACCTCTGCCCCCCGGGTTCAAGCGATTCTCTCGTCTCAGTCTCTCAAGTAACTGGGATTACAGGCACACACCGCCACGGCCAGCTAATTATTTTGTATTTTTAGTCGAGACGAGAATTCACCATATTGGCCTCAGGTGATCCGCCCGCCTCGGCCTCCCAAAGTGTTGGGATTATGGGCGTGAGCCAGCCACGGTGCCCGGCCTGTTTTATTGTTTGAAAAACAAGTACAGGTTGTTATTATCCAAGAATTGTTGATAGAGTATATACTGTATTTGAAGTGTAGAACTGAGGCAGAGGCTGATTAATATAACTAGTTTACTTTTGTTAGCCTTTCACATCTGTGAAGGAATAAAGTACAGACAAAAGTGGAAAACAAACCAGGAAAAAAAAATTGTGAAGCACAGAGCTGCTTAAAAGAAAAAAGTCACAGAAATAAGTCAGTATTTTGTTTAGAGACTAGAACTCCAACTGCTAGCCAACTGCCTAGAATATAGTAAATATTTTCTAGTTTCTTAAATGACTAGTAATATTCCTACATTATGTGATGGCATTTCCCAAACTGTTTAATTAGATGTTAGATTTGTAGCCAAATATGTCTAGGAAATGCTTAAACAATATAAAACAGTTTTAATGATTGGCTTTTTAGAACGTTATATATTAGTGTGCTTTATGCATATCCAAGAGGTGAGTGAGGTATTTGGGGTTTTTCAGACTTACTTGATTACAGATCTGGAGTATCTCAAAACAGTTGTTTTGTGGAAAACACTCTGGCAAACTCTGAGTCTTAGTCATTAAAAATAGTTTTTGGGTAAACAACAGTGTAATAGAAATGGAAATTACTGGTTCACATTGAGCCATGAAGAATTTATTTTCAGCAATTTTTATAGAAGTTGCTTTATGACAAAGAAAGCTTTGGTTAACTGGCATTTGGCATTTCATGCCCCTAAATTTTCTACATGAGGATTTATTTCTCTGGTTCTCTCACTTTCTCACTCAGTTATACTGAATTCATTTATGATGAGCGCTCTCAACCATTCTTATTCATCAAAGCCCTGAAGTTGGCAGAGCCCTCTCTGGTACCTGATTAGAAGTCCGTCTTCCGTCTCATAGGGAAGTGTTAGAGATGGATAATGTTTCTGTGTAGCAGAAGTAGTCATTATGTCCCCTTAAATTCGGTCACTTTGACTGCAGTAGAGCTTCTTAGTGAGCAGTCTGTGATGGAGTATACTTTCGGAGAAGCTCATGGTGGGGGAAATCTGGAATTTATCTAAATATTTCATTTCTTTGATAAATTACATTAAAAAATTAATGAGAGTATCTATTTGGTGAAATCATTTTCCTCCACGTGACCAAATGAGAAATTTAGTGAAAGATTTAAAATCATTTTTCAGACTTTTTCCACATTAGTCGGGAAGCAAACCCCTTTTTTAAGGCAATGTCAGTTATTAAGCTTTAGGGAACCACATGCCACTTTAGGGAACACATGATTGGAGAGATTGAAGAGTGAAGTTCCTGCTTTAAAGTGTACTCCTGTGGACACAGTAATACATATATTTAAAATGGTTCATGTTAAGAGTAGGTATATTTCTATCTAAATACTCTGTAGCTTTTGTGATTCAGGGAAACGAGTGGAGCCTCACAGGCACAAGAATCTAGTAAATTCTAGGTTTCTTGTGTGGAAATCAGTGGGCAAAATCTTAACTGAGTGAATTCTTGATTATTGGTATCACATTTGTTAGTCTGTATGTATCTGTGTCATCGATCTCCTTAAGAAGAGACTCGTAGATATTGACTGGGAGACCCAAGCTGAATGCTAAAATCTGCTCCATGGATATAAGCTGATGCAGTCATCATTTCACATTAAAATGTACCACAGCTATATATGCAGCAAAAAAAAAAAAAAAGTCCCTCCAGCTGAAAAGCAGTCATTACTTTATTATCACCACAGTATTTGAAATGATTTCTGTAGTTAACAGTCAGATTTTATTTTTAGTTAACTAAGACAAAGTGAATAATTCACTGTGAGCCAAATTCTTTCTTGATTCCTCTTTTTGGAGCAGTCCATCTTTATGGGAAAACCAGCCTAGAATGGTGATTTCAGTTTCAGGTGATTTCGATAGAATTGTATTTGGCTCAGAAATGATAAGACTGGGGCCAAGAAAAATTTTAAACTTTTTTTTTTGTAATCATATTACTAGTTTGATTTCATATGAACTTCCTTTGTTGACTTTCTTTGCCATTAATTTAAAAGTTCCAGTATCCTCAATATTTGATGTCTTATATGTACAGAATCCTTTCCAGCTGTAAGTCATCAGCAAGTAAAAAATTTAGTATGGCAATAGTTTTCATAAGAGGTTTTTTAAAACAGAAAAATGTTGACATTGCCAGCCTCTGGGTTGCATTTTGGGATATGCTACATTTCAAAGGTATCTTTTAAATCTGAAGGCAAAGACTTTTTCAACATCTGAATATTCTGATTTACAGAAATTAAAAAAAAAAAAACCCCGGAACATTACACGGGCATATAAATTTGAATCAGGAAAATATAAAATTAGCTGATTATTTTTATTCAGTAAAAGTGCCTTGGCACAGAACTAAAATTGATAACTTATGGTTTTAGCATGTAGATAAGTACATGAGAGTAAATCACATTTCTATATGAATAGAAATATCCACTTTATTCATGTATAGATTATAAAACTATACTAAACAAAAAGTAATCATTTACTATTACAAAAATTATTAAGAACCATTACAAAAATTCTCTGCCTACTAATTTTCAATCACCATAGAAATACAGTATTTAATAATGCTGCTGCTGTACTTACATAAAACATATTAAGAATAGATGTTATATTTCTGTGTTTGAATATTGAGCTTAAACATAAAACATATTTGAAATGTGTTTGTGTGTGTCTCTCACACACACACATAACATGTACATACCTGAAACTCATACTGCAATTGCAACACATCTTAAGTTTTTCCTTTTAAACATACCAAGATAACATTCTAAAATGAAGAATAATATCTATGTCTCTCTTCATACTACATACTATCTCTCTATGTATATACAATTGCTATAAACATATCTTTATATTTGATATATATAGGTACATATATATGGATAGATAAATATAGATATATGAGAGAGAAATGGAGATTAGAGATCTATGTTTGCCATAAATCATACTTGTTAACATAAACCATCTGATTAAACTGATATTTTGTGGCCCAAGACCTGAGACATGCAAAACTATTCTCAGCAGATAGAATTTTCTAAAAGCTGAGAGCTCATTCTCCAGGAGCTGGCCAAGGACCAGTACTAAAGGCAGACCTTTCTTGGAAATGTACACAGTCTGGGCAAACAAGACCTGCTGAGTTAACCCTTTCCTATACATATGCAGACGGTATTCAGCACAGGGCCTGACAGAAGGCAGTGTTTGTTATTATTATTCATAGCATTAGCCCATTTCTTGTTGTGAGCAACATGAACAAGGAGACTAAGGGGAGAAAAATGCCCTTTTTTAGGGTGACCACCCTAACTGATTTGAAAGTCTACAATTTTTTCAGTTTAAAATGGTATTTATTTGTAACATGTACTATTATTGAATAACAATTTCTAATTAAAAAACTACGCTAGTTTTCTGCCTATGGAGAAGCCACCTTTTTATTCTTTTACTTTCTTAATAAGCTTGCTTTCACTTAAAAAAAAAATCTACCCTACATATACACAAAAGTTAAAAAGCAGCAATATTGTACATTGGTCAGTATAAATGCATGCAGTTTTCTTTTCTTCAGTGTACAAAGTCCAAGTCTAAACCTTTATAATTTTTAGAGTCTAGCGATTCTCCAGACTCCATACTTTTCATTGTTATCAGATGCCAGCGTTAATTGCTTTTCCTTTCTTCTGTTTTGGGTTCCTGATCTTCATCTGTGTCTTTAAAACAGATTATTTTCTTTAGATTTGAAAGGTTGGGTTTTTGTCTTCATTTCTTATTTGTTTAGCCTTGTATTTCCCTTTCTTTAATTGAATTGTGTTATTGAAAATTAAATAATTTCTCTGTGAAGTCAAAAATCCTGTTTCAGGGTGGGCTCTAGAGCCTTCCTCTTGGGCCATATCCTTAGAAAGCCTGTGTGTATTCTGATACATTTGGCAATTTCTACTGGCTTTTCTTGTATTGTCTGACCCCTTTTTATTTCAGCGGTGCATCCTGGTCTTACCCAACAGGCAAGTGGTGACTCCAGTGCAGGTGACGCAGAGGTAACACTAGAATGAAGTGAAATATTCTGTTGAGGGCTAAGTTCATGTTTTTGCTGACAGTGGTGGATAAATGTCATGGCTTCCCCCTGCATAGTGCTTAGGACATTTCTTTTGATATGTGTTTTAGAGAAAACATAAAACTTGTAATCAGGAAAATGCAATAACGGAAGAAATGCTTACTTGAGTAACTAATGTGAGTTAGGCAAAGAAGATACAAATACTTCCCATTTCCTACTTCTAAATTACAGTCAAATTGTCCTAAGCAAATCTCTCATTGTCTCCATGTAAAAGATATAGAGAAGCCGTTAGAAAAAGGTGGCTGGAACAACTTTATACATACAGCCTGAATGAACTGCCTCATCATTTATATGTTTGAGGAAAGTGTCTGTTTGATAATTTAAATTAAGTTTAAACTGTCATAAACGGAGAGCTGTACAGATTCTGTGGGAGAGGATACTGGGGTACCAGATACTCATTACTAGGCTCTCCACTCTGCCTTCTTCAATACTCTGGATCAGTGCCCTTTATTCATTTTTTTCACAACTTCCTCCCCTTTGCTCACATTCTTTACAAGCTTCCAGGATTTTTTTATTTTATTTTATTTCTTTCCACAATGACTCTCATGGCTGTTGCTATAGTTGCTATAAAAGGCAAGGTGGGGAACAGACAGGTGAATGAGCACAGAGGTCATTTGTAAACCGTTTGTGGTTAGTGCTCCTCTGTTTACTGTCTGTCTGTCTCTCTCAGTGTCTCTGGGTATGTGTCTGTTTACAACATAAAATATATGCACACAAATCTCCAATTTTTCTAGAGTAACTATTAACACAGTTAAAATCTGGAAGAACTCTATCTTTTAAAGGAAATACCAATTAGCAAATAAAACAGTTGATTCCCCCCAACTCTCATTCCCCAGAGCTTGCTTAAGTGTATGGTTTGCACACATTCCATAAATAAAAACATTGCTGGCTCATAACTATGCTTCACTTTCATAAGCCTTCCAAATGTTAGTAACTTAGCCTTCTCCTTTTGAAGGGTTAGTCTGTAAGTGATACTGGAAGCCATGTGGTAAGAAAGAGGACAGAAGTATAAAATCAGACTCAGAAAGTAAAATCTGGCATATTTGGCATAGATCCATTCAGCTTCGTATACTTTGTTAGGACCCGAGGGCATGCCTGATTTTCATAAAATCGATGCACTGTTATTAAAACAAACAGGTGAAAATCACTTTTGTTAAACTACTTGACAAGGCATCTGACTACCTTAAGTGTGTTATAAATTTTGCAAGTGGTTAAAATTTTATGCTTATGAATTCAAAAGATAGACTTTAGTTAAATTAAAAACTAATTTATGTAGATATTTTCCCTAATAATATAGCACAAATGGGTTTTATTTCCAACTGAAAAGAGTATTTATTACCATGGATATAACTAGAAGAATCATACAAATATATGTAATTCCATTAGAAAATATTTTTCTTAAAATTTGAAATGACAAGAACTTAATGAATCTTAAATATCTCTTGTTTTATTTTGAAAAATTGTTTTCATAAGATACAATTGAGCAATTGAGATTTGTTCTCCCAGTATCTGAAGATTTTTTTGGTCTTGTTTTGTTTTTTGGGTTTTTGGCCCTAAAATTAGGTGAATTCAGCTTTGGGTCTATTTCATCCATTCTGGAAGGTTCCTTGGGTCACTGATCTGAGGCATTCTTGATGTGGTTAGGACTTCCCAGCATTATTTTTTTTAGATCCTGTTTATTTAAAATGAAAAGGATTAGCATGAGGGATGGTAACATTCCTTTTTGATATCTGTAGCAGCAAGTTTTCTTATGATTCATTATTCTTCTTCTTACAGCTTTAAATCATCTAGGAACTTCATATAAAATTTAATTCCAGTTTCAACTAGTTGTGGAGCATTTGATCCAAAATAAAATGAAAGTCCTTTCTGAAGCTGTAGAGGAGACTCAAGAATCAGAACAACCTGAAGTTCTTTAAGCTGTCAGTTGAAGGACTAGGTAAAAAACAAATATCATTTAGTGTGATCATTAATGCACATGAGTCATTATTCCATGTGGTTGCTGTCGACTGGTCAGGGGCACTTCAAGCCCTAATCTGTACTTTGTCCTGTCTCTCTACACCCCGTTCTACTTTTTCAGCTTGTTGCCTGTAATATGTGAATGGAAATAAAATAATCAAGCTTGTTAGAATTGTGTTCATAATGACACAAAAGACCTGAGAGAATGTAAGAACATATAGAACATCCAAAATAAGACATATTTTTGGTTGGTTTAAAACCTTTTTGTTTGTTTCATTTTCTTCTGTGCTTAATGTATAGTTACTATTATTTCATATCCTTTGACTTACAGGTTTGACTGCAATGCAGTGTGAATATCACACTTGGGACCATTTGTCATACTGTCAGATGGCAATACATAGATGGATAGAATTTTGCTGTTTGATCAAAGCTGTGCCATCGGAAACTTGTTTTCCCAAGTATGGGTACATTCTCCTCTTTTCCTGAGTGGAGAAACCTAGATCTGAGCAAAAAGCATGAATCAATACACCTTGGGAGGCAGGGTGTCAAATATTTGATGCCATTTCCTTTGCTTGTTAATTGTTCATTTCATTTGAATATAAATATAAAAGGACTTCTACCAAGAACATGAAACTAACATTTTGCCAAGCTAAATTTTAATGAATTTATTTGGACTTTTTTATAATCACTTAATATTTTCAGTTCATGTGCTAATATTAACTCTACTTACTGGAGAGAAAGAAATGGTATTCAATATGATAACTGCCTTGTTACTGCAGAAATGTAGAAGTTTGGCATTTTAAGTATCAAATATTTTAAGTCAAAAAATTACCAGTGTCCCACAGCACAGAGAGAGACTATATGTTTGCTTGTGTCCCTTTAATCTTTCCCCTGTAAAATTAAGCCTAGGGGCCTTACACTATTTTAAATTTTCAAAATTAGGTCTTGTAAATGTTGTGTCAGATTTCCAATTCATAAGTAGTATACTTATGAATACTGAATAGTGAACATAGGGTACATTTATATCCTACTGATTGCTTAGCTGTGGACCAGAGGTAAACAGAGAATGAATGGTATTTTCACAGGTTAGTAAACTGTTTTTCTATGATCTCTTATATACAAGTGTGATGAACATTTTTTCCCCCTTCCTGAACTAATATAGGAACATATGGTCTAATAAGTGTGAGTTCATTTGGGGAGGGCAGGATAGAATGCTTGAAATTAGGACTGACCCAAAAAATGCCTTGGTCTCAGTATTTGTGGATTACGAGGAGGAAGGGCTGAAAAGGAACCTTAAAAGCATTAGAATGGTAGAGTACAGATTAGCAGCAACACTCAGGGCTCCATCATGAAGAGAGTGAGATGAGTTCCCATGGTTAATGCAGCAGGGGCTCTAATTGAAAGCCCTCTACCTAGGAAATGATTTAAATCCTTTTATCCTAGCTGGATTGTGAACGTTTTATTTACTTTGAGGAAGTTGTTTAACCCTTTTTGTAGATTGCATCAATATTTAGAGTAATGTAAATACATTTTCCCTTTGGCTATTTTACAAGGACATTGAGGATTAATTAAATTTAAAAGAAAGTAGTGCAGTTAACTCCCAGGAGACAGAGGGAGATGTTTATCATTTTTCTCATCATTCATTCCTTATTCATTCATTTTACAAATGTTTGTTGAATAGTAATTATAATGAAGATACTATACCAGCTTCCTGAATTGGGAATACAAAGATGAAGGATGAGAGTGACTTCTGCCTTCATTATGTTATGTGTTCATATTTTCTTTTTAAAATTCTCATTATAATATGAGTAATTGTGCAGGGATTTAATATTGCTGGTCTCAGCAATAGTTGATCTTTGATTAACATCTCACTGACACATATTTTCACTGTGTATATTTATTTTTCCTTTCTAAATTTAGATCTACTCTTTATCTTCTACTGTAAGAGATATACAACATACTTTTGTTTTTTTCTATGTTGTAATCAGTGCAGTTTTTTTAACCAAGAATAAACACAAGTTCTAATAGCAAACAGAAATAAACTCCCTACACATTACCTTCTCCATTAAAATATGTTTTATGCCACATGCAGAATTTTAATATTATATAGTTATTTGTGAAAGTATAACTAAATAGAAATTTTAAGAAAGAATGCCTCTAATATTCATATCTTAGCACTAAAGAAGCATATATTATTCTGCAGATTGAATTAAAATGTTAGTTACCAAGATATGAACTTAGACATTTTCAGTAAGCATTTATAGGCTATTCTAGTAGAAAACTGTACACAATTTCCCATGAGGCTGGTGAAGGTTTCTTAGCTTAAGCGACTTTTTAGCTGGTTCTTGGATTTTATTAAATAATATTTGAATGAACAGTTTTGACTAACAGCCTGAAAATATTAATCTTTCCTCTCAGTCTGAGCAAGCGAAAGTAAATAAATTCATATTGTATGTCTGATTCTCTTTGGGTTTGAAAAGAAATAAAGACTCCACTTCTAAATTAGCATAGAAAAAAGGAGAATTTCTCTTGATTTATTTCTCAGTTTGGGTTTGTGCTTTTGAAAAAGGAAAATAATGATCCTGAAATCAGTAGGCTTTGTCTTTGCCAAAAAATGTGGACATGTTGATCTTAGGGGGGCTGATTATATAAAACAGTAGAAATGTAGTCTTAGATGAAAATCTGTAAAGATGTAAGAATGCTGAACTAACATGAAAATCAGGGGCTGAGAAAATGCTGGATTGAGAATAATGTGATAATGAAGGTTTTATATATATTCATATATATAAAATGTATTCATATATTCTCTTCAACATACATAATGTCATAAAAAGGATAAAACGCCTAAGTCTAGTCTTGACAGAGCACCAGCTTAAATCACATGAGCCTATCAGAGAACTTATGACAATATTTAGGGCTAAACTGATGTTACTGGTGAACCAGTATCTGGAATGATTTCCATAACTCACTTAACTTGCACATTTATAATGTGGACTTTAAATAATAATTATCAGGATGGCTACTCTGAAGCCAGGAGCTTAGGAAGTGTCACAGATGGTATATATTTGTATTCCTGCCTCATGTCCCTTTCCCTGAAGTGGCGTGTGGAGTATGAGGGATTACGGTGTATTTGTAGGTGGTGTCCCTGAAAGGCTATCAGGGGACTTCTGGTTCTGCTTCAGTTCTGTTTTGTGAAGACGGTCAAGTGATTTAAGGTCTCTTGCTTCAGCCATCCCACTTAGAAAGCAGTTGCTTTATAGTCCTTTGGGTATATACCCAGTAATGGGATGGCTGGCTCAAATGGTATTTCTAGTTCTAGATCCCTGAGGAATCGCCACACTGACTTCCACAATGGTTGAACTAGTTTACAGTCCCACCAACAGTGTAAAAGTGTTCCTATTTCTCCACATCCTCTCCAGAACCTGTTGTTTCCTGACTTTTTAATGATTGCCATTCCAACCGGTGTGAGATGGTATCTCATTGTGGTTTTGATTTGCATTTCTCTGATGGCCAGTGATGATGAGCATTTTTTCATGTGTTTTTTGGCTGCATAAATGTCTTCTTTTGCGAAGTATATACCCAAAGGACTATAAATCATGCTGCTATAAAGACACATGCACACGTATGTTTATTGCGGCACTATTCACAATAGCAAAGACTTGGAACCAACCCAAATGTCCAACAATGATAGACTGGATTAAGAAAATGTGGCACATATACCCCGTGGAATACTATGCAGCCATAAAAAATGATGAGTTCATGTCCTTTGTAGGGACGTGGATGAAATTGGAAATCATCATTCTCAGTAAACTATCGCAAGAACAAAAAACCAAACACCACATATTCTCACTCATAGGTGGGAATTGAACAATGAGATCACATGGACACAGGAAGGGGAACATCACACTCTGGGGACTGTTGTGGGGTGGGGGGAGGGGGGAGGGAGAGCATTGGGAGATATACCTAATGCTAGATGACGAGTTAGTGGGTGCAACGCACCAGCATGGCACATGTATACATATGTAACTAACCTGCACATTGTGGACATGTACCCTAAAACTTAAAGTATAATAATAAAAGAAAAAAAAGAAAAAAAAAAAAGCAATTGCTTGAGACTACTTCACTGTAAGCTCCTTTTTTTTTTAAATAAATGCAGATTTTATGATATTCCTGATCATTCTCTTTGCACTTAGATTTAAAATGTTATTTGCAGTTGATTAGAGCGTGGTGATAAGTAAGCCAGGATTTCTGGAATGCCAGGGCACTGTCCCCATGCATGGAAAACTGCACAAGAGCTTGTGTGTCTTGACATTCCCACATGTCAGGATGCCTTCATTTGCTAATGACAGAATACCCAACTCAGACTGGATTAAATAAAAGGGGATTTTCTTGCTTATTTAACTCTAGATTCAGTGGTAAATGGGTTTCTGGGTTGATTGGTTTGGGGCCTAACAATGTCTTCAAGGACTTGGTTTCTTTTCAACAGTCAGCTTTACCTTCCTGTGAGCTAGCATTGTTTCCCATGGGATTGCAAGGCAGCTGCATACAACTCCTGCAGTTCTTCCTTTTCCATATCCAGAGAGGGGACGTCCTTTCAGACGCTGATTATTTTAGGTGTAAATTCCATGTCCCATCCCAAAACAAACAAACAAAAAAACATCTAGGGCATTTCTTATTTGAGGCGCTTAACAAATGACTGGATCATCTCCCTTGTATATAACCCAGAAAACACTGTGAAGTAGAGCAAAATTGGAAAGCCCAAGTCAAAGACCATTTGCAAATTTCAAGTAGATTCCAGTCTGTTGCTCAAATCACAAAACATGAAATGGAGGGGTCTCCCTTGGAGACCATAAAGTCTGTGACATGGTGGCCAGTTGGGTCACTGGAAAACATGGCAAAATATTGAAAATGAGGGATTAGGTGAGAGTGTAGCAACTGAACACTAAATGCTTGATCCAGGTGCCATCCCCTGGATACTGACAGGGAGACACATTGTCCAGGTAATACTGGAAAAATACTTTCTATAGTGTAAACCACAAATAAAATTCCAAGCCCCTCAACTATTTGAATGCACCCCTCCTCTCAGCCAGGGTCATTCCAAAGTTAACCTGAAAAACTGGTTCAGACCATGATGGGAAGTAGGGGTCAGATATGCCTCATTATACCCTCCTTCCTTTGGAATTCAGGCACAACTGACCAGCACATCCGACCAGGCACAACTGGCATTACAACAGAGATCTTAAGACTTTTTGTAGCAATAAGACACCAAATTCCAGCCTGACTCTAGTGTAGCATTACATGACAGATAGCAGGCCCTGAAAGAAATACAAATATTTTACCCTAAAATATATTTGTTATCATATTTTGAAATGTCCCTACAAAGTTGTCTCTTGTGGGGAAAGTCTACATGCTACAGGGAATCCCTTTCCAGGTCTTTTCCCTAATCTAGGCACCTTTTTAAGTCTGATAAGAAACATTTACAATCAATTCTGTCTGAAGCCTGCTATCTGGAGGCTTCATCTGCATAATAAGAACAACCCCTTAACACAGAGACTGCCTTCTATGGATTCCAGGTCTTTAGATAAACTCTTTCAACCAATTGCCAAAGTATCAGAAAATGATGGCTGGTAACTATTTAATTATGCATATATATTAGTAGAATTTGGGGGGTGGGCACGGTGGCTCATGCCTGTAATCCCAGCACTCCTTCAGGAGGCTGACAGATTGCCTGAGTCCAAGAGTTTGAGACCAGCCTGGGAAACATGGTGAAACCCCATTTCTACCAAAAAAAAAAAAAAACAAAACAAAAATTAGCCAGGCATGGTAGTGAGCACCTGTGGCCCAGCTACTCAGGAGGCTGAGGTGGGAGGATTACTTGAGTCTGGGAGGTGAAGGTTGCAGTGACCCAAGCTTGCAACACTGCACTTCAGCCTGGGTGACAGAGGAATGGGCCTTCACTAGACACTGAACCTGCTCGCAACTTGATCTTAGACTGACCATCCTCCACAACTGTGAGCAATAAATTTTTATTGTTTATAAGTTACTCACTCTGTGGTATTTTGTTATAGCAGCACAACTGGATTAAGACATTAACCTGACCTTAAGAAATCATCTCAAATCAGTCTTGGCTTTGATGAGAAACAAAGGGCACACTCGAATGTGTGATTTAAAGAGAGTTTTTTTTCTTTTTTGAGATGGAGTCTCGCTCTGTCCCCCAGGCTGGAGTGCAGTGGCATGATCTCGGCTCACTGCAAGCTCCGACTCCTGGGTTCATGCCATTCTCCTGCCTCAGCCTCTGGAGTAGCTGGGACTACAGGTGCCCGCCACCACACCTGGCTAATTTTTTGTATTTTTAGTAGAGACGGGGTTTCACTGTGTTGGCCAGGATGGTCTCGATCTCTTGACCTCATGATCTGCCCTCCTCGGCCTCCCAAAGTGCTGGGATTGCAGGCATGAGCCACTGCACCCAGCCTACAGAGAGTTTTATGAAGAGAATATTTCTAAATATATGGACAGGATCAAAATAACCCAACAAAGGACTGAGAGGCGCTCAGAATCTGATCTGGAATCAGCAGAGAAGTTGTATTGCCTCTAGGACTTAATTGTTGTATAAGTCTGTTCAGGTTGCCATAACAAAATACCATATACCAAGTGGCTTAAACTATAGAAATGTGTTTCTCACACTTCTAGAAGTTGGGAAGTCCAAGATAAAGGTGCTAGCAAAGCGGATTTCTTTCTAAGATCTCTTCCTACGGCCTGTAAGTGGCTGTAGTTTCACTGTGTGCCCATGTGACCATTTCTTTGTGCACCATGGGGAAGGCGGATGAGCAAGCTTTCTAGTGTCTCTTCTTATAATGGCATTAATCTCAGCATGAGGACCCCACTCTCATAACCTCTTTTAAACCTGATTACCTCTCAGAGGCCCCAGCTGCATAAACCATCACACTGGGGGTTAGGGCTTCAACATTTAAGTGTGGGAGTTGGTGTTCACAATTCAGTCAATTGGAGTGGAAATTGAAATGGGAAAGGAAAACTATAGTTACTAGAGAGAGCTATTGTCTTGGGGAGGATCACTGGACAGGACTATGGTCTTTGGAGAAATAAGCGAGTTACAACTGACAAAGATTCTTTCTGTGAAAATAAGTAATTTAAAATGTAAGTTGTTGGAATTCCAAATTACTGTGAGCCTTAAAAAAATGTGAGTATGGGCCAGGCACCATGGTTCACACCTGTAATCCCAGTACTTCGGGAGGCCCAAGGCAGGCAGATCACCTGAGATCAGGAGTTCAAGACCAGCCTGACTAACATGGAGAAAGCCCATCCCTACTAAAAATACAAAATTAACCAGGTGTGGTGGCGCATGCCTGTAATCCCAGCTACTTGGGAGGCTGAGGCAGGAGAATCACTTGAACCTGGGAGGCAGAGGTTGCAGTGAGCTGAGATTGCACCATTGCACTCCAGCCTGGGCAACAAGAGCAAAACTCTGTCTCAAAAAAAAAAAAAAAGAAAAAAGAAAATGTGGGTATGGAGCCTAAGTCACATGAGAGGCACCTGTAAACTAGGCAGTTGTAACCTTTGTTTCTCTGATTATAGATTGGCCTTCTTCCTTACATACATTGTTGTTTTTTTTTGTTTGTTTGTTTGTTTGTTTGTTTGTTTGTTTTTTGAGATGGAGTCTTGCTCTGTGGGCCAGGCTGGAGTGCAGTGGCATGATCTCGGCTCACTGCAACCTTGGCCTCCTGGGTTCATGCCATTCTCCTGCCTCAGCCTCCCGAGTAGCTGGGACTATAGGCGCACACCACCATGCCCAGGTAATTTTTTGTATTTTAGTAGAGACGGGATTTCACCATGTTAGCCAGGGTGGTCTCCATCTCCTGACCTCATGATCCACCTGCCTCAGCCTCCCAAAGTGCTGGGATTACAGGCATGAGCCACTGCACCCAGCCACACGCATTGTTTTCTAACATGTTATATAAATTATTGAAGGGTGCCAGGGAAGATTGCTTCCCTCTTCACTGCTGACTTTCATTATAGATTAACTTCCTTCTTACCTTGCTCTCATAAAGACTTCATGGCTATTGCATTGTCTTAAGATGCAATGTTAAATACACTCCTTTAAATTGGAAAGGAAATGTGAGCCAGCTATAAAGAAAGAAAACAAGTAGTATGGAAAGAGAAAAAGGTTGGGCACAGTGGGGCTCATGCCTGTAATCCCAGCACTTTGGGAGGCTGAGGTGGGTGGATCACTTGAGGTCAGGAGTTTGAGACCAGCCTGGTTCACATGGTGAAATCCCATCTCTAGTAAAAATACAAAAAATTACCTGGGCATGGTGGTGGGCACCTGTAATCCCAGATATTCAGGAGGCTGAGACAGGAGAATCACTTGAAACCAAGAGGCAGAGGTTGCAGTGAGCCAAGATCATGCCATTGCACTCCAGCCTTAGCAACAGAGTGAGACTCCATCTCAGAACAACAACAATAACAAAAAAAAAAACAAAAAACAAAAAATTCTGCAACTAATTAATTTGTTGTAACTCTTAAAGCAGCCTTATATAGAAAATGTTGTGATCCTATTAATTTTTTTTCTTTCTTTCTATGTAAGCAAGAACTTCACTTTTGACTTTGCAGCACTGACCCCATTTCTCTGGAGTCTGTGTGCCCTGATTGGCTATTCCCAGATTTTTGTTTGAATAAACTCTTTTTTAATTTTTACCATTAGTTCCCACAAGCAGAATGAATAAACATTTTAACACTGAATTCTGAACCTTTCAATTATTTCAGGTTGACATCTCCTTGGCCAAACTAATCAGGCTCTTCTGAGTCCTCTTCTCACTAGGCCTCAACTATTGAGCTTCTGTGTTCGTCTCTGCATTGTTCAATCTCAGCAAGAATCCTTCTCAGTCAATTTAGCCAGAATTCCCCATCTTCAATAGCTGACCACTCATAATATCTAATAGGGCTCCTCATCCTTCACCATCTGCTAGGTGATGTCTGATCACCCTGCATTCAGCAAGAATGCTATATGTTGGCTTAGCCATGTGGGAAGCCCAAAATATGCCACCCCAAAATACACTCCTTTGGTATAATTTGAGATGGCTATTTAGAGGGGCTGCAGATGTTACTGAGGGGTCTCACCCCAAAAAGGGACTCTTTCCTGTTTATTATTGCAAAGCCAATGTATGAAACCAAGAGTGAGCGTCAAGCAGTGCAGGCTCTATTCAATGGCATTGGAGAAGTAGGAGCATAGCATGGAATTGGAGAAGTAGTATAGCTTGCAAATCACCTTCTCAGCTACTGAGAACCAGGAAGTTACAAATATAGAGGATCTTTAAGGAAGGGAATGAGCAAGGTGAGGAATATTCATGCTTTTCTTAGGAAGGGATGGAGATTTTCCTAGAATCAAGGAGTCACCTCATTTCTGTCCTTTCTTGGTCTCTTCCGTTCATTGTCACAGTGATTGTCAACTGTCATGCACTGATGGGAGTGCTATTTAGCATGGAAATTGGATTATAATAAAGCTAGATGTTTTTCAGAGGTTGCGTAAGCTGCCATCATGGATTTCACCAGCTTCAGCTGGTTTAGTCCCAAGAAGAAACTTCTGACCACAGACATCCTGTTTCTTAAAAATAAGCAGAGTTAAAGGTGAGTAAGAATTCAGCCATGTCACATAGGCACTGCAATGGCCAACAACATCTGGGTAGGGTTCCAGGTAAGTCATGTAGGCAGTGCAATAGGCAACACAGTCACAGAAATACCTATGAAAAGCTGTCCTTTTGTCAGGGAGATTAGCATGTGTAGAGGAAGTAAACATCAACTGCAAATGGCTTTCTCTGAGACCTTCTTATCTGCTTTATCTGGATCCAGGTAAGATTAACTCACAGGAAAAGGAAACAAAAGATCTCATGCTTTTAAAGGTCTGACAGAGAAAGTTTTTTTTTTTGAAACGGGGTCTTACTCTGACACCCAGGCTGGAGTGTGCAGTGGTGCAATCTTGGCTCACTGCAACCTCTGCCTCCCAGGTTCAAGCCATTCTCATGCCTCAGCCTCCCGAGCAGCTGGGATTACAGGTGCCCACCACCACACCAGGTTAATTAATTAATTTATTACTTATTTATTTATTTATTTTAGACAGAGTCTTGCTCTTTCGCCCAGGCTGGAGTGCAGTGGTGCCATCTCAGCTCACTGCAAACTCTGCCTCCCAGGTTCATGCCATTCTCCTGCCTCAGCCTCCCTAGTAGCTGGGACTACAGGTGCCCGCCACCACGCCTGGCTAATTTTTTTGTATTTTTAGTAGAGACGGGGTTTCACTGTGTTAGCCAGGATGGTCTTGATCTCTTGACCTCATGATCCACCTGCCTTGGCCTCCCAAAGTGCTGGGATTACAGGCATGAGCCACCGAGCCCGGCCTGTATTTTTAGTAGACATGGGGTTTGCCATGTTGGCCAGGCTGGTCTTGAACTCCTGACCTCAAGTAATCTGCCCACCTCAGCCTCCCAAAGTGCTGGGATTACAGGCATGAGCCACCACATCTGGTGGAGGGCTGCTTCTTGAGAGACTTCATCTGCATCACATCTGCATCACAACACAGCCTTTGCTCACCATGTCTTTCCTCCCCTCAACCTCCCATAACCTGTGGCCACCACCCCCTAAGAACTCCAAGCCTAGTTAGTCCTTTATGTGCTGCATATAAACTTCAACCATACGGCCTTCTTTGAGGCTTTTTTTTTTTTTTGAGACAGAGTTTTGCTTTTGTTGCCCAGGCTGGAGTGCAATGGCGTGATCTCAGCTCGCCGCAACCTCTGCCTGCCAGGTTCAAGTGATTCTCCTGCCTCAGCCTTCGGAGTAGCTGGGATTACAGGCATGTGCCACCACACCTGGTTAATTGTGTATTTTTAGTAGAGACGGGGTTTCTCCATGTAGGTCAGGCTGGTCTCGAACTCCTAACCTCAGGTGATCGGGATCCACCTGCTTTGGCCTCCCAAAGTGCTGGGATTACAGGCGTGACCCACTGTGCCCGGCCTGAGGCTTATATTTTTATGTGACTCTGTATTAGTCAGGGTTCTCTAGAGAGACAGAATTAATAGGATAGATATACAAAGGAGTTTATTAAGTATTACACTTACTTTTTTTTTGTCTTTTTTTTTCTTACTTTTTGTGGAAAACAGGGTCTTGCTATATTGCCCAGGCAGGTCTCCAACTCCTGGGCTCAAGCTATCCTCCCGCCTCTGCGTCTCTGAGAGCTGGGATTACAGGTGTGAACCACCACACCCAGCCAGGAGTTTATTAAGTATTAACTTACACAATCACAATGTCCCGCAATAGGCTGTCTGCAAGCTTAAGGAGCAGGAAAGTCAGTTCAAGTCTCAAAACTGAAGAACTTGGAGTCTGATGTTCCAGGGCAGGAAGCATCCAGCACAGGAGAAAGATGTAGGCTGGCAGGATAGGCCAGTCTTGCCTTTTCATGTTTTTCTGCCTGCTTTATATTCATGGGCAGTGGATTATATTGTGCCCACCAGATTTAGGGTGGGTCTGCTTTCCCCAGCCCATTGACTCAAATGTTAATCTCCTTTGGCAACACCCTCACAGATACGCCCAGGATCAATACTTTCATCCTTCAATCCAATCAAATTTGTGAGAAACAAATTCACCCGTCTAAACCCAAACAATGAACTCAGAGACCCAGAGAACAGCGAAAGTGAGACTTTTAATGACGGTCTTGCAAGATCGTGTGTCTGGCATGCAGGCACACCCAGCACAGTTTCAACAAGCAATTTACGCCCTAGTGCACAGGTCCCTCCCTCAGTTCCTCATAGGCTGAGTACTAGCCTTCCACAATCTTCCTAGACATCACCTATTGATTGTTCTTCAAGTACATTATTTAGGGTCTTTCTGCTGCATTTTATTGCAGCACACGATGCATTATGACTCTCAGGATTTTTCAAACATTTGACTTACGGCTCTAGTGGCTGCACTTAGCTGATAAGGGTACAATTATCTATGTTGCAAGCTAGCTTAAACTAAATTTCTTTGTGGAGTGGGGAAGGGGTAGATGAGGGGGCCCCCACCGATAGATGCCTGGCCACTGGGTGAAAGGGAAAGAAGGAAGGTGGAGGGGGTGGCTCAGTACATTCTGCTTCTTTATTTCTTTCTTTCCAGGTAGCCTGCCTAAACCTATACCAAGCCACTTAGAATTGAAAATAGATAATCACATATAGGTTATTTCCTACTATACCCTCCTTTTTCTTTTTACCCTTTTTGGTTTCATTTTCACTTAAATTGCTTTTTCAAACTGTTCCAGAATTGTTTACTTTTTTTTTTTTTAGACGGAGTTTTGCTCTGTTGCCCAGGCTGCAGTGCAGTGGGGTGATCTCGGCTCACTGCAACCTCTGCCCCCCAGGTTCAAGCGATTCTCCTGCCTCAGCCTCCCGAGTAGCTGGGATTATAGGCGCGCTGTAATTTTTGTATTTTTAACAGAGACGGGGTTTCACCATGTTGGCCAGGCTGGTCTTGAACTCCTAAACTCAGGTGATCATGAGCACCCGCTTCAGCCTCCCAAAGTGCTGGGATTACAGGCGTGAGCCACCGCGCCAAGCCAGAAGTTGTTTACTTTCTTCCTCATAGGAGGAGGAGTTTATTTGGTTTCTAATAATAGTAGGTTATTTTGTTGGAACATCAGGGGCATCTGTTTACTGAGAGTTGTTTTAATAAACCTTAGTGTTATATATATATATACATATATATATAAAATATATTACATATATTATATATAGTAGTAGTGTTAAACCCCTTACACAAGTATTGATGCAACATCGTATGTCAATGACAGAATCTGATAAGTTGGAAGAGTATACTGTAGAAGATACATACTTCACTTTTTTTTTTTTTTTTTTTTTTTGAGATGGAGTCTTGCTCTGTTGCCCAGGCTGGAGTGCAGTGGCGCAATCTCGGCTCACTGCAACCACCGCCTCCTGCGTTCAAGCAATTCTGCTGCCTCAGCCTCCCAAATAGCTGGGATTACAGGTGCCCACCACCACACCTGGCTAATTTTTGTATTTTTAGTAGAGACAGGGTTTCACCATGTTGGCCAGGCTGATCTTGAACTCCTAACCTCAGGTGAACTGCCCGCCTTGGCCTCCCAAAGTGCTGGGATTATAGGCATGAGCCACCACCCTGACTCATACTTCACTATTGAAACAAACTTTTTTTGTGTACAGAAGAAAAAAAATCGTACAGTTAATAGTGTCAGAGATAGTGAAAATATGAAACAAGAACTGCTTACAAGAAAGGAGCACTCAGGGGACCAAACCTCTGCCAGAGCCAGCGGGGAAGTGACTTATGCCTCTCTCTTCTTTCCCTCCTGTCCCCGCCCCTCGTCTCCCACAATGAAGCGGGTACTTAATCTGTGTCCTGTGGAGGTCCCCTTTGGCAGCCAGCTGGAAGCCCGTGCACCCTCCTTCAAATAATGGCTTTCAATGAGCAGACTAGAACATTTAGGATTGCAAAGGAAACCGATTCCTTTCAAACCTGGTTATCTTTGTGATGTGGCACTGTTTGCATATCTTCCTTAAAACGCATTAAAGGCCACTGCACTCCACCCTGGGCGACAGGAGGTGACTGTGTCTCAAAAAAACCAAAAACACTCCCCCCTCACCCCAAAGCATTAGACATCAAGGCTGGCAGGGATGTCTGTTCTCTTGAAAGTTCAATATCAATTCAATACTTTAAATTCACTGTAGTTTCAATCCATTGGTATGGAAAGTGTTTTGAATTATTGTACTGATTTTTTTCTATCCTCTTTCTGATACGCATGCTAATCATATGGACCTTGGACATCTATCTTCCTGAACTTTTCTCTCCTGTTTTTACATTCTTACTTTGGTTTGTGGGAAATATTCTTGATATTATCTTCAACTTAATTTTTGTTCTTGCTTCTACTATTTTAGTTTAATTTCCAAGTATTTTGATATTGAACTTTCAAGAGAACAGACATCCCTGCCAGCCTTGACGTCTAATGCTTTGGGGTGAGGGGGGAGTGTTTTTGGTTTTTTTGAGACACAGTCACCTCCTGTCGCCCAGGGTGGAGTGCAGTGGCCTTCAATGCGTTTTAACGAAGATATGCACACAGTGCCACATCACAAAGATAACCAGGTTTGAAAGGAATCGGTTTCCTTTGTAATCCTAAACGTTCTAGTCTGCTCATTGAAAGCCATTATTTGAAGAAGGGTGCACGGGCTTCCAGCTGGCCGCCAAATGGGACCTCCACAGGACACAGATTAAATACCCGCTTCATTGCGGGAGACGAGGGGCGGGGACAGGAGAGAAAGAAGAGACAGGCATAAGTCACTTCCCCCGCCGGCTCCGACAGCGGGTTGGTCCGCTGAGGGGCGTTGGGTGAGGCGGAAGAGCAGACGGGGATCCGGAAGGCGTTGTCGGTGACATCACGGAGAGGGCGATTTCTATGTAGATGAGGCAGCGCAGGGGCTGCTGCTTCGCCACCTGCTGCTTCGCCACGAAAGAGTTCCCGTGCCGTGGGAGCAAGTCTGGGACCTCTGGTCGGAACGGAGAGTCGCAGCTGTGTGTTAGGGCTAGGATGGCTCCGGGATGCGCGTGAGGCAAGTGACCTTGCGTGTAAAGGGTGAGGAATATGAGGCTGCGGCGGGGCGGAGGGGCGTGAGCTTATACTTATGTTTATCTGACAGAAGAAATGTTATGATCACGAAGGTGGTTTTTCCAGAGCAAGGCTTAGCAATTTTGCTGTGGATGTGCTGACCCCTGTGATTTCCCCGAATGTGGGAATCTCCATTACATAACTTGTGGCAGTGGGGAACTGTGTCTGTGTTTTCCCCTGGGTTGTTGTCGTTCTAAAAGTGGATTTTGTTTGCTGTGGAAGCATATATAAGGCGTTAGTATAAACTAATAAACAGGTCTTTGTTCCCATCTGTAACTTACTTTCAAAGTAAAGATTTTGCCAGGTAGTGGTTGGTTCTCACGCTTGTAATCTCAGTAGTCTGTGAGATGCATTGATAACTTTATGTTAATACCGCTCGAGCTCTGGAGTTTGATGTCAGTGTGGTCAAATATGGTGGACCCGTCTCTACTAATCTCTTAGCTTTTTTTTTTGTTCTATAGAAATAAAACTAAGCTTTTCTTTTCCCTACGGGAGCCCATTGTAAACATTTATTAACAGCAAACAGTCCACTGGAGTGCATGGCGGGATCCCGGCTTACTGCAACCTCTGCCTCCTGCCTTCAAGCTATTCTCCTGCCTCAGCCAGAGAATACTCGATCTCCTAAGTAACTGAGATTACAAGCGCAGGCCACTAAAAAATTAGGCCCGGCTAATTTTTTGAATTTTTGGTAGAGACAGGGTTTTACCATGTTGGCCAGGCTGGTCTTAAACTCCTGACCTCAAGTTATCCGCCCGCCTCGGCCACCCAAAATGTTGGGATTACAGGCCTGAGCCACCGCGCCTGGCCTGTTTACAGACTTTACAGACAGATTTTGTTTACAAGCTTTACACGCACGGTTCAGTTGCAGTTAGTGTATATTATGTTTGGCCCAAGACAAATGTCTTTTTTTTTTTTTTTCCCAGTGTGGCCCAAGGAAGCCAAAATTTAGACAACCCTGCTCTAGAGGGTTTGATTCATGTTTCCACTGGGTTATGCTTATTGCCTGTAATTCCATTTGATATTTTCCAAATTTGATTTTTTAAAAAGCGTTTTCCTGAAGCACCCTAAAGCTTTCCTAATAATATGGGAACTTAAACCAGATTGGATGTAACAAAACCCGGCTGGAATCCTGCAACTTCTAACCTTAATGTTAGATCAAGAAGCAAAACACCCACCAGTCCAAGGGTCAGGGAAGATGAAGATCATGCCTGAGCTGTAACAACGCCCTTCCCAGTATACAAAAGCGTGTAACAGCCACTTGAATTCTATCTTCCAAGTGTCTCCTGTTGCCCAGGCTAACCTAGAGCTATCTAAAGATGGCAAATCTGGGAAATGTGCATTCAGCTTGGCAAAACTGATACATTACAAATCCACCACAGTCCACTTCTTCTCAAAGTGGCATCAATGTGCACCTTCCTCCTCCTCCTTCTCTTTTCCTCCTCTTCCTC
This sequence comes from Homo sapiens, assembly GCF_000001405.40. NCBI lineage: Eukaryota > Metazoa > Chordata > Mammalia > Primates > Hominidae > Homo > Homo sapiens. The sequence continues at coordinate 149,638,198 of NC_000001.11, forward strand.
ATCCTCTTCTTTCTCTTCTTCTTCCTCCTTTTTCCTCCTTGTAAAGCCATACTTAAGGTTCAAATAAAGACAATAGGAAAATCATACTTTTTCTCATTCAGTGAAAATATGCCAACCCTTTCCCCAACAGGATAAAGTCTTTTGTCTTTGAATGATGTTCACTCCTTTTTTAGCTAGATCACATTCCATATTTGCTATCCTGTAACCTAAATATTGAGATTTCTAAAAGTTAATTATTAATGAATATGATAGCGAGGATGATGGAAGATGAGAATTCTCAAGAAAAGTATTGGTTAATATATAACTAAATGTATTCATCTCAAAATAATGAAGAAATACTCCTAACTATTATAAGTCCTCATTTCTGCAACTGTCACTGGCCCTAGCTGGTATTTGTAACTATCTTCACATCTTGCTCTCACAGCCATTTCCTTTGGGGCTGGGCCAGTGGATGTGAGCGTGGGAAAGACCAGAACCCGCGGTGCCCCCCACCGCACTATCCTTGGGTCTCCAGAGGTGGGATCCACCGGGCAGGGGCCTTTGCTGGATTCTAAACCGGCTCTGGGGATACAAGAACAGCTGCCTTTGAGAAACAGTTCAAGTCTCTATATTCCAGACTTCCTAGTAGGACTAAACTCTTAATGTTCACCCAGGAATTCACGGTTCTCCTTAAACCCTGCGGTGGAATGCCTTCCTTCACCGAGCATTTATTGGGCACCTACTAGGTGCTAGGGTGGCTCTGGGCGAAGGGCTGCAGCCTGTGCAAACTCCAGGTCCCTTTCCTGTGGATCCCACCTCTGAGGGCCCGAGGGGGACGCAGTGAGGACACCACGGGTTCTGGTCCTTCCCACGCGCGCATCCGCTGGCCCAGGCCTGGCGGAAATGACTGTGAGCGCAAGGTGTGAGCGGGGCTAAGAATGGGAAAGCGAGTGACTTTCGCCGGAGAAGCTGCAGTTGTCACCTGTAGAGGGGCCGGCGACTTTTGAGACGGTGAAGAGCAGGCGGGGGAAGCAGTGAAGAGCAGACGGTGAGGAGCAGGTGGCCCTTTGGCCGTTGGAGTCCCCCAGCTGACTCTGCCCGGGTAGAACGTCCAAAGTGCCCAAAGACTCGACTCTTGGCTTCATTGTCTCCCGTATTCTGGGTTTCTGGAGTGCGCGGGATTGGACAGGCATCAAATATATGAGATTATCTGCAGCCAGAGGTTAAAAAGCCATTTCTGGTATCAGCAAGTGAGTTTAAGACACAAGCCATTAGAGTCTCTGTGGTGCAATCGGTTAGCGCGTTTGACTGTTAACTGAAAGGTTGGTGGTGCAAGCCCATCCAGGGATGGCACCTTTTGCTTAGGCAAGATTCACACTTTCTGTTTAAAGACTTTAATCCTGGGAATCCTCCGGACCTCTATTAGCTTTGAATCAGATGCCAAAATATGCTGCGTGAAGGCTCAAGTTCCATGGAAGTTCCTAAAAACAGGAATATTTCAGCAAAAGTAATTTTTCAATAGAGCCTGAGCCTGGGGCTTCAGAGCTTACGCCAGAGCCACTGCACCTATTTCATCACCTCCTGAAGCTGGGTTTTTACAATTGCACATTCCTGGAAATCCAAAACTCCCAATAATTGAAAACAAGAAAACCCCAGTCTTCACTTGTGGTGAAGCCTCAATTTCTGGGTTGAAATCTTGGTTCATTCATGACGTGAATTTAAAACGTTACTGGATTTTCTGTACCTCAATTTCTTCGTCTATAAAAAAGAGCAGCCGGGCACGGTGGCTCACGCCTGTAATCCCAGCACTTTGAGAGGCCCAGGCAGGTGGATCACCTGAGGTCAGGAGTTCGAGACCAGCCTGGCCAGCGTGGTGAAACTCCGTCTTTAATAAAAATATAAAAATTAGTCAGGCATGGTGGCGGGCGCCTGTACTCCCAGCTACTTGGGAAGCTGAGGCAGGAGAATCACTTGAACCCGGGAGGCAGAGGTTGCAGTGAGCCGAGATCACGCCATTGCACTCCAGCCTGGGCAAAAGAACGAGACTCCTTCTCAAAAAATAAAAATAAATAAAAAATAAAAAAGAAAGAAAGAAAGAAATTTTTCCTGGCACATTTCTATATGTTCCATTCTGGATGACTTGCTCTTCAGGCTTATCCCACAGCTGTTATCATAATATCTCTCTTTACTGCACCATCTTGGGATTTCCATCGCCTCTCTCTTGTTAGATCCCCTGCTTCATGGATCTCAAGGGGGTTCATTCCTCACTCACTTCTTCCTTTTGATGATGCATATCCTCCAAAACCTCCTATAAAGTGGTTACCTTAGAAATAAACTTTTTGAGACACTGCATGTCTGAAAATGTCTTTTATACCCATAAAATTAATTGATATTTTACTAGATAGAGATACAAAAAGATAGGTGGAAATAATTTCTCTCTGAGATTTTTGAAGGCACTGTTTTTTTTTTTGTGACAGAGTCTCGCCTCGCTCTGTCGCCCAGGCTGGAGTGCGGTGGTGGGATCTTGGCTCACTGCAATCTCCACCTCCCAGGTTCAAGCGATTCTCCTGCCTCAGCCTGCCCAGTAGCTGGGACTACAGGTGCCTCCACCATGCCCAGCTAATTTTTTTATTTTTAGTAGAGATGGGGTTTCACCATGTTGGCCAAGCTGGTTTTGAGAGCGACCACTCCTCATATTGTCTTACACTTAATTTCTTGTTTGCTGAAAAAGTGGAGGTTGAAAGAATGGGCAGAAGTGAAAATCACGCTCAGACAACTGGGTGCCACATTTCGGGCCTGGTTGTTAAAATTCAACCGCTGACCTCACCAATTGTGCTGTCTATAAATTCCAGACATTGTATAAAAAAGCATTATGAAATTCCCTTTTCTGTCCCGTTTCATTCTGATTACCAGTACATGCAGCCCCCAGTCACGTACCCCTCGCTTGCTCAGTTGATCATGACCCCCCCAACACAGCCCCTTTAGAGTTGTGGGCCCTTAAAAGGGACAAGAATTACTTATTTGGGGAGCTCAGCTTCTAGGATGTGAGTCTACCGATGGTCCCAGCTGAAAAAAGCTCTTACCTTCCACAATCGGGTGTCTGAGGGATTTTGTCTATGACTCCTGCTACAGTTTCAAACTCCTGACCTCAAGTGATCCGCCTCCCTTGGCTCTGCAAAGTGCTGGGATTACAGGCCTGAGCCATGGCTCCCGGCCCTTGTTGTTTACTGTTTTCCATAGTCATTTCTGAGAAAGAAAAAGGTAAGCCTTTTCTGCTGTGAGCTAGAGCTGGTCTGACAAACACCTAGGCCATGGTGTTCTATGGTTAAAACTAAAAATTTCACAACACCAATATCAGACAAAGTTACCCTCTCACTAAACTGAAAGAAATACTATTTCACAATCATATTTGAGCATAAAAAGAACACTGTTCAAACCATAATATGATCAAACATCCCAGCTACTAATAGTGACGGTTAATTATTTTATTTTTTATTTTTTTGTGATGGAGTCTTGCTCTGTCACCAGACTGGAGTGCAGTGGCACAATCTCAGCTCACTGCAACCTCTGCCTCCTGGGTTCAAGCAATTCTCCTGCCTCAACCTTCCGAGTAGCTGAGACTACAGGCACCTGCCACCACACCCAGCTAATTTTTGTATTTTTAGTAGAGACTGGGTTTCACCATATTGGCCAGGCTGGTCTGGAACTCCTGACCTTGTGATCCACCCCCGCCCCGCTCAGCTTCCCAAAGTGTTGGGATTATAGGCGTGAGCCACTGCACCAGGCCAGTTTTTTTTTTTTTTTTTTTTTTTGAGACAGTCTCTGTTGCCCAGGCTGGAGTGCAGGGGCATCATCTCAGCTCACTGCAACCTCCACCTCCTGCGTTCAAGTGATTCTCTTCCCTCAGCCTCTCAAGTAGCTGGGATTACAGGCATGCCCAACCATGCTTGGCTAACTTTTGTATTGACTGTTGATTCTTTACCAATTATGTGTTTAGTCTTTCAACCACTTCTCCCACTTTCTAGATAAAAATACCGAGATTCCCAAAGGAAGAATTGTCCCACAATTTCCCCATAGTGTTTGCTGTCTCCTGTGTTGCAATGAGCCAATATACTCAGGTTTGACTATAGGTTTGTTCCTGATGGTTATACACTGGAGCACATCAGCACCATAGAGAAGATGGATGCCGTTCTGATTCTTTGTTATTTGCCTTAAACTCTTCTCCCATATCCCCTCCCAAAAGCCTATAGAATCTTCTACTTCTTCCTATTAGTTTGAAACTTCATGATCTATTTCCATCCACCATGCTGGGTACTGAGTGTGCTCTTTCAATATGGGAATTTGTATTTTGGAGGTATCATTCCAAAGATGTTTATGCATATACAATTAAAGGTATATATTTATTTCCTGCAACTACCATCACCCTTTTGATACACTTCTGCTGTATAATAAACCATCCCAAGCTTATTGACTTAGAATAACAATAATTGGCTGGGCGTGGTGGCTCACACCTGTAATCCCAGCACTTTGGGAGGCCAAGGCGGGCAGGTCACGAGGTCAGGAGATTGAGACGATCCTGGCTAACACGGTGAAACCCCGTCTCTACTAAAAATACAAAAATTAGCCAGGCGTGGTGGCGGGCGCCTGTAGTCCCAGCTACTAGGGAGGCTGAGGCAGGAGAATGGCATGAACCCGGGAGGCCGAGGTTGCAGTGAGCCGAGATCATGCCACTGCACTCCAGCCTGGGCTACAGACTGAGATCTCATCTCTTAAAAAATAAAAAAAGAATAACAATAATTTATTATTTTTAGTGATTCTGTGAGTTGGCTTGGAAATTCTTCTAGTCCAAGCTGGTTCATTTGGGGCTGGATGGTCTAGGATGGCCTCACACATCTGGGGTATAGGTGGATTGGTTGGAAAAAGTGGGATGCATGGATCTTTTTCTTCATGTGATCTCTCTAGCAGGCTAGCTTTGGGGGATCTTCAGATCATGGCCTCAGGATTTCAAGTGAAGAAAAAAGCAGGTAATCCTCCCATGTGCAAGCCTCTCTTCTGCCAGGTTTGCGAAGGCACCAACATTTGCCCAAAGCAAGTCATATAGCCAATCCAAGATTCAAAGAGAGGAGAAATAGACTCTCTTGATGAGAGAAGCTGCAAAATATAACCACTTTTTTTTTCAATCTGTCACAGTATACCATACTGGACTATCAGTAGCTTCCTCATTTTTCTTTCTTTCTTTCTTTCTTTTTTTCTTTCTGAGACGGAGTCTTGCTCTGTCGCCCAGGCTGGAGTGCAGTGGCGACATCTCGGCTCACTACAAGCTCTGCTTCCCGGGTTTAGCCATTGTCCTGCCTCAGCCTCCCTAGTAGCTGGGACTACAGGCACCCGCCACCACGCCCGGCTAATTTTTTGTATTTTTAGTAGAGACGGTGTTTCACCGTGTTAGCCAGGATGATCTGGATCTCCTGACCTCATGATCTGCCTGCCTCGGCCTCCCAAAGTGCTGGGATTACAGGCGTGAGCCACCGCGCCCGGCCATGACACAAGTTTAAAAGAATATTTTTGTTTGTTTCAGACGAGTCTCGCTCTTTTGCCAGGCTGGAGTACAGTGGCGTCATCTCGGCTCACTGCAGCCTCCGCCTCCCGGATTCCAGCGATTCTCCTGCCTCAGCCTCCTGAGTAGCTGGGATTACATGCGCCCGCCTCCACGCCCGGCTAATTTTTGTATTTTTAGTAGAGAAGGGGTTTCACCAAGTTGTCCAGGATGGTCTCTATCTCTTGACCTCATGATCCACCCTCTTGGGCCTCCCAAAGTGCCGGGATTACAGGCGTGAGCCACCACGCCCGGCTAAAAGAATAATTTTTATTTTATTGTTTATTTTATTTATTTTATTTTATTTTATTTTATATTTTATTTTATTTTATTTATTTTATTTTGTGAGACAGAGTTTTGCTCTTTTGCCCGGGCTGAAGTGCAGTGGTGCAATCTCTGCTCACTGCAACCTCCACCTTCTGGTTTCAAGCGATTCTCCTGCCTCAGCATCCCGAGTAGCTGGGATTACAGGCACCAGACACCATGCCCGGGTAATTTTTGTATTTTTAGTAGAGATGGGGTTTCACCATGTTGGCCAGGCTAGTCTCAAACTCCTGACCTCATGATCAGCCCACCTCGGCCTCCCAAAGTGCTGGGATTACAGGCGTGAGCCACCTCGCCTGGCCTAAAAGAATAATTTTAAAAAATCTTTTTTGGATCAGGCTTGGTGGCTCAAACCTGTAATCCCAGGACTTTGGGATGCCAAAGTGGGTGGATCACCTGAGGTCAGGAGTTTGAGACCAGCCTGGCCAATATGGTAAAACCCCATCTCTACTTAAAATACAAAAAAATCAGCCGGGGTTGGTGGTGTGCGCATGTGGTCCCAACTACTTGGGAGGCTGAAGTGGGAGAATCACTTGAACCCGGGAGGAGAAGGTTGTAGGTAGCCGAGATTGTGCCACTGCACTCCAGACTGGGCAACAGAGACAGACTCTGTCTCAAAACAAAACAAAACAAAACAAAACAAAACAAACAAAAACAAACAAAACAAACAAAAAACAAAACAAACAAAAAAACAAAAAACAGCAAGCAAGGACTCCATGGCCTGCAAGATCCAAACCAGTAAAGGAGCAGCTCCTCAGAGACAGGCATGTGCATTAGAGAGAAAAAGTATGCTTAACATGACTTCATATGATAATCAGCTCATTAAAACTCATGCATATGGACTACATATCATGCATGTACTTAAAAGTATGGGATGGAGGCAACGTGCAAGCACACAAGGGCCAAAGTAACTAAGCAACCCACCTGTCAATCAAAAGGCAAACACTGGCTAAAGATTAGGCATCCCTGTGAAGAGAAGAAAAAAACACACATAAAAAGACCCAAAGTACACCAAACTAATACTGATCTCATCTCCCAGACTCTCCCCACTCTGAGAGTGTTACTGTGCTTAATAAACTTTTGCTTTGCTTTGCTGCTTTATGTGTGTCATGTACAGTTCTTTGTTTGGGACACCAAAAGCCTGGAACTTCATGGAACCATCTGGTAAGAATTAGGATTTTTTTTCCTAAGGGTTAACAAACCAGCCCTTTGGAAAGACTTGCCTCTCCACTGTTATCAACCAATGGCCTGAAACTTTCCCTCCCTTTTGTGGTTTTGACAAAACAAGCAAGCAGCATTCCCTCCTGATAAGAGACCACTGACCTAGGAATGATTCTGGCCAGACTACAGAGGATGTACTGTGAGGGTTTTCATGTCCTCTGCTTCAGCTTTTGATGTCAGAGGGCCACAAACTCCACTCTCAGATGATTGCTAATGCCACCATTTTATGAACATGGGCCCCATGGAGAGGCACGAAGCTCAATTGCACTTCTGCACATTTTTCCTCTTATAAATATTGATATTGGAATACTATTTGGTATTGCTCCCGTGAAAGATACATTTGCAGAATGTACTCAAATTAGAAGCATTATATAAACACTACAATGTAGCAATGGTGCATCCAGTTCTCTACACTATAGAAATATCTGCGGTGTAGACATTTCCACAATGACCAAAGATATGTGTACAAGAATGGTGACTGCAGCATTCTTTGTAATCCTAAAACCATGAAACCAACCTCATCTCAAAGACATTTTTTTTTTTTGAGATGGAGTCACACTCTGTTGCCCAGGCTGGAGTGTAGTGATCTCAGCTCACTGCAGCCTCCACCTCCCAAGTTCAAATGATTCTCCTGCCTCAGCCTCCCGATTAGCTGGGATTACAGGTGTGTGCCACCACGCCTGGCTAACAAAAACATTTTGAAAAGGGTTAAATAAATAATGCACAAACTGAGGAAAAATACTGTTTTCAAAAATGATGGAGAGGATCACTATGATGATGAATGATTCCACTGGTCACATTATTGATAGAGCAATCAGTAAATCCAGGCACATCCTGGAGATACTACTGGACTCCTATTACTAAAATATGAAAAAACGGAGACAAGTAAGTTACTCATTTAAGCGTATAATCGACTGAATTAGAATTTTATCACACCAGAAGTGGGTTCCTAGGTCTCTGTTTCAGGATTCCTGAGTTACACAGGTGTAAACCCGCCGTTTCAGGAGATACCCGGTTAAGAATCTGGTCGGGGAGCTGGCTGGCCCTTGACATGGATCAGTCATAAATTAGTGGCTAATTCTTCCCCATTTATGTAGTGATTGACAGTACGTGCATGCTTTAAAAGTTCCAATAAGCATCCCTGGGTGGGCTCGAACCACCAAGCTTTCGGTTAACAGCGGAACGCGCTAACCGATTGCACCACAGAGACAAGCACTGCTAACTCCACTGGGCCATATAGGAAGGGCGCACTCACTAAACTTCCTCCGTCCCTTCTATTCCCAGGGCCCGCCTGGCAGGACGACTGAGCAAGTCCTTGGAAAACCAGAGATATTAGAGCGGTGAATCGCGCTGGTCACGTTGGACACCTGCGCGTTAGGAGATTCTGGAGCCAGAGGGAGAGACCCCAGAAACTCCCCGGTCGGCGACCCAGCCCGAGACGCCTGGGGTCCCAAGGGAAGCTGAACGCCCGGTGGGCTCCCGGGATGGTTCTTCCGGTTCTTTGTGCCGCCTTCACCCAGTGAAGGAGCCTGTATCCACCCTGCCCAGTCGCTGTTGGGCTGCTGCGGAGCTTCCGCTGCCATCTTCGGATCCTGTGTTCCGCCCGGGGCTCCACCAGGGCAGGGATGGTGGTGAGGGTCGCTCGTGGGTCCCCTGGCAGGGAGCAGGGTCTGGCACTCACAAGGGCGCACGACTAGGACTTGTCGAATGAATCCTTTGTCGCCTTTAGCTTTTAGTCCTTTGAAGAGAGGTGAGAGTGGAAATCAAGAGATTTTTTTCCACGGGGAAGTTCTTTTTACAAAGCGTTGATTTCTCGGCACCCCGCGGGGCGGGCAACTGACACGGCCTCCGGTGCACCTTCTGCGCTGTGGAGCCTCTGGGGCTCAGCTGGGCGGTGGTCGGGTCGTGGGGCGGTAGGGCGGGAGCGGGGGAAGGGAAAAGCAAAAGCTGGAAAAGAAGCAGGGGAGTTATGAACCAGACATCCAGACCTCCTGAAGGGCTCGTGCAGACGTACAGGCGGGATCTTCTGGAAGTGAGAATTGTTTTTGTTTGTTTATCTATTGTAGCAGAATGGGGAAATGGAGAGAGAACCTGAAAGAGCCCCAAACTCGAGGACCTATTGCTCCCCAAGAATAACATCTTCCAGAACTAGACAGAAAACTAGGCGTCTGGGAACCCTGAAATCCTTGGAGGAGTAGATCATCATGACCCTCTGTGTTCCTTTTGGCAAATGACTTGCTTCCATTGTTTGTTTGTTCAATTGTCTGTTTGTTAAATAAATAAAACCCTTTTCATGTATCTTTAAAATTACATTGGTTCTATTATTTTATGATTACAAACGATGCTGCAGTCATCATTCTTGTACACTTCTCATTGGCCACTGGTGTATTTCTATAGGGTGGAGGCCTGGAGAGCAGTTGTTCCAGCATAGTGTTTACATAGCTTTTATTTAATTCCGTTTTCTTTCCTTTGTTGCTTTATTAGCTATAACCCTTCTCTTATTTCAGTGGCAGCTTTAGGGTTTCTGGGATACATCTTTAATTTATCACATTCTGCTTTCAAGTGCAATTATACCTCCCTTTCTGGCCTTTATCCTAGTGTTACGTATTTTTACTTTATGCATTATAAGTTTTGTGATTATCATTACTTTCATTTATTATGTCAAATATTTTTAAAAAGATTTAAATTATAAGAAAATGTGTAGTACATGCTTTCTAAATGCCATTTCCAATATTTGTTTTTGTATAGGTCCAGATTTTTATCTGGGATCCTTTTGCTTCTGCCTGGAGGACTTTTAATAAGATTTCTTGTAACGTGGGTTGGTGAATTGTTTTAGCTTTTGTATGTTTTTCGATGTCCTTATTTCACTCACAGTTTTGAAATTTTATTTTTGCATAGAATTCTAGGTTAACTTTTTTTCTCTGGGTACTTTAAAAATGTTACCATTTATGAAGCATTGCCATTATAATATCATCTTTCTTTCCTGTGTTTGTAAGAATGGCATAAAGCCGGTTTCTTGCGGTGGTTATATAATTTTCAGAATGTGTACTTAAATTTAAAATATTAAATTTTACTAAAAAACTAAAAATATTAATCATGAACATCCTAGATTCATCTTAAATTCCACCAACAGTGCACTTAAAATGTGCCCAACCTGAGGGTCAAACCTACCTGCTGACGTGTAATTTGTGTTTGTGAGACATTCTCAACAGCATTTGCTTTCCCTAGCTGAGTGATTTTCCTCACATCTGAATGTCTTCAGTACAAAAGGAAACCTTTGTCTTTGCAAAAATACTTTCAAATATTCTTACTTCAAGTAAGTGCATTAAAAACAAACTTCTCAGTTGCATCCCTGGAATCCATGGAAAGCCCGGGAGAGACAATCAAGTGCTTCAGGATCAAGAGCTAAACAAGGGAAGACAAAGCGTGGCTTCTTCACTAGGAGTCCAGCCAAAGTCAACTGATTTGGTCTCCAGTGGAGGTCGGAACTCGGTTCACTAGCGACGTGAGGACCCGGCCCAGAGGAGGCGGACTTTCTCTTCCTGGTGCCTTCAGATAGGAAATCTAGAATTTCTTTCTTTCCCTTTGATCTACTTCTAACTCTCCCGTTCTATTTCTTCAAGACCTTTTTCGGATCCCTACTGCGAAGGACCTAAGGGGCCGATGCCCTTCCCTAACGGTCCCTCCCTGGCTGAGTGTCTTCGGAGCCCAAGCTCACCTGTAAGGTTACTGCCCTCCGGAGACAGCGAGAGGACCAAGGAGGGCGGCGGGTGCGGTGGGAACCACAGAGTCACCGCGCACCTGCGCCTCGCGGGCTCCTAGCAAATTGAATAAATGATCCCTGAAGCTTCTCTGCAGGTCACAGGGAAGGGGAGGGTGGCTGCCGACACGCGGGAGAAGCTTCAAGAAGCGTCGGGAGGACCTGGCCCTGCCTCTGGGCCTTGAAAACAGGCCTGGCCAGGCTGATTTTGTCGCGTAGGCCCAAAGAAAAGTGTCAAGGGCGGCCCAAACCCTGACCTCGAGATTAAGGCTCTTAAATGTCTGACGGTTTTGAGACTCGTCTGTAGAATCGATCCCGCCTGTATCCGGAGACCGGAGACTCCTTTGCCAAAATTCAGAGACCAAGAAAGAGAAAGATTGGGCAGATCAAAGTCTGTAATTAACCCAAACAGGAAACGTAATTTTTCTGACAAATTGTATGTGTGCTCTGAGAAAAAGACTAGCCTCAAGGAGAATCTGTTTTTTTGGCTTGAGTGTAGGGAAGAATGGAATTGCCACCAACAATGTTGCGTTGAAACGGCAGGTGCATCAGGCTGTAGATGTGAAGGAATTAAAAATATTTCACCCCAAAATACATTTCTTTGACACATTTTGAGATGTCTGTTCAGAAAGCCAGCTGCAGAAGTAGCCCTGCAAAGTTGTATTTTGTTGGGGAGATTTGCATCTGTAGGGAATCTGCATTGATGCAGCCAAGTCTTTCTTTGCCCAGATCTAGGAAAGATTAACTGAGAGTCTGACAGCTGTAAAGGTCTGAAAGAAACTTTTAGGGTTTACTGTCTCTGAGAGCTGCTACCTGTAAGGTTTCATTTACATATTAAGACCACCTTTGCTAGCTAAGCCTCCTCTTCTCTCCCTCCTATAACCTGTCTTGCCCACAATAAATGGATATACATCTGACTCTGATGGTACCTGGTTTTGGCCATGCTTTGAGCCCTCATTCATTCTGTTACCTCGAGATGGTGTATAAGCTTCTGCATCCCATTGTGGGTAGCGTAGGGTAATCACTCTGTGGCCCTCCCCATGTACATGTTAGTACATTTTATGCCTTTTCTCCAATTAATCTGCCTTTTGCGAGTTGATTTTTGAGTGAAACTTCAGAGGGTTAAGAGGGAGGGTTTCCATTGGCCCCTACAGTTTTGGAGCTGTAAGCAGGATAGTAAAGCTCTGCTCTTCTGGAAGCTGCAGTGAAGAACCCAGGATCTGATCAGCTGTCATAAGGGTAAGAATTTTTTACCAGCCAGGCTCCCAGCCTCCTTCTCTGTGTGGAATCTGATCAAGTGCACAGTAAAAATCACTGTTTCTTTTCCCTCTCCAAAATCTTGATTAATGGGAGAAAAGGATTTGTGTGACTAGTCTTGGGTGTAGTGACTCTGGTGTGCTTTTTTGGTACTTTGTGGTACCAATTCATATTGTTTAATCCCTTTCTTCCCAGAAAATGTCTGTTCCTTTGTCTTTGTCTCTACGTGTTATTCTGTCATAAAAGGGGGTACTGGTTGAGGTTCCTTCTTATCTTATTTTATGTCCTTGAGAGCTTGACTTGTGACAAAGTGGGAGCACTTTCTCTTGGTTTCCGCTATCGGGTAAGAGGTGGTAATTTTGAGGTCATATTAGGTGGCCTGTCTGAAAATGGCTGGAAACCCGAGTACACTTTTTCTTCTAACTATGTCAAGCTCTTGGGGTTTGTCTTAAGAAGTCCCATCCCTTCGAGGCTTTTGCCGTCTCAACTCTTGTTGCCTGATTAGTCCTAGAAAAGCTCAGTCCCAAGAGGGCCTACCTCGTATCACAGATTCACAGGTCTGTGACTGGAAGCCTCCACAAATTTGTGGGTTACTGGAGGCAAACATCATCCTTAACCATCTGTGGCCTACTCCTTACATTGAACTTTTTTCTTGGAGGGGAGTCTTTGGGATTGCCTCTTCTATGCCCTTCCCAGGAAGTTAACCTGGAAAATGACATCCTGGGCTTTCCACAAAGAGGCTATTTGGTTGAATTGCTATTGGAATAATTATACCATTGGATATTCTAGTTGCCAATGGCCTGAAGATGGATCCCTTAAATTAGACACCTGAATTAAAAAAAAAAAATTAGAGATCTCTTATTTGAAACAGTTGATAGGAAGATCAAATTAAAAGAAAGGCACATACTAGTGTGATAGCTACCCTTAAAAATTCTCTTGACAATATTATCTGTCTTGTGTAGGGAAAAAATTCTCTTGACTAAATTAAAGAGCAAAATTTGATCCAAAACAAAGTTAAAATTCTTCATAAGCTCAAACTGCCTGCTCTGGATCCCTTCCAGGATTCACAATAAAGTCTGCTCTACCTTGCAGTTTAGTACTTAAAGTTCTGTGCTTTTGCTGCCATAGCCTGGGTTCAATTTCCAGTCAGGGAACCAGTTTATTTTGGCTTGATATTTGTGTGACTTTTGACTTTTTGGAATACCCATTTATTGATCCTTTTCCCGTTCATGGGCAGCTTTTTTTGTTCTTTTTGTTTGTTTGTTTATTAAGACAGATTCTCACTCTATTACCCAGGCTGGAGTGCAGTGGTGCAATCTCGGCTCACTGCAAACTCCGCCTCCCAGGTTCAAGTGATTCTCCCACCTCAGTCTCTCAAGTAGCTGGGATTACAGCCACCCACCACCATGCCTGGCTAAGTTTTGTATTGTATTATTAGTAGAGACAGGGTTTTGCCATGTTGGCCAGGCTGGTCTTGAGCTCCTGACCTCAAGTGATCTGCCCGCCTTGGCCTCCCAAAGTCTTGGGATTATAGATGTGAGCCACCACTCCTGGCCATTGGCAGCTTTTGATTTCCTGTCCTCCCAACTTCCAAAGTTTATGAAGAGAAATCTGTTGATAATCTTATTAAAGATTTCTTACGTGTGATCAGTTGCTTTTCTCTTACCGATTTAAAGATTCTCTGTTTTTGACTTTTGAAAGTTTGATTATAATGTGTTTTGGTGTCGGTCTCTTTAAGTTTATCTTACTTGGAGTTTGCCTGGCTACTGTGTTTGTATTCAGGTCTTTCATCAAATTTGGGAAGTTTTCAGCCATTATTTCTTCAAATATTCTCTCTTGCCCCTCTCTCCTTCTTCTTTATAAATTCCACAATGCAAGGCTGGGTATAGTGGCTCATGCCTGGAATCTCAGCATTTTGGGAAGTCGAGGTGGGAGGATCACCTGAGGTCAGGAGTTTGAGACCAGCCTGACCAACATGGAGAAACCCCGTCTCTGCTAAAAATACAAAATTACCCAGGCATGGTGGTGCATGCCTGCAATCCCAGCTACTCGGGAGGCTGAGGTGGGAGAATCGCTTGAACCCAAGAAGCAGAGTTTGCGGTGAGCCGAGATCACGCCATTGCATTCCAGTCTGGGCAGCAAGAGCGAAACTCCATCCCCCCACCCCCCACCCCCAAAACAACAACAACAAAAAAGGAATTCCACAATGCATATGTTGGTCCACTTGATGGTCACTTAGGCTCTGTTCACTTTTCTTCAATTTTTTTTTATTTCTGTTCCTCAAACTGGATGATTTCCATTGCCTTATCTTCAGGTTCACTGATTGTTTCTTCTGCCTGCTCAGCTTTCTTCAAATTTGACTTTGAATCCCTCTAGTTAATTTTTTATTTCACCTATTTTACTTTTCAGATCCAGCACTTCTTTTTTGTTTCTTTTTTGATTTTCTATCCTTTATTTATATTTTCATTTTGTTCATGCATTATTTTCTTGTCTTATGCTACATCTTCCTTTAGTTCTTTGGGTACCTTTAAGACACCTGTTTCAAAGTCTGTCAAGTAGCACATCCAGCAGGTTGTTTTTTTCTCTCTCTCTTTAATTATTTATTATTTTTCTTTTCATTTTCTTCCCCCATGACCAAATCTTAACTTGACTATCAGGCATTTTTCAGTGAGAGTTTCTGTTGGTTCATTTTTTTTTATTTATTTTTATTGTTGTTGTTGAAAACTGGACATTTGAATCTACTAGTGTGGTTAACTCCAGAAATTAGATTCTCCTCCTTCCTCAGGGTTTGCTGTTTTTCTGTTATTGTTTTGTTTTTTGATTATTGTAGGTTGTCTCTATGCCAAGGATCAGCCTGAGGTATAAACTTATGGTCTTCACAGATGTTTTCTGAGCCTGAACTTTTCCCTGGGTGTGTGGTCACTCCCTAATTTTACCTATATATGCAGTTATTCTTGAATATTTTATCCTTTAATGTCTGGCTCCCAAAAGGGGAAAAAGAGAAAAATTGAGGGAGGGTGAAAAAAGGGTACCATCCCTTTAAACTTTCTGGAAGTTGCTTCAGCTTAGGGTGAGGAGCTTGCTACAATGGGGGAAGGTACAGCAGTAGCTGCCAGCCTCTTTGTCTCTGTGCTGCAATCAGACATTAGAGAACAGAGCCCCAATGTGTGTGTGTGTGTGTGTGTGTGTGTGTGTGTGTGTGTGTGTTTTGAGATGGAGTCTTTCTCTGTCACCCAGGCTAGAGTGCAGTGGCATGATCTCAGCTCACTGCAGCCTCCGCCTCCTGGGTCAAGTGATTCTTGTGCCCCAGCCTCCTGAGTGGCTGGGATTATAGGTGCCTGCCACCATGCCTGACTAATTTTAGTAGAGACAGAGTTTTACCATGTGGACCTGGCTGGTCTTGAACTCCTGACCTCAAGTAATCCACCCACCTCGGTCTCCCAAAGTGCTAGGATTACAGGCATGAGCTACTGCACCTGGCCCAGACCCCCAGTGTTTGGAGACAGCATTCTTTTTGCCCATTCTGGATCCTGAAAGATGTGTGCAGCTTACTGTAGGAACACAAGCTGACTGCCTTGGGGGTAGTGTTGGGTAGCTGCTATTGTGCTAAGGGCCAAAATTGACTGAAATTACCTACAATTTACCATCTGGGCCTTCCTCTGGAAGTTGCAAGCCTTCAGTAGGCTCCAGAGTTCTGAAATATTTACATCTGACAGATCCTGCCCGTGCAGTTGTTGTGTAGATTCCAGGTGCTTCTCATTCCACCATCTTCCCAGGATACCCTCTGACCTTCTGGATTTTGAATTCAGTCAAGCTGTTCTCTAACAGCTGGGGTGAAAGCCAACAAAGATCCTGCTAAGAAAGCTCCCTGGAAAAAAAATGTTCAAAAGTAACACAAATATCAAACTGGAAAGAAATTGATTTAGGAACCGAACCCAGGTTGTCATGGTGAAAAAAGGAGCAGAACCTTAGCTACCGAACTGCAGCCTGGGGTATGAGGTGACAACCATCACTTTTTTAGTTTGGTTTGGCTAGCAAAGGTGGCCTTGTTATACAAATAAAGCCACTCAGGTAGTCAAAACCTTTATTTTCTGTTTTTTTTTCTCTCTCTTTTTTTTTCTTTTTGAGAAGGAGTCTTGCTCTGTCACCCAGGCTGGAATGCAGTGGCGCAATCACGGCTCACTGCAAGCTCTGCCTCCCAGGTTCATGCCATTCTCCTGCCTCAGCCTCCCAAGTAGCTGGGACTATAGGCGCCCGCCACCACGCCTGGCTAATTTTTTGTATTTTCAGTAGAGACGACATTTCACCGTGTTAGCCAGGATGGTCTCGATCTCCTGACCTCATGATCCACCTGCCTCGGCCTCCCAAAGTGTTGGGATTACAGGCATGAGCCACCGTGCCTGGCCCTATGCCTGGCTAATTTTTAAAAATTTTTTGTAGAAGCAGGGTTTCGCCGTGCTCCCCAGGTTGGTCTCAAACTCCTGAGCTCAAGTGCTCCAACCACCTTGGTCTCCCAAAGTGGTGGGATTACAGGTGTCAACCACTGCACCTAGCCTCTAAATCCATATAAATCAATTATTCACGCACTGAGCAGAATATTCAGGATTTTTTTTCTTATAATATAAATGATGTGGAAAACTGGAGAACCAAAGAAGAACACCAAGACTATCTAAAAGTGTTAAATTTTTCATTAGAAAGAAAATGACTTCATGACAGTTCTTAAGACAATGATAGAACTTGGGGAAATATGTATTCCTTGATGTTTCTATGCATTTGCAATAATAAACAATGAAAATATGGTTAAATTTTAGAAAGAGATAGGCCTGTGGTATTGTCACAAGGGTATACAAATACTGAGAATGACTGCTGAGGCAGTGCTCTCCATTGGTGGTGACCTTCAGAAGAGACCTGTGTTTCCACATGGCCTAGACACCTGGAAGGCAGAGATCCTAACATTCCATGACACCCCACCTTCTAATTCTGTTATTGTGACTCCAGACCATTACCTGGCACCGGGTCTGATTTCTGACATTCCTATCAGAGCCTGAGTCACAGACAGTACCTTAGACTCTAAGCTTAGGCACCTTGTGCCTTGTTTTTGTGGCTAAGGATTCTCAGAGTTGTAGGATGCTGACAAAGTTTATCCCAAAGGTAATTTATGAATCAGATCTGCTTTCTTTTGACTTGTTTAAACCCTTCATTTAATGTAAAGAAACTTTATTGAGGTATAATTTACATACTATAAAATTTACCCATTATAATTGTACAGTTCAATAATTTTTAGTAATTTACCCAAGTAGTGCAACCATTACCATAATCCATGCATTTGTTTTTAATTTATTAATTGTCTGGGTTTATTCTCCCTAGGCTCTGATTGTACTTTCTCCACAAGCTTCAGCATGGCAGTATCTCTCACCACTTGTTTTGGTCCAAGGGCAGAAATGAGCATCCTGGAAACCAATCAGTACTTCCGCTCTGAACTGGAAAAGTGCAAACAGAACTTCCAAGACCTCACAGAGAAATTCCTGACATCCAAAGCTACTGCCTACTCCCTGGCCAATCACCTGCAGAAATATAGTAGGTCCCAAAGGGGCATGGTCACCGAAGTGATAAATGATTGCCCATCTTTCCTCTGTGAAATGAAACACTGCGGACTTTATTCTCTATCAAAATTAATTTTATGCTAACTACACTCCCAGAAAGGTAGAAGTGGGCCTTTTACTCTCAATTTGCCAAGGACAGAAAAACTGAGGCACAAAGGTGTAAAGTTTGCAGGGCGAGTGTAGTGAGGAATAGAGACTAAAACCTCGGTTTAGGCGTGAAACTGTCTTTCCCCTCTCAGCAATGAATATCAGATTCTACAAACATGTAACATCACTGTTGGTTAAAACATCTCAGGATTCGATTTAAACTTTTTTAAGAGCGCCCATTTGCAAAGCACTGTGCCAACAGCATCAGGGGTGATAGAAGTAATAGTATACCCTATCTGCCTTGAAGGAACTTAAAACTAGCTATTCTCAACTGAGTCACAGATATGTGGAGATGTGAACTTCAATAGCAGACACGGAAAAAAGTCTTTATGATACCTGGATCAAGATTCTCTTCCCACAAAAGTTCAGATAAGCCATTCCTCATGCTCTGGTTAGATTGAGGGTATTTCCAGAAAAATCAGAGACTTTGTAACACCCTTTCTGTCTCTCTCTGAGTATCAACTTTACAGACAGCAAGCAACTGCAGGTGGACATCCAGGATCAGAGCTATGAGACATATGGCCAAAATGAGAACAAGGCCAAGTGGAACAGACTACCATTCTCAATAGAAGGCCAGGCCAGGTTAGGGGCTGGCCCCTTCCTCTCCACAGTTAGCTCTCACATTTTTAAATCCACTGTAAAATCCCAAACCTGTTACTAATAGTCAGGGAAGGGAAGCTGTAATGACAAGGAAACGTGGGAACAAGGGCATGAGAGGAACAGGGATATTAGAAGAGGATTCTTGTTAACATAGAAATTGAGTTTGTTTTCCAATTTCTACAATTATTTTAAAATACATCATTGTGGGGGGGTGGCTAAAAGTTGCTGTGTAACTTACTGTCATAGAAAAGTAAAGCCAAAAGCCCTCTTATTAAAGAAGTGAAAAGATGAGCTTTGGTGTGTGGAAAAACTAGTTTAAAAAAAAAACCTTCACTCATTATAATTGTAGGAAAAAAATTTCTCAAGCTAGAGAAGAAGAAAGATATTACCTAAGACCCTAGTATAAAGGTATTATTGTGCAGTGATTAAAGAGCATATACCCTAGGGCCAAATTTCCTGGGTTCAAATCTAACTTATCATCACTGTGCCTCAGTTTTCTCATCTGTAATGGTAATAGAATAGGAACTACCTCTTTGGATGGTGGTGATGATCATATGATGATAATTCTTAAAAACCTACTGCAACAGTACCATGACAAACACTATGTGTTGGTTCTCCCTTTAAAACACCACCTATTAGCTTTTGGGCACATATCATTTGGATCTTTCTCCTCTATATACAGTTTTACACAGCTGTATACAGATAAATGTTTAAATCTTTGAAATATTTTGGGATTATTGAAACTCCTGACACAGGAGGACCATCAGTCCTACCATTCTTAGTATCTTCCCAAACACACAGGAAGTCATTATTTCATGCCCTTATGTTCATGTTTTACTTAAGAGGCTGTAAGGCTTGGTAAATTGGCCTTAAGATTTGAAGTCATGGCTGGGTGCATTGGCTCACTTACTGCAATCCCAGTACTTTGGGAAGCCAAGGTGGGTGGATCATTTGCAGTCAGGAGTTTGAGAGCAGCCTGGCCAACATGGTGAAGCCCTGTCTCTACTGAAAATACAAAAACTAGCAGGGTGTGGTGGGGCACACTTGTAATCTCAGCTACTTGGGAGGCTGAGGCAGGAGAATAACCCGGGAGTCAGAGGTGCAGTGAGCCGAGATTGTGCCACTGCCCTCCAGCCTGGGCAAAAAAGTGAGATTCCATCTCAAAAAAGAAAAAAAAAAAGAAAAGAAAAAGATGTGGCGTCAGACCTCAGGGGATGTGAATTCTGACTGCCTCATTCCAGCTGAATCATCTTGTCAAGTGACTTTATCAGCCTGTAGGCTTTTCTTTCCTCATCTCTAAAACAGGGAGTAGTTGAGAGACTGAGGAATACAGATATGGAAATCCCAGCGTAAAGCCTGGTACTGGGGATACTTTTATCCTTGAGATAGACCCTGCCTCCTGCCCTGCAGGCAGTGACCACAGCAGCATGGCCAGCCTTCCATGATGCAGGCATGTCTATCTTTTCTCAGAGTGTGAAGAGTGCAAAGACCTTATAGAATCTGTGCTGGAGGAGGAGGTGCAGTTTCAGGAGAGGGAGCTGGCCGAATTGCCGAGGTCAGCTGCAAGGCTCCGGTAAGGAGGTACCTCTGTGGGAAGTGCATAAATACTGTTTGAAGTAGGGCAGCTCAGGCTGGTAGAACAAAGAGCAAATTTGTGCAAGGAGAAGGGCAGAAATGTATGACTCAGGCACAGAACTAGACGAAGACACAATGAGGCTATGGTCTAGTTAGGTCTCTGGGGTTTTCCATTAAATAGCATATTAGTAAAATGGAGACAGCTGTCTGCATTGGAATACTAGCAATGTGGCTTCTATTTGTGTGTCCTTGGTCAAATTTACTTCACTTTTCTGCGTGTCATTAACCTAGGCTACCTCATTTATAAAATGCAAATACTGACAGTATCTACTTAGAGGGTTATGAAGATTAAATGCACAATTGCAAGTAGTTAGAACCATCTCTAACACATATAAAACTCTGAACAACTATTTTCTGTAATTATTATATTTGTTCCCATTTATAGATGTGGTGATTGTCATTAATATTTTCTATAAGAGATATTTTCAAACTTTCCAAAGTGCCTTTCATGATAACAATGTTTCTCCTCCAAACTTTTTAAAAAAGTATTATACTAGGTGGAGTATTAACTGGTAGGGCTATTGGGTAGATAGATGATTGAGCAGCTGTTGTGTGGAAAATGAATTATTAATTCGCTCAGGACCAGCACTGACTATCCTTAGAGGGTTTCAGACATAAGGTAGATTGTAGCATTCGAAACTTCTTTTAATCCTTTGTTGAAATGAAATCATAGAAGCTCAAATTTGTAAAACTCACCAAAGCAGAGATATTTGATTGAAGGCGGGATAGGTCTGGAGCCCCTGTTTCTCCCCAGTATGTGTCTTTACTTCCCCTGACACTTTCTAGTAACTCTAAGGAATAGAGTTTGAAAGAGGACCTGCAGATAACTACTTAGAAGACTGGTGGGGAGAAAATTCAAGCATTAGATGGGTTAGATGACTGTAAATGTTCAGTCTAGCTCTGGGATTACATGGTTCTAAACATTAACTGAATAACTACTTGTATGTGTACATACTACCGGGTGCTGTAAGTTGGGTAATAGGTAGCACTATCTTTAGACTCACAGAGCTCACACTCTACATTGGAACCCATGTGTATTAGTCCACTCTGACACTGCTATAAACATATATCTGAGATTGGTGATTTATAAAGAAAAGAGGTTTAATTGGCTCATGGTTCTGTGGGCTGTACAGGCTTCTGCTTCTGGGCAGGCATCAGAAAACTTACAATCATTGCAGAAGTCAAAGGGGAAGGAGGCATGGTCTTCACATGGCCAGAGCAGGAGAGAGAGAGAGAGCAAAGAGGGAGGTGCTACACTTTCAAACGACCAGACCTCATGAGAACTCACTCACTATCATGAGAACAGCAAGGGGGAAATCCACCACCATGACCAGTCACTATCCAGCAGGTCCCTGGTTGGATTACAATCCAACATGAGATTTGAGTGGGGACACAGAGCCAAACCATATCACCATGAGAAATATTTAAACAATAATTAGAAAAAAAATAAATCCCCACAGAGTAATGAAATTACTACTCAGAACTTTACTTTTTTTCTTTTTTTGAGATGGAGTCTTACCCTGTTGCCCAGGCTAGAGTGCAGTGGTGTGATCTCAGCTCACTGCAACCTCCACCTCCCAGGTTCAAGTGATCCTCCTAGGTCAGCCTCCCCAGCAGTTGAGAGTATAGGTGCACACCACCACACCAGCTAATTTTTGTATTTTTAGTAGAGATGGGGTTTCGCCATGTTGGCCAGGCTGGTCTCAAAACTCCTGACCTAAGGTGATCTGCCTGCCTTGGCCTCCCAAAGTGCTGAGATTACAGGCGTGAGCCACTGTGCCCGGCCAGAACTTTAGTTTTAACTGCCTTCTTACTGATTATAGTCTATCTTCATGTCATTCAGAAGAACACTGCCCCTCTTGACCTTTTCACTGATTTTTCTTTTTAACTTTCAATTAATACTAGAGATACCGGCCCAACAGTTTTGAAATTGGCTTTTTTTTTTTTTTTTTCTGCCAGTTACTGCATATGAAAAGGTACTTGGGCTAAAGTGGGGAACCAAAGGGGCATCTTTTTAAAGGAAATTTAGTAAAATAACAGACAAACCCAAGGCTGCCTCTTCATTCCTTCTTCCACAGGCAAGTCACACAACTTGTACAAGAATTAATCTTGGGCCAGGTGCAGTGGCTCATGCCTGTAATCCCAGCAGTTTGGGACACCGAGGTGCATGAATCATTTCAGGTCAGGAGTTCAAGACTAGCCTGGCCAACATAGCAAAACCCCATCTCTACAAAAAATATATAAATTATCCTGGCATGGTGGTGGGCATCTGTAGTCCCAGCTACTTGGAAGGCTGAGGCAAGAGAATTGCTTGAACCTGGGAGGTGGAGGCAGAGGTGGAGGTTGCAGTGAACCGAGATCACATCACTGCACTCCAGCTTGGGCAACAGAGTGAGACCCTGTCTCAAAAAAAAAGAAAAAAAGAATTCAACTTGGGAGTTCCTTACAGGGATTCTAAGAGATCTCTCCTCTGAAACTTCTATAACCTATTATTCACTACATTCCCTCATACATTTTACTCTTCTTTCCCACCTTAGGATACATGATCCCTTAATTCAGGCTCAGGCTGAAGAACTGACCCACTTACGACAGAAGATACAGGAAGGGAGAGGTGTCTGCTACCTTTTCACCCAGCATGTGAAGAACACAGTCAAGTCTTTTGAGGGCCTTCTCAGGAACACTGACATTGCCTACTACCAGAGACAGAGATTCTGTGAGCAAATGGTACAAGGAAGCCAGCTGACAGAGATCCTTGTCAGAAAACTTGCCACAGGTAAGTTGGCTACAGGCTCTGAAGACCCTTAGCTCCTCCCAAGTGCCCCAAAGTGGGGAGAAAAAATGCAAACTTATCTCCATTATAGATTTTATTTTAGTTTTGACTATGGTCCTTAATCTGCATTCTATTGTTTTCTCTTTAGAGCACTCAGGTAATCACTTTTCATATTCTTTCAAGAATTCTAAGTTTTGTTTTTTATTTTGAGACAGAGTCTTGCTCTCTTACCCAAGCTGGAGTGCAGTGACATGATCTTGGCTGACTGCAATCTGTGCCTCCTGGGCTCAAGCAATCTTCCCACCTCAGCCTCCCAAGTAGCTGGGACTACAGGTGTGTGCCACCACACCTGGCTAATGTTTGTATTTTTTGTAGAGATAGGGTTTCTCCCTGTTGTCCAGGCTGGTCTTGAACTACTGAGCTGGAGTAATCCACCTGCTTTGGCCTCCCAAAGTGCTGGGATTACAGATATGAGCCACTGTGCCTGGCCGGAGAGTTCTTAGTTTCAATCAGTAAGAGAGGTAGAGTATAGTGGATTACTTCATCTTGATGAGCATAAGAACTCACCTTCATTTCTGGAAGATGTTTTCACTGGATGTAGGATTCTAGTTGACAGTTTTTGTTTTAAAAAAGTGT
The DNA here is from genome assembly GCF_000001405.40 of Homo sapiens. Lineage (NCBI taxonomy): Eukaryota > Metazoa > Chordata > Mammalia > Primates > Hominidae > Homo > Homo sapiens. Next base: position 149,661,723 of record NC_000001.11, read on the forward strand.
TTGAAAAGTGATATTCCACTGTCTTCTGGCTTACACTGTTCCAACAAGAAGTCTGCCATAATTCTTATTTCTGTTTCTCTGTACATAATATGTCTTTTTTCTCTGGATGCTTTTGAGATTTTCTATTTATCACTGGTTTGAAGCAGTTTGATTAAGATAAGACCTTGTATAGTTTTCTCTTTTACATATTGTTCTACTTTATTTAGTTTCTTGCATCTGCATGCTTATAGTTCTCATCAAATTTGAATAATAATGACATATATAGTCTTACCTATGGCATATACAATATATTATATTTGGCATACATACATCAAATATATATAATGTATATTCTATTCTTTCTCTCTATCTTCTCCTTCAAAGACTCCAGTTATATTTGTATTAGCTGCTTTGAAATTTTACCACAGCTGACTAATGGTCTGTTCATTTTTGTTGTATCTTTTCTTTCTCTCTGTTTCTTTCTATTTCCATGTCTTGGAATTGATTAATCTTTCTTCAGCAGCATCTAATCTGCTGTTAATCCTATCGAGTGTATTTTCATCTCAGACTTTATTTTTCATCTGAATTTAATTTATGTCTTTTTTTAAGGTCTTCTATGTATCTCTTCATCATTTCATATTTTCCTCTAGCTTCTTTATTTTATTTTATTCTATTTTTTGAGACAGAGTCTCGTTCTGTTGCCCAGGCTGAAGTGCAGTGGTGAGATTTTGGCTCACTGCAACCTTCACCTCCTGAGTTCAAGTGATTCCTGTGCCTCAGCCTCCTGAGTAGCTGGAATTACAGGCACATGCCTCCACACCCAGCTAATTTTCATATTTTTCAGAGAGACGGGGTTTCACCACATTGGCCAGGCCGATCTCAAACTCCTGACCTCATGTGACCCACATTGGCCTGGCAAAGTGCTGGGATTACAAGCATGAGCCACCACACTGGCCTAGCTTCTTTAATACAACGTATACAGTTATATTTGTTTCAATGTGCTTATCTACAGATTCTCTCATCTGTGTCCTTTTTATTGTTTTTTAATTCTCACCTGATGTGTCCTTTCTAAGTCAGTTTAAGTAGATTGATTTTTTTCCCCCTTCTTATCATGGATTACAGTTTTCTGTTTCTCTGCATTCCTAACATTATTTTATTTGGGGTTAGACATTGAGCATTGTAACTTATTGGGTGCTGGATTTTTTTGCATTTTGTGTTAACATTCTTTGAGCTTTGTTTTGGTATACAATAAAGTTACTTAAAAACAATTTTCATCTTTCCAAGCTGGCTTTTTAATTTTTTTTAGGCAGCATAAGAGCAGCTATTAGTCAACTGCTATTTTTTTTCCCACTATGGAGGCAAAATGACCTTTAAGAAAATAGACCTTATTTTTTAGAGTAGTTTCAGATTCACAGCAAAATTGAGCAGGAAGTACAGAAAGTTCCCATACACCCCCTGCCTCCACACATGCATAGCCTCCTAGACTATCAACATCTCTCTCCAGAATGGCACATTTGTTACAGTTGATGAACTTACATTGACATGTCATTATCACACAAAGTCCATAGTTTACATTGGGGGCAATACTCTTTTGAAGATTCTAAGCCAGTGATCTCCCACAGATTTGGCACCAGGGACTGGTTGCATGAAAGATAATTTTTCCACAGACAAGGTGGGGGTGGGGTGGTAGGGTTTGGGAATTGGGTGGTTTCAGTATGAAACTGTTCCACCTCAGATCATCAGGCACTAGTTAGAGTCTCATAAGGAGCATGCAACCTAGATCCCTGGCATGTACAGTTCACAATAGGGTTTGTGCTCCGATGCTAATCTAATGCCATCGTTGATCTGACAGGAGGCTGAGCTCAGGCGGTAATGCTTTCTCGCTGGCTGCTCACCTCCTGCTGTGCGGTCCCATTCCTAACAGGCCATGGACCAGTGCTGGGGGTTGGGGACTCCTGTTCTAACCAATGCTCCCTCTATTAAAAGGGATTTTCACTCTAGCTGATGGAAACACCAAGTGTTGCAAGCTATGTGTGAGCTACAGAGATTATTCCTTTTGGGAAGTTCTTTGCCCTGCTTTGCATAATTTCCTCAAATACATGTACTAATCAGTACTTAGCTGAAGATTGAAGACAGATATCCAAGGCATTCTATCTGTGCAGCAACCTATTCTCTAGTCTGTCCTGTGATGTCTAGCCACCCTGACTTCTTCAAACTTACTACCAGGCTCTGCCTGGGTCCTCCCTCCCTGCTCTACAGTTGACAATCTCAGGCAGCAAACTGGAGCAATCATAGGGCTCACCTCTTTTATTTATTATAGTACTGCACTATATCCAATGTTGAAGGTAGAGTTTAAAATACTTTTTCCAGTTTCTCAGTTGTTTAAGGTGGAGGACAAATCAGGTCCCCATTACTCCAAATTGGCCAGAAGCAGAAGTCTCCATTCCATCTTTGTGGTCAGAAAGAACAGTATGACAGAAGGCAGCTTGTTAGAATGGGAAGACCCATGGGCTAAGAATCAGCATTACCTAGGCTCTAGTCTCAGCACTGTATTTACTAACTTTGTGCAAGTGATTGATCCTTCTTGAATTTCTGTTTCCCCATTTGTAAAGTGGGTCAAATCATAATTCCACAGCTGCTGTACAGATCAGTTGAAGTAGTATCTTAATGTTCATGAGTGTATTTCTCTTTCAGGGTTATTTATTTTTTTATTTTTGGGTCCCAATAAACCGTCCAAATCTTTTGGGGTTAGTTCAGGCACTGTATATAGTAGAAGCTGGTGTTAGAAAAGTTGATTTATACTGGAATATTTTTCACAGAATCAACCCCAATGCTCACTAACAAACTGAGAAGAAAAAAAAAGAATTACCCCCAACAACATCTGAGGAAGCACAACAGGGACAGACTTGAAGGCACCTGGGCAGTCCTCTGGTTTTGGAGTAGAGGTAGGACAGGGCTATTTGTCCTCTCAGAGACTGGAGCAGGTTCTGTGTGTGAGTAGCAATGGGACAAACAGTCGTGGTCTGGCAACCAGCCTGTAGCAGGAAGGAAGGTTACAACTGGAGAAGTCCAAAGGGCAGCCAGGCAAGTATTCTTTGAGCTGGGGAACAAAAGGCATTTTAAACTTTTTGCTCTGCTTCAGGCAGCTGACGTCTGGTGATGATTCACCACATCAGGAACACCCTGTCCAGTGGGCTCAGGCAAGCCTGCCAGGCCACTTCTCTAAAGACACCACCTGAGGCCTCCTGCAATAAATCTCACAGAGTATTCTGAACATATATGTAAGGTGTTATGTCCCTGATCATATAGGGCCCATGTGTGCAATGTGTGAAATGGGACCTGCTTAATTTCTGACTAGTCTTTGTAATTTTGGTTTGCAGAAAATCACAATGGTAAGAAAAATGAAGACAGGCAAAAGCCACTGGCTCCCAGGTAACTCTATATGATGAAGGGGCTGATAATGGACTGACCAAATCTAGAGAGAATTCCAGAAGCAAGGACTCAAGAGGTTAAAGGTCCCAGATCTAGAAAAAGCAGAAACTGCTGATTGTTCTTTTTTTTGTTGACTGATTATACAATGTGTCCTTTTAAAAATGGTTCTCTGTTCTCTTTGCAGTTGTTGTATTGGTTCCTAGTTCCTAGTAATTTCTCACACTTAGTTAACCAGTCAGTCTTACCAAAAAGTAAACTAACCAGGGATCCCTGGTTTCTGTATCTTTAAAACCTATAGGGTTACAAACCAAAGTGAGATGCCTATCTGGTTTCTGCACAGTTGTCCTGAATTATGTTGGCAGATATTTTATAGCCAGAAATTAACCTTGAAAAATAAATTGAAACCATACCAAGTATTTAGAGCTAGGGGTCTAAAATCTGCAAAAGCCCTGGGAGGTTGTGTTGTCTCAAGAGCCAGTATTCAGTGGACCACTCCACATCATATTAAATAAAATTTAAACACAGCATTTTGAAGCCGACAGTATGGGTCACTGTGTGTCCTGTGTGCCCTGAGCGTATTGTAGAGTAGTTGTTGAGTCTGCTGCCTTATCTGTGTGTTATGAGGTCAATGCACTGATCACTTGCTTTTTTCACTTCTATACTAACTCTAGGCACACTTTACTCCCAGTCAAAAGTGGACTGTATACTTCCTCTTTGATGTGATGGTCCCTTTGGTTTTGGTGCCTCTTCCATGAGCTTCAGATCAGAACTAGCTATGTGGTTCCAGGCTGCCTTGGTTTAATCCCTTGTCTTGCCTACTTCACCTGGCTCAAGAGGGAAGTCCAGGAGGAAGAAATGGATGAAGTCCTGGAGGACTCACTAGATGAACAGTATTTGACTCATTCCAGCTGCCATGACTCCCACCAGCTTCCCAGCAGCAATGCCTTCCTCTTTGATGCACAGGAAGGCCCCTTGGCTGTGGAAATAGCCAGTAAGTGCTCCTTTGATAAGAAAAATAAAGCTCCATCAATCTCTCAGTAGCTCCTACATTCTACATGCTCACCACCTCTGTCTAAACTGAGAGATGTTATTCTCTGCAGGCAGGCCCTAAACATTCACTTTAAAAAACTGATTAGGCTGAACACAGCTCTGGGATCAACTCTCAAGTACAGGTCCCTGGTGGGTCAGGTAATTTGCTCTGTTCCTGTCCTCACCTCAGTCCCTCTGGTCCAGACCGGCATCTGCAAGCCGGTATACTCAAAGCAGGCCAGAATGGAGAGAGTGAAGAGATTATGGCAGACTCTCTGCCACTACTGCCGCGCATGTACAAATCTGTTTAACAGATCTTCTTCTTTAAAATGGGACATCTCATCTTTCCTGAAATATATATATTTTTTGAGACAGGGTCTCTTGTTCTGTCACCCAGGCTAGAGTGCAGTGGCATGATCTTGGCTCACCACAACCTAAAACCCAGGGTCAAATGACCCTCCCACCTCAGCCTCCTGAGTAGCTGAGAACACAGATGCATGCCACTACTCCTGGCTATTTTTTTTGCCTTTTTGGTAGAGATGGGTTCTTGCCTTTTTGCCCAGGCTGGCCTCAAATTCCTGAGCTCAAGCAATTCACCCACCCCTGCCTCCCAAAGTGCTGGGATTACAGATGTGAGCCACCGCACCCAGCCTTCCTGAAATATTCTTGATAATTATAGTTCCTGAACAGTTTTCCCAAGCTGTTCTAGCCATCCCAAGAATGTTGGCAGGCTTGTCCATATGTTTGGAGGTGCAATTATAATGGTTCCTGGGTTTCAAGCTCCAGTCTCCATCTCCCCTCAGGTGCTTGCTTTCCCATAAGGTTCCATCTGACTACTGGAATATCAGGGGATTTCCATAAAGACAAGACTTTGATCTTGGCAACCCTTTGGTAAATAGCCAGGGTTCTCAATCTTTGTGCAGCACCAAGGTATTTTTAAGATGTCTGTTAGTTTCGTCTCAGTGTTGTAATTCAATCTAAATAAACAACGAGGCTATCTGCTGGAGAAAAGGCTGAATCTAAGAGCAATGCCACCAGCATGCCCTCTTCCCAGAATAGCTCCACGCTAGCCATTGGAGCTTCTTTAGGTATATAAGAGCCCTTTAGGTTGGTAGCCTCTCTGGTGTGTGTATAGATTAAAACCTTGACCTATATCTCCTCTCCCTTACTTGAATGTTTGACTTTACTTTGGGGGCAAAAGTTTGGATTGTTAGGAGACTATATGCTTTGTATACTCTTCTATGCAATAAAAAGAGATTATATTAATTCACTCATTGAGCTTTCACAGTAATATAAACCATATTAGGCTTGTCATTCTGTCAGTGATGGGTGTAAGTTTGTGGCTTTAATTAGTCATACCATCTTCTGACAAAGGCATCCTTATTTCTCTTTCCAATTTCACAGTAAGGTGCAGAAGAAGGTCTTTACCATCTGTTAAAGATGTTCAGGGCCGGGCACGGTGGCGCACACCTATAATCCCAGCCCTTTGTGAGGCCTAGGTGGGTGGATCACTTGAGGTCAGGAGTTCAAGACCAGCCTGGCCAACATGCTGAAACCCCGTCTCTACTAAAAATGCAAAAATTAGCCAAGCATAGTGGTGCACGCCTGTAGTCTCAGCCACTTGGGAGGCTGAGGCATGAGAATCCTTTGAACCTGGGAGACGGAGGTTGCACTGAGCCAAGATGGTGCCTCTGCACTCCAGCTTGGGTGACAGAATGAGACTCTGTCAAAAAACAACAACAAAAACAAAATATGTTCAGGAGAGATATTTTGTAGAGAGGAAGATATTCCCTAGTACCTATAAGTCATCTCAAGGAGGTGGTCATACCTTTTCTAGTGCTAGAAAAGCCCTACTCAGAGACCTTCAGTGTTTTCCCACCTCCTGTCAACCTGCCTTATACTTCCCATATCTCCATGTGGGAGGCATCCCTGTGGAGTTTGCTTAGCACTTGGCCATGCTTTCTTTGAAACCTTAAAAGCTCTTAAAGGAAGTTGCCTTATGTTCCCTGATGAGAAGATGAAGTTGGCAAAAGAATGGTGAAAGGCAGGGATCTTGACGAGAGACCCCTGACTATCCCTTTAGTGATCAGTATCTTCACTTCCCATCTCATTCCATGTCCTGGTGGAATGGCTGCAGAAGATGAGATCCAGAGCCAGTGGCAGCACCTGAAGGAGACCCTTTTCATCAACAACTGCCTGTGAGAAAAGCTAGAACGTCATCACAGCAGCTTTGATGAAGAAAATGGTAGGAGAGGCCCAAGTCAGCCTGCTTCTGGCAATATGTATTTTTCTAAAGGCATGTGACTGGGGCAGAGTTTTATAGATTTCAAGCACTTTGACATACTTTACTTCACTTATTCATTACAAATGTCCCAGCTAGAGAGGCAGGGCAGCTACTATCATTCCTATTTATAGGTAAATAAATAGGCTTAAAGATTTGCCTTCATCTTAGAGGTATCTACCTCTAAAATCATTCTTGTGATTCCTAAGCTGTCTGCTGTCTTCTGTCTGCTGCTGTACACTGCCTGCTGTCTCTCTGCTTCTTATGTGATTGGCATTCAGTAGAACCCAGGTTTCTGAGCACCTCACATAGCAGAATGAGAGTCTCCTCTGCTGCCATCCTCATCAGCTTCCCTTATGTCTTGGTGACTCTTCATTCTACCACCCCAAGGTGGTTCTCTCCAACCCCCCTCCTCTTAGATTGTTCTCACACAGAGGCCATCATTTCATAACATTGTGCTGGGCCAGAATAACCATAAGCAGGTCCCTTCCCATACCAAAGCAGTAACTATTTTGGAAAAGCCTCCTTCATATTGCAGCCATTGGACATGATAATACATGTGATGTGCTGGCATTTGTTGAGAATCATGTGAAAATTAAGCTTCCACCCCATCACACTAACGTTCCAGCCCTCCACGGTTTTCTCCCTAGGCTAAGATAGAGAGGAAGAACATGAAATGTGCAGAAAGCATTCTCTTAAGCAAACGTGTATAACTTGCATAAATTGTAATTATTTCCTGGAACAGGATGCACCTCTAACCTCTACAGGCAAATCATAGATTCCATTGTCCAGCTGTATAATGAAAACAGAGTTCTCAGAGAAGAATACCGGAGACTCCCCCGACTTGCCTGAATCAAATTTCCAGAGGTAAGTGGTGAAAGGCCACAATATGAAGTCACTCTCAGATGGGTCTCTTCTCTTGCCACACTCCACTGTAGAAATAAAAGAGGACGGGGAGGCCAGAGCTGCTCAAAACCTTATAACCCACAATTCTCATAGTTACTCTCAACTTAGAGAGGGCTGCTTTCTAGACACACCCCCTCCAGGCCCCCAGACTGCCAGGCTCCAGGAATAAGTAGCTCTAAGAAATACAGTATTTCAGTGTGAGCCACACCCCACTATTGCAAATTGGAGAGGAGAAGGACAAACTTAAAAGGTGAAAAGATTTAACAGAACAACAGGGTGAAACCCCATCTCTAATAAAAATACAAAACTTAGCTGGGCGTGGTGGCATGCACCTGTAGTCCCAGCTACTCAGGAGGCTGAGGCAGGAGAATCATTTCAACCCAGGAGGCAGACGTTGCAGCGAGCCAAGTTTGCGCCACTGCATTCTAGCCTAAGTGACAGAGCATGACTCCATCTCAAAAAAAAAAAGAAAAGAAAGACAGAAAAGATTTAAGAGAACAATTATTTTAATTGAATACATTTTGTCAAGATTAAATCAACTTTCCCCTAGAATACTGAAAGAATAAGCAATCATAATTTAGATTCTAAGTTACTGGACTTTGAGAAAGTGTGAAATCCAAAAAGATGCCATGAGCCAAAAAAGAGCAAAAGTCCTAATTTTCAAACTGATGAAAATAAAGTACTAAATAATTGAAATCATCGTAGTTCATCTTGGTCCTTGGCAAAATAAAAATTTATTGATTGAAATTATAATATCCTAGCTACCTTATTGTGCCTAGCTCTTACCACTGAGGAGAAAAACCAAACGCAAACAAAAGTATGTTCAAATTGGCAAAAATGTTTACAAACCTGCAAAATCTCTTCAGCCTATCCCTTAAACTGCAGGCTTGGTATTTACTAAGCTCTGTTGTGTACAATACCCACCTTAATATCCATTCTTGCACAAGTTCTGTTAGGTATAAGCCAAAATCACATGGGATTTTTTTTTTTTACCCTCTCATGCCTATGTTTGCTTTTGCTTCCAAAGACCCTTCTGAGTAAGGACTGTCCTCAGACTACTGGAGTCACTTAGTCACAAGCTTGCCTGAGGCTCAGAGCTGGCAATACCTGGCAGTTTATGTCAATCCCACATGCAACCCTGCCTGCAAAGTATTTACCCATGATTGACAGGTGCAGGTGTATGAAAGCCCAGCTCCTTGACTTGAGGGGTGCGTTTGTGGTGAATTAGCTTTGGGAAAAGGGAATCCAGAGGCCAACTTTGTAAAAATCCAGATAGGTAAATGGAGAGAAATCTTTGCCTTGGAAGTCCAATTGAGAAAGATAGTGATTTACTTCGGACTGTGAAAAGAGAGACTAAAATCTTTACTTTCTCATGGGAAAGAAGCCTATGGTGAAAGAGAAACAAAGAAAATGGTGGGAAATAGGATAGGTCTACTCAGTAGCTTTAAACCATTCTGTCATATTATAAAGCCTGGTAAGGTTTTAACTAACACAAGTGCCTGGACTCTACACATAGAGATTCTGATTTAAATGCTTCCAGGTGGGTGGAAGACACTAGTAGTCTTAAAAAGCTCCCAAGTAATTTTAACATGTAGCTAAAGATGAAAAGGACAATCTATCTACTAGAATGTCAAGTCGCCAGCATAGGAGTGTCCCAAATGTGCAGCTACCTCATAGAAAAGGCTTAACCCCATCCATTGATGGAATTTGCCTTCCTCTCTCCATGGTCTTGTTTGCATAGCATGGAAAAAAAGAGAAGAGAAAAAGAGGTAGATGGATAGATTGAACCTATAATTTGCCTATGTGGAGCAGTTTCTCAAACTTTTCTGACCACAAGATACAGTGAGAAATACACAATTCTTTGTGATCAGTTTTTAAAAAATCTTTTATTATGTGTAATCCACCCTTCCTGGTATTTAAATAAAGCCTGTAGTAGTAAGCAGTCCACTATATTGATTTCACAACCCATAAGTTGTTCAGAATTGCAATTAGAAAATTTTTAATTTTGGCCAGGCGTGGTGGCTCGCACCTGTAATCCCAGCACCTTGGGAGGATCACCTGAGGTCGGGAGTTTGAGACCAGCCTGACCAACATGGAGGAACCCTGTCTCTACTAAAAATTAAAAAAAAAATTTTTTTTTAATTAGCTGGGTGTGGTGGTACCTGCCTGTAATCACAGCTACTTGGGAGGCTGAGGCAGGAGAATTGCTTGAACCCTGGGGGTGGAGGTTGTGGTGAGCCAAGATTGTACCATTGCACTCCAGCCTGGGCAACAAGAGCAAAACTGTCTCAAAAAAAAAAAAAAGAAAGAAAGAAAGAAAAAAAAAGACAAAGAAAGAAAGAAAAAGACAAAGAAAGAAAGTAAGAAAGAAAGAAAATTTTTTTTCACTTTTGCTCAGCCTTTTTATCAAGGAAAATCCCAAAAGAACATTTACTGTAAAAGAACATTGACTATAAACATCTTTCTGTGAATCCTTATTTCTGTCCCAGCCACCATGACCCAATAATCTCTAAAACCTGTTAGTGTTCTCCAGATTGAAGCCTTCCGTCTAACTGCTCCTAAATCTGTGATGTAGTGGAAAAGGTTTGAGGCCTTGATTCTCATCCCAGGTTTTTCACCTACAGATCATATGGCCTTAGCCTCTTGACACCATTGTCTCCTTATGGCCAAAGATGGAACTGTACTTGGGTGGTATCTGAGCACCCTGTTGGCTTTGACATTCTAGGGCTCTTCCCTTGGCACCACTCTCTTATTTAAAAGGAATAGGATGTGGACTTACAAGGGTTATTTCTCTGCAAACTATCCTCTCTTTCTTATGACAAGCTATTTCTGAATGTGCACATTTGAGGCTAAGCAAATCCCTTCCTGGGAGGTGTGAAAGACCTTTATTTCTCTCCAGAGGAGTATTATGGAGGTGGTAGAGACCTAGCTAACTCATCTGCAGTGGCTTTGAGCAAGGCTTTTAGAGCCATAAGGTGGCTGGGGTCCTGTGTCCTACACCACAGGCCAGCTAGTTCATTTCAGGAGACTTTCTTTTCAATCTATTATTACTATCTTCTTCTAGACTGTAGTTCACTACCAGAGATTATCCACTTAGCTGCACTCAGTTTGCACCTGGCCTGTATCACCACTTAGCTCTCACTCTAGCCTCAGTTAGGTATCAGCAAGACCTCACCAAAGATTATTGTTTCGTTGTATGTGTGTGTGTGTTTTTGTTTGTTTCAAGTAGCAACTAATGTTGGAACTATGGAAAGTTCTTCTCTACTTTTAACAAAGCTTAGTCACAAACAGTTCCCCAGTTGATGAGAAAAACTAAAACAACAGAACAATTGAAAGTCCAAATCTGAAAGCTCCATCTCTGAGAAGCAAATTTTATAGCCACTCCAGATTTGTATTCCAAATGGATAGTTTGATTGTAGAAATCACATCCCTTCAGTCTGCAAATGTGATAACTGCCCAAGAGACAGTGATGCCTAGATCCATAAATAATCCCCTTTCCCCCAACCTATATATAACTGGAGTCAACAGCAGCTAGAGGAAAATGGCAAGGACTTGGAATCAAGATTAAGTTAGAATAACACTGCTGTAGACTGTTTATCAGCTCTTCAGCATATGTCCATTTTCCTTGAAGGATAAGCCTTTAGAAACCTCTGACAATAAAGTTTATTTTACACACATTCTCTTGCCTATGATTTTTTTGTACAAAGCACAATTACAAAACTTTCTTGCTCCAGCTAAAAGCAGGAAACTCAGTCACAAATGTGTTCACTACATGTATACCACAGAATGATAGCAGCCAGTCTGAATGCATCACTTGATTCCAAAATTAAATGTTAGCACTCAGTAGTGAAACTACATGTATCTCCAACTCTGGAAGCCCCAGGCAAGATACTCCTGTTTCCTGCAGGGAAACAGATCTATAAGCAGGGCAGCAGTCTCACACATGTACATTCCTGGGAAACCCAAGGAAACAATGGTAGTGACGCAGGGCAGGCGAACCTCAAAACTGGTTTGTAGCCTGAGAAATTTCTCCCAGACTGTAGTTTCCTTGGCTTTGCCAAGGAAAGAATTCAAGGTCAAGCCGCTGGTGAAAGAAAGCAACTTTTATTGAACTGGTGCTGCTACTTGCAGAGCAGGGCTAACCCATAGGCAGTGTGCCCAGAGTTGGTGCCTGTGGGCTGCTAGCTAGTTGTATTTAGACCCACTTTTAATTACATGCCAATTAAGAGGTAGGTTATTCAGAACTTTCTGGAAAAGGGGCAGGGAGTTTCTAGAACCGTATAAAGTAACTTCCAGGCCATTGCCAAGGTGTGTTGCCATGACATTTGTAAACTGGCCATGGTCCCAGTGGTAGTGTCTTTATGCTCATAAGTAGTGAGAGCAACTAGAGGTCACTTTCATCATCATCTGCTGGTTTCAGCAGGCTTCTCCACTGCACCCTGTTTTGACCAGATCCTGCTCTGTTCAATGGGGTTGTGACTGGAAAATAAGTCTTTCTGGTCTCCTACCTCATTTCCCCATCAGAGATTATATACTCCTCCTTAATCTTAAGGGGCTTGCAGAAGGGTGCAGGTTCATCTTCTGTAACTGCTTCCTGCTGATGTTATGGGCATAGACTCTGCCTAGCACTGGAGAAGTAAAATCTCTGGATACCTGTTCTAAAAGACCCAAAGGCAGGATGTCTTTATTTTCTGGGTCAGAAGAGGGGATGGGTTGAAAGCCTTGTGCCAGCATCATCTTTACATGGAATTATTGTAATCTAGAAGACACAAACTTTACAAGGAGGTTAAACAAGCAAGGACCAAAGATTAGTAATAACAAGATATCTGTTAAAGGTCCTAGGAAGGGTAAAAATCAAGTGTCTGCTGGTAGAGATTCCTTTATTGAATTCCATCAGCAGGGCAAAGCGGTAAGAGAGAAAATATTATAATTAGGAGTAAGAGAAAAACTTTCATGCTCATCCACAGCATCATGTTATTAATATTTATCTGTGCATTTGCAAAACAATAGCTTTAAGTCTTCTGGGAGTTTGCAAGTATAGGTCATGGTATCTTCCTCTGACATCTGTGAGGACTCATAAGAATCTTTGAGGCTGGGCACAGTGGCTCATGCCTGTAATCGCAGCACTTTGGGAGGCTGAGGCAGGCATTTCACAAGGTCAGGAGTTCAAGACCAGCTTGGCCAACATGGTGAAACCTCATCTTTACTAAAAATACACACACACAAAAAAAAAAATTAGCCAAGCCTGGTGGCACGTGCCTGTAATCCCAGCTACTCAGGAGGCTGAGACAGGAGGATTGCTTGAACCCAGAAGGTGGAGGTTGCAGTGAGCCGAGATCGAGCCATTGTACTCCAGCCTGGGCGACAGAGCAAGACTTCTTAAAAAAAAAAAAAAAAATTAACTTTGGAGTTTAACAGCAGTGGGAGTGTTTAATAATGCCTGATAGGGGCCCTTTCTATTTTGGTTGTAATTGATTCTTGGGGGATCCTTCTTTCTAAGTTTTTAGTAAGACTAAGTCTCCTGGTTGAATGGGGGAGTTAATCCTTTTCCTTGTGGGAGGTTACGTTTCATTTCCATATTTTGAACCTGGCCTAAGTTGATAATCTATGTGTCTCTTCATCAAACAGAAGGTCTAAAGTTAAAAAGGGCCTTCCGAGCTGCTCAGGCGACCCAGTGCTCGGTTGGCCCGGGCCGCGCTTAACTGTCCCAGGTCAGTTAAGCCCATGGGAGCCCAGGTCATGGGGCAGCCAGGGCCTCTGCAGTGTGAGGCGCCGGTCTGCGGGCGGGCAGGCGGGAGGCTTAGGGTGGGTCGCGGTCGCGGCCCCCGCCGCAGGCCCTGGCGGCGGCATCGTGAACATAGACGTGGAGTTCCACATCCGGCACAACTACCCCTGGAACAATTTGCCGGCCAATGTGAGGCAGTCATTAAGTGGAGATAGCTCATCATGGAGGTCTTCATCTTTGTCTTCACATCAAGTAGGCTGAGGAGGAGGAAATACAGGAAGTATTGGTCCTGCTGTTCAGAGTGGCAGAGGAGAAAGAAAATCCCAGCCGTGTTGGAAATTCACAGAGAGAATATGAAAATCAGGTTGTCCTGTACAGTATCTGCAATCAGTTACGATACAGAAATAACTTAAACATGTCAAGAAAGATGAACGCGGATACTATGAGGAACTGCTAAACTACAGCCGAGATCATCTCATGCTGTACCCTTACCGTCTATTGGATATTATGGTGAAGGGCTTCAGCATAACACCATTTTCATATTACACTGGGATTATGGAGAATATTATGAACAGTGGGCACAATTTTACTGCTGCTGACTGTCTAAGGCTTCTTGGCATAGGAAGAAACCAGTATATTGATCTTATGATTCAGTGTAGATCATCAAAAAAATTCTTCAGAAGGAAAACAGCCGGTGATCTTCTACCAATAAAGCCAGTGGAAATTGCCATAGAGGCATGGTGGGTGGTGCAGGCTGGATATATCACAGAAGATGACATCAAGATATGCACTTGGCCTGAGAAATGTGCTACTGATAAGACCGTTGATTCAGGCCCTCAACTCTCTGGATCACTAGATTACAATGTAGTACATAGTTTGTATAAAAAAGGATTTATTTATCTGGATGTACCAATGTCTGATGACAGTTGTATAGCAGTTGCACCCCTTGAAGGTTTTGTAATGAATCGAGTGCTTATTTTGATTATTTTGAAACTCTACTCTATAAGATATTTGTTTCAGTAGATGAGCACACAAATGTGGCAGAGCTTGCAAATGTCCTTGAGATTGACTTATCCCTGGTTAAGAATGCTGTTTCAATGTATTGCTGATTGGGCTTTGCCCATAAGAAGGGACAAGTAATAAATTTGGATCAACTTCATTCATCATGGAAGAATGTTCCATCCATAAACAGATTAAAGAGTACCTTAGATCCATAGAAGATGCTCTTGTCATGGGGTGGAGGGGAAAGTAGGAGGCCTGTACAAGAAGCTTCATCGGCAACTGACACTGATACAAATAGTCAAGAAGATCCAGCTGACACAGCCAGTGTAAGAAGCCTGAGTCTGTCTGCAGGACACACGAAGCACATCGCATTCCTGTTTGACTCCACTCTTACTGCCTTCTTAATGATGGGAAATCTTTCACCAGTTCAGAGCACTGGTGAAAGAGAAGCACAGAGATATTTTGAGCATGCGCTTACTCTGAGAAACACAACACTGTTTCTGCGTCATAACAAAGATCTAGTTGTGCAAACTGCACAGCCAGACCAACCCAATTATGGTTTTCCTCTGGATCTCTTACGCTGTGAAAGCCTTCTTGGTCTGGACCCTGCAACTGGCAGCAGAGTTCTAAACAAAAATTACACACTGCTTGTTTCCATGGCTCCCCTCACCAATGAAATCCGGCCTGTCAGCAGCTGCACCCCTCAGCATATTGGACCAGCTATCCCAGAAGTCAGCTCTGTCTGGTTTAAACAGTACATTTACGTTTATCATATCACTGGACAAGGACCACCATCCCTTTTATTATCCAAAGGTACAAGACCTCGAAAACTGCCAGATATATTTCAGAGTTACGATCGATTGCTAATAACATCTTGGGGTCATGATCCTGGAGTAGTTCCTACCTCAAATGTGCTCACGATGTTGAATGATGCTTTAACACATTCTGCAGTTTTAATTCAGGAGCATGGTCTGCATGGGATAGGAGAAACTGTCCATGTCCCATTTCCATTTGATGAAACAGAACTACAAGAAGACTCGTGTCAATATGGGTGTTCATAAAGCATTGCAGATACTAAGGAACAGAGTGGACTTACAACATCTCTGCGGATATGTCACCATGTTGAATGCTTCCAGCCAACTTGCAAATAGAAAACTCAGTGATGCTTCTGATGAGAGAGGAAAACCTGATTTGGCTTCTGGCTCAGATGTTAAATGGGAGTACAGAGTCATTTGAAATGGTCATTGAAGAAGCAACTATAGATTCAGCAACAAAGCAAACCTCTGGTGCCACAACAGAAGCAGATTGGGTTCCTCTCGAGCTGTGCTTTGGAATTCCACTGTTCAGTTCCGAATTAAACCGGAAAGTATATAGAAAAATTGCTACACATGGCCTTTGCAGAAAAGAGAGCCTTCAAAAACCTCTTACATTCCAGTAGAAAACTCTCTCTGCAAGTCCTTAACTTTGTTCACTCATTCCAGGAAGGTGCTTCAACATTGGATATTCACACAGAGCCCAGTTTTTCAAGTTTGCTTTCACAGTCATCGTTTGCTGACATGGGTGTTCCACTTCCTGCAAAAAATTTAACATTTAAAGATAGTGTCTTATCAGAACGGAGTGGATGGTCACCTTCCTCACTTATTGCTAATCTCCATTTGCAATAATTTGGTTACACCATTTGCTGCTCACACTTTCTGCCTTTTTTCTTTCTTAACGTTAGCTTTATAGTGTCAGCCACTAAAAAGCATCCTGCTGCTGCGGAGCAATTCTTGCTTTACTAATATTAAAAGTTTGGGGAACATATTCATGTTTTCTGAAGTTTTGCTCCTTATTGCACATCTTATTGCAACAAAGTGCTTTTTAGCATCCAGCACTGTATTTTTTTACCTTGAGACAATCTGCATTTCTTTTATAAAACTAAGTATATACTTTATAGGCTTTATGATGACTGTTATGTTTAAAAGCAGTCACTGTGAAAATTGCAATGATAATTTTATATGTTAGTTTATCAAACATCAATCTTGTTTAACTTTATATTTTGTTACCTATACTTTGGGGGATCAAGGGAAGAGATGGAACTCTTCCTCTGAAAATGCTTCTTGGTACTTAAAGTAGTAAAACTATAAAACAGTAAACATCCAGTATTGGGAGATGATATGATAGGGCATTATGAATTCCTATGGGTATCTAAATTATGTATGTCAGTTGGACATTGTAGAAGGTATGTAAATCATCATGGTTATGTATAACTTAACCTTGATTTATAAGGTCTTAATTCAGATTATGACTATTCGTTGACATCTCATGAGAAGCTTTAGAAAACTTTCTATTTTTAAACACCATTTATATGTGGACTTCTGTTGTCACTGACTTTGGGCTTTATATTTTCACAGAGTCTTTATGGAAAAAGTAGAATTTATTTTCCACTCTTGTAGCTATAGCTGCTGCACATTTTCACCCTGATTTATTTTTTTGTTTCTTACCTTTGATGTTTTCAAACCAAGGATTGTGATTTTAGGTTAGAATTACATATTAGAAGCATTAAGACTATGTCTTTGGATCAGAATGCTTTAGTGATTAACCTACTTTGAAGACATACTCTTAAGCAATCTGGATCTTAAATTTATGTGAATACATTTTTAGAAAATGATAAAGAAAAATGGAATTACTTCAAAGTGTTTCTTGAGTCATTGATTCTTTTAGCATCTCAAATGTTAATTAGAATAATTGGAATCACTTTTTAGACTTTTCAAGTTACCTTTCTTGGGAAGTTTGTGTAGTGTTAACAGTTTAGTTTAGCTCCTCTTATAGGGCAATGGTTTGCTAGTTTAAAACTGTAACCAAATGAACTGGTCAGACAACTCATATCTAAAACACTTAAAATGTTAGAACGTTTGGGAATGTTATAACCTAAGCGTTTTTGCTGATAACTTTTTGTTATTTATAGACATTTGTGTATTTAACATACTTACTTCTGGAAATATATGCCTTTCCTAAAACTTAACCACACATCCACTACCATGGCCTATGTATAGAATTGAATATTTTGGACCATGTTATCTGTGGCACAGTCAGTGCTGTGTTTGAGGTAAATGCAGTAACGGTTAGTTTTCTACTTTGCCTTATAAAAGGTAGAAACCATGTGTATGTTATGTTTGTCTATAAAAGAAAAATACTAATATTAAATTATTTCTTATGACTGTGAGTCACTCACTTATTTTTCCAATAATTGATATTGTACATTCTTAGTGCCATTAGGTATGTATGTATGTAACTTTTACAGTTTTTCAGCTGAAAGTTGTATTTTTTTTTAATCAGGGCTCTTTAATCTCATTTTAATTTCCTTTGTTTGAATGAACTGTAGTTATTTTCTGTATTCCTATATTAACCATCTAAACCAACTGTAATGACACGTACACTAATAAAGAATTGAACATTTGTATTTGTTGGCAGTGAGCCCAGTTGTTGGTGAATTTAAAGCTTAAAATATGGGAGTGATTTGCTGCTATATTTCTTTTGAGAGATAAAGGAGGAAGAAATGGAACCTAATGGTAATCATGAATTTTAGGGAAAGTACTGAAAAACCATGGGGTCCCCTCTGGTTTCTTGTGTTGAATGAGGCAAGAGTAATCATCTGATTCTGAGCTGAAGACCTCTCATACTCTCAAGGAGGGAGAGTGCATTTTTAGAGCTTTTAGCAAAAATGTGAAAAGTTCATGTTTGCACGTTGCTTTGTGAATTTGGCTTCCTTTTACTTATACATTAACTCATGTAATGTCTTAAATCTTACAAGTATTGATCCATTTCAACAAAAAGGTAAATTTAAAATGCAGACTTTGTTACTTGCCAAAGAAGATTCATGAAAAATTTATATCCAATTATTTTCCAAATAGTTAATTTAATTTGGCTTTTTACCACATTCCTTCCTTTCTTTCCCGACTTCTTTAATGTAATTTAAATCCTGGAAAACATTCTTTAGAAACCAAGAGGAAAAGAAGAACACATACCAAAAAAGACATATAACTTAAAATGGTACATTTCACATCTAAAATGGGTTTGAAGAAACGCAACTTTATATCATTAAAAAATAAGATCATCTGATTTCCTTTATTTCTTTTTTAAATTATGTAATCAGATGATTTTATATTTTTTGGGGGGGGCGGAATATTGGTTTCTTTTACTTGATGTTTTCAGTTTTCTCTGGCATTCAAGTTTCTTTTTTGTGTTCAGTGTTTCAAATACAATTTGTATTTAAGGATTTTAAAATACCAAACTGTAAATGAGTACAGTGGATCTTTTTCTGTTAGGATGTTAATATTATACAATGAAATCTATAAAGTGTTGTCAATTTGATCATTGACACATATGACATGTTTACAATTAAACTGTGGTGTTGATCAAGTTAAAAAAAAGGCGGAGGCCTTCCATAAGTCATTTCAAATGGACTAAGCTTTAAAGTTCTCTTTGGAGCCATCCTCATATGCAAAAGGGCTATGAGTAGGAGGAAAACTCAGGCCTCTGAGGTCTCCTGAAAGAGTTTTGCTAATGTCACAACTGGCTTTCTATGTTATCTGAAGATTGAGATCTCCATGAAGAGTGAAGATAGGTAATGCTTAAGGCTGAGGCATTACCTCACTGGGTCACCTTAGCTGGGAAGGGAGGTCAGTTATCCCCTTGCAAACATTTTGGTAATCCAAATCTTGGGATGATTTCTTTAAGTAAGAATTTAGACACTTCCAATACTTTTCTTGTCCTTGTGGGGAAAGCTTCTATCCACCTGGTGAAAGTGTTTATAAATACTAGCAAATATTGTAGTCCCCTGTAAGGTGGCATCTGGGTTAAATCTGTCTGCCAGTCTTCACTATGGTATGTTCCGTGGTGTTGTACAAGTTTAAGCAGGGAGTGGGGTATGGGGTGGCTTCCTGATTGGTAAATCTTTTTATAGATTAGAACAGTCCCTTCCCCAAGAATATTTAGGAAACTAATTTGAATGGAAAATCCTGTCCCAAATGTGAGGAATCATGAAAATGTTAAATTATTTCCCATTTGTCAGCCTCAGGAATAGAGTTTGTTCTTTTCTAGCAAGCGTCTAGAGGGGTCTTACTGGAAGCCTTTTACTCAGTCCCTTTAATTTCCTTGGGTGTATAGTACGGTTCCACTGACATGGATGACCTGGTAGTAGCGCAGCAGCCTGAAATACCAGGGTTTCCTTAGCTGTGGCCTTAGCTGCTCTTTCCAAAAGGGAATTTCCTCTAATAAGAACAGTGTCTCCCTTCTGGTGTCCCCTGCAGTGAATACTTGTTATTTCTTTGGGAATTGGATGGCATCTAAAAGTTCCAAGATCTGAGTAAAGTTGTATGGGGGATCCCTTGGCTCTTGATAGTCCCCTTTCCTTCCCTATGGTTGCATGAGCCTGAAGCACCCGGAAACCATACTTAGAGTCAGTAAACACATTGACTCTTGAGGGTTTTTTTTTTCTTTTTTGAAACAGAGTCTTGCTCTGTCGCCCAGGCTGGAGTGCAGTGGCATGATCTTGGCTCACTGCAAACTCTGCCTCTCAGTTTCAAGTGATTCTTGTGCCCCACCCTCCCGTGTAGCTGGGATTACAGGTGCCCACCACCATACCCGGATAATTTTTGTATTTTTAGTAGAGACAGGGTTTCGCCATGTTGGCCAGGCTGGTCTCGAACTCCCAACATCAGATGATCCACCCACCTCGGCCTGCCAAAGTGCTGGGATTACAGGCGTGAGCCATCCAACCCAGGCTTAAGTCTTTTCACAGTTGGAAGGTCCTGATTAGAGCAGCTAATTCTGCTTTTTGAGCAGAATTCTGAGAAGGTAAACCCTTGGCCTCAATGACTTCTTGTTAGCTAACCTTCCTTTCTTACTCCCTCATGAATAAAGCTATTTCCATCTCTAAACCACTCAACACTGGGGTTAGACAAGGGCTTGTCTTCAAGGTTGGACCTTCTAGAGTAGATCTCTTCCATGGTTTCCACCCAGGAGTCAATGAGTTGGGGATCTGTTTCTTGGGATGTGAGGTCCAGCAACAGAGTAGCAGGGTTTAAAAATCAGCATACTTTAAGGGTAACATCTGGGGTGTCAAGCAGAAGAGCCTGATATTTAAGTAACTGGCCCCCTATTAGCCATTGGTATACTTTTGCCTCTAGGACCCTCTGTACTGTACTTCATGGGGTGGTGGGGGGCGGGGGTGGTATGGCATCTACTTGTTGTCCCAAGGTAAACTTACTGGCTTCTTCTACCAATAGAGTGATGGTAGCCACAGATCTCAAGCTTCCTGGTCACTCAGCTGCCACCTGGTCTAGCTGTTTAGAGAAATAAGCCACTGGTCTGAGGCAATTCCTGACCCTTCGAGTTAGAACATCCAAAGCTGTCCCTTGTTATTCATCCACATAGAGGATGAAAGGTTTTTCTAAGTTCGAGAGTCTTGAAGCAGGGGCTGTCCCTGGCTTTTCTTTTAAGGCTAAGAATGCCTTTTGACAGGCTCCATTGCAATTCAAAGGCTTATAACCACTCACTTTTGGAGGTTCGTAGAGTGGTTTTGCTATGAGCCCAAACCTGGGAATCCAAACCCAGCAGAATCCAGCTATTCTCAAAAAGGAATTTGAGGGACCTGGAGTGCCAGGATGGTCTCTTTTCATCCCTGGGTCAAGATCCTGGTCCCAGGAGTGAGAATGTGTCCCAAATACGTGACCCTTTGGACAGAAATTTGGGCCTTTCGGGGGGATACCTGATACCCTTGTTTTGTTTCAAAATTAAGGACTTGAAGTTGTATGTTTCTCAGAGTCTTCCCCTAGTAGGGCTGGAAATTAATAGGTGATACACATATGGTAAGAGGGATCCATTAATTAACTGTAGTTCCCATACCTCTTTTGCCAATGCATTGCCAAACAGATGGGGATTGTCCTAAAACCTTGGGGACAGGACAGTCCAGGTAAGCTGAGATGCAGCATGAGTGTCTGGATTAGTCCATTCAAATGCAAAAATGTATTGGGTGTCCAGGTGTAAAGGTGTGTGAAAGAAAACATCTTTTAAATTTAATACTATGAACCAATAAGCATCTTCAGGGACTTGAGTTATTATTGTATAAAGATTAGGAACTATTGGGTGACTGGAACTAATGCCTCATTAACTGCCCTAAGATCCTGAACAAATCTATATTCCCCGTTTGGCTTATTAACAGGAAAAATGGGGGTGTTACGTTGGGACTGACAGGATTGTAATAATCCATACTTCATTATCAGGGGATGGATGGCCCTTGGAGCCAAAGGTCTAAAAGGATACTGGATTTTTCTTTTTTTTTTTTTTGAGTCAGAGTCTTGCTCTGTTATCCAGGCTGGAGTGCGGCGGCGCAAGGCTCACTGCTACCTCTGCCTTCCGGGTTCAAGCAATTCTCCTGCCACAGCCTTCTGAGTAGTTGGGATTACAGATGTACACCACCATACCTAGCTAATTTTTGTGTTTTTAGTAGAGATGGGGTTTTGCCTTGTTGGCCAGGCTGGTCTCAAACTCCTAGCTTCCAGTGATATGCCCACCTTGGCCTCCGAAAGTGCAGAGATTAAAAGCATGGGCCACCACACTTAAAAGGATATTTTTTTTCCCATAGATAATTAACACTGGGTTTCAAAATAACCTGGACTGGGAGAACATTTGCAGTTCTTCCAGGAACTACCATGTCACAAGCAGACGGGTCTACTTGAGAAGTAATATTTGATGGAAGGAACGTCTTTTCTTTATCTGTGTAAAGACATGAACTTAGAGCTAGGAGAAGTGTCCCTTCCCAGCCTGTGGCCTTCTCTTGAGGTGCTCCAAATGGAACTGCAGCCTGTTATTGGGAAAGTAAGTCTCTTCCCAGTAAAGGAATAAGGCACTCAAGACTAAGCAAAAATCTGTGGAAAAACATGGTTCCCCACAGTGCAACTAAAGGAATGGGTGAATCTCCTAGCTTTTAGCTGGTCATCAATCCTCATTACAGTACAGGAGTGGGAAGACAGCGGCCCCAAGGACTAGATCAGAACTGAGAAGGCGGCTCGCATATCCAATAACTCAATATTTTTACCCGCCATGTCAAGAATTACCTGAGGCTCTTCTGTAGAGATGGCAAGGTGTCTGGTGGAAGCTGTAGGGAATCTTGGGCCCTGTCAGTCCTCTGTTCTCTTAGCCATTAGGGGTCCGAGAAGCTCAGACTCCGTTTGGAGACTGAGGCAGTCTTTCCTCCAGTGGCCCTCTTGCTTACAGAAGGCACACTGATTCCAGCCTAGGGGATGATGAGCTGGCTTTTGTCTGGGCATCCCAAAGCCACTCTTGCAACACTTTCTCAGGATGGGCAGCTCAAAAGCAGTAGGAGGCTGAAAGCAGCTGCAAACAATTGCATTTTTTGGCTATTTCTTTTGGTTTTATCCTCTTCCTCTGCCTTGTCCCTATTGTTGTAAACTCCAAAGGCCATGTTTAAGAGTTGGCTCATGGAGTTTGGGGTCCCATTCCTGCCTTTTGTAACTTCCTCCTAATGTCAAGGATAGATTGAGTAATACAACGCATGCCCAGAAGAGCCCGCCCTTCCGGGTTGTCTGGGTCTACATTAGTATATTTCCTGAGTGCCTCAACCAAGCAGCCCTAAAACAGAATGGGATTTTCATCCTTCCACTGAGTTACTTCTCTATCCTTGTCATAATTAACTGGCTTAATCACACACCTTTTCATACTTTCTATTAAACAAGTTAGCATGTGATTTCTATGTTCAAGTTCTTGGGAACCCTTCTGGTAATCCCACTGAGGGTCTCTATGTGGAACTGCATCTCCCCCTACATAAATGGTATGGCCTTGGATATGAGCAGCTACTCTAACTGCATATTCACAGGCCAGTACCCAGAATCCCTCTCTTCTCCTCTATAATACAGGAAGAGGACAATAATATTTGCAAGTTGTGCCAAGTTAAATCAAAGGACATCATCAACCTGACAAACTCCTCTATAAACTTCCCTGGATCCTTCAAAAACCAGCCATATTTCTCCTTGAAGAAAGCCAATTTGGACAAAGGAAATGGCACATATACTCTGATTGTTCCCCTATCTCTGCCAGCTAACTCCAGCAATGGACACAGATTCAATTTGAGGGGCTGATAGAGAGCTCCACTCCTGGTGGTTCTGGTTGGGCTTACTTCCTTGGGCAGTGGGGGATACAGGCTGGAGCTAGCTAAATAAAAGGGAGGGTTTTCTGATGACATTGGGGTGAAATCCCACACTGGAGAACTGGCAGGACCCCTCGCAGAACTGGGGGACTGAGAAGACCCTGGAGAGGGCATGGGCCCTCCAGGGGGTGCCGCTAGGAAGGGAGCATCGAGGATATCCCACGCGGTTTCTTGGTGCCTGGAAGTAACATGAGCCAGACACATCCTGCAGTTGACTCTTAAGTCAGAATCCTGGTAGGGGGCCATAGAAGCCTGTACGTAAGGAACTTCTCCTCATTTTCCTTCCTTTTTACTGAATAAGTCCAATTGTAAAATAGTATGATAATGTAAAGAACAAGTTTCAGGCCAAATTTCTTGTTCTCCCAAGAAAATTGTTTCTTTTTCTTTGAGCCATCTCATTTGAATTTGCTCCAATTGCCTTAAAGACACCCTAGTGGGGAGTCCTTTGGGATGCTCGCCTTTGTCCCCATGTCTAACAAGGATCTCTACTACACCCAGAAGTTTTTCTAAGTCTAGCAAAAGCTCAGTTACTTTCCCTTTCAAATTCCCACCTCCTGCAGAGAAGATGTAAGTACAGTTAGCCAAGCGTTATGAAAGTAGATTATGAAATATGAATGCGAAGTAAAATGATGGGTCTGAATTCCACAGAGTGAAGAAAGCATTTTAGTTTGGGCAAAGAGGGGTTAAAAGAAACAAGGTGATCATGGAAGGGAGGAAGGGAAAGCATGAACAGCGTTGTCCAGACTGAGGTGCCAGAAAATCTACCCAGCAGCCACAGAGACTGAGGAAAAATATTTGGGCAAAATGTTTGGGTGGCTGCTGCTTGTCTGCCACTATGGGTAGTTGTCACTTGGGCCAGGGGTCCAGGAACCCCTGGTCCCTCTGACCAAGAGTTCAATATGGGCTTGAGCAAAGTCACGTAGGAGGGGGCCCACAACTGGCTGTTATGGAAAATCTTAATCTTTTAATTTAAGGGCGGAGAAGATGACATCCACACTCCTCCAGGGAAGGAGCTCTAATCCACAATCCTATAGGGAATGTCAATGCTGAAAACCCCAGAGCATCCAGGGAGAGGCCAACAGTGACAGTGGAACTCTCACCACAACGAAATGCCAAAAACCCAGAGTACCCAAGTATCAGCCAGTGATGGTCCCCACACTGAATGCTGAAACTGCAGGGGAGGCAATGGTGAACCCCAAAGGCCAAGTTAGGGGCCACTGAACAATGTGACTTTGGCATCTCAGGGTCAGCACAGTAAGGGACTTTTCACGACCAAGTGTCCTGCCTTAAACAGTTCTTGACTCTGTCCTGTCCTGTGTTATATCATGTCCTGTCCCATCTTGTCTTGTCTTTGTGGTCACCAGATGATGCAAGGAAGGACAACCCCAAAATTGGGGCTTAGCCCAGGAGAGTTCTTGGCTTTGCCCAGGTAAGAATTCAAGGGCAACCCAGCGGTGAAAGAAAGCAACTTTTGTTAAACTGGTACTGCTTCTCGTGGAGGAAGGCTAACCCATGGGCAGTGTGTGGGTTGCTAGCTAGCTGTATTTATTTAGATGCTTTTAATTAGATGCTAATTAGGAAGTGGGTTATTCAGAACTTTTTGGAAAAGGGATGAGGAGTTTCCAGAAGCATATAAGGTAACTTCCTGGCCATTGCCATGGCATGTTGACATGGCATTTATAAACTGTCATGGCACTGGTAGGAGTGTCTTTATGCTAATGAGCAGTGAGGGCAACTAGAGGTAGCTTTTGTCTCCATCTGCTGGTTTTGGTCAGCTTCTTTACTGCACCCTGTTTGGACCAGATCCTGCTCTGATCAACTGGGCCACAACCGCAAAATAAGTCCTGCCACTTTCCTGCCTCAGTAGAATCTCTGCCAAAGAATGATCTTGAAAGTTTGCTGTTTACTCATCATCTGGAAAAATCTTCCTGTATAGGCCAAATTCCCACCCTTGAGATTTCTGAAGGACCAACAAGTAAAAACAGTATACTCCAATGGGACTGTTAGATTTCAACTAACTTACTCTCCTTTGGATTTCTTTTTCTGAAAATAAATTCTTCACACACACTGACTTGTCTTTTGCAATCCAATGTAAAAGTGGGACATCTTCTTCAGAAGCTTTGAAACATACAAATTAGCCTCAAACTTACCTACCAGACTTCCAGGCTAGAAGGCTGATTCATGTAAGAAGGACTAAGAAGACACTTCACCCATATCCTGGGTAACAGGAGGGGATCCTTTAGATAGGTTTGTACACCAGGCTGGCAACCTACACTTTCTTCTAGCAGTGAGAGGTACTGAGATCCGTCACCCCCTCCTGCAAGGCCAAGACCCAGAGAGAGCCAAATTTTAGCCTAGAATTCAGCCAGCTCTTCACAGTCTCCCATGTTTTACATTTTCCTCCACAATCATTTACTTTGAAAGACTTCAAACCTATAGAAAAATTGAAAAAAAAAGAACTCCTCTACACCATTCACCCAAGTTCAACAGTTAACATTCCTTTACCTTTTTTCTCTGTCTACACACATCTACACACACATTCATATTTCATAGTAAATGCAGACCAAAAAAACTCCACTTCATCCCTAAATAGTTCAGCATGTATTTCATGAGATTAAGGACATTATCCTATATAATTATAATACAATTCAATTATCAAACCTAAGGATATTAACATTTATTCAATAACATTATCTAATATACAGTCCAGATAGAAATTTTCTGTTTAGAAAATGTCACATCTATACACATATATGTGCATGTATATAGATATTTATGCATACATAGTGTGTGCATGTGTGTATGTATGTGTATATATAACACACATGCACATTACATATGCATAAATGTTTTAATTTAATAATATTTATATGCATCAATATCTTAAAGATATATACATATCATTAGCTGGAAGCTGCCTCTATCCATATATTAAAGGTTTCTCCATATGTAGTGAACTGTAACCTAACTGGATGTGTAAACAACCTGTAACCTACTCTTGAGCCAATGACTGAGTTTTAGCCAATCAAAGGTGGCCAACTGTTCAAACTGGGTTCAAATAAGACAAACTCAGAGCTGTAGCCAATCCGATTATTTTTGTACCTCACTTCTGTTTTCTGTAAGTCACTTTCCCTTTTCCATCCATAAATCTTCTTCTACCACATGGTAGCACTGGAACCTCTCTGAACCTATTCTGGTTCTGGAAATTTCTGATTCAGGAATTCTTCTTTGCTTAATTAAACTCTGTGTGTGTGTGTGTGTGTGTGTATTATATATTATATACACATGTAATATATATATGTATGTGTATATATAATATTTATTTAAGAGAGAGAGAGAAGTGACTTGTGGTACTGATGTTGCTTCCCTAGGTTCCAAGTAAAGTTCCTCAATTGCACTTTACTTACCTAGAGCTGTCCCTCCATTTCTTTGTCCTTGTTGCTAAGTTTTTGAAGTGGATAGGCTAGTTATCTTGTTCAACATCCTGCATTCTGATCAAACTAAACATTTTTGGAAAGAACAGAATATAGGAATTTGTGCTTCTTACCACTCAACCTGTCAGAAAGCAAGTGATGCAAGAACAAAATATTGTGAATATGTTTACATCGAAAGTGTTAAAGAAAACTCAGCATCTGCCAGCAAGTTTATGGCGTGCCACGGTGGTATAGTGATTGGCACTTTGTGTTGTGAATGCAGAACCTTGATTCCAATCCAAAATGGCAGTGTGTGGCATCTTTTTGGGGAGAAACTGAGCTGTCTTTTGGTTTGTTTTCAATCCGTGCACTGACTGAGTCCTTTAGCAGGGTTTACCACTGACTCCTGCAATGCAGTGCAGTCAGGCAAAAAGGAGACCCCACATTGCACATACCTAGGGCCCAGGACATGCCCTATGTCTCACCATTGAGCAGAAAATATCCCAAAGGGTAAAATGTCACCTTTCAAACCGCCATGTTGGTAGCTTCCACTAATGCAGTGGTGTGGTCATAACTGGTTTTTACTGTTCCTTACAATGGCTGCAACCCTTATTTGTGACTAGAGAACAAGGCTTACCACTGAATTGCCAGCATGATACAGCCAGGGCCATCAAAAACACACCTGCACTAGGTCATTGGGAACTTTGGAGGTGCCTTACATCTGGGCATGCATTGAACCACCACACAAGGTGAAATGCCTCTTCTCAAAGAGGCTTGCCTGCAGTTTCCACTAATGAAATTGTGAGTCATAGCTGTTCTTCTGTTTGAGATATTAGGAGGGATTTTGTGGGGGGTGAGGGGGGATGAAAGTGAGCTTTTACTGAGTTTAAAATAAAATCCAAACTCCTTGCCATGGTCTACACTGGCTTGTCTCCATCTTCCATCCCCCACCCGCCATGTTTATGCTAAAGAGCAGACTATTGAAATGTAATTCACACAGTGTAAAATTCAAATATATTAACTAGGACAGGTTATTAAATATTGACAAATGAAATCATCACCCAGATCAAGTTATAGAAAATTTCCATCATCCCAAAAATGTCTGTGGATGCCAGGCATGGTAGCTCATGCTTGTAATCCCAGCACTTGGGAGGCTGAGGTGGAAAGATTGACTGAGCCCAGCAATTTGAGACCAGCCTGGGCAACATGGCAAGACCCCCATCCCTATAAAAAATTTTTTTCAAATTCAAAAAATAAAAAATATTTAAAAAGGTCCAAGAGTCCCTTTCCAGGCAATCCCACCCTTCTCCCCTTAGTTTATCACTATTCTGATGTTTATCACCATAGATTATGTTGCTCTCTTCTTGAAATTCATATAAATTCACTTTTTGTGTTAGCGTTTTTTTCACATCTTTGAAATGTATCCATATTATTATATGTATCTAGTTTATTTGGGTGTAACTGGTGAGTGTTATCCAATATGTGAATACACCACTGTTGATGGACAATTTGGTTATTTCTAGTTTGGACTATTATGAAGAAGGCTGCTGTGCATGAATATTATTGTACAAATCTATTTATCAACAAATATTCTGTGTTTTCTTAGATTTTGTATTTGTCTCTATTTGGCATCTATTCACCGCAGAACAATTATAATAACTATATTTTCTTATTTTCTTTATTTTTTTCTTAAAACAATTTATTGATGTATGCCTGGTATACTAAAAGCTGTACATATGTAATGAACACAATTTTCTGAGATTGGAAATAAGTATGGACACATTAAATCATCACCACAGGCCGGGTGCGGTGGCTCACGCCTGTAATCCCAGAACTTTTGGAGGCCGAGGTGGGTGGATCACGAGGTCAGGAGATTGAGACCATCCTGGCTAACACGGTGAAACCCTGTCTCTACTAAAAACATACAAAAAAAAGATTAGCCAGGCGTGGTGGTGGGCGCCTGTAGTCCCAGCTACTTGGGAGGCTGAGGCAGGAGAATGGCGTGAACCCGGGAGGCAGAGCTTGCAGTGAGTGGAGATCGCACCACTGCACTCCAGCTTGGGCAACAGAGCAAGACTCCATCTCAAAAAACAAAAAAATCATCACCACAATGTATACAATAAAACTATTCAGCTGGGCACAGTGGCTCACACCTATAATCCCAGCAGTTTGGGAGGCCCAGGCTGGTGGATCACTTGAGGTCAGGAGTTTGATACCAGCCTGCCTAACATAGTGAAACTCCATCTCTACCAAAAATACAAAAATTGGTACAGAATAATTATACATGTTTATAGGAGTACAGATGATATTTTGATATATGCCTACGATGTGTAATGATCAAATCAGGATGTTTAGGATATCCATCATCTCAGACATTTTATCATTTCTTTGTGTTGGGAACATTTCAAATTCTGTCTTCTTAGCTCCTTTGAAATGTACAATATACTGCTGGTAGCTGTAGTCACCCTACTGTGCTGTTTCTTTTCTGAGATTCCACCTAACCCCTTGATGTTCCAACTGCTGTGGTTGTCTAAAACTTTGTCCTCTGTTCCTTTAATCTAGGAAGACAGTTTGGTTTTGTATTGTAATTTAGCTAATCCAAGTAAGGGGGAGCAAAGTTTGTTCTATAAACTAAAAATAAAATCCTAAGTCCCCCAACTGACTAAATGGACCCCCCGTTGGCCAACGGGACCCCCCGTTGGCCAACGGGACCCTAGGCAAACCTTATAAACTGAGTCCCAGGCCAAGAAGGAACGAGAGGCCAGACAAGCCTCATTATATTCCCACCCCTTTGCAATTTAGACAAAACTGACCAACATTAATGTTATCACAGAGATCATAAGACTGACGGAACAGACTCTTTATGGCAATAAGACACCAACTTATAAATAGGACTTAGGACTATTCCGGGCAAGGATTAACTCACACACCCCATATATGCAAAGAATAAACTATGTTCTAACTGCCACAAGGATTTTCTCTAGCAGCTAAACAAGCACTGGCCTTGAGAATAGGGAGTGTTGAAGCACTTGCTGCTCACCCCTCACCAGATACCGAACCCCGCTGTTCCACAAGCCATAACTACAGCCTTGACTGACAAGAGACTGATTTCAGTAACTTTCTTCTGATGAGAAGACCAGCGACCATGGACTGGTTCTGTCAGTTTTACAGTATCTGTGCATTTGAGTGCCTTTGTGTCCTGAAAAGACCTTTGTGTATAGGGCCTAATTGTAATGCATTTAAATGCTAAGTATCCATAACAAGGTGAACAAGGTTGTATATTACGTGAATGTTTGTTCAATAAGCATGCATCAGGACCCCTTCATAAATATTCATAAATCCTCCTATAACTTGTTGAATATGTATTTTAGGCCCACCCATTCAACTTAAATTACTGTCTTGCCCCTCCCTCCCTCAAAGTGCCTGCTTCTGGGCTTCCCGCGATTCCCAGCCTGTCAGGATGACCACCTTACATGCTGTAACCCTTTAGAAGAAATAAATTCTCCTCTGTAAGCTCACAAATTGTATGGTTTTTCAGTTAACAGCCCTCTGCTGAAAGTTTGCAAAATGGGATACTCACTACCTGCCATTCTTCCATATGTCTGCCTGCTTTTGTTCAGTCTTCCAGCACCTTCAAATTATATAATATATATATGAAATAAATTTTTCTAGTTTATAGTCGTTATCTGTGGGAGAGTTACTCTGAAAGCAGCAAGAAGCCATTACCAGATGCAGATCTCATTCTGTCAGTAATGGCAACCCAGCAAATAGGGCAGGAGCCCCACCCAGGTGTGGATCAATGCATGGCTGTATAACCTTGAGCAAGCTGCTTAGTCGACCTCTGAAGTCAGTACTGCTGTATGAGAAATGGAGATATGAAAAGAACAGGAGTGCTAGGGTGCCCAAGGGAGAAAAGAGTAGGTAACAAGATTTTCGGTCAGCAGCATGAGAAACAGGGAGAGGGTCGCCATTAACTCCCCTTCTTCACCAGAGTTTTCTGGCACCCAAGACTACAGAAACTCTCCTGCAGTGGGCTTTGGGGCACATCGCAAGTTCCAGTAACAAGGGCTAAGATCGCCCACTTTTGGAGACCTTACAAAGCATGTATTCCCTGACCAGGAATCGAACTCGAGCTGCAGGCGGTGAAAGCGCCGAATCCTAGCCACTAGACCACCGGGGAAACAACAGCAAGCACTTTTCATTCCTCTTGCCTTCCAAAGGTTTCTCCAAAAGGTGAACCTGTCTGCAATGCTCACGAAGCCCGCCAGATGCACAAGTCAAAAGTGATCTAGAGATTCTGAAGTAGCTGTGCTCCTTGAGAAGTGCGGAGCCACTGGAACCACAAGCAGCTTCAGACAGGAACCAATGAGGCCATCAAAACCCTCAACAGAGGCATCTGTGAGTTCATTGTGGTGGCTGCAGACACCACGCTGCAAGAGAGCATTCTGCACTCCCACTGCTGTGTGAAGAGAAGAATGTGCTGGGCCTGCCTGGAACGTTTGCGCACTCCAGGCGGGCCCTGGGGCGGGCCTGTGGGGTCTCCAGTCCTGTCATCACCTGTTCTGTCACCATCAAAGAAGGCTCACAGCTGATCCAGTCCATTCAGCAGTCCGTTGAAAGGCTCCTAGTCTAAACCTGTGGCGTCTAAACCCGTGGCCTCTGCTGCACAATCTCTGCTGACTCCTCCCCCTGAGGTTATTCTCAGCTACTTTCTATTGCTATAAAATATTATAGTACTAAATCTGGTTTCTGGGGTTTTGTATAGTTTTTGTTCTGTTTTACAGGGTTGTTTTCCCCCTTCTCCATGCCCACCCTTTCTCTGCCATCCTGCATCCTCTTAAACTCTCTATTGAAAAATGAACAAATGTTCAGAACAGAGGAAGTAGAGTGGTGGCACCATCAAAGGCAGGAAGGGCCAGGAGAACCTGATGGGAGTGGGGATATAGACCTGGTTCTAGCTTCCAGTCTTCCAGTCACTAACTTTCTGCTGTGTGCAGGGCACAATGGAAGTAAACACCACCCACTATATATCCCCTGTGCCTGGCATACAGAATCATTCATACATGTTGACCGAAGGGTTTCCTTTGCTTCTAGGGGATTATGTATCATTTTGGGAGGAAGCATGTATTCTGTGGGGTTGTTTAGTTTATGTCCAAGTGCCATTTACTAATGTATCCCTGCTCTTTGCTTTCGGTATGTATGTTCTTCCTCCACCTGACAATTGTGCCCCCAATGGTGGCCAGGCAGCAGCATACCAAAGAGATGTGCTGCAAGATTTCAGAGGTGGGTGAGTGAGACATGGGAAAGTGGACTCAGGTCTTGAAAGAGTCAGGAGTGTCCAGGGCAAAGAACATGAACTGGTGCTGGAATGAAGGATTCTGGGAAGGTTGTGGAGACCTGGCTGGTAGCTAGAGCAGAGATGATGGAATCCAAGGAAACAACTTCTCTCCGGTGAATCAAGATTTCTTCAGTGGACACTTAGTCCCAGCTCTGATAGCCCTTACCCCTGTTTCCTGCCACAGTGTGGGTCATATGTATTCTTTATCATATGAGGAGAGTGCTAATTAATGTGTCATTTATTTTGTGAGCATGCTAATAAATATATTCATATTCCAATTTAGTGAAAAAAAAACTGATCTAGAGATGCCCCTTTTCAAGGTGACAGCATGGCTCTGGAGAGATGGCCACAGGAACCATGGCAGTGGACCAGGTTGCTGGGAGAAGGCAAAAGGGGAGGCACCCAAGCTGAGAAGGGGCTAAGCACTCAGCCCCTGGGACCACCAACAGCAGGCCTGAGACACATGCAGGAAACCAGACAGCCTGGATGAAATTTCTTTCAAGCAAGGCCAGTGGTCCCTGACAGAACACCAGAGGTTTCCCCCTAAATCCTTTCGCATCTGTACCGTTTCCATCTTAGTTGGAGCTCTTTGTTCTCATCCTTGCAATACGCAGAGAAAAAAAAATCACAGGTTGTTGATTGTTTGAAGATAGGGTATTGCTCTGTCACTCAGGCTGGAGTGCAGTAGCATGATCACGGCTCACTGCAGCCTCGAACATCCGGGCTCAAGTGATTCTCCCACGTCAGCCTCTGGTGTAGCTGGGACCAAAGGTGTGCCACCACAGAGGCAGGGTTTTGCCATTTTGCCCAGAATGGTCTCAAACTCCTGAGCTCAAGGGATCAGCCTGCCTAGGCTTCCCAAAGTGCTGGGACTACAGGCATGAGACACCTTGCCCAGCCAACCAGAGTTCTTTTTGATGCCGATATTTTACTCGGACTCCACATCTAGGTGGGAATTCATGTTTTCAAGTACGGACATTGCTCTACACAATCCTCTCCTTTCCTGATCACTAAATTGGAGTAAATCACTGTCCTGAAGAAGGTACCCTTGGGAGAGTGGGTTGGCCTGTCTTTCCACCCTTTCTTGACTCTGCCCTCACCTTCAAGCCTCTTTCTGGCCTGTGTTCAAGGTCCAGAGGCATGCTTAAGACCTCTCTGTGTGGCTCTTCTTGAAGAGTCAGGAACCCCATACTTCCTGTTTAGCGGGCAGAGAAGCTTCAAGCCGCACAGTTTTGGGTATGCTAGGATCCCACAAGGCACAGATGTGCAGTGGCCCACGAAGTGAGTTTGTGGGTCTCCAGTTACCTGCAGCCCTTTCTGCTCCTGTAGGTTAAAGGGCAATTGCCTTTTTTTTTCTGTCCAGGAAGGACCCCAGAATGTTCTGAGTCAGAAAAACAGTGAATCCTCTCCTCTGGGTCAGTGGGGAGGGAGAGAGAGAGATTTCAGAGGGAAGAAAGCAGAAAAAGATGTCACAAAATTGCCTAATCAAAAGTTACCATGATGCCTGCCTCATCTGGAACTGGGCTCCCAGTCTCTAGTGAGGGAGACATAGTCCAGTCCAGTCCCAGTCTCCAGTCTGAGCCAAAGCAGAACAAAGCTGGACACTGCAGCCTGGCATCCAATGAACATTTTGTCACTTTCCCCAGGGTGGGAGCATTTGAACTTTGGATGTGAAGGAAACATGGTAACCACTGCAGTAAGAAAAGCAACTGCTGGAGAAAATGGCACTTTCTTCCCCAAATTTGTTTTTACACTCATGTCTAAGGAACACCTTAGAAACCACATTAACATCTTTCAGCAAAAGGAAATTCTGCCTGTTGATCTTTTGCTGTGAGACAAACTTGAAAAGTTCACAGACACTGCCTTTCTCTGAAAACTGCCCTTACCTCTTTGTTATAATTCACTTCAAGATCTGTTGAGTAGTAGGAACATCAAAAATGCAAATAAAAAGTTTCAAGTATTATGAAAGAATGCAATAAAACTGCCTTTGAAAAAAATCTCAAGATGGAGGTGGAGATCCTGTGATCATGAAATCTGAATAGGCTGCTCCTGTGTCCTTCAGTGGTGATGGCTCTGAAACCCTTGTGTTTTATGAACTTCATGCCCTGGTCTTCAAACGAATTCAGTGCAGGCCAAGAAGCACAGTTTGGCCTGGGTTGGATGCTCTATATTTTCAAAGAGTGAAATGCCTTGAGACACAGCCTTTGCTATAGTACCTGCTAAAACTTCAACGTGTGGATAAATATAGCTTACACTGAATCGAATAGACTCAGCGAGAGTGGCAGTGAAGGATGCCCTCTGGAAGATTCGAGGTGCTGAGGCCAAAGGGCTAGCAAGGAAAGAGCGTGCGGGTCAGGCCCTTCAGCCTGGTGGAAGAGCAGGCAGGGAGGGTCCTATGGTTCCTGGGAGGACCCGAAGCATGATCGCCTGTCAAGAGCCAAGAGCCCTAATGGCCAGCGCCGGGGAAAGGGCCCCCGAGGGGCAGTCAGCAGCCCTGCAGGGGCGGCGTTCACACTCCTGTGTGGCACGGGACACTCATGGCTCCACCAGCTCCTGAAGCTTCTGGGAGCCAGAGAGTCAGCAGGGAGAATCCCACACACGGGCACTCAGTTCCTGGAAACCCTGCATGAGATGCGGGATCCCGAAGCCAGATTGGGGGTCCCTAGGGTCTTGGCTTCGGGGCTAGGCGTGGAACCGTAAATGAGGGTTCAGCCTGTCTGCCTGAGGGATTGTGTTTCCTGGCGTATTTATCACTCAAATTTTGAAAAGCAGTCGAATTTGTTATATTGGAAACCCTAGTAGTTAAAAACAGCAGATGGTAACATTTCAGGAATATGTCTTGTGCCAGGAACTGTGAGGGGTTTCTGTAGTGTAGTGATTACATGTTCGCTTCACATGTGAAAGGTCTCAGGTTTGGGACCTTTCATCATCAACATGATGAAACCCCGTCTCCAGTAAAAATACAAAAATTAGCCAGGCGTGGTGGTGCATGCCTGTAATCCCAGCTCCTCGGGAGGCTGAGGCAGGAGAATTGCTTAATTCCAAGAGGTAGATGTTGCGGTGAGCTGAGATTGTGCCATTGCACTCCAGCCTAGGCAGCAAGAGTGAGACTACGTCTTAAAAAAAAAAAAAAGAAAGAAAGAAAAGAAAACAGAGGACTTTAAAACCGTTATTATGTCAATATTCTATGGGTCCAAAGAATTAAGCAGAGGTATCAAACATATAAAAATGGTCAGAATCAAACTTTGGAGATTAAAAACTACAACATCTGAGATAATAAATTCACTGGATGCAATTAACAGCAGATTAGACACTGCAGAAAAAAAGATTATGAAACACAAAGCCGCCGGGCACCGTGGCTCAGGCCTGTAATCCCAGCACTTTGGGAGGCGGAGGCGGGTGGATCACGATGTCCAGAGATAGAGCCCATCCTGGCTAAAACAGTGAGACCCCCGTCTTTACAAAAAAAAAATATATATATATAAATTAGCTGGACATGGTGGCGGGCGCCTGTAGTCCCAGCTAATCGGGAACCTGAGGCAGGAGAATGGCATGAACCCGGGAGGCGGAGCTTGCAGTGAGCCGAGATGGTGCCACTGCACCCCAGCCTGGGCGACAGAGCAAGACTCCCTCTAAAAAAAAAAAAAAAAAAAAAAAAAAACCGCACTGAGGGGAAAAGTCAATGTGAAATTCTACAAAAGCTGAAAATTCACTACCACCAGCCATTACCACAAAAAAAAAAAAAAGTTGAAGGAGTCCTCCAGGCAGAACGAAACTGACATCGGATGAAAATCTGGTTGTACAAAAAAAAAAAAAAAAAAAAAAAACTAGACATGACATCTAATAGACGAATATATAATTTTAACATCTGACTGTTTAGCTGGGCGTGGTGGCTCACGCCTGTAATCCCAGCACTTTGGGAAGCTGAGGCAGGCAGATCACTTGAGGTCAGGTGGTTGAGACCAGCTTGGCCAATATGGTGAACCCCTCTCTCTACTAAAAATACAAAAATTAGTCCGGTGTGGTGGCCCACGCCTGTAATCTCTGCTACTCAGGAGTCTGAGTCAGGACAATCGCTTGAACCCGGGAAGCAGAGGTTGCAGTGAGCCAAGATTGTTCCACTGCACTCCAGCCTATCTGGAACCTAGTTTGATCTGGAGGGATCTTATTTTATAGGAGGCTTGGAGGGGGACCTTTTGCTTTGTGTACTTATAGGATGCACAAGACACAAGGGAACAATCTCTCACTTTTTAAATACAGTGATAGGCCTGAGGAGAAACAACTGCAATTTTTTTTTTTTTTTTTTTTTTTAATGAGATGGGATTCTCACTGGTCTTGAACTGAGCTCAGGCGAGGCTTCCCCTACGTCGGCCTCTCAAAGTGTTGGGATTAATAGGCGTGAGCCACCGCGCCTGACCACAACTAACCAACATTTAAAAGCACGTCCCTGGGTAGGCTCGAACCACCAACTTTCCGGTTAACAGCCGAACGCGCTAACCAATTGCTCCACGGAGATAACCTCAGTTGGTCGCTTTCATCTCAACATAGATTAAGCAATCACTAAACTCTAGGGGTTGCCATTCGCTTTCTGCAGGACAACTGTGCAGACTACAAAGCTTCGGAAAACCGGAGAGGCTGAGTCGACTAATCGTGTTGTTGCACGTTAGAAACGCTTGCATTGCCTGACTCTGAAACCAGAAGGGCGGCCGAATGGCCTTCACCCTCCATTAACCCTCGCCTCCTTCAGAAGCCAGTGCCTCTGGAAATGCCTGGATCTGCGACCCCAGCCTGAGCCTAGTAGGGCCCAAGGGAAGCTGAACGCCCCGACGGCTCTCATGGTAGGTAGCTCTTTCTGTTTTTTTG
Organism: Homo sapiens; assembly: GCF_000001405.40. Taxonomy (NCBI): domain Eukaryota; kingdom Metazoa; phylum Chordata; class Mammalia; order Primates; family Hominidae; genus Homo; species Homo sapiens. Next base: position 149,698,899 of record NC_000001.11, read on the forward strand.
CGCCGCCTTCAGGCAATCATCTACTCCGCTTGCTATCCCCTCACTCAACTCGGCTTCAGTAGATGGGGTTGGTGGGGCGGGAGCGGGAAAGAGGCAGGGGAGTCAAAAGGGAAAACCTGAAAAGAAGGAGGGAGAAGAAGCAGGGGAGACCAGGACGAGACAATGGGACAGCCCAGGATGCCGGTGCAGAGGGCAGCGGCTGGATGCAGAGAAGATGGGACACGTATCAGAATGGACTGGAGAAGACGTGAGGGAAAATCACAAGAACCTGTAGCTGCCCAAGAATAAACACGTAAAAATCGCATAAATGTTTTTACATTAAAAAAAAATCGGGGGACCGGGCGCAGTGGCTCACGCCTGTAATCCCAGCACTTTGGGAGGCCGAGGTGGGTGGATCACTCACTTGAAGTCAGGAGTTCGAGACCAGCCGGGCCAACATGGTGAAAGCCCGTCTCTACTAAAAATACAAAAATTAGCTGGGTGTGGTGGCGACGCTTGTAGTCCCAGCTACTCAGGAGGCTGAGGCAGGAGAATCGCTTGAACCTGAGAGGCAGAGGTGGCAGTGAGCCGAGATCGCGCCACTGCCCTCCAGCCTGGGCGACAAAGCGAAATTCTGTCTCTCAAAAAAAATGCATAAATAAATAAAAGAGGGGTGGGGAAGCAAAACGACGGGCAGTAGGTGTGGGGCGCATTGGGATTCTATAGTGGTTAGTACCCTGCCTTGTGCCTGCAGCAACCTCTGTTCTAATCTGAATCCTGGTACAGTCAGACTCTATCTTGGACCCACTGGGGCGAACCCACGAGTCTTTTGGTTTGCTTTTAATTCCTGCACCAGCTGCGGCCTTTATCTGCAGCCAGAAAGCAGGGTTTACCGCTGGCCCCACAGCGCCATACGGTCTGGGGAAAAGAAGGAAACCCAATAGTACACAAACAAAGGCCCAAAGAGAAACCTTCCAAGTGCTCTATGCCTCACGGTTTAGCAGAAAATATCAAGCAACTCTCAACCTAGCTGGTCTGTAGCTTCCACAAATGAAATACTGTATTCATTGCAGCCTTTCTGGTTGAGATATTTCAAATATTTGGTGGAGCTTTTAATGAGACGGAGAGACACTCTCGAGTGTGAAAGAAAAACATGAGGGGGTGTGAGGATAAGGCGACTTTAGGACAGAAAAAACAAAGAGACAAGGAAGCCACGTAAACGTTTTCGGGTAGGCGTGAGGCGATGTCAGTTTTGAACCCCGTTTATGTTAGGTAGAGAGCGCAGCCCTCTTCTAGCACAAACACCGTTTCCCACATTGAAGAAATCACAGAGATCAGCAACTCTAGAGTGCGATGAAGAAGCTTCACTCTGGGAGAACCCCCTTCGTGACCACGGTCTCTTTCCTGCCAGGTAAGTGGGAATGAGCGCATGCCCTGCAGGGACAGCACAGCGTCCTCGCCCTGGTCGGACGCTCAGGGTCACCACCCTACCCACTGCCCCCTTCGCCATTCTTCCAAACCACTCTCTGCCAAAGATTCCACCGACAGTCACCCCACACGACAACGCAGGCCGCCTTTCAGCAGTGGCTCCCGCCCCGCAACCACGCGCCCTCTCACCCCCGCGGTTCTGCCCGCCGCCTCTGTCCAGTCTGTGCACTTCACCTCCCTGGCTCCCGCTCTCCCCTGAGCTTACAGTGGACGCGGGGTTCTTCCAAACCCCTCTTGGGAATACTGAATGGAAAAGGGGGAGCGTGCGCAAGTGCTTGGTAGAGTGTAGACATTGTGGGATTTGACTGTGGTACCATCGCTTTGACGTCCTAGTGCTGATTTTTACACCTGCATTCTGCTTAGGGCACTGGCAACAGTTTTCCGTTTGTGCCTACTCCACCTGCTGTCTTTGTTGGGTCAGCGAACATCGCCTCCCTCTACCGCTCAATCAGCAAAAGGGACCGCCCTTGAGGACCTCACCCGCCGCTCACTCCCCTCCCAACTTCGCGGGCATCGCCTCCGGTCGCCTCTTCCGAAGGCCTAACGAGCATGTTAGCTGCGAACGGAGGTGAGGAGGCTCCGCTGACTGACCGGTGCCCACGTCCAGGGCACGCACAAACGCCATGACTTGGCTTGGCCTCTCTCTTAGTTATTCACAGCTCAGCCCGATAGGCACCTCTGGGGCGGCGACGGCAAAGAGGGTGCGCTTATTAAGTGCAGCTCCACGGGGACTGGCCTCTCTGCACGGCTGTGTACACCTGAGCGAGACGCTCAGTCGCTCTCTAAAGCCGCTTCTGCGGATGACAGACACGGAGATAAACGTGAGAGGTGGCCCACCACGACTTGCCCTCCTTTGCCCGGGTTTGCCCCTCGCTGCGGAGGCTGTTCTACATCTGGCCCTTGGAGCAGGCCGGCTGACAGCGTGGTAAAGGAAGATTTCTGCGGGAGGGCGGCCAGTGCAAAACAATTCCCTGACCGGGAATCGAACCCGGGCCGTGGCGCTTTCAGCACCGAATCCTAGCCACTAGACAACCATGCAGATGCGGAAAGCTGCTTTCTCTCCCTTCTTCGACCTGAAGCGACACTTTCCTGTGCTCTAGGAGGACTTGGGTCTTGTGAGAGTCGCCCTTTGCTCCTGGAGTCGTCTCACAAGGCCGTTCACTCCCTGCTTTCTTCAAAAAAAGAACCTGCAGGCGACACACCAAGGACTCCACGAGGGAGTCCTGAGTACTGGAGCGAGTTGCGGCCACGCGGCCGCAGCTCACCACTGGCCTAGAGATGCCCTTTGCGAGGCGGCAGCAACTGACAAGATGGTCGCGGGTCGCCGGGTCCGGAGCCGCCCACCAGGTTGCCAGGAGGAGGCGGGAGCGGGGAGGCGCCCGAGGTGAGACAGGGGCACCCTCTGCATCATAAAGGACCCAGACCCCGGCACCCTCAACATCATAAGGAATCAGACGGATGCGGAAACCGAGACGGGCTGGATAGGAAACTCTTTCCAGGAAGGCTCCGGGGCACTCAACTGGTCTCCAACCTTCCCCTGCAACCTGTGACGCCTGCCATTTTCCCATTTTAGGCGATGGCAACGCAACCCCTCCGTTTGCTCTGGGCAAAACTTCGAGAGTTCCCTCTGAAGCTGGAGCTTTTTCCTCAGATCCAAGATCCAATTGGTCACCAATTCGTGATTTCCGTCGGCCAAGTGCGTGGGCATTGATCTACACGCGAGTTTCTCCACCTCTGCCGAATGGCTACTTCGGGGTGGGGGAGGGGCCCTCCCGCCGTGGATTGCAAGGTGTTTAGCAGCATCTGTCTCCTCCGCTGACTAGACACATGCCAGGGGGATAACATTCTCCCTCCCGCTTCCCCCAGCCGCGGCCTAGTGTCCCAGCGGGGTTGGGAGAGGCATGTGAGGGCGAAGTTGCCCCCTGTTGAGAACCATTGCTGCGCGTAGTCCTTCTCTCTGAACTTGTGCAGAGGACTCTCCAGGTGAAGGCTCAAGGGTGGATCCAGCTCGAGACACCCTCGCTCCCCCTCACAGTCGGACCTTAGGATTTAGGCTTTAACATCTCCACATCATGAGATTCGAAACCTTTAGGTCTTGTCTTCCGTTCTGTCCTCCAAATCGGCCTCTTCCGAGCCTGTTGACCAGGGCCAGCCGGGCAGAGGGCTGGGCTCGCTCAACGAGGCTCCTCTCGCACCTCCTGGAGCTTCAGGCTTCTTTCCGTTGCAGAGAAGCTTTATGGGCCAATTCGTTCGGCATCCCCGGGGGCAGGTGCGCGGTGCGCGGGGAAGAAGAGGATTTGACTGCGGTTCTCCACCCCCGGCGCCCAACCTCCACCCCGGTGCGCGCGCTCTTCCAGGCTCCTGCTGGTCCCACTTGCCAGGAGTTAGGTCTCAGGTCAGCCTGAGCTCCTGAGACGCCCAGGCCCGGAAAGACACGTAGGGGAAACCATCTGCTCACTTCTGTCCTGTCCGGAAGGGATCCCTTTCTGACGGGAAAGAAAGGCGGTGAGTCCTGTCCTGTTGAGTAGGCGGAAGAGAGATCAAAGGGAAGACAAGAAAAATCCTGTGAGTTTTCAGGATCTAAAGTTACCATGAGGTCGACCTAACCTCCTCTGGAGGTCCTCCCGGTCCTCCCGTGGCTGTCGAAGGTGAATCTAGCTTCCGTCTCCAGTTCGCCAAGGCGGACAAAGCCGACGACAATGGGCCTGTCCACTATCTTCTTTCATATGCACAAAATGTCAGCTCTTCTTGTTTCTAACTTGCAACATCCCACCTGATGACCAGCTCAGCAAATTAGAGACCCTCCATGGGATTCCATCTCTGTCTTAGTTCGGGCTTCCATAACTATATACCATAAACTGGGTGGCTAATTCACGACAGAAATTTATTTCTCACAGTTCTGGAGGTTGGAAGTCCGAGATCAAGGTGCCAACATGGTAGGGTTATGATGAGAGACTTTTTTCTGGTTGTAGACTGCCACCTTCTCATTGTATCCTCAGGGGGCAGAGAGAGCTCCCTGGGGTCCCTTTTATAGTGGCATTAGTCCCACTCAGACTAACGGGACTAAATCCAGACCCAGTTATTGCAATGTGTGCAAAAGAACAAGGACTTGTACTATCTGACTTCAAGGCTTACTATAAGCTATTACAGACAAGGCATCAGGAGGGACAAATAGATAAACAGACTGAGTTAAGAGACCTGAAACTGATCCACAGCCATACAGTCAATAAATGAGCTTTCAATGAAAGCAGTTCAATAGAAGAAAATAAATCATTTCAATTAATGGACTTTCATATGGAGGTGGGGGAGACCAACAATGTTATTCTCCCTCACACTACATACAAAAGTAATTTGAGGTGCATTATACACCAAAACTTAAAAGTTAAAGATATAAAGCATTTCAAGGATACTCTGTAGGTAAAGATTAGCCTACCAACAAGTAGGACACTGAAAAAATATATATAAAAGACATGATAAATTAGACTTCATCAACATTAGCCATACCTTCTCATCAAAAGATACCACTAAGAAAGTGAAAAGGCAAGCAAGCCACAGACAGAGAGAAAATAGTCACAAAACGTATCTGACCTCCACATCCTGTAATTAGAATTATTGTGGTCTGGTACACTGCACCCAGTTTCTGCAGGAGTACTTTCTGGGTGTCTCTAATGAGTAAGAGAGGGCCCCATGGGATATTCCTACAGTTCCCAGATGAACAGTGGGAAAGACTCTACGTTGACAAACCCCGGGGACCTGAAAACTCAGGTCCTCAAGGAGGGTAGAGGATACCTGGACCCTGACCCAGACCCCTAGATGGGCTGTGCCAAGAGACCCAGCAAGGGAAGGGATTCCCTCCTGCCTCAGGTTCTCTGTTCTTCTGTGGTTAGAAGACCTGAACCCAACTCCCTCCCCAAGCACTGGAGATAGGGCTTTTCCAAGGGCTGGGGATCTTGCTGTCCTAAGGACAGCTGAGCAAGGGGGTCGAGGAGGAGCTTGGGTGGTGGAGGAGAGGAAACCGGGTAAGATGTGTGAAGCAGTCGGCTATACCAGGCACAGAGAGGACCCACTGGGACACAAGAGCCTGCATGTGAAGCCAGGCCTTGGGCCACCTTGTTCCTCAAAGGGGTGCTTACTTCCATGGGATCTTCAAAGGGACTGTGGAAAGAGAAGCCTTCAGCCCACACCTCTGAATGCTTTTCCACCACAGCATGCCCTGTGGCCTGTATCCTGCTGGTGTGGAACAGTCAGACCCCTGCAGGGCTGCAGAGCCTCTGTACTGGGCGGCATCCCAGCCTGAGTGCCAGAGCTCAGTGGGCAGGCCCCCGAGCAAGCAGAGAGGAGGGCACCTTTTGGACAGAACCTGTGGGACAAGAGCGACGTCTCATCCGTTCAGGTTCCTCACAAAATGAGAGTCAGGAAGATCAGGGTGCAGACCTGATTTCCCACGAAGGGCTGAAAGCAGACAACCGGAGGGAGAGCAGCACCTGGGCCAATGAGGTAGAAGACAGAAGACCACAGTGTACTTCTGCCCTCAACCTCACCCCCTCCCACCTACATCCTCCACACCCCCTGACCACCTTCTTCAGAAACGTAATAGGAATCAAGATCCCCCCTGGCCTGGTTGCTATGGGAGGCACAGTGGCCTGATGGAGCCTGAGGCAGGTGTGGGAAGATGTGGATTGTCTAACTGGAGGTTGGGAGTCCAGGGTGCAGAAGGAGAAGCTTGGAGTGCAGGATTTGGTGGTATGTGTGTGGCAGTAGGCACTATGTTCTAATTGCCAGTTTTTTTTTCTTCTTCCTTTTTTTCTCTAGCTAAACAAGCACTGGCCTTGAGATAAGCAATGCTGAAGCACTTGCAGCTCACCTATTACCATAAACTGACTGAGCCCTCCCTACACAAGCCGTAACTACTGCTTTGATTGGACAAGAGACTGATTTCAGTAGTTTTCTCTTGATAAGAGACCACTGGCCGTGGGCGGGTTCTGGACAGTTTACAGAAGCTATGCACTTGATTGCCTTTGTGTCCCTGCTTCACCTTTTGAAGCATAGGGCCTAATTATAATGTATTTAAATGTTGTCTCCACCCCAAAGTGAACATGGGTTGCATGTAACAGGCATGTTTACTCAGCATGCATGCAGCAGGATCCCTTCACAAATATTCAGAGCTCCCCCTATTCCCTGTTGAATATGTATATGTGGCCAGCCAGATCAACGTAAATCACTATTCGCCCTCCCCTCCCTGGAAACCTACTTTTCGGGTTTCAGCAGGAAGCTATGCCTCCCAGTCTGTCAGAATGGCCACTTGCAGGCTGTAACCCTTTATAAAAAAATAAAATCTCCTTTCTAAATTTATAAATTGTGTGATTTTTCAGTTGACAGCTTTCAGTTGTCAGTCAAGTCATTGACTGGGAAAAGTCATTTGCAATATATTTATTTGAAAAATGACTCAACTCCTGAATATATAAGAGAACTTTCATAAATCAGTAATATAGAGCTAAGCCAAATAAAATCGGGCAAAATATTCGAATAGGCCTTTGCAAAGGAGAATTTCTTATATGCTGGAAGCCATAAGAAAATATGCTTCATAGTATTGCTCATTAGGCAAGTACAAATTAATTCCACACTGAGATACCACTAACCAATCACCAGTGTGTGGCTACTTTTTTTTTTTTCTCTGAGACAGGGTCTCTCTCACCCAAGCTGGAGTGCAATGGTGCGATTGGTGCAATCTTGAGTCACTGCAACCTCCCCCTCCTGAGTAGCTGGGACTACAGGTGCATGCCACCATGCCTGGCTAATTTTTATATTTTCAGTAGAGACGGGGTTTTGCCATGTTGGCCAGTTTGGTCTGAGAGCATAGCTACATTTTAAAAAGTTAGTACACCAAATGCTGACAAGAATTTGGTGCCACTTCAACTGTCATTGCTGGTGAAAAAACATTCTAGAAGACTGGCAATTTATACTAATGTTAAACTTGTACTCAGGTCGTGACCCAGCAATTGAAGTACTTCCATGAATCTCAAGTGCACAAAAAGACCTGTAGAAGAATATTCATCACAAGAATTCAATAACACCAAAATTGAGAAGTGATCTATGAAACTACGTGGATATATCTCATGAGTATAATGAACATACCTGCAGAAAAAAGGCCAGATACAAAAGATATGTCCATTCACTCATGTGAACTTTAAGAACAGGCAATTGTAACCTATGGGAATAGACATCAGAATAGTGATTAACTAAGAGGACACAGGGTGGGAATTGCCTGGAAAGGGGCTCTAACAGGCCTTTCTCAGATGATGGCAATTTTCTATAACTTGAGCTGGGTGGTGATTACATTCATCAAAAATAAACGAACTGCACTAAAGATTTGTGCACTTTATGTGAACTGTAGTTTATTTACTGTTCTCATTGCTTGAACCCGGGAAACGGGACGTTGCAGTGAGCCGAGATTGAGCCATGGCACTCCAGCCTGGGTGACAGAACAAGACTACATCTCAAAAATAATAGTAATAGTAATAATTTACTGTTCTCATAAAAATTAGCGGATGGGGAATGGAGGCAAGCCGGTGTAGACCATGACAACTAGTTTAGATTTTATTGTAAACTCATTAAAAGCTCGTTCTCGTTTTGTGTTTTTAAAAAATCCCACTGATACAGCCGTTTTCTCTACCAGATGAGACTATAACCGTATTATTTCATCAGTGGAAGCTACAGACAAAGGGCCCTTGAGAGGCGGCATCTTCACCTATGGGAATTTTTTCTGCTCCATTGTGAGACAAAGAGCATGTCCGAGTTTTCATTTTGGCCAGGCCGCCCCCTAGTTTACGCACTGTGGGCTAAACTCCAGAAGCTGGCGCCCTTCCGGGCCAGCGGTTTACTCCGCTCTCTGGAGGCTGCTAGGATTAAAGGCAAAGCAAACGACAGGTCTTTTAGCTACAATCGCAGGAGAGAAAACACTACTGTGACTCAGATTAGAACCCAGGTTGCGGCAACCACAGCTGCAAGTATTGACCACTACACGACCAAAAAGCCTGCTGACAACCATTGTACTTCTTATATTTTTTTATGTAAAAACACTCATACTATTTTCTCTGCTTTATTCTCGAACGTCTGCAGATTTTCGTGCTTTTCTCTCTTTCATGCGCTTCTCCGTTACTCTCTCCCCATTCCGCTACATAATTTAAAAAACATCTCATCTCTCAGGACCTGGCCACTGCCTCTACAACAAGCCTCCTGGGAAGTCTCGTTGTCCCATCGACATCGACACCTCTCCCTTCTTTCGCTCCATTTTTTTTTTTTTTTTTTTTTTTTTTTTTTTTTTTGACGGAGTTGCTCTGTCGCCCAGGCTGGAGTGCAGTAGCGCGATCTTGGCTCACTGCAACCTCCGCCTCCCGGGTTCAAGCGATTCTCCTGCCTCAGCCTCTCAAGTAGCTGGAATAGCAGGTGCACGCCACCACATTCGGCTGATTTTTGTATTTTTAGTAGAGACGGGATTTCACCATGTTAGCCAGGCTGGTCTTGAACTCTTGACCTCAAGCGATCCATCCGCCTCGGCCTCACAAAGTGCTGGGATTACAGGCGTGAGCCACCGTGCCCGGCCAAATTTCAGGCCAACACCTGTTGACACACATTGCCAGACACACGGAATCCCTCACTGAACACCGATGGGCCCACAAAACACGCGGAGGCCACGGTGGCTGAAGATGTTAGCAAATTCGGTTCGCGGTGTCTGGGGTACAGCCTCGAGGGTCCATTGGCTACCTCTGTGCAAGGACCACTCTGCGCAAGGACCAGTCACCGCTGCTCTCCTCATCTCCATTGAGATTCTCCCGCACACACCTCCCCTTTCTTTGGGCCGCTGAGGCCTCTTGGACCTCCGAGGTGATTGCCCCGCCCGCAGCTTCTCTCCTTCCGGGAGCTTCATTTCTTGTTCCTCTCCGTAGTGGCTCAGCGGTAAGCCCAAGGTCCAGCACACGAATCAGGAAACTGATGGTTCTTGGGTTTGCAGGAATCCGCCCAGAGAACAGATGAAAGTAACAGGTACCAATATCAAAACTGCAGTGACTCACCAGAAACACTACGTGCTTGCCACTTTGCTTAGCGGTTTGTTGAGTCCAACAACTGCGTGGGTCCCGGGTTAGTCTCCTGAATTTCTTTTGCTGCTACTTTGGTCAGCGTTGTTGTCAGTTTAGCTTGTGGTGGCCAAGCCCTTAAATGCACTATTAGGTTATGCAGTGTAATTCTGCAGGGCAGAAGGGTAAAGAGCCATAGTGAAGAGCAAAAAAACCCCTTGCTTTGACCGGGAATTGAACCCGGGTCTCCCGCGTGTGAGGCGAGAACCCTACCACTGAACCACCACTGCCTCTCTCTGGCAACCCTGGGAGAATTATTGAAAAGAGTATCCAGAAAGACTTAGAAACTTCCAAGCGGCCTTTTCAAGTGTCGACTCAAAACAAAGCTAACAAAGACATCCAAACCAAATGTTTTTATAGGAAACTTTTACTAAACAAAGTTATAAATATCAAAATAGCTCATTTGTCGGATCAAACTCTTAACTCTGAAAAAGGTCTTTCTACCTGCATTACATACCCCTATAATAAAACGTCACAAATTCATTCATGTTTCTTTTTTCTAATCCTAAATCTTCAATTGTCAACGTCAAACTGCTGCCTTAGTGGTTCTGAGAAGGTAACCTAACTGGTAGCTTAGGTAAGTAAAGTTCTAATCCAGGGAGGAAATAAGAAGCAGAAGCAGAATTAGAATTAGAGGAAAGAGGAAATAAAAGGACAGAATCAAGGTAGAGATAATGAAGAAACAAAGGTTGGTCCACTGAGTTAGTCTTTTGTCGCTGGTTTTTTTGGCAAAAGAGTAATGATCGGTCTTGTAACCATAATACTGTTATTTGTCTGCTTGAAGATGTATAAAGCATTTAAAGGAAATGTGATATAAAAAGATTAATAATGCCTGCAGTCAATATTTCATTGTTAGAGAGAATCCAATTTCCTAAGTTAATATGCTTTGATGTATTAGCTATGTAAGGAGTAGACTAGTTTAAGGAAATATTGATGGTCAAAATATTAACATATTAGTCTTTTGATGAAGTTCAAATAGAGAGATTTCTTTTCTCAATTTTCCCTGGAGAGATTAAACTGAAGAGAAAAATTCAGAGAGTTTGCCCCACATGTTGGGTCTGTGAGTCATTATGACTTTTTCAAAGACAGGAGCTGTGACATGGAATCATGCTTCTTCTCTAGCTGAGAAGCCAAGCTAGGTCCAGGCTGGGTCATAAACTTGAGCCCAACAAGGAAATCACCCTTCACATTGACCTCACAGAGCTTTGACTGTTCTCTGTTCTTTGCCCAACACCCAAGACACACACCAGCTCTGGCCAACAAACCTTAACATATTATCTATATCAACCAGAGCTACATTTATTCCCAAATCTCCTTCTAAAATACAAACCTGTACTTTCTACTCTCAGCTTCTAAATTTACAAAGGCCTCATATGCATCTCAGAGTCACAGATGCTAAAACTCAACACACCGGTGAGTTCCCTGTCAGCAATATGTACCACCCTCTACCTCAAAACCCAATGATCAGACTCAAGCACAGCATCTCCCAAAGAGTAGTGCACTGCCCTGGGTGTTTCAATGATCACTAAAACCTGTTTCTAGCCCTGCCTAGCACACTTATCCTCACCACCATCTATCCTATTTGCCGAGCCAGATCTTTCTTTGGATAAACTCTCTCATTTTCATAACACAACAATTTCAGTTCAATTCAAAAAAAATAGCGTTTAAGTTTATTGGATACTCCACAAGCTTACTGCCACTTTATTACCACACTTTTCCATCTATCGGCTCTTGCATCCATTAACATAAGCAGACAAAAAACTGGACTCCTGGCCAGGTGCGGTGGCTCAAGCCTGTAACCCCAGCACTTTGGAAGGCCAAGGCAGGCGGATCACGAAGTCAGAAGATTGAGACCATCCTGACTAACATGGTGAAACCCCATCTCTACTAAAACTACAAAAAAAAAAAAATTAGCCAGGCGTGGTGGCACCCATCTGTAGTCCCAGCTACTCGAGAGGCTGAAGCAGGAGAATCGCTTGAACCCAGGAGGCAGAGGTTGCAATGAGCCAAGACCACACAACTGCACTCCAGCCTGGGTGAAAAAGCAAGACTCCACCTCAAAAAAAAAAACAACAACAACAACAACAACAACAAAAAACTGGACTCCCTACAGCCAGTGTAGTATGCACCACTCACTTGCCACACTGTATGCTGAGTGACCCTTCCACAGCTTAAATCTGCACATAACTTCAGCCTAGAACCATATAATGTCCCTTTATTTCTTCAGTACAATGATTAATACCATATTCTCTGTACCCTTCTTCCCTCTATGCTCATCATTCTAACAGCTCTTGCCAATACTCAAATCCAGGAGCAGCAAACTACTTCACATGTCACAAACTTTTCACAGGTTCACACCAGTGGATTCCCCAGTGAACCAGCTGTCTTAACTCAGGCTTCCATAACAAAATACCACAGACTGGGTGGCTTAAACACGAGGAATTTCTTTCTCACAGTTTGAGAGGCTGAGAAGTCCAAGATCAAACTGCCAGCGGATTCACCTCCTTGGTGAGGGCTCTCTCCCTGGCTTGCAGACTGCTACATTCTCCTTCTGTCCTCGCATGGTGGAGAGAAAGAGAGCACTTTCGTCTTTCTTCTGTTTCTTATAATGACACTGATCTCATCATGGAGATCCCATGGTCATGACCTCATCTAAACCTGATTACCTCCCAAAGGCCCTACCTCCAAAATACCTTCACATTGGGGGTTAAGGCTTCAATATATAATATGAAGGGAACACAAACATCCATTCCATTACACTAGCACCTGCATTTGCAATCCAGCCTCTGGGCCAGGCTTAGCAGTGTAGAGCCCAAGGCTTCAATTGACAGGATTTTTATGCTCTCATGCTCTGGCTCCTTGGCTCCAGAAGCTTCTAGAACCAGTAGGGTGATACATCCTTTAGCAACTATATTGTAAAACACATGGTGGGTAAAAGAGTGCCCTATTAAGTATTTTGGTTATGCCCCCATTAGTGTGCTTGGCTCAATATATTAATAGTAAGTAGTGGTTCGCATCCACCCTCAGTACCACCCTCTGCAGTCATCCTGTCAGTTTCCATTCCATTCTCCTATCCCTGGCTTGCTGGTTCAATACTCTTAAGTGATTTACTGCTGGTGCTCTTCTTTTTCCCTCAGAGATACCTTGTGATTTCTTTGATTCTCTCCATCTCTACAGGTTAATAAGTCTAATATTTAAAAACTCTGTAGAGGGATGTTGGGAAGCTGTGGGGAGAGCCCTTGGGCTTTTCGCCTGGGTAAAGTGCAGATTCCTGAGAATTCTGGGCCTTGGCTTCCAGCTGCACTAGTGCCGGCCACTCAGCTGTTCTCAGCAGCGTCACCTGGCGCAATGGTGCTGAAGCGCACTGCCGAGAGGCCAGAAGGCAAAGCGAGAGTCGGTGGCTATGGCCTGGAACCCATTTAGGCAAAACAGAGGGCGCGCGGGGACAAAGCAATAGAGAAGGGTGGGCAATACAGGATCTGTACACCATACATTAGCAATTGTATTTATTAAATTGTTGATTACCTAAGCCTCCGGAGAGTAGTTTGGACGCTTACCGGTTTTCTGAGGATTATTTGGGGAAGGGGTATGCATGCAAATGTGTGTACATAATTCGTGTGATTTCGGAATATTGACTCCATGAGTTCCAGATGCAGATTTGGAACGTTTTTAAAAAACATTTTGTTTTTGTTGTCTCGCAAATCAGCCAGATCTGCAACTGTATCAGAGTAAAGCGAAGCCAAGCTGGACCCTTAGGAAATGCGCTAACATGTCATCCACTTTCGGTGTCTGCCTGTGAAAATTCAGGCGATAAAGAGAATGAAGAGAACCTTAAGGAATTGCTGGAACCAAAGTTAATATTAAGCAGGCCTGCTGTGACGTCCTCTTCCTGGCAGACCAGTGGAAATTGTAGCCTGGTCGACAATCTGTATAGATTGATGAGGTCTAAAATGTAGTCACAGGTTCAACTACTTTTCTGTTTTCCAACCTCGAGTAAACTCACTAAATTTAAGGGCTAACAAAAACAAAAACAAAAAAAAAAAAAAACCTATGTTTCCGCCCGGTTTCGAACCGGGGACCTTTCGCGTGTGAGGCGAACGTGATAACCACTACACTACGGAAACCACAAGCAGTACCTGCACGGCAAAATATAACCATGAAAATCTTAGATCGGCCGTTTCTATTATAGTTTCCAAATCCGAGATCGCACCACTGCACTCCAGCCTAGACGACAGAGCGAGAGTCTCAAAAAAAAGTTGGGAGAAGAAGGTGCCATTTTCCCTAGTTGCTTTTCTTACTGTGGTGGTGACCGCATTGCCTTCACACCTGAAGTCCAAGTGCTTCCACCCTGGGGAATATGCAGACAGCTGGGTCACTGGACGCCAGGCCGCAGAGCCGGCCTCGTTCTGCTTTTGGCTCTAAATGCAGTCGGGGGACGCGACTGGACCTCACCAGAGACTGGTGGGCTGTTACCCTTACCAGCGACTGGAGGGCCAAGCTCCCAAAGAGGCCTACTTCATGATCGCCTTAAATCAGGAAATTTCATGAAATCCCACCCCTCTACCGCCCCATTCCCATATTGTATCTCCTCCCCTGCCCACTCTGAGAGGATTCGCCCCCTTTCTGTCTCGTCTGGACCCTTTGGAGTCCCACATAGACAAGACAAAAGGGGCATTGCCTTTTCCTACAGGAGCGGGAAGAGCCGTCACAGCGGAGGAAACAGAGACTCACAGCGCGCATCCCCACATACTGCGCCCTGCCGAGTTCCAGCAAACCCAACAAAGCACTCTGAAGCTTCTCTGGAAAAGGAAGAAGTGTGAGGTTTCTGATACGGCAAGAGGAGCCAAAGAGAGGGGACCCAGGCCTTCCCCTAGCTCGAGAGAACAAACCCAGAAGAAGGGCAGATCCAAAGGAAAAGCGCAAAGGCGGCCCAACCCCACGACCTGAGCGAGCCAAGGGTCGCGGGTTAAATTGCGTTTATCAGAACAGTTGTTTGCTCACTGTCCCAAAGCCCTCCTAGGGACGAAGAAAACACTGGCATGGCACCAATCGCAGAAGGGGGCAGCATTGACACCCAGGAACAGGAGTGGAAAAGCAGGAAAAGCAGGGATCATCTCTCTCCTACCCCGTATATGGCTGCAGACATAGCAGTGGTTCTTTTCTCCAGGACCCAGTGAGTGTGCACCAGGAGAGAACATTATGCACGTTATTCATGGTGGCACCACCCAGGCTGAAAGTGAGCCTGTGCTGCTTGGGCTTTCAGGAAGGACGGGCCCAACTCTCCCTCCCTATACAGAGCTGCAGTGCCCTGGCAATGGAGGACAGACCATGGAGTTGCCTGCCCTGGACTCGGGGAAGAGGCTCTGCCCTAAACCCCATTTTAGTGGTAGCTGTCAGAGTGGCATATCCACAGACTTCAGCTGCACCACAGCCAGGAACCAAAGGACAAAGTCTTTATAAAATGAAGGTTGTGAGCTCTGTGACAGGGCATGATAGGGAAGCGGATCACATTCTTGCCTACTCAGGAGGAGGAGCTAGTGCACCTCTGCCCCTTCCCCTGAGACCTCAGCACACCCCGACATGATCTCTTTCCCACCATCCTGTCAGGGCAGGTTTTTCCACTGGACACCAGCCTACGTAACAGCCCTGACTCTTAAGCACCATCTACTGGACTGCATCCTAAACTGGACCACTGAATTCAAAAACCCTGCTACCAAAGGGCTTAGTGCTAGTCCATGAGATAAGTTTCCTGAGAATTCCGTACCCTCAGCCCCCAACAAGGGTTACTGTGTTAGCTTTTACTTCCAATACATCACCACAACAAGCAGCATCTGAGAAAGCTACTGCTCAGAAGCTATCCACAACCAAGAAACCCATACAAAGCTAGGGCTCCCTGAAAGCACCCAGAAATGAAGCCAAACAATCATACACAACATACACCACAGTCATACCATCAAGGGAAAAAAAGAATAAAAAAATTAAAAATCCTCATCCAAACAATACCAAATTCAAAACTAAGAAGCAACAGCTTCCTCGGATGAGAAAGAATCAGTGCAATAACTCCAGTGTACCCAGAGTATTTACACACTTCCAAAGGATCACACTAGTTTCTAGCAATGGATCCTAGCCAGACTGAAATGTCGGAAATGACAGATAAGAATTCCAAATACGGATTGCAAGGGAACTCAATGAGATCCAAGAAAAAGTTGAAGTCCAATGCAAAGAAATCAGAAAAACAATACAGAATATGAAAGACAAGAAAACTATATTAAGAAAAATACAAATAGAACTTCTATAATTGAAAAATTCACTAAAGGAATTTCAAAATACATTGAAAGCTTTAATAATAGACTAGACAAGCAGAAGAATGAATTTCAGAGCTTGAAGGTTGGTCTTTCAAATTCACCTAGTCAGACAAAAGTAAAGAAAAATGAATTTTTAAAAATGAACAAAGCTTTTGAGAATTATGGGGTTATGTAAAGCGATCAAACCTATGACTTATTGGCATTCCTGAGAGAGAAGAAGAAAAGTAAGCAACCTGGAAAACATATTTGAAGGAATAATTCAGGAAAGAATTTTCCTAACCTTTCAAGAGAGATTGATATTCAGATACAAGAAATTCGGACAACTTCTGCAAGATACTATACAAGATAACCATTGAAAAGCATACAGTCATCAGACTTCCCAAGATAAATGTGAAAGAAAAAATCTTAAAGGCAGCTGAAGAAAAGGGCCAGATTATCTATAAAGGAAATCCCATCAGACTAACAGCAAACTTTTCAACGGAAATCTTACAAGTCAGAAGAAACTGGGGCCTATTTTTAGCCACCTAAAAGAAAAAAAAAACTGCCTGTCAAAGTTTCATACTCTGCCAATTTAAGCTTCATAAATGAAGGAGAAATAGTTTTTCCCAGACAGAGAAATGCTAAGGGAATTCATTAACACCAGATAGTCTCTATAATAAATGTTCAAAGGAGTTCTAAATATGGATGGTACTTGCTACCATAAAAGCACATGTAATTACAAAGCTCGTACACCTTATAAAGCAATATATAATTGGGTCTACAAAGCAACTAGCTTAACACTATGACAGAAATAACACCTCACACATGAATATTAACCTTGAATGTAAATGGCCTGAAAGTTCCACTTAACGGGCATAGAGTAGTCCAGGTGTGGTGGCTCACACTTGTAATCCCTGCGGTTTGGGAGGCCAAGGTGGGTGGATCACTTGAGGTCAGGAGTTCGAAACCAGCCTGGCCAACATGGTGAAACTTCATCTCCACTAAAATACAAAAATTAGCTGGGCGTGGTGATGGGCGCCTGTAATGCCAGCTACTCGGGAAGCTGAGGCAGGAGAATCACTTGAACCCAGGAAGCAGAGGCTGCAGTGAGCCAAGATCGCACCACTGAACTCAGCCTGGGACTTCATCAAAAAAAAAAAAAAAGGCATAGGGTGGCAAATTGGGAAAAAAAAAAAAATCAAACTTTCCATGGCCTTTAAGAGAGACCTATCTTACATGTTATAGCCCCCAGAGGCTCAAAGTAAAGTGATAGAGATCTGTTATGCAAATGGAAAACAAGAAAGGTCAGGAGTTGCTATTCTTGTATCAAGTAAAACAGACTAAACCAACAAGAGTTAAAAAAAGAAAAAAGACAAAGAAGGGCATTACATAATCAGAAAGCATTCAATTCAACAAGAAGATTTAACTATCCTAAATATATATGCACCTAACATTGAAGCACCCAAATTTATAAAACAAATACAACTACACCTAAGCAAAGAAATAGACAGCCATGCTATACTAGTGGAGGACTTCAACATCCCACTGACAGCACTAGACAGATCACTGAGGCAGAAACCTAACAAGGAAACTTTGGACTTAAATTGGACTCTTGACCAAATGAACCTAATAGATGTCTATAGAATACTCTATCCAACAACCACAGAATATACATTGTTCTCATCTGTGCACAGAACATTCTCTAAGATTGACCACATACTCAGTCATAAAGCAAGTCTCAATAAATTTTTTAAAAAATGAAATTATATCAAGCATCTTCTCAGACAACAGTAGAATAAAAGCAGAAATCAATGCCAAGAGGAACTCTCAAAACCACACAAATACATGGAAACTAAACAACAGAATCATTTTTGGGTAAACAATAAAATTAAGGCAGAAATAAAAAAAATTGAAACAAATGAAAGTAGAGACACAATGTGCCAAAAACTCTGGAATATAGAAAAGCAGTGTTAAGAGGAAAGTTTATAGCACTCAATACCTACCTTGAAAAGATAGAAAGATCTCAAATTAACAACATAATACCACACCTAAAGAACTAGGAAAAGAAGAAGAAACAAAACCCAAAGCTAGGAGAAGGAAAGAAATAACTAAGATCAGAGCAGAACTAAATGAAACAGAGATAAAAAAAAAAATACAAAGGATCAATGAAATGAAAAGTTGGTTATTTGGATGATTGATAGACCACTAGCTAGATTAACCAGGAAAAAAAGATCCAAATAAGCACAATCAGAAATTACAAAGGTGACATTACAACTCATATCACAGAAATACAAAAGATCCTCAGAGACTACTATGAGCATCTCTACATGCACAAACTAGAAAAACCTAGAAGAAATAGTTAAATTCCTGGAAGCACACAGCTTCTTAAGATTGAACCAGGAAGAAATTGAAATCCTGAACAGACCAATAATGAGTTATGTAATTGAATCAGTAATAAAAATTCTACTAATCTGAAAGAGCCCTGGACCAGACAGAATTTTACAGCTGAATTCCACCAGACGTGCAAAGAAGAGCTGGTACCAATCTTACTAAAACTATTCCAAAAAATTGGGGATGAGGGATTCCTAACTCATTCTATGAAACCAGTATCATCCTGATACCAAAATCTGGCAGGGACACAATAAAAAAAGAAAACTACAGGCCAATATCCCTGATGAACACAGATGCAAAAATTCTCAACAAAATACTAGCAAACTGAATCCAGCAGCACATCAAAAAGATAATTCATCATGATCATGTGGGCTTTATTCCTAGGATGCAAGGATGGTTCAACAGACGCAAAAAAAAATGCTATTCACTGCATAAACAGAATTAAAAACAAAAACCATACTATTATCCCAATAGATGCAGAAAAAGCATTCAATAAAATGTTACATCCGTTGCATGATACACACCTTCAACAAACCAGGCATCAAAGGAACATAACTCAAAATAATAAGAGCCATCTATGACAAACCCATAGCCAATATCATACTGAATAGGCAAAAGTTGGAAGCATTCCCCCTAATAACTGGAACAAGACAAGGATGTCCACTCTCACCACTCCTATTCAACACAGTACTGGAAATCCTGGCCAGAGTAATCAGTCAGGAGAAATAAAAGCAATCCAAATAGGAAAAAGGGAAGTCAAATTATCTCTGTTCACCAAAGACATGATCCTCCATCTAGAAACCTCTAAAGATTCCTCCAAAATACTCCTAGACTTGAAAAACAAGTTCAGTAAAGTTTCAGGTTACAACATGAGCATACAAAAATCAGTAGCATTTCTATACACTAAAAATGCTCAAGCTGACAGCCAAGTCAAGAACTTAATCCCATTTAAAATAGCCACACACACACACACACACACACACACAAATAAACTAAACACCTAGGAATATATTTAACCAAGGAGGTGAAAGATCTCTACTGGGAGAACTACAAAACACTGATGAAAGAAATAATAGACAACACAAACAAATGGGAAAACATTCCATGCTTGTGGACTGGAAGAATCAATATTGTTAAAATGACCATTCTATCCAAAGCAATCTAAAGATTCAACGCAATTCCTATCAAGTTACCAATGTCATTTTTTACAGAATTTAAAAAAAAATTATAAAATTCTTATGGGGCTGGACATTGTGGCTCACACCTGTAATGCCAGCACTTTGGGAGGCTGAGGCAGGAGGATCACTTGAGGTCAGGAGTTCAAGGGCAGCCTGGCCAATACGGTGAAACCCCATCTCTACCAAAACACACAAAAGTTAGCAGGTGTGGTAGCACATACCTATAGTCCCAGCTAATTCAAGAGGCTGAGGTGGGAGAATCACTTGAACCCAGAGGCAGAGGTTGAAGTGAGCCGAGATCATGCCACTACACTCTAGCCTGGGTGACAGAGTGAGACCCTGTCTCAAAAAAAAAAAAAAAAAAAAAATCCCCATGGAACCAAAAAACGGCCCGAATAGTCAAGCAATCCAAAGCAAAAAGAACAAATCCAGAGGCATCACATTACCTAACTTCAAACTATACTACAAGGCTATAGCAACAAAAACAGCAAGGTACCGACACAAAAATAGACACATGAATCAATGGATAAGAATAGAGAACCCAGAAATAAAGTCACACACCTACAACCAACTGATCTTTAACAAAGTTGACAAAAATAAACAATGAGGAAAATGATACCCTATTTAATAAATGGTGCTGGGAAAACTGGCTAGCCAAATGCAGAAGAATGAAACTGGACCCCTACCTCCCACCATATACAAAAATTAATTCAGATGGTTTACAGACTTAAATATAGGACGTCAAACTATAAAAATGCTAGAAGAAAACCTAGGAAAACCTCTTCTTGACATTGGCCTATGACTAAGACCTCAAAAGCAAATGCAACAAAAACGAAAATTGACAAATGGGACTTAAACTTAAAAAGCTTCTGCACAGCAAAAGAAATAATCAACAGAGTAAACAGACAACCTACAGAATGGGAGAAAATATCTGAAAACTATGCACCTGACAAAGGACTAATATCCAGACTCTATAAGGAACTTAAATCAACAAGACAAAACCAAATAACCCTATTTAAAAAATGGGCAAAGGACATGGCTAGACACTTATCAAAAGAACACATACAAGCGGCCAACAAACATATGAAAAAATGCACATCACTAATCATCAGAGAAATGCAAATTAAAACTACAGTGAGATATCATCTCACAGTAGTCAGAATGGCTATATTCCAGGCTCGAGGCAAGCGTGCTCTTCACGAGTTCTGTCATTCTCTTGAGTGAAGCTCACCTGGTATGGTAAGTTGTCCTCATTTTAAAACATTCAGATTTTATTCTGCAATCCTTTCACATGTGACAGTTTTTCTGTTCTTCCTAAGCATGTAATGGAAGTCAAGGAATTCTACATCCTCACTATCTATTAATATTTCTTACCTTCCCACAGCAGTGAAATTCCCATTCTAGTCTTCTGAAACAGAGATAGCTAATAAAGAAAACTCATTTCTCCTTTAACCTTTTCCACACATTTCAGACCATTCTGGTTTTATTCTTTTCTACACAAATTCTACTCTTTATAGGTGTTCAATAAATAAATATAAACACTAATTTTAAAAATAATTTATTAATTTGATCTCTTCATTTAAAGATAATATCCAATGCCTCCAAGTTCCCACCCAAGAATTCTGTTGGATAGGGCTAGAAAAGTTCTGGAGAACATTCTTCCAGACTCTCTAGGCATCATGTCACAGGATGTCCTCGCCACAGCCAGAAGAGTGACTCTGAGTATATGAATGAGGGGCTACAGTGGACTGTGCAGTACCTAGGGAGGGAGAGACAGGGCTGCAATGAAGTCTGGAGGGATTTAGGAGATTCATTGATTGTACCAAACAAAAACTTACATTTCTTCTCTCCTATTCCGTACCCAGGTGAAAGTGGGAAAGACAGGAAGAGAGACACCAAGCTTTCTAGTTGACAGCTAGTGACTCTCTGATTATCTGCAAAGATTGGGAAAGGAACTTAAACATGACATGTAGATTTTCCAGAGATATTTACTCCTGGAGCCAGGAGTCTGCGAACATGTAGGTGGGATCTTTTAAGAAGCAGCCTTATCTAGATTGGGAATAAGCTATTATAGTTTTAGGCTGTGTGGATCTGGTCAACTTTTGTGCTGCTTACTTCTCTTTGCTTCTACAACTGGGCATTGCTGCAGAAAGGAAGAAATATGGAAGTGACTTCAGCTTTGATTTTTTCCTTCTGGAAGCCTGAAAACTCCAGTTTGCTTCCCTGAGCCCTTTTCCTGTTGCACAACTAGGGTGTGGACTACAGGTCCTACCCATGGAAGATGGAGGTAGATACTTCACAGGGAATAAAAACAACCCAGACAAGTCATACCTTTAGGTAACAGATACTTTCAAAGATGTACTTTCCTGCATCCATTAAAGTTTTAGTCTCAGCTAATCTGAAAACCTGCGGACCTCATGCACTGGGATAGCAGTGCAATATGGCTCAGGCTCAGGTTTTGCTGGGCACACCAGAGTAGGCCACACACTCTCATGTGCAGTGGCTTCAGGTATGGATCAGGGTCTTTCCCACTAATTGGCTTCAGTTATGATGTTGTAGGTCATCATTCTTCTGGCTTTAATACGAGAGAAGAAGGGATGGGGAAGAACTGGTCTCCAAGTGAGAGCATCCAGGGTGAAGAGTGTTGAAATAAGGGTCATTAGCACAAGAGAAGAGCCAGGTGATATCAAAGGCATGTAGTAATGGCATAAAGGTGGAACGTTGCTCTCATTCTGCTGAAGTGGGCACCATGGAAACCTTGGTGCTACCACTCGCCAGTCAGGCCACAAGCCCAAGAACAGCACCAGGCAGTATAAGGACATATAAGAATGACATCACTTCAGATAGTCCTGAGAATTAGACCTATCCCTGCTTGGGGCAAACCACTCAGTGGGAGCAATAGTACCCTTCTGCTTCCCTATCTGGGCTAATTGTAAGGAACAAGTGAAATCATGCACACCAATGTGCTTTAAACCGGTAAAACTCTGCCCCAAGAAGCTATGTGCCCTTTTGAGACTCCTTAGACGTGGACAGAAACATAAAATTTCTGCCTTTCTACCTTTTCCTTGGTCACCATTGCTAAGCACATGCTCCAGCCTCTCCCTCAGGCGGTCATTGAGACTGATGGACTCCTCCAGGCGCTGGCGCAGGTTCTGTATCTCAGCAAGATTCTTTTCCAGCAGGTCAGCCCCTACTGCAAACCACCAAGACATAGGAGAGGTAGGAGGTAGGGAAGCCTGATCATCCCTGGGCAGCTGTGGGGCCTGCCTGGCATCTCTCTGCAAGATCCCTACCTATCTCTATCCTTCTGTCAGCTTCTTCCTCTCTCCTGGGCATTCAGGAAGCACCAGGCAACTTTACTTAAAAGTCCTGGGCTTTCAATCACAGGGTGGCCCCCTGTAAGGAAACACCACAGGCCTCCTCCCAGACAGAGACCACCAAGTACATCTAAGGGAGATGGACACAGGGTGAGAAACTGCTAAAGGCCTCTAGGCAGAACTGGCCTAGTAATGGGAAAGGCTGTCTACCTCCTTGGTATGGAAAACAATCCAGAGAATCTCCCTCTCTACCTCATCCCTCTCCCCGATGATGATCCCGACTCAACAGCCTTTGAGATTTCACTCACTCACAGAGAGAAAGACCAAGGTAAGTGCATATGAAATTAAACCAGGCTGTGAATAATGAGTGATAGTGAATGTTCTCCTTTAACCAGTTTTGGCAAAGAGGAACATGGAAGAGCTTGGGAAGGTATCAGGATCTGAAGAGGGGGAACAGGAGAGAAGGGAACAATCTCCAAGGAAGGAAAAAGATGCACAGAGAGAGGAGGCTGAGAATAGGCTTCACCCACTGGGAGATTTTGCGTAGGGTCAGGTTTTTCTCTGAGAATTTAAAATGTCTTATTGTTACACTACCTGGGACACAGAAATGGAGCTGCTTCAAGCCATTCCTCTAAATAGCTGCACTCCTAGCTGCCGGGTGCCAGGATGTTTGGCTCCAAATCCAAAAGCAATGTTTATGGGGGCAGGATTGGCACGTGGTTGTATGCACAGTGTGTGTGAAAGATGTGTGTGAAAGAGTGGAAAGAGTGTGTAGGGCTGGGTGACTCTGTAGAAATAGTTTCCCATCCGACAGTAGCTCCTGACCTAAGGAAGACCTTCCCCATGGAAATCTGAGCTTAGCATTCCAGGACAGTCTTAATCTAGGCCTAAGAAGGTTGTAGCACAGAGAGAAGGCAACATTTAAGTGTGAGGTAACTTATCCTCCTTGTAGAGCACCTCAGAATGTCCCTGACTTCTCCTACTCTCCTGCCCAGAGTAAGTTCCTAGGTAGGGTGGCTAGGAGAAGGCACTTTCAAAGAACAAGCACTGAGCTGGTTCTCACTGTCTGGCTGATCTACATATTGTCCTGTCATTTTTTATGAACCAGGTTCTAACAGAGGAACCAAAAAATCCTCTGGCCAGGAAAGGAATGTGTCATTCCTACCAATGGGCTCGATTTCACTAAGTGCTCCTTTGTGTTTTACCAGAGGTTTCGGAGTTGGGTTGGTACAAAGAGGAGAAGGAGGCTAGGTCTCCAGATGCATTCATTTTTTGAGGCCTCATCTCTTCCCATGGGCCACTGCTACCGTGTTCTAGTGTCCTGCTCTGCTGGGCCAGTGCCGCTCGAAGGATGGAAGGGCTGGGCAGACCTGGTTCCTTGGTTGCTGGGCAAAGCAGCTGAATCAGCAGAAATGGCAGGGCTGGCATCTGTCCAGAAAGGAATGTGAGTGAGAAACCAACAGGGAAGTCATAAATGAGTGTTTTAAAGGTAATTATAGTGAGTTGAATAGTGTCCTCCAAAAATTCATTCAGTTCACTTGGAACTTCAGAATGTGATCTTATTTGTAAATGGGTTTTTTGTAGATATAATAAGTTAAGATGAGATGATACTGAATTGGGGGTATGTCTTAAATCCAACATGACTGATGTCCTTATGAGAGGAGAGGAGACACAGAGATAAAGAGACATACAGAGAAGGAGACCATGTAACAAGAGAGGCAGAGATTGGGGTGATGTGTCTACAACCCAGAAACCACCAGAAACTAGGAAGAGGCAAGGAAGGATCCTTCCCCGGAGTCTTCAGAGGGAGCATGGCCCTGCTGACTCCCTGATTTTAGACGTCTTCATCTCCAGAACTGTGAGAGAATACATTTCTGTTTTAAGACGCCCGGTTTGTGTTTTTTTGTTTTGGAAGCCCTCGAAAGCTAATAAAGCAATCCACGGAATGAAGACTAAGGCAGATGTCAGCAGACTCATTTCCCAAGGACTCCCCATTTCACCCTAAAGTAACTGGCATTTCTCAGCCTATGACATAAGCAGTAGTGTTAGTTGTAATATCTGAGCATCACAGCGCACATACAGGAAAAATATGGGGCCCCTCTCCTAGCTCCCTTTATGATTCCCAATGCTGGAATGATCCTGGGGAGGTACTTCAGAAATGTTTCTCCTAATAGCAGGACTCACAGCCAATCCTAGGAGTTCAGACAGTGAGGGGTGAAGCATTTTGTTGGTCTGTAAACAGGTGACTATTTATTCAACATTCTATGCCCTTGCCAGAAACACACCAGCTACTCCTTCCTGGGATTGTTCTACACTGAGGCTGTTGGAGGAGGAGGAGAAAATGGCCTCCAATTCTGGACAATGTGCAGAGAACCTAGAGAGTGTTGCTTCCACTCCTGGTGGTTCTCTCTCTGGCCTCGGCTGACTCTGGACCTGCAGTGAAGCTGAGGGGGTGTCTGTCTAAGGCAAGTGGTGATTTGGATTCCACCTAGAATGGCTTTTGACACTGCAAAAATAATTCTTAAGTACAGCTCACATTGTCTGGCTCCTGTCCATAGAATAGCTAGTGTACTCTTGCATAGAGGATTGTAGAATCACAAAATACATGGCATCTTACAGCTCAATGATGCCATGAGAACATGGCCAGATCCTCTGGGCCCTTCATCACTGTCTCCCTTTGAGAGAAAAACCCAGCTGGGGTGGCAGGGCCATAATTCAGAGAAAAGTTTTAGAGTCTTTCCCTTTCAAGGATTATTATCAAGGGCTAAAGAATAGACAAGTTTCTCCTCTGAGCAGGTGGGAGTGAGGTTTCTGTTTGCCCTCAACAACATCACGTTCTTTTAGGAACTGTATATTTAAATCAGTATCCAGTAGGTCTCTCCTTCTCCAATTTATAAAATATCAGATACTAATTAGAATCACTGTGAGATAAAGAGTAACGACAACTATGTTAAGTCTTTAATAAATGCCTGACTTAAAGTAGGAACTCAATCAAAATGTGATTACCACCCCCTTTCAAACCTCCTTTATCTCAGAAAATCAGTTTACTCTCAACCATGGCCATAGGAAGCTCTAAGTTTTATCAGTAACAGTGATCAGTGTTTTAACGTTCCCTGGCCATACCACACGGGGAACATGCCCTACACTGCAGATGGAAAGCAACAGAGACTAGACTTTTGTGAAGGAAATTTGGCCTCACAATGTAGCTGTCATGCCAGTGCACTACAGGTTGACTGTTCTAGAAATTTTGGTTCAAAAACCAAAGAGGAAGTGGTGATAAACAGTTGCCCCTGTGAAAGGACAGTGACTTCAAGTGGGAAAGAGAAGGGCTTCGATCTCCCTCAGGAAAGACAGTTGTGGCAAAAAGTAAAGCTGGTGCTCTCCAGAAGCATCATTCCAGAGGCCACACCTCACTGCAGGCAGTGGCAGGGATTGCAGGTAAGGGAAGCATGGGCTTGCCCTTCTGCCATCTCTTGGGGCAGTGCTGAGGTTGAAACAAGTGCCTCTGGGCAACTGAATCAAGGATGCACATAAAAGTCCCATTGGCCCCTTGGAATAGGTGATGTACATATCAAGGGCAGCTCATCTATTTACAAATTCTTAGATAGAAGTGTAATATGTGTAAGGTCTTGTCCCATGTTCAGAGGCCAGAACTCTGCTGGGTGCACAGAGCAGAAAAAGTGGAATGAGAAAAACCCTGGCTCCAGAAGCCTAGCAAAAGAGGTGCTGAGAAGGAGTGAGCACCCTTTGTACGCAGCCCCTGACTTCTCAGGCTGCAGAGTGAAATGCTCACAACCTGAGCTTTGAGTCAGGTAGACTCAAAGTGTACGTTACCCCAAGCTGCTTTGTCTTCAGTAAGTTCCTTAACTTTGCTGAGCCTCAGTGTCCTCCACTATAAAAGCAGAACACCACTACCTATTTGAGGGGATCACTGTGTCAATTAAATGAGGAAATATATGTATAGTGGTCAATATTGTGAGCATAATAGGTGCTCAATCAATGAGAAGTTCCTGTCTTTCCTTGGCTGCTATAATCTTAGAGGAAACTTTTTGCCGCTTTGCTCCTCATTGTGAAATGAGAAACAGGAATAGTACCAGATCAAAACACATTATGGGCCGGGCATGGTGGCTCATGCCTGTAAGCCCAGCACTTTGGGAGGCTGAGGCAGTTGGATCACCTGAGGTCAGGAGTTTGAGACCAGCCTGGCCAACACGGTCAAACCCCATCTCTACTAAAAATATAAAAATTAGCCTGGTGTGGTGGCAAGCACCTGTAATCCCAGCTACTTGGGAGGCTGAGGTAGGAGAATCACTTGAACCCGGGAGGCAGAGGTTGCAGTAAGCTGAGATTGTGCCACTGCACTCTAGTCTGGGCGACAACAGCAAAACTCCGTCTCAAAAACAACAACAACAACTAAAAACCATTATGGCTCACTCATTACTTAAAATTGCCAATTTAGAAAAAAACACCAGATACAGCCAGGGACTAAAAATAATTTCTTGGTATTGTCCACATTAGGATATGATTCATACTGGCCTAAAACTTCAAACACTTTTCTCAAGAGGAAAATTAAAGAGAAAACTGAGCAGGAGAAAAATGAAAGTCTGGTTTCAAACTTAATCTCCTCTTCCCGTCTCTATCAAGGCTATCCCAAGGACCCTCTCAGGGAAATTCTCAGGAGGGACATGCTGGTTGGTGATGGACTCAGCTTGAACCTCACAGCATGGCCCCATTCACTGATAGTTTAGAGGGTGTTACAGCAAACTTATTAGGATGATGGATGGGATCTGTAAATGCATAAATGATAAAGATGATTTAGTGATGAACAAAAAATAGGAACTGTGGCTGTTTACCCCAGGGATTCCAGGATTAGGTGCACAATGTTAGCAACACTCATGTCCCTAGTTTGAAAGATGACATAACTGTGTGCAGTGAAGAGGAACTATTTGCCCCCTTTCTCCCCTTCCCAACCCATGCCCCCCAAGACCAACACCATGTATGTGCCAGAGGGGATCTAGTGACTGATGACATGTGAGACTGGGAATGGAGAAAAGCTACCTGAAAGCCTTGGGGCTTATGCTCAGCACTGAGTCCTGGAGCTGTGCCCGACCAGGTACATCACGGTGGATCTACAGGGCCCAGCTGCAAAGATGCCACCTCTTGGCCTAGACAATGCATGAGCCCCAAAAACTGGAGCCATGTGGCTACTCACTGACTGCAGTCACTGAAGGATGCACTTCCTCCTTGTCAAGCTGTGGAGACGTGCTGCTCAGGGAGTGATGTGGGGTAGACCGGGTGTGGTTGCTGCACCAGATCTGGGGCTGAGTCTGGGACTGGGCATCCCACTTGGTCTCTAGGACTTCTGTCACTTTACTCATATTATGCATCTTCCTCAAGATACTAGTGGGGTAAGAAAGAAGAAAAAATAAAGGTCACCTAATGCCACAGCTGTACTAATCTGGAGGCTCACAGGAGATGTAAAGGGGAGGTCAAGAGGATCATTCCTTCAGAGGAGAAGCCAAACAAATCATTTCTGTTTCAGGATAGAGTATGGAGGGAAGGCGGGGACAGAGAGAGCAACAGTTGTCCGGTGCATTGGCTACAAACATCCTAAGGAAAAACGAAGCCGTAATGGGCCCCTTAAATAACACTCATGATTCCTTCACAAAACACCCAGAGACCCATAAGAGTTCAACTCCAGGTATGGGCATGGCGGTACATGCCTGTAATCCCAGCAATTTGGGAGGCCAAGGCAGGAGAATTGCTTGAGTCCAGGAATTCAAGACCAAACTGAGAAACATAGTGAGACCCTCTGTCTACAAAAAATAAAAATAAAAAATGAGCTGGGTGTGGTGGTGTGCACCTGTAGTCCCAACTATTTAGGAGGCTGAGGAGGATCACTTGAGCCCAGGAGGTCAAGGATGCAGTGAGCAGTGATCGTGCCACTGCATTCCAGCCTGGGCAACAGAGCAAGACCTCATCTCAAAAATAAAATTTTAAAAATGTTAAAAAAAAAAGAATTCAACTCATTCTGTGAACATAATTTTTAAAATAGTATTTGCTATAGGCCATTTAAAACAGATTCCCCAGGCAATGTAGCCTCACTGGTGTCTTGCAGTTTCTAGATCTCCTTCCCTAAGTATAGAGACACAGTATAAACTTTTGTTTGCAAGGAAAATTTGTAGCTGTTTTACATCTTCCAGCACTCCTTGGGTCACCCTTGAAGAAATCAGATATAATCTTACTCTGGTCTTTAAATAAGGGAAACCAGAGGTGATCCCTGGAGGTTCAGAAGACTCCTAAGACCCGGATAGGTTAGAGCAGCTCTATGTTACTAAATTGGTGAATTAATTGGTGAAAATAAAAGAATAATATATTTTTTAAAAAATTTTAAAAATGAGACTGCCTTATCACTAAGGATACATAATGGTTTAATGGATAAATAAGCTATTTGTTTTTTACTGGCCATGTATGCTCCTGTTTCTTTGAGCTTCTGGCTCTTGCTTCTGGATCCTTCACCAGATTACATCTTCGACAGCCCCTGAAAATTTGGAGTTACCTGAGAGTCGAAGACACCTGTCCTACTTGATTCTTCTTACTTGTACAGTCATCTGAGAACAAAATTCAAAAAGGCCAGTCATGCTTTAAGCAGGTCTCATTTCCCAGACTGCAAACAAACATGGAGGTCTATCTGGGACCAGAGACTTGACTACCTGATGCTTGCCTTGATTCCAGGATACTCTGAATTTTCTCAGATCTTGGGTTGAGTCTTTAGAGAGCTTGCCTGGCAGGCTTTCCTGAGCCCACCATGAAGGTCATCATCTCCACTTGCTTTGCCCTGAGTCACAGCAAAAAGCTAAAAATGTCTTTATTCCCACATATCATGGAACACATATCCACTCCAGCCAAAGCCTCCAAGTCCTGGCACAAGGCCAGCACCCAAACCCATGGCTGTGTGTTCCACCATAGCTTTCATGCAGAACTTCCTCCCTTCTCCAAGGAGATGATAGACATCCGTGTCCCACCTACCATCAGGAGACAGCACAGTGAACTCAAGCCTTCTGCTACTATGGGCCCTTGGGTTCTCAAGGGGGAATTTCATGTAAAATGCTCCTGAAACAGCTAATTATCTCACCACCGTGTACTAGTACACACAGTGCCTGAACCATGCCAAAGTCAGCATGATTCTTTATCATTTTTTTGAAGTGTGCCGATTAATGTTACTTATTTAATCCCTAGAACAATCATGCAACATTCAAGGGCTGGAATTATTTGACTTAATTTTTTAGGTAGAGAAACAGAAATCAAAATAAATATTAACCTGTCC
The DNA here is from genome assembly GCF_000001405.40 of Homo sapiens. Lineage (NCBI taxonomy): Eukaryota > Metazoa > Chordata > Mammalia > Primates > Hominidae > Homo > Homo sapiens. The sequence continues at coordinate 149,728,998 of NC_000001.11, forward strand.
AGAGCTGGTAAGGAACACATATAAGCTAGAGGTAGGGTTTTTGGATTCCCAGTTCAGGGCCCTTCACAAAAACCAGCTGCCCCTGCTCCTTCTGTCTTTCTGCCAATTAGTTTCAGATGAATACCATCATCTCTGGGGATGCCTCCTGCCCTAACAGTCATATTCCATGAGGGATGGAGGTGCTGGTGATCATCATGGCATCCTCAACCCTTCTTCTTGGAGCTCCTCTCCAGCCAGTCCTGACTCTGTCATGGTCTTAAGGTGGTGATTACAAAGCAGGACACCAGGTTGAAAAGTGACATGTGAATGGGGGTGGGATCCTGTGAACTTAGGACCTTGGGAGAGACTGAAAATCTTCCTAAGCTCTGCGGCCAACTTACCTGTGCTGAATTTTCTGGCAAGGCTCTCTGCCAGCTGGCTTCCTTTGGCCAGCTGCTCGCAGTAGTGCTGCTCCATATAGTGGTCAATGTTATTGCTCTGGAGTAGCTCCTCAAAGGTCTTTAGTGTGTTCTTGACATGCTGGATGAGAAGAGCAGAGGCCACTCTCCCAAGCTTCATCTTCTGCCGTAGGTGGGTTAACTCTTGAGCCTGATCCTGAATCAAGGAATGATACTTCCTAAAGTAGAAAAAAAGAAGTAAAGGTAGATAGGAATAACTGATAGGTTATAGCAATTTAGGAGAAGGAACTTGAGAGTATCACCAAAGGAGGCCACACACTGAATTCTAGCATATGTTTAGTGTCCTGAATATGGTAAAAGGAATGAAGGAAATGAAAACAATCTTTATGTGAAAAATCCCTTCTAAGATTGTCATTTTCCCTGCCACTTGCTAAAGAAGAAAAATCACTTGATCATATTAATAGATGAAGAAAAAGCATTTGACAAAATTCAACACTCATTCATCATAAAAACTCTCAACAAAGTGGGAATAGAGGAGACCTTCCTCAACTTGATAAAGAACATCTATAAAAACTCTACACTAATGTCATACTAGAAACTAGAAGCTTTCTCACTAACATCAACAATAAGGCAAGAATTTCCCCACTTACCACTTCTTTTCACCATCATACTGGAAATCCTAGCTAATGCAGTAAGATAAGCAAAGGAAATAAATGGTATACAGATTAGAAAAGATGAACTAAAACTGTCTTTGTTCACACGTGATGCAGTTATTGTATTATAGAAAATCTCCAACATGGTGAAACCCCGTCTTTACAAAAAATACAAAAATTAGCCGGGCGTGGTGGCATGCGCTTGTAATCCAGCTACTTGGGAGGCTGAGGAAGGAGAATTGCTTGAATCCGGGAAGCAAAGGTTGCAGTGAGATGACATCGTGCCACTCTGCACTCCACCCTGAGTGACAAAGTGAGACACTGACTCAAAAAAAAAAAAAAAAAAAGGCCGGGCGCGGTGGCTCATGCCCGTAACTCCAGCACTTAGGGAGGTCGAGGTGGGCGGATCATGAGGTCAGGAGATCGAGACCATCCTGGCTAACACAGCGAAACCCCGTCTCTACTAAAAAAACAAAATAGTAGCCAGGCTACTCAGGAGGCTGAGGCAGGAGAATGGCTTGAACCCAGGAGGCGAAGCTTGCAGTGAGCCGAGATTGAGCCACTACACTCCAACCTGGGCGACACAGTGAGACTCCATCTCAAAAACAAAAAGAAAAGAAAAGAAAATCTGAAAGAATTGACAACAAAAATCTCCTGGAACTAGTAAGTGATTATGTCAAGGTAAAATCTAACAAAACATGTACAAGATCTGTATGAGGAAAACTGCAAAACTCTGTTGAGAGAGATCAAAGAAGCACTAAATACACAGAGAGATATTCTGTGTTCATGGACAGGAAGACTAAATATTGTCAAGATGTCAGTTCTTCCCAACTTGATCTAAAGATTCAATGCAATACCAATCAAAATCTCAGCAAATAAATTTTGTGAATATCAACTAATAGATGCTAAGGTGTACATAGAGAGGCAAAAGACCCAGAATGGCCAACACAATATTGAAAAGGAACGGAGGGCTGATATGACCTGACTTCAAGACTTACTGTAAAGCTACAGTAATCAGGACAGTATAAGATTTGTGAAAGAATAGACAAATAAGTCAGCGGAACAGAATAGAGATTCCAGAAGACTCCAAAATATAGCAGATTGATCTTTGACAAAGGGACAAGGGCAATACAATGGAGAAAAGATAGTATTTTCAAAAAATGGTGCTGGAACAGCGGGACATCCACATGCAAAAAAAGTGAATCTAGACACAGACTTCACATTCTTCATGAAAACTTACACAAAATGGATCATAGGCCTAAATGTAAAACATAAAATGATTAAAAAAAAAAACCCTAAAAGATAACAACAGCTGAAAATCTAGATGACCTTGGGATTGGTGATGACTTTTTATTTATTTTATTTATTGATCTAAAGATTCAATGCAATACCAATTTTAATTTAGAGACAGAGTCTCTAAATAAATTAATTATTTTATTTATTTGTTGGAGGGCATGATCATGGCTCACTGAAGCATTCCTTGGGCATGATCATGGTGTGATTATGGCTCACTGCAGCCAAACTCTTGGGCTCAAGTGATCCTCTTGCCTCAGCCTTCCAAAGTGCTGGGATTGCAGGTGTGAGCCACCGAGCCCAGCTATATGATAACTTTTCAGATATAACACAAAAGGCATGATCCACAAAAGAAATAATTGATAATCTGGACTTCATTAAAATTAAAAACTTCTGCTCTGCAAAAGGCACATCAAGAGAATGAGAAGACAACACACTGGGTGAAAATATTTGCAAAAGACATATCTGGTAAAGGACTATTAAGCCAAATACACAAAGAACTCTTAAACTCAACAATAAGAAAATGAACCACACAATAAAAAATGGGCAAAAAACCCTGAACAGACACCTCACCAAAGATGATGGCAAATAAGAATATGAAAAGATGCTCAACATCATATGTCATTAGGGAATTGCAAATTAAAACAACAAGATACCACTCTACACCTATTAGAATGGCAAAATCCAGAACACTGATAACACCAAATGCTGGTAAGGATGTGGAACAACAGATATTCTCATTCCTTGCCGGTGGGAATGCAAAATAGTACAGCCACTTTGGAAGACAGTTTGGCATTTTCTTGTGAAACTAAACATACTCTTACCAAATGACCTAACCATCTGCTCCTCAGTATTTTCCCAAGCGAGCTGAAAACTTAAGTTCACACAAAAACCTGCACATGATGTTTATAGCAGCTCTATTCATAACTGCAAAAACTTGGAAGCAACCAAGATGTCCTTCAGTAGGTGAATGGATAAATTTTGGTACATGCAGTCAATGGAATATTATTTGGTACTAAAAAGAAATGAGTTATGAAGCCATGAAAAGACATGAAAGAACCTTAAGTGTGTAAGTGAAAGAAGCCAACCTAAAAAAGCTACATACTGTATGACTCTGACTATATGACACTATGGATAGGTAAAACAGTGGAGACAGTAAAAAGATCAGTGGTTGCCAGGTGTTAGGAGGGAAAGGAGAATGAATAGGCAGAGCACAGAGAATTTTTAGGGCAGGGAATAGTCATTCTTTATTACAATGGTGGATGCATGCCATTATACATTTATACTTGTGTCAAAATCTATAGAATATACACCACCAAGAATGAACCCCACTGTAAACTGTGGACTTTGGGTGATGATGAGTCAATGTAGGTTCATCAGTTGTACCAAATGTTATCACTCGGGGGCAAGATGTTGATAGTGAGGGAGGCTGTGTCCGTGCAGGGGTAGGGGGCATATGGGAACTCTCTGTTACTTTCCACTCAATTTTGCTGTGAACTTAAAGCTGCTCTTAAAAAGTCCATTAAAAAAAAGAATGATCACAGAAGTATAATTTTTAAAAATATATTTGATGAAGTGGGTGTAGTGTAGCCTTTGTGAATCGAGAGCACAGGATTCTAATGTTATCTCTGCCAGAGGCTATTATGCAACTTTGATCAAATGACTATCTCTTAGGGCCTAAGTGTTCTCAGTTCTAAAATGAGGTAATGAGACTAACTGACTCTAGAGTTTTTTGGGTGTTTTGTTTTGTTTTGTTTTGTTTTGTTTTGTTTTGTTTTGTCTGAGATGGAATCTTGCTCTGTCATCCAGGCTGAAGTGCAGTGGCGCTATCTTGGCTCACTGCAATCTCCACCTCCCAGGTTCAAGCAATTCTCCTGCCTCAGCCTCCCAAGTAGCTGGGATTACAGGTGCCCACCACCATGCCCAGCTAATTTTTGTATTTTTAGTAGAGACGGGGTTTCACCATGTTGGCCAGGCTGTCTCCAATTCCTGACCTCAAGTGATCTGCCCACCTCAGCCTCCCAAAGTGCTGAGATTACAGGCGTGAGCCACTGCGCCTGGCCTAGCGTTATTTTAGCCCTAACATTATTCTCTGGGTCAGTGAAATTTAAGTGGAATATATTGGGCAGTGACCTAATGGAGCATGAAGCAGGATTTGAATCACTTCCAAAGCTGTGCACCAACCACTTAGGCAAATTACTGATTTCAGTAACTTAGTATTTCAGTAACTGGCGCTCACAGGCAAATGCGTAATGGATTAACCCCATATTATTTAAATGCTTCCAAAAAGCTATAGGAAAATGGCCATTAAAAACAAACTGACAAATTTAGCCAACAAGCCACTATTTGACAATTCTGCAAGCTTATTTTTAAAATTCAGCTTATCAAAACTGCCATTCCAGAAGCCAGGGACCTGAGTTTCCATAGAGGATGGAGTAGAATGGAGGGGCCTCTGTATAAATCTACCTCCTCGGGAACTGGGACAGTTCAGCATTCACCAGAGTAACATATGAAGAAACAGGAGATTCCTACATGCTCCTGGGGATCCAGAAGAGAGACCACTCACATGACTGGAAGATTTCCAGCTCAGGTAACCACAAAGGCCATATATTTGGTGAATACATGCAATGTTAGTTAGAATAAAACCAAATTTCTCTGAATAATATAAAGTCATTACTAATAAAACTTTTATAGATTTTTCTCTGAAGAAATTTCCAGGAAGGTATTAAGAGAAAGCCCTACAATTAAGGTATGGAGGCTGGCTGCAGGCCCTGAAAGCTACTCTGACGAGCAATGACTTAATGCTGATAGTGGGAAGTCTCTTGCCCACTGCAGGATACAGAGAATTCTTCCTCAACCCGAGGCTTCTGCTCATTCACTCCCTTCTCAGCAGGTCCCTTCTTCTCTGAGGGCTGATGCATCCCAGCCTTCTGCTGGGACATTTTCTCATGAAGAGCTCTCTTACAGCCGTCTTTGAAAGGAAGGACAGAGAAGAAAGATGTCTATGTCTTCACAATGGCCAGGCTTTTCTCCAAAACTACCTAAAGCAATTGAAACAAAATTATGGCTTACAGAGGTTAGATTATTAGTGGAGATCCTGTAGGACGATAGAATCTCAAGAGCAGAGCCTACCAGGAAGTAGAGTGAAGCCTACAACTTCCTCAGCCATGAGGACCCAACAATCCACTGGGTAAAAGAAAGATGCAGCAAGTGCTGGGGTGGGGTCGGGGTGGGTGCTGTTATGAGAAGGAAGGGGAGGTCCCACAGGTGTTTAGAAGAAAAAACAGGCAATAAATGAATGAAAACAAATGGGGTTTAAACTAAGCTAAGGGATGAGTATTTTTGTTTCTTATAGCTGAGATAAAGTTCTTATGAAGTTCCCAGGGAATGTCCCTTCAGAGGTCAGGAAGCATTTTGCTTCCACAAGTTTTGAGAGTCATGAAGGCAGGAACACATTTTCAGATGCCAGAGCTCAAATCCCATGTCACTGGGACATCAACAATAGTGCTATGGGGAAGACTCAGGGTGCCAGCTCTTGAGTCACAATCACAGAATTAGAATGTGGAAGTAGCTACAGAACCCAAGGAAGCCCTGACTTCTGATAGCCACACTCAATGCAAGGCTGCGTATTTCACCCTGGAGGTCTCTATAACAGGGGAGGCCACCCCCTCAATAGCCAGCTTTTTTACCCTTTTGCTTATGTTGTCAACCAATTTCTAACCACAGCAAAATAACCTAAGTATACCTCTCCTTGAAAACATCAAAACATTTTCTCAGCAGCTTTTATTTTCTTGAAGACAATTTCAGTAAAAACAATTCTTGTGGCTTTTCCTAAATGAATTTTTTTTTAACTTCTAGTGATTCTTACTCTTCGTTTTTAGGAACTCTCCAGGTTTTCACTTCCTACATTCTTTCAAGAATATAGTGACTAAAACTGGAGAATAATCATTTAAGTCTGACTAATAAATTTAGCCTCATGTTGTATTACCTTTTAATACATAATAAATAATATATCCCAATGCGATACTTGCTTCCTTTCCCTTGCAGTAGCAACGTGTAGGGATTTCATTTAATATGAGGTTGATTTTAGCCTTCCAAACTCCCATTCCACCCACCTTTGCTTGCACTCATGGGAAGGCTCAGTCTATATCTGGTTTGCCCACATTCCTAGGCTATAGACCTCTAGGACTCCCAATTTGAGAGGCGCCATTTTTTTGGAGGGTAGTGAATTTTGATTTCTGTCTCCTTTGCATCCTTCCCAATGAAAACTGCTTTCAGCCACTCTCTGCTAGCCTCTCACCAGCACAGAGCTGAATTCACAAATGCCTTGAGGGGAAAACCTTTACCAAGTGTTCAGTTCACATCTCAATTCATTCTAGAATCTTGGCTTTTCAAGTCAAAATACCTGGACAGCTCCACACGTCTACCCACTCCCCACCCCCATGAGGTTACTTAAAGTGCTGCTGTTTTCTCTGGTTTTTAACCACTGCCCTCTCCCCAGCTTCTCAGCCTCTTGTCCCTTGCCAAGAACTAGCAAATACCCTGAGGGGGAAAAATTGTTTCATTCCAATGATCTTCTTTCTCTCTCTCTCTCTCCACCCGCTTTCTGTAGCTGGCCCTGTGGGTCCTAGCTTTTCAAAGACTTCAAACAGAATTCCTTTAAACCAGATTTTATCTACTTCTTTTCGAAGGGAGTGCTGGTTTGCCACAAAACTCCATCGTAACTGAAAGAGGAAATCTTCTACAAATTCCAGGTAAATCAAATTTTCCTACCTTGATTTCTGAAGAAAACAAAAAAAAGAGAAGAGGCCATTGGTAGTATATACTTGCATTTTTCTTGTAATACTTGCGTAAGTCTGAATGGGTATTAAAGGCTCTTGCTAGAATCATGTGCCAAAGATTGTCTACCATGACCTAAACAATCAGGCCTGTCCAAGGTCCAAGAATTTGATCAGGTTGGATCCAGTCCTCTGGTGCACTAACAGAGATCCTGTTGGAGGATAGAATCCTGCTGTAGGATTCTACATCTGTACTTTGAGTAGACACTTCAAGTAACCAGTTTTTCAGACACCTGGCCACTAATATGGGGAGAAGAGGTCAAAAAAACCATTGAATATTTCTAATTTATTTTAGGGAATGTTAAAATTTCTCACTGGTACAGTTAGAAATGAAAACAAAGACATAATAATAATAGTAATAATAATAATAACTGTTTCAAGAGCATTATTATGTGACTGGCATTGTTTCTAAGTGCTTTACTGTGTAGTAACCTATTTAGTCCACATAACGACCCTACAAGATAGTGTTGATTTTTTTGTTTGGTGGTTGTTGTTGTTGTTGTTGTTGTTGTTGTTGTTTGAGATGGAGTCTCTCTCTGTCATCCAGGCTGGAGTGCAGTGGTGTGATCTCAGCTCACTGCAACCTCTGCCTCCCGGGTTCAAGCGATTCTCCTGCCTCAGCCTCCTGAACAGCTGGATCACAGGCCCCACAACCATGCCCAGCTAATTATTGCATTTTTAGTAGAGGCAGGGTGGTTTCACCATGTCAGTCAGGCTGGTCTCAAACTCCCGATCTCAGGTGATCCACCTACCTTGGCCTCCCAAAGTGCTGGAATTCCAGGCTGAGCCACCCCGCGCAGCCGATAGTGTTGATTATTACAACCCCTTGTTGCAGATGAGAACATTGCACTGAAAGGCTGAGCTTACCTTTCCAAGGTCCCATCATCTCTATGAGAGTGAGAGCCAGGACTCATCCAGACCCTTGCTCTGAGCCATTAGGCTTGGTGGTAACTAAGAAGATCTCACTAAGATGCGCATTCCCTCCTTCTTGCTCAATCTCCAAGATTTCGAGGACAAAATGGAAATTAAAAGTAAGGCCTACAAGATGGCTATTATTTTAAAAAGAAGGAAAGAAAATTATCAGTGTTGGTGATGATGTGGAAAAATTGAAACCCCTGTGCACTGTTGTTTGGAATCTATTAGGTTGGTGCAAAAGTAACTGCGGTTTTTGTCATTATGTTTAATGGCAAAAATCGCAATTACTTTTGCACCAACCTAATAAAATGGTACAGCCACTGTGGAAACCCATATGGTGGTTCCTCAAAATATTAAAAATAATTATCACATGATCCAACAAATTTACTTCTGGATATATACTCAAAAGAACTGAAAGCAAGGATTCAAAGAGATATTTGTGCACCTACATCAATAGCAGTATTACAATAGCTAAAGAAGGGAAACAACCCAAGTGTCCAACAACAGGTAAATGAATAAACAAAATGTGGCAAATACATGCAATGGAATATTATTCAGCCTTAAAAAAGAAAAGAAATTCTGACACATGCTACAACATAGATGAACATGAGGACATTATGCAAAGTGAAATAAACCAGTCACAAAAGGAAAAAATACTATATAATTCTGCTTATATGAAATACCTAGAGTAGTCAAAGTCATAGAGACAGGAAATAATGGTGGTTGTGCCAGGGGCTAGGGAGGGAAGAATGGGAAATTAATGGGTATAGGGTTTAGGAACTTTAGTCTAAGAAAGGAGAATATTGGATGCCAGAAATTCAGTTTTCTTTCTGTTCCAAGATCCCTTTAGCTAGAGCGACATATTGAAGTCAGAGTTCCTAAGGGAAAATCATTGTGTATGGAGATCATCCTTGTGGATCAAATGTGAATCAATAGTAGATCAAAAGATATTCCACTTTTGCAGATATTGACATTTGTTGGACCCGTAAGATTTTATCTAGTATTAGATAGATAAGATGTGAACCACTTCTCAACGCTGCAGACTCAAATACTAGGAAATACTAAGAACCTCAGGACAAACAAATAGCCAGTCCAAAAAGACTCACAGACTAGATAAGCTGTCATCTACCACCTAACAGATAATGTATCCCTGTTAACCACTATCCCCAGATGTTCATTTCATAAAGTCAAAAACAGAATTCCATGTGGATCATGGAAAAAAATGGTTGACAATGTACAAATGAGAGAGAGAAAAAATACTTGTCTAAGAATTACATTTAGTGTCTAAAAGCCAAATAGCTCAATTTCTGCTCATGAGATTCAACAGATGAACTGAGGGAACATATGCCAATAGCTCTGAGATTACAGGTCCGCATGGGATGCCCATAAGGTGCAGGATTCTATTAGCTAAGATTATGTCTCAGGTGGGCAAATCTCTGTGGACATAGCAAGAAAAAAGAAAAACTGTCAAGGAATAATATAGAGACAGTGTGATGGTTAATTTTATGTGTTAACTTGGCTAGACCACAGTGCCCAGGTATGTGGTCAAATATAATTCTGGAGGTTTCTGAGAAAGGGTATTTTGGATGAGAGTAACATTTGCATTAGTAGACTTTGAGTAGAGCAGGTTGCCCCATGTCATGTGGGTGGACCTCATCCAATCAGTTGAAGGCCTGAATGGAATGAGATTGACCTTCCTGGAAGAAGAGGAAATTCTACCAACAGAATATCTTAGGACTCAAATAACAACTCTTCCCTGGGTCTCCAGTCTGCCTGCCTTGAACTTTCACAATCATGTGAGCTAATTCCTTAAAATAAATCAATAAAAATAGATGATAGATGGATGATTCTGTTTCTCTGGAGAACCTTGACTAATACAGATAGCATACTAATTCACCCTTGCCATTTATAGAGGAAAGAGTGGAGTAATAAATATCAGAATATCTTCTCCAGACCTGGTCACCACAGAAACAAATTATAGCTATACAAAATATCTTGGAAGTTTAGCTGAAGAGATGAGGAGATACTCTACTGCTCAATGTGCGCCATGTCATCTGTTGTACCTCCCCTTAGTTAAGTCAGGAGGGCAACACTCCCTTTATTTTTTATTTTATTTTGTATGTATGTGTGTGTGAGATGGAGTCTCACTCTGTGGCCCAGGCTGGAGTACAGTGGCGTGATCTTGGCTCACTGCAACCCTGCTTCCCAGGTTCAAGTGATTCTTGTGCTTCAGCCTCCCGAGTAGCTAAGATTACAGGCACAGGCCACCACCTGTGGTAATTTTTGTGTTTTTAGTAGAGATGGGGCTTCGCTATTTTGGCCAGGCTGGTCTCGAACTCCTGACCTCAGGTGATCCGCCCACCTCGGCCTTCCAAAGTGCTGGGATTACAGGTGTGAGCCACAGCTCTCGGCCCCTCTATTTATCAGACAGATGTATAGAAAGTTTATTGTGCTAGCAAGAGTATGAAGAAAAGGATTCTCTGAGTTGAAAAAACAAATTGGAATATAAATTGGTACCACTTCTATGGAAGGCAAATTTACAGGGCTTATTAATTAAAATAAAAAATGTGTACTGTAACCACTATGATACAGCAGTTGCGCTTCCAGAACTCTACCCTATAGAAATCCGTGTACAAATAGCAAAAGATATTTGTACAAGAATGATGACTGCAGCATTATTTGTAATCGTAAAATCATGGAACAAACTTAATTTAAAAAACAACATGTAAAGGGTTAGATGATGGAATAAACAAAAGAAGAAATGCCTTCATCAAAAATAATGCAGAGGATAATAATAATCTTGAGTCTACTGATAACATTATTGATCGAGCAATTAGTAAATCTAGGCACATCCTGCAAATGCGGTATTATTACCATCCTCATATTACAGTTGAAAAAATATTGAGGTACAAATAGCTTGTCAATAGCCCAAAGGCACAAAGAGAAGCAAGATTTCACCCAGAACCCGTGAACAGATCACACAAAATTTCTCTTGTTCCCTGGTCCAAGGAACTTCTGTACCTTCCAACTACATTTCTTTCCAACAGAGACCTTCTTGGAGGATGAGAAGCAGCCACTAGTTGACAGGAGGGGAAGTGAGGCATGTAGTCTTCAAGGGAGCAGACCACCGTGGGAGTTATAAAAGACCAGCGACGCCTCTGGGTGGGTTCGAACCACCAACCTTTTAGTTAACAGCCAAACGCGCTAGCCGATTGCGCCACAGAGACATGGCTGAGCTCCTAATTTCGTTCTATAAGAGGGTAAGCTGTCACTAAACGCTAGCTAGCACCATCCGCCTTTTGCAAAATGACTGGGTAATCTCCAAAGCCTCGGAAAGCCGGAGCAGTCAGAGCGACGAATCTACTTGTTTGTCAAGTTTGAAACCTGTGCATTGAGTGATTCCGAAACGCCCCGCACCCCGCCTTGCCTGCCTCAGAAGCCGGCGCTTCCGGAGATGCCGGGATCGCGACTCCTGTTAGAGCGACTTGGGCCCCAGGGAAGCTGAAACGCCCAGGGCGCTCAATTAGGACTTGTTGAATTAATAATACATTTGAGAGACAGAATATACAATCGAACAATGGCCGGACTATACGTAAAAATATAACTCTGATCCACAACCTGGGGCCACCTGCCCAAGAAATCAACTTCCTTATGTACGAATAAACAACCGGGGAAGCCAGCCTGCTATTATATAAGTCAGACTCACAGGGAGCCAGGCAGTTATCTGTAGTAACAAACAATAACATCCATAACAATCGGCTCCAAATGGCAAGAGCTTGGTTAGTAACTGACACTTTCCCTAATTTATGTTCCCACTTGCAACTTAGGACCAACCAGGGAAAGCCAAATATGCACCCCTAACCAAGCACACTGGATGTCCCCCTTCTAGTTAGCCCACAGGCAGCTTCCCCACACCAGCAGTCTCCAATCAGGGCACACCTGAAGCCTTCCCTTTCCTCAGCTATAAAGCTGTCCCACTCCTCTACCTGCCTTCTAAGCTCTGTCAAAATGCAAGTGCCGGTGGCTGATGCCGGTGGCTGACGCCCTTGCGTCAGAATAAATAACCATTGCTTTTTTCATTTGATGGGCCTTCGTTTTCACACTTTGTCATCTTTAAGCTTTTAGCCCTTTGAAGGATTCTGAGACTGGAAAATAAATGAAAGGATTTTTCAAAGGGGGAAGTTCTTTTTTTAAAGGCTTTATTCTAGTCAATTGATTTCCAAGTGTGCAATGTCCCATGGGGTAGGCCACAAAGAGGCCTAGAGTGCACCATCTGTGCGGCTGCAGCTCCTGGCTCTCAACAGAACTGAGATCTAAGTCCTCATGATCTGATCAGCTTCCAAGGGCCTAAACCTCCTATTACCACCAACTTGGGGATTAGGAGTTCAACAAATAAATTTGGTGAGGGGACGCAGACACACAAACATTCAGACCATAGCAATGCATAAAGGTAGCTCATCACTGAAGTTTTAATTTGTGTTTCCCTAACGAGTAATGATTTTGAACATTTTTCCTACGTCTTTTGGGGTCAGTGGGCAAGATCAGGAAAGGGGCAGGGACCAAAGGAGACATGAAGAGGGAAACAGCAGGGACAATGACACCTCCCAGGAGACTTGTGCAGAGGCAAAGGCTGGATCCTGAGAGATGAGAATTGTTTTTGTCATGTATTTGAATGGGAAGAAATAGAAAAAGGACATGAAAGAGAAAAAACACAAGAACTTGTAGCTATCCAAGAACAAAACAGGAAAATATCGTGGATATTTTTGCATCAAAAATATTAAAAGCAGCCCACTGGCAACCCCAGGTTTATGGTGCACCATGATGATATAATAGTTAGTGCTCTTCATTGTGACCGAAGCAACCTTGGCTGGAATTGGAGCCACAGTAGCATCTGGCTTCCTTCTTGGCAAGATTTGGTATGTGTTACAGTTTCACTTTTTAAATCCCCTTACCAACTGCACCCAGTAGCTGTGGTCAGAAAGCAGAGTTTACTGTGTCTCCCTGTGACGCAGTCAGGACAAGAGAAGGAAACCCCCACAGTGCACTAACCTACGGCAGAATCTTTGGGGAAGGTTAGAAGGGACCGTGTGTCTGAGCATGTGCAGGAACCATCTCAAAAGGTAAAGCCCTGACTCTTCAGGAGCCTTGTCTGTAGCTTCAACTGACGTAATGGTGTGGTAATAACCATTTTTCTGGCTGAGATATTTCAAAGGTCAGTAAGGCCTTTTTAGATGCAATGACAATGAGCTTTGTATGAGTTCTCATTCAACAGGGTATTTTACAATAAAATCTGATCATATAAAACCCAATAAATGTAATAGAACCTAAACTTGATGCCATCCTCCACCTCCCCCACCTAATTATTTGGCGGGGGAACGGGAGCGCTAATAGTACATTATTGAAGTATAATTCACATAGAGTAACATGCACAAATCTTAAGGGCATAGAAACGTAACCATCGCCTAGATCAAGTTATAGAAAATTTCCATCAGCCCAGAAAGGTCAATAACCTCCTTTAGATTCCCATCCACCTTCCTTTCACTTAGACAAACCATTCTGATTTCTATCTTCACAGACGAATGTTGACTGCTTCTGAAATTCACATAAATGAATATACTTTTTTGTGTCTGACTTCTAATTTCCTGCAGCATAATGTTTTTGAGATGCATCCATGTTTTTAGTATATTATTTTGGTGTTATTGATGACTGTTATTTCTGTGTGGATGACTGGGTTATTTCCAATTCTGGCTCTCGTGAACAAAGCTGCTATATTCTAGTACAATTCTTTCTGTAGACATATGCACCCATTTTTCTTCAGTTTATACCTGGAAGTGGAGTTGCTAGGTCATGGAGTAGGTCTAAATTTAACTTTATTATAAACTGCCAAACAGTTGTCCAAAATGGTTGTGCTATTTTACCTCCTCACCAGCAACGAGAGTATAGTTACTCCACATTCTTGTCAGTACTTCTTGTCTTTCAAATTTCTTCTATTCAAGCTGTTAAAATACCTTAAACTGAGTAGCTTACAAACAACAGAAATTTATTTCTCACTGTTCTAGAGGCTGGGAAATCCAAGTTCAAGGTGCCAGCAGACTCTGTGTCTGATGAGGGCTCACTCTCTGGTTCATAGGCTGTGCCTTCTCCATGTGTCCTCACATGGTGGAAGGGCAAACAAGCTCCCTCCAGCCTCTTTTATAAAGATACTAATCCTATGCATGAAGGCAGAGTCCTCATGATCTGATCAGCTTCCAAGGGCCTAAACCTCCTATTACCACCAACTTGGGGATTAGGAGTTCAACAAATAAATTTAGTGGGGGGAGGCAGACACACAAACATTCAGACCATAGCAGTGCATAAAGGTAGCTCATCACTGAAGTTTTAATTTGTGTTTCCCTAACGAGTAATGATTTTGAACATTTTTTCTTATGTCTTTTGGCCATTTAGAAATTTTGTGTGTGTGAAGAAAGCCTATTCATGTATTTTGCTCATTTTTAAATAGCTTGGCTTTTATTATTAATGTCTAAAAGTTCTCTCTAAATATTCAATATTTGAGTTATTTTTCAAATAAGCATACTGCAAATATCTTCTCCCAGTCTTAACAAGGCTTACCTTCTTTCTTGTGGTAATTTTTTGATAAGCAGTTTTTAATTTTGATGAAATCCAATTTTCTTATTTTTTGTGACCTCTAAGACATCTTTCCTACCCTATGATTGTGAATATATTTTCCTACATTTTCTTCCAGAAACGTGTTTTTATTTTTATTTTTAAATCTATAATTCTTCTTAATTTCATCTCCTGATCTCAGCACAATGCTTAACCACTATAAAATCCACAACTTGCAGACCAACAGTTCAATCTCCCAGAAACTTGTATAACCCTTGATGTAACAACATTTACAGTAGTTTCCTGCTGTGCTCTTTGACAACTATAGATCCTTGCGCTTCCACCCCACTGCCCCCTTGCCTTCTCCCTTCTCTCTCCTCTTTTCACCCCTACAAGGTGAGAAAACCAGAAAGACCTAAAACTGAGGAGAAGAAAGACCTGGTCTAATCTGTGCTCAAGATATTAGAGCACAAGAAGAAGAAAGACTGGGTCTGATCTGTGCTCAAACCACACCTGTATTCTGGTTTGTAAGTCTAGTTCTGCCCCTGTGTGGCCTTGGATAAATAACTTAAACTTTATGTGCCTCGATCTTTCTTCTGTAAAATGGGGCTAATAAGAGTAGTCTTAGGCCAGGCGTGGTGGCTCATGCCTATAATCCCAGCACTTTGGGAGGCCGAGGCAGGCAGATCACTTGAAGTCAGGAGTTCAAGATGAGCCTGACCAACATGGTGAAACCCCATCTCTACTAAAAGTACCAAAATTAGCTAGGCATGGTGGCAGGCACCTGTAATCTCAGCTACTCAGGAAGCTGAGGCAGGAGAATTGCTTGAACCTGGGAGGCGGAGGTTGCAGTGAGCTGAGATCACACCACTGCACTCCAGCCTGGGCAACAGAGCAAGACTCCATCTCAAAAAAAAAAAGAAAGAAAAAAAAAGAAAAGAAAAAAGTAGTCTATTTCAGTTTGCCATTGTTAGCTGTGTCTGGATATGGTTGACGATTAATTAGTAATCAATCAGAATGATCTTCCTCATTGTCATTTTCCTCTGCATTATTTTTGAAAGCAACTATGCTGATGTTTTGCATCTTAAATTAGTTTTTCTTCTAAGAATTCCAGTAGATGGACTCATGGAGTATGCCCACTGTTATGTCCAGTTCTTTCTTTCTGCATAAAGTCTCTGAGTTTTATTCACATTGTTGAGTATATCAGATGTTCATTCCTTTTTATTGCTGAGTAGTATTCCATTGAACGAATATACCACAGTTTATTTGCCAGTGTCCTGATAATAGACACTTAGATTGTTTGTAGTTTTGGGTATGTGAATAAAACTGCTATGAACGTTCTTGTTATAATTTGTGTGTGTGTGTGTGTGTACATATGTTTTAAAGTCTCTTGGAAGAATATCTAGGTGAAGAATTGCTAGGAAAAAAAATGTTTATGTTAAAATGTATAGGAGACTGTCAAACCAAAGTGATTATAACATTTTACATTCCCTCTAAAAATGTATGAGTTCTGGGTGTTCCACATCTTCACCAAGATTTGGTGGTTTCTGACTTTATAATTTTGCCATGCTAAAATGGCGGAGTGGTATCTCAATCTTGTTTAAGTCTATTTCTCTCACAACTAATGATATTGAGCACTCTTTTATGAACTGACTGGCCACTAGTATATTTTCTTCTCTGAAATGTCTGTTTAAGCTTTTGCCCATTTTTAAAAATGGGTGTTTCCATTTCTAATACTGAATTGTAGGAGCTAATTGTATACTCTGGATACAGGTTCTTGGTCAAATATGTGTTGTGAATATTTTCTCCTCGTCCATGGCTTGCCTTTTCAGTTACTTAATGGTGTCTTTGGATGAAAAGACATATTTCATATCAACAAAGCCTAATTTATCATTTTTCTGTTTTATTTATTTCTCTGTGTAATATTTAGAAAATATTTGCTTTCTGCCAAGTCTTAAAGACATTTTCATGCATTTTCTTCTAAAACTTCATAGTTTGTATGGTTTGTTCTGTGATCCAACTCAAATTAGCTTTTGTGTATGTTGTGAGGTAGGGATTGAGATTTTTTTCCTCACTAGTAGATATCTAGTTGGTCCAGCACTACTCGTTGAAATGACACTTCTTCCCCATTGTATTGCTTTAGTACCTTTTTTGAAAAAAAAAATCAATTGACCATATAACAAGGATCTGTTTTAGGTGTCTCACTTCAGTTTCATTTATCAATATGTGTATCCTTTTGCCACATTCACACTGTTTTGTTTATAGTAATAAACAGCTTAATAGTAAGTCCTCTAGGTTTGACAGCTCAATAAACCTGAAATGTGTACATCCTATGGTGCCACCATGAAAATCAAGACATGCTGTCACTTAATCGCTCTCATTTCACTAGAGGACACATGAGCTCATGAATAACGGTTGACCCCTTAGCCAAAGATCCTCTATTGTACCCTCTGGAGAAAATAAATCTCTAGTTACCTTAAAAGCTGATCTAGAGGTAAAATGTCTGCAACATTCAGCAATGAATTTAGATTATCTTTGAAAAAAAGTTCATTTTCAAGTTGTTTTTTTTGTTTCGTTTTTTTTTTTTTTTTTTTGCCAAAGAATTTCTTTTTTTTTCTGTTACTTAGTAGCATGAAGTACAATGTTTGGTTTGCAATTTCTGTTCTTTGTAGGAAGAAAAACTTTAGTGGAAACAACCAGTACTTAAAGACCATTTTATGAGGCTGTCATTTACGTATTATCTCTTTTGCTGTTTTTGTTAAAATGATATAAGGTGGGCTTTATATGCTTTCTGTATATCCTTTGGAATGTGTATTTAAATTAAAAACTTAAAATTAAAATATTCATCCTAGACTCAGGTTAAGTTCCACCAACAGTACACTTAAAATAGGATGAGCCCAACCTAAGCGTACAACCTACCTGCTTCAAGTGTGTAGTTGGTGTGTGTGATACATTCTCAACAGTATTTGTGTTCCCTGGTGTAGTGATTTTCGTGTTCCTCCCACCCTTGAAAGTCCTCGACTTAAAACCCATCTAGAACATTTCCTTTGCTAAGACTTTAAAGTATTCTTTCTTCAAGTTAAGGGCAGTTTTTAAATAGTTATCAGTTGCATTCTTGGAATTCACAGAAAGCTTGGGGAGAAACAATCCAACGGCACAAGTTCAAGTGCCCAACGGGGTGGAGAAGGGACTGCATACTCACTGGTTGCCAGGCCGAGGTTGTCCGCCTTGCCTGCTTTGGCTGAGACTGGAGACGGAAACTCCATTCAACAGCGACTGGAGGACTGAAACAGGGCGCAAGAGGGCGGCTGCCCTTCACCTACCGGTCCCTCCCTGCCTTGGCGCCTTCGGAGTTCGGACTGACCCGGGATGTTGCTGGAGCCCGCAGGAACTGCAAACTCACCGCGCGCGTCCCTGCACACCCGCACCTGCGCCTCGAGAACTCCTGGCCAGTTGAATACCCGGTCCCCCGCCGAGCTTCGCTGCAGGTCACAGGAAAGAGGTGCAGGGTTGCGTACCCGGCGGGAGAAGCCGCGCGGAGAGGACCAGGTGCTGCTACTGGCCTCCGAGAAGACAGGCCTAGAGTAGCTGATTTTGACCTGCAGGGCCAAAGTCTAACGGCGGCCTAAAACCCTAACGTCTGGGCGAGCCGCGGGTAGCGAGTTGAAGCGATCTCTATGCCTTGCTTGTCGTTTGCCAAAATTCAGACCAAGAAAGAGAATAGTTGTGTGGATCAAAGTCTGCAATTAACCAAAAAAGAAACATGATCCTGTGTTAGCTTACTTAGGAAAAAAGGAAGAAGGAAGGAAAGAAGGAAGGAAGGGAGGAAAGGATGGAGGGAGGGAAGAAAGATGAAAAAATCAACCAAAAAAAGAACATGATTTCCTAACTAATCGGATGTGGGTCATGAGAGAAAGACCTGCGTCGAGTTTTTGGCCTGAACGTGTGGAGGGTGGAGTTGCCATTAACTAACGTGGGAAAAGGCAGGTGTAGTACGTTTTAGAGAAAATATCCGGAATTCCGTTCAGGGCCCTGGGGTCTTCCTTGAAAGAGTTTTCCATCCAGGCCGTCTCGGTTTCCGCATCCGTCTGAGTCGTTTATGATGTCGGGAATGCAGGAATCTGAGTCCTTTATGATGTTGAGGGTGCCACGGTCTCACCCCGGGCGCCTCCCCGCTCCAGCCTCCTCCCGGAAGCCTGGTGCGCTCTGGCCCCGCCGACCAGCGACAGTCTCTCCACGCGCTGCCGCCTAGCAAAGGCGCATCTTTAGGTCGGTAGTGAGGTGCGGCCGGGACGCTGCAACTCGCTCCGGGACTTGTAAACCTGGCAGGTGTTCGAAGAGGGCCACTGGCTGGAAGGAAAGGAGAGAGCTCTGCACGTCGCGTGTGGGCTCGCAACTTGGAGAAAGCAGGGAGAGGACAGCCTTTTGGGACTATTCCTTGGATGGGCGGGTGGCACCAGGAAGGGTAGATGGAGCTTTCTAGAGGTCAATGTCAGCGTAATTTCTGCTGAAACAATTGAAGGAGGAAAAAAAAAAAAGTATGTGCTTTGTGGTTCCCTGGTAGTCTAGTGGCTAAAGTTTGGCGCTTTCACCGCCGGGACTGGTTGATTCCAGATCAGGGGACTGGGTCTCGGCCTCACTGTGAGGTATTGTTCTTTCCTGTGTTTGCCATCTGCCACCGCTGTGGCTCAATTATTCCAAGACTGCTGGAGAAATGGAATTAATGTCGATCCTAAAATTTAAGCTATTTATCTAGGATAAATTCCAAATAGTGGAACTGCTAGGTGAAATTTATTGTGAATTTAAGATTCCGATGTATACAGCCCTACAACGTATAAGCACCAATTACATTCCCCAAAGTGTGTGAGACTGCGTCTTTTCCCCAGAATTTGGAACCAATGCTAGAAATTATCAGTCTTTTAGAGATAATTTTAAGCTTATTTATCATCAAAGGATTTCTTCATAGTCAATTTCCCCTTAGACTATAAATCCGCAAGAGATGGCAAAGCTGGAAGAACTGCCTAGAATTTCAGCAAACTTGAATTCAATAGTCTCTCTGTTCTTTCCTGTTTTGGCACCTACCCTTTTCTTCCAGTTAAGATTGGACACAATAGAAAAATAATTAATAAATGTAATAAAAATGTAAGCCTGGACGTTTTGCTCACAGTGTTCTCACTGGGTCTAAATTTTGTGAATGTGGTTCCTTGGATAGTCTCATGGGTATGCTTGAGACTTTAGGCCCTTGGGACACCTGGTGCACAGAAGGGTCCCAAAACCCATCTTTGGAAGTGTTGGCAGAGTAAATAGGCACCAGTAATAAAGGCAACGGCGCCTGAAGACCTAAGGCTGGTTTAAACCAAAGCAGATTTTTCAAAACCAGAGAGGGCTTGTGTTCATAATTTAATAATTTAATTTTTATTTTGATGAAATTTAAATTTGATTTAAATTTTCATAATTTAATTTTCATTTTGATGGCCACTTTATTTTGACAAAGACACTAGTGGAGGAAAGTCTCTTTATTGGATCATCAATTTCCCTATAAATCTTTGTCTCAGAAAAATTTAATAATAATTTCATAATAAATTATAATAAATAATGTTTCACATCTTACATTACTCACTTTTGATTTAGTTGGCTTGTGCTGTCAATATGTTGCCCACTGTATAACACTACCTGATGAATTACATTCAACTATGTAGTAATACATATTACTACATATACACACACACGTATACATGTGTATATACATGTATACGTGTGTGTGTATATATATATATAACCATATGTAATTTCAAAAGGTAAATTAAATATAATGGGACAGTGTTGGTAACCTCTTAGATAGTGTAGGGCTAAGATAGCTGAATTTATGGCATGGTGTTGTATACTTCAGATATCTATGCTGTAATATTAAAATGGCATTTCCTTGGCCCACTAAATTGTCCATTTCCTGGCCCAAAAAGATACGCGAAAGGAGTGAAAATGGGAAGAAAATAGCCTTTTGAAGGACTTGCCTAATAAACTTCTCCCTTAGCATTACTTGGAGTGACATCAGAAAATTGGAATGAAGTAATTGTGTAATGTAAAAAAGACAAATTCTCTGCTGTCTTTCTCCCCCAATCCTTAATAAACAAAGGAGGAAACCTAGACTCAGGTTAGGTTTTCTCTTCTTATTCTTTACATACCAGGACAAGTACTGAGCTTGTTTGTTACTATATGGGGACTTAGTATATTGTACAAAGGGGTGTGGCTATTACTATCCCTTTTCTACCAGAGCATCAAAACTGGTAACTTGGCTGGTGTTAACGGGAGCTTCTAACCTTGAATTCCCACTCCATGTGACTTCTTTCTGGTTCTCTCTTCTCAGAGAACTTGCAGCCATCAGATTCATTTGGAGAAGTTTGATAAAGGTTACTTTACGCTTAGACAGAAGAAAAAACCCTAAGGTCTTGAACTGAGCCTTATCCTCTGATACAGTTTACTGGAATTCCCTCCACTGTGGCACAAGCCCTGCTGTAAATTGTGATTATCTATACCTTGTCAGTTTTATCTATGTATATATCTTTTACAGTAATCCCCACATCCACCAGAGAACCTAGGTTATTGGCAGAATGAGGTTTGGGAATTCTGGTCCTCTGGCCAGACACTATCAGTTAGTACTCTGATTCCACCATTTTTGAAATTATATACAACAAATTTTAAGTATTGTTTATTTTGGAGAGTTCAGGTTAAAGGAAATGAAGACTATTATTCAGTATTATTTCTGTAATTTTGTAATTTTAACCATAACATAGGTTTCTTATCAAAACGTATGGAAGCCAGAAAGCAGTGAAGCAACAATATTTTCTCCAAAACGAACAGGCCAAACTTTGGCAGGAGTGACAAATCTGGCATGCAATGGTGGCTTCTATATCAGAAATCAAGTCTTTTACTTTGTGAGAGCACGAGTTTTTAGTTTTTTGTCTTCCTTTTGGCTGCCAGAGGAATTGAACATTGTGAATTCATTGGCATAGTCCCAAGAAACTTTACTTGGCAAGCAAGCTATTGATTTTGGCGGGGGTGGGATGGTGTTTATCAGTCACCCCTACTAGCAGAGATGTGATAACACTGCAGTCAGAGTAGTTGAGTTTTAAAATTTTGACTTGCCAACCAACAGAACATTATTTATATGGTAAAACTTAGACATCAGAGGCTACAGGCACTCAGGCTAAATTCTGACCCATTCATTGGTGACAAATGTTAAGGGATTTTTGCCCCATTAGCCCTTTTTTTACTCATGATGGTACTCTGAACAGAAGAATCTCCTCTAACAATTTAAGACCATTCATTGTATAAGCATGTAAATCATCAATCTCAATGACACATTTTCACAACTATACACTGAATTGGCTCAGAGGCTTCACTCATAACTTTAACTTTTTTTCCCCCTTTACTACAAGTTTTACCCAAACTCTGTCAGTTGAATTCACACTCTACAGGAACACATATCAAGAAGTTTAACACATGCACTTTAGTTACAGCAGCACCTGCCAGGAGAATATCTTACCTCCTTGACTGAGAGTTCAAGGAGTGCAGGGAGATGTGACCAGCCATCAAGATGCAGTAGAGAGACTTCTTTCGTTAAAGTACCTGAGTCAGGTTGAGGGGAAGAGAAGAATTAGGAGCACAAAGAGAGCAGGCACACCACAGGAAGCACAACTCTGCAATTGCTTTTGGTTTTAAGAGGCTGTCCATTCAGTTTTTTTGGGTTTTTTTTTTCCTTTTCTTGAAACGGAGTTGCCCAGGCTGGAGTGCAGTGGCATGATCTCAGCTCACTACAACCTCCACCTCCTGGGTTCAAGCAATTCTCCTGCCTCAGCCTCCCGAGTAGCTGAGATTACAGGCTCCTGCCACCATGCCTGGCTAATTTTTCTATTTTTAGTAGAGATGAGGTTTAACCATGTTGGCCAAGCTGGTCTCGAACCCCTGACCTCAGGTTATCCACCTGCCTCGGCCTCCCAAAGTGCTAGGATTACAGGCATGAGCCACCATGCCCAGCCTGTCCATTCAGTTTCAATGAACTTTAAACAACAAAAAATGCCATTTGGGTGGCTGGTTTCAGTCTTCCCTGTCAATGCTCAGCCTCCAAATATTCACTAACACATAGAACAATAGGAGGACTGTTACTCTCCTCTCACACCTACTACTTGGGAGAGAACATCTGCTACCAGATCCTGGAGGCCCTTCTCAAGCCCCCTAACCTGGCCCCATGTGGTTCTTTCTGTTTTTTCTCCTAGAAGGCATTGTGACCTTACTGGTCCCATGTTGGGCATCAAATCTGTGAATGGCTCACACTTGGACTTACGCACACAGCATAAGTAATAGGGGATATCTATGCATAAGAAAGATTAGTATGTTGTCAGCTCCCCACACCCATAATTCCACAGCATGACACCAAACTGGAGTTACTAGATGACAACCCAAGTGGTGGGTTGCTCTGTCAAGAAGGGGCCAATTTTATATTGCAGCTAGGCAGTTACAGTCTGTAGCTGTACCATTGAGGGGATCGGGGCAAGATGCAAATTTCCATGGCTTACCAGAAACAGGTGAGAAACTGCCTGCTGGTAGCCTGCTGCAAGACAAGGAGGCCCCCAAAAGAGATGAGTAAGAAATAGTCTTATGATAATGGCTCACAAGACTACTTCCCTTACCATGGTCCAGGAGGGCATTTGGTCAAGGTTTGAGTCATAGTATGGTTGAGCCTTGCCTATGTAAAGTTTAAGCAAAGCCATTCCCTTGTACCTTGTACCTTGAAGAGAGTTTCATTGGATATAATATCCTTAATTTGCACTTTCTTCTTTTTAATGAGTAAATTGCATTTTATTTTATTTTATTTTATTTTATTTTATTTTATTTTATTTTATTTTTTGAGATGGAGTCTCACTCTGTCGCCCAGGCTGGAGTGCAGTGGCACTATCTCGGCTCACTGCAAGCTCCACCTCCCAGGTTCACGCCATTCTCCTGCCTCAGCCTCTGGAGTAGCTGGGACTACAGGCACCCGCCACCATGCCTGGCTAATTTTTTGTATTTTTAATAGAGACGGGGTTTCACCATGTTAGCCAGGATGGTCTCGATCTCCTGACCTCATGATCCACCCAAGGAGTCTCTCTCCCTCCTTGTGTTCTGGTCTGTGAATGGCTCACACTTGAACTTAGTGTAGGCTCCTAGTGGGAGGAGCAGGGGTGGCGAAAATCCTCATCATATGGATAAACATAACCCAAACCTCTAGAGGTTTCATAATTTTCCTCTTGCTTCTAAAAACATAGTCATGTCTTATGGGGTGTTATGTACTTTATATCTTAACATTTTCCACTTGCTGCTTCTTGGTTTGAGGGGAGAAATGCCAGCATGTGGCAAATGGAGAATAAGACTGGTGGAAGCCTCAGGGCAAGGCCTTCACTTCCCAGTGACACTGTTCCCAATTCCCTCCAGCATGAGCTGAGCCTCCTCAGGCTGTGGTTGTGCAGCAGACAGGGTGTGAGGAAACCCTGCTCAACCCTGGTTACCCAGGATGGCACTGAGTTCTAAAAAGCAAAGGTTATGTGGTGAGGGGCCTGGCTGAAGACCTGGTGTGGTACTTTTGTGAGCAGTGGCACCAATAGAGGCTGGGTAGGAGAGAGGTGCAGGGCCTAGCTCCCCAAAAGACCAACAGATAAACTGGGGCAGAGAGAGAGATTCCAGTGTAACCGGGAAGGCTGCAGATCATAACAACTATGGCTGCTGATTTGGCATCAAAGATGTGGCATTGTCAAAGCCACAATTGTTGAGAATGGCACCAACATGCTGCAGCTGGAGAGAGTGGGTGACCAACATTTTGAAGTGGCATAGTTGTCTGGGGTAAATACCCAACGTTTGTTGCCTCACACCAAGGGAACTGAGGATGTGGACACACAAGAAGTGGGTTTAGGAGTGGAGGTTTACTAGGCAAAAGAAAGAGAAAGGAAAATAGCTCTCTCTCCTGAGAGAGAGAGGGTTGCCAGAGTGGAACTTCTGGTTTTGTGGTGAAGTGCACAGGGTTTTATAGGCTGGCTTGAGGAGGCAGTGTCTGATTCACATAGGGCCCAAAGATTGGTTGGACCAGGTGTGACATTTACATAGCGCTGGAAGAAGCTGGCCACCCAACCCTAATCTTCTTCTTATGCAAATGGGTTTTCTACTTTACTCGCACCATGTTGTCTGCTCCTTACTGTACACGTGGTTAGAAAGGAAAAGGGAAGATGGAGCCACCATGTTGAACATGCCTACCCCCCAGGTAGCCTTGTCCTATTGGCACAGCCGCCAGCAGTCACCTGTGCAAGCTTCCAGCTTGCTTATCTATGTCTGCAGCTCCATTTTACAGGCTGCTTTTTGTTAGAAAAGAAATTATTTGGTGGCTGCTTTTCATTAAAAGGGAACCTTACCAAGGACTTCCTTACCCTAATGCCTAAATAATTTCTTTTTAACTCCTATATCAATTTGTTTGAAGAACAGATGACACTTTGAATGGCCCAGCCCACAGCCCAGAATTTCAAGGGAAGACCTTGAATTCAAGGGAGACAATGTCTCCCGTAAAATCACCTAGGCACTTACATAGCATATTTTTCTGTCCACTGTCTTGCTAGTCTGTTGTAGTTCTCTCTGTCGGCCTTGTAGGTGTGGGGTATCTCTAGCACCAGAGGATCATTGAGGTTGGGGATGCAGGGCAGTGAGCAGATGGACAAGAGAACTTTTGACAGTCAATGCTGGAGACCACTGAGACCATAGGATGTTGAAGCAGATGCTGCCATTGCTATTGATATTGGGGTGATAAATTTTGGTTGTGAAAGCAACCTTTGGGGGCTTGAACAGGCAATCCATAGGAAAGTGGATGGTCAGGAAGAAAACACCTCCTTGGCAAGGACTGTCATTAATTATCACCCAGAGGCCCCGTGGAGCACTGGGCAGGAGGATTCGTCTGCAAGTTGGTTAATTCCTTCTGGATCCACTTTAGTGCCATCCTACCCCACTGCTGGGGGCTGGGGTGGCCCAGCCACACTGCACTTTCTATATATAAGTTTTTTGAAAATGCTGCTTCACTGTTACCTTGCCTTGTATGTTAGTGCCCATCTAATTCAGTTGCTTTTGTAACTTGTTCCACAGTGATGCCTGGAGACCTGAGTATGTTTTATCTTTAAAATCTAATAATGTTACTAGGATATTGTCTTGAAGTTGATCATCCTGGTTTAATTTTTGCTGCCACTTTATGGGCTCTTTCAATGTGCCTCATCACATAAGTAATGTCATTTTCATTTTTGTAAATCAAGTCTCCTAGATTGTTCACCTGAAAGCCTGATTCTCCTTTAGAGAAAAAAATGCTAAAAAACAAAACAAAACAACAAAAAAAACAAAACATTATATATCGCATTACAATTTTATTCAACAAATACAGAGGTTTCCAGAATAGTTAAAACAAAGTAGAAAACAACTCTGGTGTTATAAGAGCAGTAGGTTCATATGCCCACTGTGCAGTAATAGACCAATACACTAAGACAGCAGTTTGCAACAAAGAATTTAATGATCACAGGGCAGCCAAGGAGAGAGATATGAGTAGACCCTCAAATCCATCTCCTCAAGAACTTCTGCGTTAGGGTTTTTAAGGGGATTGTGGAGGGTGAGGGGTTGGAAAATTAAGGTTGTTGATTGGGCAGGGGAAGGGGGATGAAATCATTAGGATTTGGAAACTGCATACTGAGTCAGTTCCTCAGTGGGGTCCTTCAGACCAGCTGACATCAGTAGTTTCACTGGTACACAGGATCTGAAAGAATATCTCTAACGGGAAACTTAACATTTCATAATCTTCAGGTTGTTATCTATAGAACAGTTCAGGAGAACTATAATCTAGGGCCTGCCTGATTCTAGCACAAACAGCACCAAACAACTGTGAGGAAGCAGGTCCAAGAGCAGGCTGCTCTCAAGAGTAATGCAAAATTGCTGCAAGCTTGTTTATTTTTGTTTCTCCCCTTCCCTTCTTCCCTGATTAATTTTATAAAGTTTATAGGGACAGTTTCAATGGCTTCAACACAGTATTGCCAGGTAAGGACTTGAACCCAAGAGGCGGAAGTTGCAGTGAGTCAAGACCAAGCCACTGCTGCACTGCCCAGTCTCAAAAAATAAAAATTAAAAAAAAATCAGGCCAACACCTGTTGACACACATTGCTAGGAATCCCTTTGGGAAAGCAAATGGGCTCACGGAACACACGGAGGCCATGGTGGGTGACAATGTTAACTAATTCTGTTCATGGTGTCCAGGGTACAGGCCTGAGGGTCCACTCGCCACCTCTGCCCAAAGCCACGTCTCCACTGCTCCCCTCATCTCCGCACGGATTCCTCCCCACGTGCCTCCCCTTTTCTTGGACTGCCGACACCTGACACCACCAAGGTGACTGCTCCTCCCCACAGCTTCTCTCCTTCAGGGGACTTCACTTCTTGTTCCTCGCTCCATAGTGAGGCGTGACCCAGCGGTCAGCCCAAGGTCTAGCATGCGAATCAGGGACGTGATGGTTCTTTGGGATTCTAGGGATCTACCTGGAGAATAGATGAAAGTAACAAAAGTTTTACATACCAATATTCAAAACTGCATCAAACTACC
Organism: Homo sapiens; assembly: GCF_000001405.40. Lineage (NCBI taxonomy): Eukaryota > Metazoa > Chordata > Mammalia > Primates > Hominidae > Homo > Homo sapiens. The sequence goes on from NC_000001.11 coordinate 149,756,341, forward strand.
AGAAACACTTGCCACTTTCAAAGATAGACTATGCTAAGTAGCTCCAGGTGTGTGCCACCATGCCTGGCAAATTTTTGTATTTTTAGTAGAGACTGGGTTTCACCATGTTGGCCAGGCTAGTCTCAAACTCCTGACCTCAGGTGATCCACCTGCCTTGACCTGCCAAAGTGCTGGGATTACAGGAATGGCTCTTGACTCTAACTGCAAGGTCCCTAGATCATTAGATCATTTCCTGAATATCTTATGCTTCAGGCATTGGCCATCACTTGGGTTACCATTGTCATAAATCAAAAGCCTCCACAACCAAGGCCCTTAAACATGGGATAGCCTGTGCAGGGCAGAAGTATAAAGAATATAGAGAAGTGAAGCACAAAACTTGTTGCATTGGCCAGGAATTAAACCAGGGTCTCCTATGCAGGCGGTGAGAATTCTACCACTGGACCACAAATCCGGCTCTTATGTGTGGTCCTGGAGAAACAATTGAAATACAATACTGAAAAAGACAGAAATTGTTCCAAAAGAAGCTTTTTGCAGTATTGACTAAAAGCTAACAGTAGACATCCAAAACCAAGGTTTTTACAGAATACTTTTACTAGACAAAACTATAAATATTAAAATAGCTTATTTGATCAAACTTTAATTCCGAAAAAGGCTCCTTCCAACTGCGTAACAGACTCCTATAGAAAAACATCAGAAATTCATCCAGGTTCCTTGTTTCTGATCCTAAATCTTCAATTTAGGACCTCAACCTCAAACTGTTGCTTTAGTGGCTCTGGGAAGGAAGCACTAACTGGCAGCATAGGTAAGTAAAGTTTTAATCTAGGGAAGAAATAAGAAGCAGAATCAGAATTAGAATTAGAAGAAAGAGGGAATATGCTATACCAGAATATCATAGGCAAAAAAAGAAGACAAAGAAAGAGGAAATGAAAGGACAGAAGGTAATGCTAATGGAGTTAGTTATTTGTGGCCGTTTTTTGTAAAAGAGTAATGATCAGTCTTGTAATCATTATAATACTATTATTTGCTTTCTAAAATGTCTAAAATATTTGAAGGAATTTATGATATAAAAAGATGAATAATGCTTGCAGTCAGTGTTTCATTGTTTGGGAGAACCCAGTTTCCTCAGTTAATACACTTTCGTGTAATAGCTGTTTAAGGAGTAACATGGTTTAAAGACATATTAATGGCTGAAATATTAACATATTGGTCTTTTGATGAAGTTCAAATAGAGAGATTTCTTTCCCCAATTTTCCCTGGAAAGATTAAACTGAAGAGAAAAATCTGGAAAGTTTGCCCCACATGTTGGGTCTGGGAGTCATTATGATTTTTTCAAAGACAGGAGTTGTGTATGACATGGAATCATGCTTCTTCTCTAGTTGAGAAGCCAAGCTAGGTCCAGGCTGAGTCATAAACTTGAACCCAACAAGGAAATCACCCTTCACACTGGCCTTGCAGAGCTTTGGCTCAATCTGTTCTCTGCCCAACACCCAAGACACATACTAGTTCTGGCCAACAAACCTTCACATATTGTCTGTGTCAACCAGAGCTACATTTATTCCGAAATCTCTTTCTAAAATACAAACCTGTACTTTCTACTCTCAACCCCAAAATTTACAAGAGGCCTCATATGCATCTCAGAGTCACAGATGCTAAAACTCAACACACCAGTGAGTTCCCTGTCAGCATCATATACTACCCTCTACCTCAATGATCAGCCCCAAGCCAGCATCTCCCAAAGAGTAGTGTGTTGCTGTGGGTGTTTCAACAGATCACTAAAACCTGCTTCTACCCCTGCCTAGACACTTATCCTCACTGCTATGCATCCTGCTCCTCAAATCAGATCTTGATATCTTCTTTAAACACTCCCAATCTCCCAACACGACAATTCATTTCCAAAGAATTATAGTATTTAAATTTATTGGACTCTATACAGACTCATTCCCACTTTGTTACTACGCTGGTCCATCCATCACCTCCATTAACATAAGTAGATCAAAAACTGGCCTCTCTACAGCCAGTCTTGTCTATTCCAACCCATTTGCCACACTGTATCCTGAGTGACCTTTCCACAGTGTAAATCTGGACATACCTGTAGCCTTAAATCATATCTACCAACATAGTAGCCAAGCAACAGCAATCTCTTTTCCTTTGGTCATTAGAGTCCTAGAGACCAAGAGGATGTTGGGAAAAGAATTACCATGGATCAGCTCTCAGAGGCAGTAGGTTCTGGACTCATGCTGGCTTTGATACGTGTGCATTGGAAAAGCTCAAGTACCTGGCAATACTTGGAGATTAGGAAGAAAGGATGAAAATAAACCACTGCACTAAATAACATGACAATAATCACTTATACAAAAATTTTAAAGATAAGGAATATTTAAAGATTTATTAGTTTATTATAGCTTTATAGTTGGAGAGTGAAGAAGAAAATACCAAAGCTTTTTGTCTTAACAAAATGGTGCAGACAGATTAACATATATTGTCACCTATGATAACCAGTCAGCATAAAAAGTATTTAGAAAGGAATGGTTATATTCTCTAAGAGATATATTCTGATGTCATGTTTTTTGCTTTAGAGTCTATTAATATAGCCACCTTTTTGTTAATGTTTTCAGTCAAGCTCCTTTTCTCGCCTTTCATTTCCAACCTTTCTCTCACTTTCTGGTTTAGATACAACTCCTAAATATATCATATAGTTAATTTAAAAATCCAGTGTAGCAGTATTTCGGGGGTTTGTTTTACTGGATAATTTGGTCCACTTACATTTAATGTAATTGTTGATATATATTAATTTTAAATCTACCATCTTTATTTTTTTCTGTTTGTTCTGCTTGTTCTGTTTCTATGTCTTTTCTTGTCTGTTTTGGATTGGTTATTTTTAACTATTATAACATTATATTTTTTTACTTTTTTATATGCTTTGCTTCACTTTCTTCCTTATTGTATTTCCTTTAATTGTATTTAAGTTGCTTCTATTCTTTTGTGGTTACTTTAAAAATTACAATCTTAATCCTTAATTTTTTTTTTTTTTTTTTTTTTTTGAGACAGAGTCTCACTCTGTCTCCAGGCTGGAGTACTGTGCCACGATCTTGGCTCACAGCAACCTCTGCCTCTCGGGTTCAAGTGATTCTCCTGCCTCAGCCTCCCGAGTAGCTGGGACTACAGGTGCAGCTAATTTTTGTATTTTTTTAGTAGAGACAGGGCTTCACTGTGTTGGCCAGGATGGTCTCCATCTCTTGACCTCATGATCCGCCCACCTTGGCCTCCCAAAGTATTGGGATTACAGGCGTGAGCCACCGTGCCCAGCTAATCCTTAATTTATTAAACATAGTAATAATTGATACCGTTATCCTCTTCCTGCACAATATATGGATGTTGGAATACTTTTATTCCATTTAGTCTCATTCTATATATATGCTGTTATCATTTATTAGGTCTAAGTATTAATAGTTTTAAACCCCAGAAGACTAGACATATATTTTATGTAGTTAATGTTAATTTAGATTTATCAACATATGTGCTGCTATCTTACTCTTTATTTCTGCTATGTCTCTGAATTTCCATATGTAATCATGGTCCTTCTGCCTGAGAAACATCATTTAGAATTTCCTTTTGTGTTGGTCTGCTTGTGAAAAACTGTTTCAGCTATTTTTCTCTGAAAGTGTCTTTATTTGCTTTAATTATTGGAGATTATTTTTACTAAGTATGTAATTCTGGAGGCAGTTATTTTCTTTCAGCATATTGAAGATATTTACATTTGATTGTTTCTTTTCAGAAGGCAGCCAATTGTCTCGCTGCTGCTTATTTGAATGTAATGTTCCTTTTTTTCCTCTGTTTTTTGTCTTTACTATTTTTGTCTTTGTTTTTTTTTTTTTATTGTCTGCAGTTTTACTACTCTGTCTTTAGGTATGGAGTTCCCTTTATTTATCTTCTTTGATTGGTAGGCCTTCTAGAATCTGTTGACTTTTGAGTTTCATTTTGTCTGGAAAACTCTCAAGTATTATCTCTTCAGTTATTGCCTCTATTTTCTCTCTCTTCTACTTTTGAGCCTCTAACTAAAAATAAAGTAGACTTTCTCACTCTATTTGTTATATTTTTGTGTTTGTGTATTAAATATTATTTTTTCTCCTTGTTATATATTCTGAATTTTTTTCTTCTTCCTCATCTCCCACTTTACTAGTTCTCTTTTCAGCTGTGACTGCTCTCCTGTTAAACTCTTCCATTGAGCTCTTAATTTTGTTTTGTTTTTTTTTTTCCGAATTTCTGTTTGCCTCTCTCTAAATCTATTCTGTCATTTTTTTGTTGTTTCCAATTGGTGTGTAAATTGTTAACAAAACCCTTTTCTCCTTCTGCATGATAATTTGACCTTAATTAACTTTCCAGCTCTGTCCACCTAGAGCCTTCTAATGACAAAATGTCAACTATGTTACTAAGCAAACATTGCATATCATAAAAAAGACTCCTAACTGATGGACTACACTTGGACTGGGAAAACTAAGTATCTGGAAGAAGCCAGACTTTGAGCTTCTCTGAATGCAGTGACTCCTATAACTTGCATACACCTGGCATGGGCATTGGAAACTACTCTATTAAGTTCTTAACAAGAGATAATGGCTCCAGGATGGTGCCACATGCACCTCAGCTGTCCCCAAGTAGACAATGAGGGGTGGAGAGTCAAGAGACTATCTCCTAGGTACTGTGTGGACTGCTGCTGCAGGGACTGCTCCTATAGAAATATCATGCCTGATGCTGCCCTGATAGCAAGCTATAATTCTTATCCTACATCTCTCGGATTAATCTGGTGCCAAGTATGGCCTCTGAGATTCTTGTGAGCCTGAACGTTAACTTGAAGCTAAGAAAACATCCAAGTGGGCAAAATTCTTCCAAATTTTTGTTTCATGAATAATGTAGACATCATTGTTTTGCAGTCTTTCTAATATATCTAATATTTGGGGGCTTGATTTCAACTGCCTGACATGTCTGCTGGTTTTCACACCTGGTTTAGTTTCTTTGGGTTCATTATTATTTTTGAGTATGTGCCATATCTTGTATCTGGAAAAATATTTTTGGAATAATCTGAGATCTACAATGAAAGCTTTCTTGCCCAGCACCTGGGGGTACTTCCAGCCCAGAACCACCTTTAATCAAGTAAAAGGTGTGAAAGATGCTCTGAACTTAAACTGTGTAACATAAGGGATGTTTCTTTTATAGTTCATTTTTATCCCAAGATTATAGAAATGTAAGGTCCTACCTTATTGTAGGATTATTCTCCTGATAAACTCCCCAACTTGGGCAGACTCTGGTCTTCTATTTCTGTCCCATTAGTCACAGAAGGCTGTCAAACCCTAATATGCAGGTCAGGAAATGTCCTTAGCCAAAAAATGGCTTCTCTGCTTGCTTACGGCTCTGGGTTCCAGTTTTTCCTTTACTTCAGGCCTCGTAATTCTTCAGTGTTAATCATCATCTTGATGCTTTTAAAAATATTTGTTTCCTATATATTACCTAAATAGCTTAGTCAGTGTTACCAGAAATGTATCATCAACTTTTAAAATATACTAAATGCTTAAAAAAATAAAGTCATATTTTACTGCTATGGCTCTGACTTGAAACTAAGTTGATGAGGCCATGAGCTGGAGCACAAATCAGTCCCCCCACTGTGAAACTGTCAGGTCACCACAAATACAGATTTTATTAGCAATGCAGAATTTTTCTTTTCCCTCTTAAGTCATCCAGTGACCAATCGGTTCTAGGCCACAAGATCAAAAACTCCGGTCTCAAAATCTAACAACCCCCAGCTGGTAATCTCACACATGTTCAGATTTTACTTTGTAAAAGAGAATCAAGCCACATCATATAAAATTAAACATTTATTATTTTTCTTAATAGTCTAATAGAGATATACATTTGTGTATATTGGCCGGAAATTGGGCTAAAATTTTCACAAATGGAAATCAAGAATGTTACCATAGAACTATCAATGCCAACTTTAACTATTTGAATCAGATGGCATAGCCTAGTTTCCTCTACAACTGACAGCACACTCTTTGGTATTTTGGTATTTTTCAGTGTCCTTGAAATGTTTAACTACCCACTAAAGAACAGGTCACATGGAATTAATAAACAAAGGGCTTCAGTTTCCATCAAGCACCTTCAAGTGACAGGAACAGGGATTTAAATAAAAGGATCTAAGTCAGCACAGGAAAGTGACTATGCTGCCAAAGTGACTCAAACTCAAAAGGACAGGATGAGACTTACTCAGAACTTCGAGGAAGTGTAGAGAAATTATCCACCACTTTTTATCCTAGAGGTGCTTTTGTGGTTGTGACCATACCGTAGAATGATTTGGGGATCCCTTCCAACTGGAAGGACATCTTAGACTGAGGGAACCCAAGAAACCTGATTTCGGTCACCCCTGACCATCATAAATCCCATGCAACAGGTCCATGCATTATCTAATGTTGACTCTGGGAATGGTCATTGTCATTGTTTCCTATTTGAATGGTTGTCACATTTCCTGCTTCAAATGATATCCAGAAATGATGGCTTGGGACCATATTCTCAATTTTTAGGTGGCAAATAGACTCCAGAGACATCACACATAATAAAATACTTGGACTTTGAAAGGAAAGAGTCAAGTCTATGACTTACAAGCTTATAAAGATCCCTCAGATGAGTTATGTACATGGATTGAGAATCAGAAAAGGAAGGATGCTCTCTCAGGAGATAGAAAAACCAGATAAAAGGAACAACTGAAATTATCTGACCCATCCCCTCATCGCCTGTGTAGAAGGGAAATGCTTACTTTATCTAACCAGTGGATAACAGACAGCCTCTTTCATTTTGGAGCTACCAAAAAGAAAAATAAATTGTGGTTTGGTTCAGTTCCCTTTTGACCAGTATGTTCTTGAAATTTCGAAAACATTTTACTCTTTTTCCTTTTAGTGTTTCAGTGTGGATAATTTCATTTGATCTATTTTCAAGTTCATTTTTTAGGCCAAAATTTGTCAAATATTGGCAATTTCATATGATTCAACTTAATATATTAACCTAATGTGCCAAATTCAAATTTGTTTCTATACTACTAAATAATATCCCCCGAAACGCTTTGCCAATTTACTCCTACTGACAGTGTATGAAAATATCCATTTTATTTCATCCTTTACAAGGTGCTATTATCAATAATTTATACTTTTACCAATCTGGGAAGTGAAAAAGACATTTAATTGTCTTGACTTGCATCTCCCTTATTACTGGTTAGTTTAAATTTCTATTCTCCGTTCATTTTTCTGTTTATTTTCTTTTGTAGTACCTACTACTTCTTGATATCTTTATTTAAGCTTTATATATTTACTTTTTACCTGTTAATTGTTGTAATCACCCACTAAAGAGTAAATTCTGGCTGGGCACAGTAGCTTACGCCTATAATCCCAGCACTTTGGAAGGCCCAGGTGAATGGATCACTTGAGGCCAGGAGTTTGAGACCAGCCTGGCCAACATGGTGAAACCCCATCTCTACTACAAATAAAAAAATTAGCTGGGCATGGTGATGCACACCTGTGATCCCAGCTACGCAGGAGACTGAGACACAATAAACGCTTGAACCAGGGAGGCAGAGGTTGCAATAAGCCGAGATCACACCACTGCACTCCAACCTGGGCGAGGAAAAAGAAAAAGAATCAGTTCCATCAGAGCATGGATTAAGTCTCATTCACCACTCTAGTGCCTAGAACATTTTATGTACTCAACATATAATAGTTAAATGAATGAATGAAAGTTAGACTGTAGGGGTGTCCATGAAAGTAGATATTAGCTAAGTTCCCAGAGATTGACTCCTCTTTTCCTGGTTCTCACACTTCAAGCTCTGTTAAGCCTGGAGGAGGGTGTTTTGTCTTTAAAAAGATACAGCTCCAGGTTACCCCTTTGGACCAGTTCCTGTTCTTAGGTATCAGACTTCCTCTATTCATGAATGGTGGATATATATGATTTCCTGTGATGTTTCTTTACATTATGACCATAATGAGCGTTGATTTTTAGTTCCTGATCCCCTCATGTAATGACTGTTCAATTAATGACTTTTTGCCATAATGGCTATTATAAAGCTATGTCACTTTTTGGACAACTCCTTTTTTATTATAATGATTTGTCACCCCAAAATAAATAAACATGCTATAAGAAATTATATTTTGACATCATGGTTTCAAGCAGACACTATGTAGGAGGATGTGTATGAATGAGCATGTAGGGAAGTGGCCAAAGAGGGGCCCACCCTCTGTAATCTGCTTTTTGATGCTAAGGTGAGGACTCTGCAAACCACATCTTTTTTTTGCTTGCTGGCTTTATTAGTTTCTGTCAGTAAGGGGTGTTAAAAAGAGACTGAAAGGCTGGAGGAGGGATATAGGTCTGGCTGCTTCCTATTTTGTTTCTTGTTTCAATTAGCATCATCCCAGCCATAATTTTTTACTCTGAGAGTGGTCATTGTTTCCAGTTTCATTTCTTTTCCTTTCTTACAATCCCGGAGCCAGCCTCATGGCCCCCTCTCAAAGGCATGAGCATCAGCCAGTGGACACCTCTTCTTCAGAGATCTGAGTCCCTGCGACACTAGGTACTTCCTCTGAGTTCCAAGGCCACCAGCAACCTCCTTCTCAGAAGCCATCCTCCCAGTTATGTGTGGCCCTTCATCCAAGTTACCAAGTTCTAACAACCCAACCATTTTACCTTTGTTTCTACAACCCTAGGGTTGATCACTGCTTCGCTTTCTACACTTACTATCTCTGTGTTACATCAGTTCCCCTTTTGCCTTCTTAGACCTCCAATACCTGTATAATTCCTTGTGTTAAATTCCCTCTGGTATACTGTTCATTTTCTATTTTTTTTTTTTTTTTTTTTTTTTGAGACAGGGTCTTGCTCTGTTACCCAGACTCAAGTGCTGTGGTGCAATCATAGCTCACTGAAGCCTTAAACTCCTGGGCTCAAGTGAGTGTGCCACCATGCCCAGCTAATTTTTATTTTTTTTAGACACAGTGTCTCACTCTTTTTCCCAGGCTAATCTTAAACTACTAGATTCAAGTGATCCTCCCATTTTGGCATCTCAAAGTGTTGAGATTACAGGTGTGAGCCACCATGCCCAGCCCATTTTCCTTTTAGACCCTGAATGACACACAGTACTACTCACCAATTTACCTGACATGACCATTTGTAGTCAGAGAATATTGTGTGAAACAACTTTGAATTGCATGACTGTATTAGTCTGTTCTCACACTGCTAATAAAGACATACCTGAGACTAGGTAATTTAAAAAGAAAAGAGACTTGATTAACTCACAGTTCAGCATGGCTGGGGAGCCCTCAGGAAACTTACAATCATGACAGAAGGAGATGCAAATACATCCCTCTTCACATGGCAGCAGCAAGGAGAAATGCAGAGCAAAAGCGGGGAAAAGTCCCTTATAAAACCATCAGATCTCGTGAGAACTCACTATCATGAGAACAGCATGGGGGAAACCACCCCCACAATTCAATTACCTCCCACTGGGTCCCTCTCATTATGTGGGGATTATGGGAACTACAATTCAAAATGTGATTTGGGTGGGGACACAGCAAAACCATATCATTCTGCCCTGGCCCCTCCCAAATCTCATGTCCTCACATTTTAAAACACAATCATACCTTCCCAAAAGTCCCCCAAAATTTTAACTCATCCCATAATTAGCTCAAAAGTCCAAGTCCAAAATCTCATCCAAAGGCAAGTCCCTTCTGTCTATGAGCCTGTAAAATCAAAAGCAAGTTAGTTACTTCCTTGATACAATGAGAGTACAGGCATTGGGTAAATACAGCCACTGCAAATGGGAGAGATTGGCCAAAACAAAGGAGCTACAGGCCCCAGGCAAGTCCAAAATTCAATAGGGCAGTAATTAAATCCTTAAGCTCCAAAATAATATCCTTTGACTCCATGTCTCAAATCCAGATCACACTGATGCAAGAGGTGGGCTCCCATGATGTTGGGCAGCTCTGACCCTGTGACTTTGCAGGGTACAGCCCTCTTCCTGGCAGCTTTCACAGCTGGCATTGAGTGTCTGAGTCTTTTCCAGGTGCATGGTGCAAGCTGTCAGTGGTTTTACTATCCTGGGGTCTAGAGGATGGTGGCCCTCTTCTCACAGCTTTACTAGGAAGTGTCCCAGTGGGGACTCTGTGTCGGGGCTCCAACCCCACATATCCCTTCTGCACTGCCCTAGCAGAGGTTCTCCATGAGGGCTCTGCCCTTGCAGCACACCTCTGCCTGGGCATCCAGGCATTTCCACACATCCCCTGAAATCTAGGTTCCCAAACCTCAGATCTTGTCCTCTGCACACCTGCAGGACCAACACCATGTGAAAGCTGCCAAGGCTTGGGGCTCGCACCCGCTGAAGTCATGACTCAAGGTGTACCTTGGCCCCTTGTAGCCATGGTTGGAGTGGCTGGGACACAGTGCACCAAGTTCCTAGGCTGTACACAGCAGGGAGGTCTCTGACATGCCCTGAAGACCTTTTCCCCACTGTCTTGGCGATTAACATTTGGTTCCTCATTACTTATGCAAATTTCTGCAGCCAGCTTGAATTTCTCCCTAGAAAACAGGTTTTTCTTTTCTACCACATAGGCTGCAAATTTTCCAAATTTTTATGCTCTGTCACCTCTTGAACGCTTTGCTGCTTAGAAATTTCGTCTACCAGACACTCTAAATCATCTCTCTCAAGTTCAGAATTCCACAGATCTCTAGAGCAGGGGGTAAAATGCTGCCAGTCTCTTTGCTAAAGCATAACAAGAGACCTTTCCTCTAGTTCCCAACTAGTTACCATTTCCATCTGAGACCACCTCAGCCTGGACTTTATTGTCCATATCACTATCAGCATTTTGGTCAAAGCCATTCAACAAGTCTCTAGGAAGTTCCAAACGTTCCCACATCTTCCTGTCTTCTTCTGAGCCCTCCAAACTGTTTCAACCTCTGCCTGTTACCCAGTTCCAAAGTTGCTTCTACATTTTCAAGTATCTTTACAGCAGTGCCCCACTACCCAGTACCAATTTACTGTATTAGTCCATTCTCACACTGCTAATAAAGACATACCTGAGACTGGGTAATTTATAAAGGAAAGAGGTTTAATTGACTCACAGTTCTGCATGGCCAGGGATACCCCAGGAAACTTACAATCGCGGTGGAATGGGAAGCAAACGTGTCCTTCTTCACATGGCAGCAGCAAGAAGTACAGAGCGAAGTGGGGGAAAAACCCCTTATAAAACCATCAGATCTCGTGAGAATCATTCACTATCATGAGAACAGCATGAAGGTAACTGGCCCCATGATTCACCTACCTCCCACTGGGTCCCTCCCATGACATGTGGGGATTATGGGAGCTACAGTTGAAGATGAGATTTGGGTGAGGACACAGCCAAACCAAATCAATGACATATTTAGATGAACCCAAAATACTGTTTTTCATACACATGCCAAGCAAAGTGAATGAGAGGGTTGCATCTTCTATGACTCTTCAATCTGCTGTACATGTTCACCATTTCAATATTCTATAAAGCCTTTTTGTGTTTAGCTTTTATTTGGTCAAAGCCTTAAGGTAAAGGAAATTATTAATCACATTAAATTTGATATTGAATGCTGGTCTGGCACTGAATCTTCACTGACTTTGAAAGAATAATCCCCTCCCAGTCCTCCTCTATTGACCATCACCTATAACCAAGTCTCCTCTTCCTCCTTTGATGAATACAATAAAAATTCATATGTGAAAACTGTATTTATTTTATTTTTATCTATTATTTACATAAATTTAGTTTGTTTAATCTATATGTTTTCTATCTTTTGGGTATCTTGGGTTAATTTTTCTGTTTAGAATAACAAAAACTTTTTATTCACTTCACATATTTTCACTTAGTTGTAAGATTTTCAAACATAAAGTCATTAAGCAAATGTTTGTGTACAAGACACACAGATACAGAAACTGCCAGGAGAGACTCTGATAACTTCCATACTTCTAATTTTGCATATAAGCTGTCTTCAGGATACACAAAGACTGAGGGAAGAGAAGATGCTAAATGTAAATAATATACATTTATTTATGTATTCATTATCAAGCATATGTTATCTGAATGTCTTTGTAAAGCAATATACAAATAGAATAGGAACGTGATATATTTACTTCCCCAGTTGTGGTGTAAGCATCCTCTAAAAATGCTTACACCACAATTGGGGAAGTAAATATATCATGTATATAACGAATAGACTATAAAAAAGAACACATGGGGCAGGTACGACGGCTCATACCTGCAATCCAGAACTTTGGGAGGCCAAGGCAGATGGATCACTTGAGGTCAGGAGTTTGAGACTAGCCTGGCCAATGTGGTGAAACCCCATCTCTATTAAAAATATAAAAATTAGCCGAGCGTGGTGGCACAGGCCTGTAATCCCAGCTACTTGGGAGGCTGAGGTGGAGGATCCCCTGAACCTGGGAGGTGGAGGTTGCTGTGAACTGAGATCACACCACTGCCCTCCAGTCTGGGTGACAGAGTGAGACTCCATCTCAAAAAAAAAAAGAAATGAAAAAGCAGGAACACATGATAGGGTAGTCTGAGCTCTGTACAAATAGGAACAGTAACATAGACAAGGAGTAATTAGAGTAGGCTGAAAAAAAATCGAAAGATCTTCTTGAAAAAGATCCTGAAGAAATTTATGAAACTGAGTTGACTAAGGGAATAAGGAAGCACGTGAGTAAATACAGCAACATTACCTAAATTCCCTTTCCATCATCTCTCTGTCATCTTCTCCCACCTCTCCTAACCAACCCACAGGGATTTAAAAACATTATTGAATTTTTATCTAAATGTGATGGAGGATGGACAGGAAGAGAATTACTGATTACTCTCAGTCAGGATTCATCCTAGCAGCAATTATTTGTAATTTAACTGAAATAAGTCCATTTGACTGAAGAGACAGCTTGGAAATCACTAAAATGAGAAAGGAGATGTTTTAGAGAGTATGACTTCTATAAGTGAATGAAAGAGAAATCACCCTTAAACTCACTGGTTTGGGGAAGTGAAGTTCCCACAAATGTGACACACAGGAAATTGCCTTTCCACATGTGAGTTTTCTGAACTGAACCAACTGCCATCGATTTGCACTAGTAAGACAGTATTCCTAACCAAAGCAGGGAAAACAATGATGTGATCCCAAGAAGTCCTTGCACTCCCAGACTTCTAGTCTCATCTGTTTAATTTGACATTGTAGGGACCAAGAAAAAGCTTCCCCTTCTATCCTCTGAAAGTTTGCTGAAAATGGACTATAGACAAATTAATAGGAGAAAAAGCCATACAAAATGTATTTAACATGTATAGCTCAGGGGAATTAAAGGAGGATGGTTACCCAACAACCCAGTAAGGTCCAAATTGTTATACACCCTTCCTCACAGAGAAAGGGGAGATGAAGGGTGTAGCAGTAAATGGTTTTCAGGGGGAATGAGTGAACCCAAAGAACAGTGATCTGGGACAAAGTTCCTCTGAGCTCTGGGGTCAGTGGCCAGAAGGTGAAGGACAGAACTTTACTGTGAACAAAGGTTGTTTTATTATTCAGATAAAGCCTCTCAGGTACTCTCTCTGAGCTGCCCTTGGAGGAATACATGAAAAGTCTGTCAGGGCAAGGTGAGGACTCCTAGTTTCTTCTCTTGTGGTTAATCTTTCCTGGTTATTTCATGAGATTCCTAGGGAGGGAGTTTTAAGACAATTGCATTTCTATTTTATTTTATTTTATTTTATTTTATTATTTTATTTTATTTTATTTTATTTTATTTTATTTTATTTTATTTTATTTTATTTTTTGAGATGGAGTCTTGCTCTATCACCCAGGCTGGAGTGCAGTGGCACAATCTCAACTCACTGCAACCTCTGCCTCCCGTGTTTAAGCAATTCTCCTGCCTCAGCCTCCTGAGTAGCTGGGACTACAGATGCATGCCACCACACTCAGCTAATTTTTTGTATTTCTAATAGAGATGAGGTTTCGTCATGTTGGCCAGGCTGGTCTTGAACTCCTGGCCTCAAGTGATCCTCCTGCCTCAGCCTCCCAAAGTGCTAGGATTACAGGCATTAGCCACCGTGCCCAGCAATTCTTTTGGAATCTTTCTTAGTCAGCTGAGGAAATTCCATAGAGAGTCCCTGCTAGTGCTTCAGGAAAGTAAGAGGATGGGGGTGAGGTGTAGGTAAGGGTGAGGAGAGGTCAGAGAGAGATACCTTGAGGCTGCTTCTTTAGTTCAGCATGTCAAAGTGCCATATTTTGGGGTATTGTTTTCTGAGCCCCAGCAGCATCAAAGGTCATAGTTCCTGAAACTGCAGAGACAGCACTGAAGACTGCCATGTAGGAAACAGGATGTCTCTAAAGTGAAAAGAGCCAGGACTTGGATCTAGAAGTGAGTAGTAGAATGGGAAAGAATCTAGTCGTAACTTAGAAACCACCTCAGTCCTTCCTGGGTTAGCATTTGTCATCGTTTACTTAGGCTGCAGCTGAAGGGATTTGATTCAAGCCTCTGTGACTCAGCAGTGGGCACAAGCATTGCTATCCCCCTTTTTTCTAGGAAAATTGTTCAAAAGAAAACCTTGACACAAACTGCGCATTAACCCTATATTACAACATCTTCATAGAGTCAGGTGAGAAGAAGGGAGGCCAGAGGATCCAGTCTTGAATGCTAACGGTATCTTAAACAGGGTCTTTATTGAGTTCTACCTTAGTATGGTAAATTATAGTTGTAAGGAGAATGGTCTCCCCTTTGTCCCTTTTGACTACAAGAAGCCGGTGCTCACCCTCTGAAAAGTCAGAAGATGTACAACATCTGCTACTCCTACCAAATGCTAAGCCACTATGAGGATATAATGCTTTATTTTTATTTATTTATTTATTTATTTATTTAGAGACAGAGTCTCACTCTGTCACCCAGGCTGGAATGCAGTGGTGCAATCATGGCTCACTGCAGCCTCAAACTCCTGGGCACAAGTGATCCTCCTGCCTCAGCCTCCCAAGTAGCTGGGATTATAGGCATGAGCCACCAGGCTCAGCAATGTTTATGTTTTTTTGTGCGTGTGTGAGACAGAGTCACCCAGGCTGAAGTGTAGTGGCACAATCTCAGCTCACTGCAACCTCTGCCTCCCGGGTTCAAGCAATTCTCCTGCCTCAGCCTCCCAAGTAGCTGGGACTACAGGCACAAAACACCACGCCCAGCTAATTTTTGTATTTTTTTAGTAGAGACAGGATTTCACCATATTGGCTGGTCTTGAACTTCTGACCTCGTGATCCACCTGCCTTGGCCTCCCAAAGTGCTGGGATTACAGGCGTAAGCCACCGTGCCCAGCCAACAATGCTTTATTTCTTGACTCTCTTTCTACACCCCTACTGCAAAAGACTAATTTTCCCCAAAGAGGACCTGATTTTGACTGAATTTTAGCCTCTTCCTCTTCCACGTGATAAAGCTGCTAATTGCCTGAGAGAAGACTGCTGAGTTACAGTGTAGAGGGAAGCATACTCAGGGACAATTAGCAACAATTCTGTTTCTGTTAAACCTTATAATTCTTATATCACTACTGCACAGAACTAGACATGGAGCTAGTTTATGTCTCACTGTACCATTTACTAATTTTTTGACCCTGATGAAGTAACTTAACCTCTTGTAGCTTTATCTCATGTACAAAATTGAGACAACAGTAAGATGTTCTCATCTAAGTAAAATGTTGAAATGTTGGAGTGTTCCAGGCTTGTTTAGATAGATGGAAAACACACACACACTCATTCACTCTCTCTCTCTGTTACTCTGTCTTTCCAATAAGTCTTGTTTTCACTTCTTAAGAATCAGCCTAGAGGTGACTGGAGGAAGAGAAACTAAGTTGTGGTGACAAAGAACAAGACTATGAGTAAGGATCACTATTACCCTTACAGACTGGATAAAACCCTAAGAAACAAAATCATTGTGCAAAACCTTTCAGGCCAGGCGCAGCTGCTCATACTTGTAATCCCAGCACTTTGGGAGGCCAAGGTGGGAGGATCACTTGAGCCCAAGAATTCAATGCCAGCCTGGGCAACATAAGAAGACCTTGACTCTACAAAAAATATAAAAATTACCCAAGCCTGGTAGTGCATGCCTGTAGTCCCAGCCACTCAGGAGGTGGGACGATCGCTTGAGCACGGGAGGTCAAGCCTGCAGCGAGCCATGATCATGCCACTGCACTCCAGCCTGAGAGACAAAGCAAGACCCTGTCTCAAAAAAAATTTTTTTCAAGGAATAGAACCACTGCACATGCTCCTCCTGATCCCCCAAAGTGTAAGATTTTCATGCAAATAGCTATCTCCCAGGACTTACATTAGTAAGGTATCTGGATATAAAAATCAGTGTTCCCTAAATCAGCTGTGTTTCCATTATATCAAAAATAAACTTTTAGAAATTACCATTTGAATTAACAAAGATACACACACACACACACACACACACACACACACGCACACACCTAGAAAGAAATCCCGTAAGATTTGTGCAGGGCATTTATGAAGAAAACTGTGCAATTTATGGGAAGTTATTAAGAAAGACCACATAATTTAATAGATACATTAAGTTTATGGTTTAGAAGACTCAATGTCATTAAGTACAAATTTTCTTCAAATTTGTTTACATATTCAATGTAAATCATCTAAATCCCAACAAATACTAAGAAAGCTGACAACTTGATTCAATGTGTACATTAATGAGCAAAAATCCAAGAATAACTATGAAAATCCTGAGATGATTAAGGAGATGTGCACTACCATATATAAGGATGTATTATAAAGCTATAATATTAAGACAATGTGGTATTGAGACAAAGATAAGCAAATTGCTGGTCAAATAGCCTAAGCTCTAAAAACACATATATATGAAACTTTGTGATAGAATTGTCAGTTCATATCAAAAACAGGATGATTAGGTCTTTTAAATGGTACTGACACAACTGCTTATACACAAGGGAAAAAAAAGAAATTAGATACCTGCTTCACATCACCTACAGACATGGACTTAAGACTTAATTGTAAAAGGCAAAACTTTAATACTTTTAGAAGAAAATACTTTGGAATCAGCAAAGATTTCATAAGCAAGACAAAAATACTAATCATAAAATAAAATACTGACAAATTAAACCTCATCAAAATTAAGAACTTTTGTACATGAAAAGACAACATAAAGAAAGTCAGGAAATGAGTTGCCAATCAGAAAAAAATAATTTCAACAGAAGTAAGCCATGAGGGTTTGTATCAGACTAAATTTTTAAACCTTTATAAACCAATAAGAAATAGACAAAAGTGCCCACTATGAACAAAATAAAAGCCACAAACAGATATTTCATGGAAGAAACTGCATAAATGGTAAATTAACATATGAAAAAGGACTCAACCTCATCAGTAATCAGGGAAATCTAAATTAAGTCTACCATAGAGTACTATTTTATAACTACAAAAATGGAAATGGGGACTAAGAAGTCTTCTTACATTATATAAACCAAAAATAAAATTGTAAGACCCCCCAAGCATCTTAATGGACCCCTCCTCTTGGCCAAGGGCATTCCAAAGTGAACCTGAAAAACTAGTTCAGGCCATGATGGGAAGGGGGAGCTGAACATGCCTCATCATACCCTCCTCCCTTTTGGAATTACTGGTAGAACAGACTCTAAGTCTGATAAAAAAAAAAAAACATTTACAATCTATTCTCTCTGAAGTCTGCTGCCTGGATACCTGGAGGCTTCATCTGAATGACAAAACCTTCGTCTCCACAACCCCTTATCACAAGCCAGATATTCCTTTCTATTGATAATAAGGAATTGCCAATCAGAAAATCTTTGAATCTGCCTATGACTTGGAAGCCACCTCACCCCTGCCTGCTGCTTCCAGTTGTCCTGCCTTTCCAAACTGAACCAATGTACCTTTTACATGTATTGATTGATGTCTTATGTCTCTGTAAAATGCATAAAACCAAGCTGCATCCTGACCACCTTGAGTACATGTTCTCAGGATCTCCTGAGGGCTGTGTCACAGGCCATTGGTCACTCATATTTGGCTCAGGATAAATCTCTTCACATATTTCACAGAGTTTGACTTTTTTGTTGACAAATACTAAGTGTTGACAAGGGATTTAGTGACATAGAAATCCTTATATCCTATTAATGACAGGGCAAAGTAGTATAGCCATGTAGAAATTAACTTGGCATCATCTTATAAAATTAAAAATTTACACATCTATAACACCTTATTTTTCTTTCAGTACCTTTTAAAGATGTTGTTGCTACATTGTCTTCTCACTTGCATTATTTCCAACAAGAAATCTGATGTTTTCTTTGTGCCTCTGTGTGTAGCATGTCTTTTTATCTCCGATCACTTTTGAGATTTTCTCTCACTAACTTTCAGTAATTTGATTATTAAATCTTTATGCTGTTTTCTTCATGGTTTTTGTTGTTTGGGGGGTGTTTTTATTTGTTTTTGTGCTTGGGGTTCATTGAGAATCTTGGATTTATAAATTTATAGTGTAGGGGAGAAAAAATAATTTTTCTTCTACCCTTCTGAGTTCTCAGCTGGGACTTTTATAACAAGATAGATTAACAAGAGAAAAGCAGATAATCAGGGAAAAATGAGTAACTCTCAAAGAGGTGGCCTAGAATTTTGGCTTATGTAGCATCTTCAACTAAAAGAAAGAAAGAAGGGTGTTGGGAAAGCAAGCTATGGGAAAGTGTTCAGGAAAATCAAACAAGAGTAAGGTTTATTATGCAGATTTAAATTGGTGCCTTCTCCATTGGTAAGAGCCTTTTGTGATTTAGTCCTCCTTCTTTTCCCAGCCCAGAGAGGGAGATAGCCTTAGAAATGGAGATTTCTTTTAAAAATGTAAATTTCCCTTACAGAAGGGTAACTTCTACTGTGTTTTTAGAATTCTCCTGTGTCTACTGTTTCTCAAAATAATCCTTATGCCAAAAAGTCATATTTTAGGGTGGCACATGCCTGTCTCCTACAAGTTTTCATCAAGTTTGAAAACTTTTTGGTCATTCTTTGTTCAAATATTTTTTCTATCTGTTACCAGGAAGGGGTCCCAATCCAGACTCCGAGAGGGTTCTTGGATCTCATGCAAGGAAGAAGTTGGAGTGAGTCCATAGAGTAAAGTGAAAGCAAGTTTATTTAAGAAAGTAAAGAAATAAAGAATGACTACTCCATAGGCAGACCAGCCCCAAGGGTTACTGGTTGGCTATTTTTGTGGTTATTTCTTGATTATATGCTAAACAAGGGTTGGATTATTATTCCTTTCCAGGAAAGGGGGGGTGCAATTCCAGGAACTGACAGTTCCTCCTCTTTTTAGACCATATAGTGTAATTTCCTGATGTTGCCATAGCACTTGTAAACTGTCATGGTGCTGGTGGGAGTGTCTTTTAACATGCTAATGGTTATAATTAGCATATAATGAGCAGTGAGGACGATCAAAGGTCACTTTCATCACCATCTTGGTTTTAGTGGCTTTTGGCCAGCTTCTTTACCATATCCTTTTATCAGCAAGGTCTTTGTGACCTGTTCCTTGTGCTGACCTCCTATCTCATCCTGTGACTAAGAATGCCTTAACCTCCTGGGAATGCAGCCCAGTAGGTCTCAGCCTTATTTCACCCAGCCCCTATTCAAGATGGAGTTGCTCTGGTTCAAACGCCTCTGACATATCCACCTTCCTCTTTTTTCAAGGACTCCAATTGTAACGCTAAAGATTTTTGCCTTAGCCAGACCAAAGAATTGGTGTGGCGGCTGCCCGTGGCGATGGAAACACGGACCAAGAGAAAAAAGGCTGTAGGCTTTATTGAGCAGAGTGACAGTACAAAGCTTTTCAGCGTGGAAGGGGTTTCGAGCGGGTAGTCAGAGGTCGATGATGCAGTTGCTTTTGAAACTCTTTAAGGCGGGAAATACGTGTAGAGGGAAGATGTTACCAGAGCGAGAAACAAAGGCAGTAAATTATTTTGTGACATGTCTTAGATTTTGAGGAAAACCAGAATTGTAACTTAGGTTTTATTTATTTTATGACCTTGCAGCAGCATGGCAAAGGAAACAATCTTACAGGACTTTATAAAGTATGTTTACAAGGAATTGGAATTGGGAGTATAGATAAAGTTCGCTGGTCATAGAAAAACAGGCATTTAATATTCCTTTTAGTTTTAGGGGAGGGGGAAGGGAGAGAGGGAGAGAGGACACAGGGAAGCTTACAGCAAAATTTTTGCTGTTTATAGCTTTTTTTGGGAAGAAAACACATGCACAAATCCTGGTGTTAGGAATATTTTAAGCATATATCTTTAATATTATTCATTCAGGACCGAAGTAAGTTCTGATGCAGAAAATGAGTGAGTTTTACAGCTTTCTGAGCCCGTTTGACTCAGGAAGCCCAGCTGGCCCCCTCCTTTCAAAATTACACATATATTAGGCCACTTGAAGTTGTCCCACACCTCACTGATGCTCTTTTCATTTTTTTTTAACCCTCTGTTTCATTTTGGATTGTTTCTATTGCTCTGTCTTTGCATTCATTAATCTTGTTTTCTGTGGTCTAATGTGCTCTCAATCCCATCCAGCATACTGGTATTCATCTCTAGAAGTTGGCTTTTAGTGTTTTTCTATTTTCCATGTCTTAATTGAGGTAAGACCCTTCTGGGTTCTCTATCACATGCCTTGTGAATTGTGCTCTCCTTTTTTGGGAACTGGCACTATTTCCAGCCCTGTGTGACTGTTGGGTACTGTTCTAGCTAATGCTTTCAAGTGGTTCTTTCCTGGGGTAGTTTTTTCACACACATGCACCTGTGAAATTAAAAAAAAAAAGAAGAAGAAACTTTTTATCTGAGGAATGTGAGCCCCTTTAAATTATCAGGCTCGGAGAGGCATTGGAATGAAACTGCAGTCACATCACTCCCCCTTGAGTGATTATCTTGTAAAGCCACTTGCTATACGGGCTCCAGACTAACTGATGCCAAGCAGCCATAAAATACCATATGCTGGACACCACGACTCATATCCTATAGTTCAACAGTGTATAACCAATAACTAATCCATGTCATCTCTGTAAGCCAATGAAAATTTCTATCAAAGAACTTTGTATCCATCCACTTCTTCTTACCTTTGCCTTTAAAAACCTGCTTGTAACAAAAGCTGATTGAGCACTCCCTGAGTTAACTTGGAAGTGTGTCCTGGGCAGCTGTGCTCACTTTGGCTCAAGTAAACTCTTTAAATTATATCTTGTGCTTCAGCCCCTTCCTTCTAGATCAGCACACTGATTACTACTCTGCTGAATACTTGGTGGGGACCCTCAGCAGATCTCTGGAATTCTCTCTGTGTGCAGCTTTTTCATTTCCATTTCTTGGATCCATGAGCTCTAGCCACCTTGGTCTCTCCAGACTCAGCTCTGTCTCCTCAATTCTGGGACTCCACTGGGACCTGCCTGAGTTCCCCTGTACCACAGCCTGGAGACCCTCTCAATGCAGTAGGTGAGGCAATTGCAGGGCTCATCTTTTTTCTTCCGTATCTCTCAGGGGTGACTGTCTTTTGTTGCCTGATGTCCACAGTTTCAAAAAACATTGTTTCATGTATTTTGTTCTTTTGTTTAATTTTGTTTAATTTTGTTTCAGGTGAGAGGATAAATCCAGTCTCTGCTACTCCATCTTGGCTGGAAATCTGGTATATCATTAATAATATTCTTGTTGTTAATTTGGGTTGTGGGTTTATAAATGTTCATTTTCTTATTTTGCATCATTAACCATATACACATATATATTACACATTTTTTCATTTGCGTAAAATATTAGTCAACTTTTTTAAGTTCTAAAAGAAAGTGAAGAGCCCTGGGGCGGAACAAGGGCAAAGAAGTAGGAAGAGTCTGTGGCCAACCTCTTAACTCACGTACCTTTCTGACCCCTCTACCTCTTCTACCTA
This sequence comes from Homo sapiens, assembly GCF_000001405.40. Classification (NCBI taxonomy): domain Eukaryota; kingdom Metazoa; phylum Chordata; class Mammalia; order Primates; family Hominidae; genus Homo; species Homo sapiens. The sequence goes on from NC_000001.11 coordinate 149,778,313, forward strand.
GAGCCCTCCATCTCAGCCAGCTCCCCCTGTCCTTGTCACCATGACTCTGAAGGTGCCTTTCTGACACACCAAGATGGTCAAGGAAAAATGGTGCTGGGTTAGGTGACAGGGAAGATCATGAGCTTTCATACTTTATGATCTGACAAGCCACTGTAGCCTCTCACATTTATACACTAAGTGAGGGTCTTTCAGAATAGCGCTTCAGTGTCTGCACCTGACTCACACTATTAGGCAGTTAAAAGCTGGGGAATGAGCTCATGTGAAGAGTTTTTCCATTTCAGATGATAGCTATTTTTAGGAACACAAGCTACATAAATGTTTTAACCCTTTTCCCATCCTTTTCCTCTTGCTGCTGTGATACAGGAAGAAAATCAAAATGGAGTGACCTTGCTATCTGGGGAAAGATGAAAACTGCATATGCAAAAGCAAACAGACTGAGATTTATAACGAGTTGATCCCTTAAAAGCTTAGGAAAGAATCTCAAGGGCACATAGGAAAATAAGCAAAGGGCTTGATAGACATATTCATGACAACACAAGAAGGTGAAGTCGGGAAGAGGAAATGGACAAGGTCATCCCAAATTGAAATAACTTATAAAAGATAAATTATAATATCTCCAGAAATTAACTGTAAACATTCCTATAAAATCATAGATGATAATTTTTTAAAATAAAAGATTGAGTAGTAAGAATAACTAAGAATAAAAAATTAATGAGTTCCTAGTGGAAACTTAAAATTGAACCACTGGGGGACTTTCTATAATGAATGGCAGTTGAAGAAAAAAATCGGGTAAACTTTATATGAATATTTGAGAAACACCTCAAGCATTAGCAACTACATAAAAGTTATACATTTCACCTGTCCAAGAGCTGTTACAACAGTATACAAAACATATTAAGCAAAATTGTACTATAGACAATTACTTATATGCAATTCTTTACTTAAAATTTAGCAGATACATTTGAATAGTTTCTAAAACACATGATCATCAAAGAAGGAATTGAGTAGGAAATAAAGCATTACTGTTTTTTACTCATAAAGAGATGAAAATAAAATAAATTATTGGTCAATTCTTTATGAGATTTAAATTATCTTAGCATTTATTTGTTTGTTTTTGAGACAGGGTCTTGCTCTGTCACTCAGGCTACAGTGCAGTGACACAATCACAGCGCACTGCAGCCTTAACCTCCCAGACTCAAGCAATCCTCCTGCCTCAGCCTCCCAAGTAGCTGGGACCACAGGCATGAACTACCATGCCCAGCTAATTCTTTTTATTTTTAGTAGAGACAGGATCTCACTATATTACCCAGGTCAGTTTCAAACTCCTGGGCTCAAGCAATCCACACACCTTGGCCTCCCAAAGTGTTGGGATTACAGGCATGAGCCACTGCACCCAGCCTATCTCATCTTTTAAAAAAAACATATCAAATAATTGTTCATAAATCATTTTCTGTAGTAGAGAGCAATTTTTCTTAAAATTGGCAAATAAGATTTTGCATCTACCTTTGAGAAAATTGTATTTGTAAAGTGATTTTAAAAGAATGAAGCCTATGAGTATGATGGCATTATAAAAGTATCAGTGGCCAGGCGCAGTGGCTCATGCCTGTAATCCCAGCACTTTGGGAGGCTGAGGCAGGCGGATCACAAGGTCAAGAGATTGAGACCATCTTGGCCAACATGGTAAAACCCCGTCTCTACTAGAGATACAAAAATTAACTGGGCATGGTGGTGTGCACCTGTGATCCCAGCTACTGGGCAGGCTGAGGCAGGAGAATTGCTTGAACCTGGGAGGTGGAGGTTGCAGTGAGCCAAGATCGTGCCACTGCACTCCAGCCTGGGTGACAGAGCGAGACTCCATCTCAAAAAAAAAAAAAGTATTAATATATGGAAATACAAATGTCATATATAGATGTAAATTCTCCTAATTGTTCTTCTGAGCATCATGATTTTTTTCCATGAATTTTTATTTTAAGTTCCAGGGTACATGCGCGGGATGTGCAGTTTGATTACATAGGTAAACGTGTGCCATAGTGATTTGCTGCACAGATCAACCCATCACCTAGGTATTAAGCAAAGCATTTATTAGCTCTTCTACCTGACATTCTCCCTCCCCCAACCCCACCCGACTGGCCACAGTATGTGTTGTTCCCCCACCATGTGTCCGTGTCTTCTCATCGTTCAGCTCCCACTTATAAGTGAGAACAGAGCATCATGATTTTCATTGTCCATCAAATGCTAGAAGACTACTCTGCTTTTGTTACTATGTTTGCCCCATTTTTCTAGCTCTTCTTACATGAATTTAAACCTACATCAATGGCTATTTCCTCAACATTTGGAAACAACAATACTTATTAGAAAGAAAGTATTTTATCCTTCCAGGCTATAGATCTTACATTCCTCTTACACAACAATCCTAATTCCCTCATGTTATCCTGATCAATGAAATGATTTCACTTATTTTTCAAAGAAGTAGCTATTTTACTACAAAGCAGGAATCGCAAGGCATGGGGTGGGCACTGTTATACTCCATCAGTGAGTACGTAAAGGAAATCAAACTGTCTGATTTTGAATCCTGCTTCTATTTTTTACAACCTTGGACAAATTACTGATTTCCTCTTTCACTAGGTTTATCATTTGTAAAATGGAGATACTAGTGTCTACTCATGGATTATTGTGAGGCTTAAATAAGAAAACATGTATCAAGCATATTTGTCTGGCATGTAATAAGCACTCTAAAATTTATGCAGTGATGAGGATAATGATCATAGACAATCTGATAGCATCTTATCCAAAGGAAAAAATGCGCATTTCCTTTGAGTAAGCACTACTGATTCTAGGAATGTGTCCTAAGGAAAAAATAAGTCAAATGTTTAAAGGTAGTCACAAGACTATTTTGGTAGTAAGCAGTCTTTTTTACTGGTCACACAGTAAAAAATTAGAAATAACCTACATGTTCATGAAGAGAAGTTGGTGAAATAAATTATGGTACATGCATACAGTAGAAAACTTTGGAGACAAAATAGTAAAATAGTTACAGATATAGGCTTTGAATATAAATTTTAACAAGCTGAGGCTTCTCTCGTCTCTTCAGAACACCCTGAGTTCTTCCCGGCCTTTCTTCCTTGCTTTTCATTTGTGTCAGTCAGCTCTTGCTCGTATAGCAATCCTCAAATCTCAGTAGCATATAAAGGTAAGCATTTAGTTCTCACTTACAAGTTTGCAGGGCAGGTGAGGCAGCTCTGCCTCAAGCCACAATGTCTAGGACAGCTCTGTTTCGCACTGTGGCTGACTAGCTAAAAAATGTTCTTGTCTCAGCAATCACAGGAGAACAAGAGGGTGAGAGATAATGTGTGAAGCTTCCTAAGTGCTAAGTTTGAAATTAGCACCATGTCATTTCCATTCACATTTCGCTGGCCAATGAAAGTCTCATGATGAGCCACAGTCAAGAGTCAGAGACATACCCTCATGAGGCTGTGGAGAGAGTGTAGATTCAGGGAGCGGTGAGAAACTGGGGCCAGTACACCAACTTACAGCATGATTTGTCATCATTTTTCATTCTCTGCTAGTAAGATTGCCAAAGTCTCTCTGCACTCATTGAATTCATTTAGCTCTCTTTAGCTCTCTTTTTTTAGCTCTCATTTAGTTTCCATTTAGCTCTCTTTCTCTCTTACCACAATACCTAAAAATCTTTTTATGGGGTTACAACTCTGTCTCAGGAGCCACCTCAGTTTGGTGGCACAGAGCTCCCCACTTGTACTCTGAAACTCTTTTCTTGAAGATATTGCTATCCATGTGCATGAGTTATTTTTCTTCTCCATAGCATCCACATTAAACAATTAATTACCTTGGATTTAGCCAAAATAAACACTCCAAATTCATGATGTCTTTCAGGAAGAGAGTTTGTTTTCTTTTTTAACCAAAATGGGAGATTGATCCTGTCTGTGTCCCCTAGAGGAGCAGAGGCTGGTTTGTATTAGGGCAGCTCTTGTAGATGAGTAACTTTTCCCATGGCCTCATAGAGGCTGATATAGAAACTTCTGGATTCAAATGATTGTTTGGAGGCATTAGCCAGGCATTGAACCAATTATAAAGAGTGAGGTTTTGCCATATTCTAACCGTAAGAAACAGAAACGGTAGAGGGTAAAAATAGAATAGAATGTCAATACAACTTTAGCCTTTTCCCTGGATTCTGAGAGTTCATAACCTGAAAATCAGAGATTCAAACTGGGAGAGATGGGCTAACAGGTATGAGCATGGGAAAAGCATGTTTCAAGAATTTGAGATGTATTTCCCAGAAAAGCAACATGATGAAAATGGTCAGAAAAGGCAATTTCCTTCCTCTTTTCTAATTTGGCTCTGGAGCCACCAGCAGAACCTCTTCAATATCTTGCATGTTACAGATTTCACTGCTCCCACCAGCTTGGAGACAACATGTGGTTCTTGACAACTCTGCTCCTTTGGGGTAAGTTGGACTCAGAGGGGACAGTTAGAAGGGTACAGGCTGTGGCTGTTGTGAGTCAAGAGTTTTGTCTTCCTGTGGTAACTCTGGGTAGAACTCATGAGTATGAAGCAACTTGTATCTGTGCTTCCATGGTTTATTAGAGCTTATTTTATGAAAAGGATGGGAAGGGCAACCCTGAGGTAGCATTAAGCCTGGACGCACCGCAGTGAAGTTTCCTTGATAACCACCTGTAGCTTGTTCAGTTCTGTTAGTACTGGATTTTGAGAAAGAGAAATAGAAACTCAAGAGATCTGAGTTGATCCCTCAGAGTCTACATTAATTCTGTCTCCCCAATTCTCTCTTCCTCATTATTTTCCTTGGACCAACTGATATCTTTATTCTCTGATCTCTTGCAGTTCCAGTTGATGGGCAAGTGGGTGAGTGATCTCTAACTCAGCTTCTCCTTCTATGCCACTTTCCTACTTCCAAAGGATGGGTCCTATTAACCTGCAGAAGAGCATATAGGGAAAGCAGAGAAAGAAGAAAGATTTATAAATTATGTAAAATCTCCCATATTCAGAGCATGATTTTCATAAAAACTATGATTTGTAAGCTTTCTTTCTAAAGTTTTCTGAATGAGCTCTTTCCTCTGAGCGAAATGCCTGAATGTATATATAACAGCAGGAAAGGGCCAGAATTGCACAAACACTAAAGTAGTCTGCTGACACTGAAGTAGTCTGCTGGGTTTCCCAACATCCCCTAAACCAGTCCCCTTTACAAGAAAGCAGAGTGGGTTTTTTCTCCTCAGAAAGAGCCAGGCAAATACTGAAGGCTTCAAAGAGAGGAGTTTGAACCTCCGTTTCCAATGTACAAGCTGCTGAAGCCCTGCAATGTACTCTCAGAGACAGTATAGCTCAGAGGATAAGGAAAACAGCTCCGCTTGGCTTGCCCAAGTCTAAAACCCTGCTTCATTGCTCCCAACAGAAAAACCTACATCAGTAATTTAATCCTCAGGAGCCCCAGATTCCCAACACCCAGATGAGGATTTAATAACAATGAACAGAGGTCTCTGCAGCAGGAGGACACTCTTAAAGGCTGGCTTTTGTAGGTTTCCACTTGCCTATTTTTCAAATAAATCTAAATATGTATTTTTCCCTTGTGCTATCCACAAAAGCCTCACCAGTTGCTCAGAGCCCTCCCCTTTACTCCACTTGATCTTTTTCTTTTTCTTCTTGTAATCTCCAAGTAGACACCACAAAGGCAGTGATCACTTTGCAGCCTCCATGGGTCAGCGTGTTCCAAGAGGAAACCGTAACCTTGCACTGTGAGGTGCTCCATCTGCCTGGGAGCAGCTCTACACAGTGGTTTCTCAATGGCACAGCCACTCAGACCTCGACCCCCAGCTACAGAATCACCTCTGCCAGTGTCAATGACAGTGGTGAATACAGGTGCCAGAGAGGTCTCTCAGGGCGAAGTGACCCCATACAGCTGGAAATCCACAGAGGTAATTATGACTTGGACCAGGAGGGCCGGAAACCACAAGGTCTTCCTCTGCGTTCTCTCCTTTCTGGATGCCAGATGTGTGTGTGTCGATTTATCTGGGTGCAGGTCTCAGCACTATGTACCTACCAGGTGAAACTAAATCAGTATACTCAAAACATCACAGCAGGGTCCTTAAACTGTGTACCAACAGTACCTCAGCTAGGCCAGCTCTAAGTAGGATGTCTAGAGTAAGACTTAGGCCCTAAGATTGTATCATTATTCCAAATGTATGCCTGTACATAGTAAATAATAATAATTCAAACAAATGAGCAATAATGAACAATGAAATATCTTCCTCCCACCCAAAACCTAGATCTGCAGTCACCTTCCACAGAAACAAAACTGCTAATATATATATACATATTATGCATATATATGTATATATTAGCATTATTATATATAAACTATATATATATATATATATACACACATATATATAGTTTTAAAGCTGTGGGTGGTAGAACACTTTCTAAGTATTGTCCTATATCTTACTTTTATCACTTAAAATACCTTAAAGTTCTGTTTATATTAATAGAAATCCACTTTAAAATGTCTGCTGCACAGCTGTACCAGAATTAATTTAACCATTCTGCCTATTAGCAAATTTATAAGATGTTTCCACTCTTTTGATTTTACAAGCATTGCTGCAATAATTATCTTTATACATACATTCCGGGGGCACATTTCATAGGGTATCTGTAAGATAATATTCTGGACATGGAATTATTGTCATATTTTAATAAATGGAAGCAGAAAAGCCCACCACCCACTTAAACCTGTAAGGAGTTTCTATTCATCAAGAGATGGAGACTGCAATATTCTTCAGGGAAAAATGCTTCATTCAATATGCAAGACAAAATAACCAAATGTATTATTTAGTTATTCAGAAGTGATGAGTTTAAACTTCGTTAAAAATGATAATGCAAAAGTCAATCCACACTGGAGGCAAAATTGCCTTTATGCAGACATGGTTGCTGTTAGAGGAAATGTGTTTTAGCCAAGGAAATGTTGAGAATGTCTGAGGGAAGGCTTGATGTTCCTCATGTGTCCCTTAGGTCTCTGTAAATAAGTTCTTAGGATGGAGAGGTTAGGGAAGCTGACAGAGCTGTTTCGTTTTTTTTTTTTTTTTTTTTTTTTTTGAGACAGAGTCTCACTCCGTTGCCCAGGCTGGAATGCAGTGGTGTGATCTTGGCTCACTGCAACCTCTGACAGAGCTGTTTCAACAAGATACTTTGGGTAATTCAAGCAGAAGTGTTTCATGGTTCAAGTGACAACAAAAGGACTAGGGCTGGGAAGAGTCCATTTTCTTTACCTCTACACAGACTCTAGGACACTCAGCATCAGTGACTTACTGAGAATCATATCTTTTTTATATTACATTTTAATGTGAATTTTCATTGAAATATAACTTATGTACAACAAGCCATAAATGTATGCCACAGTAAATTTTTTCAAAGTAAACAGCATCCAGATCTATTTTAGACATTTCCAGCACCTCAGAAACTCCTTCTTGCCCATTTCTAGTCCACCCCTGACACTGACTTCCAGCACCATAGGTTTTTTGCCTATTTTTGAACTTCATATAAAGGGCTACGGTATGGGACAGGATGTACTCTTTTGTGTCTGGTTTATTTTTCTCAACATTATGATTGTGAACTGTATACATGTTGTAAATTGAAGTTCATTTGTTCTTATTACTGTATATTTCATATTTTCCCATTCTGCTGAGGGGCTCGGGTTGCTTCTGGTTTTGACCACTTACAAATAGTAATGCTGTGGATATTTTTGTTTACATGTTTCAAATATTTTCTACCATTACTAATGTTTGACAGTATCTGATGGAGGTATGTTACAATTTCCCACTCTTTTGGATATACAAATGCAAATTAAGCATTTCCCTAATGACTATGATATTGACCATTTTTCACGTTTATTACCTATTTGGGTATCCTTTTTTGTAAGGTCTTTTTGATAATTTTTCTATTGTCTGTCTTTTTCTTACTGACTTACAGGAGTTATTTATATATTCTGGATATAAGTCCTTTTTCAAGTGTCTTAAATATCTTCTCCCACTCTGTGGCTTTTCTTTTCACTATAATATTAAAGTTTTGTTTGTTTTCAATGAACAAGACTTGTTAATTTTACTACAGTACAATACACCAACATTTTTGGTTGGTGCCGTCTATGCCCTATTTTAAAATGTTTTGCCACAGTCAGCCATGGGGAATTCAATTGCAGCTCACTGACTCTTAGTCATTTCAATTTAATCAGTATATGCTAAGACCAAGAAAATGCAGCTGGTTGGTGGACCCGAGCCCTAATCATATGGCTGACACCAAAGTCATGAAGGTAGGGGAATGATTGTTGAGTAGGAAATTAGTAATGTCTGCTAAAAGCTGCATCTCGTGAGTTTTGATATATAATACTACCATTACCATTTAAGTTTAAAAACTCATAAATTTCCATTATACATTATTTTATTCATGAATTACTTAGATGTTTTTTGGAGGGTAGTTTTTTGCTATTGATTTCTAATATTATAGCACTTTGGTTAGAATTTGTGTTAAACATGGTATCAGTTCATTAGTATTTGTTGAAAATTGCTTTGTGGCCTAGTTCACACTTAATTTTTCTAATATTGCATGTGTGTTTGAAAAGCATATGAATTTTCTTTCTAAAGTAGAGCATCCACAAAATCAAGCCTATTAATTGTGTCATTCAAATATTTTCTACCATTACTAGTGTTTGACAGTTTCTGATGGAGATGTGACAGCACTTCCCACTCTTTTGGATATATAAAGCAAAGATGGCAGTGTTTGGGCAGTGCAGTCTTTCAGCATCTGCTGGCTGTGGGTGGGAATAAGGGAGGGAAGAGAATTAATTCTATTTGGAAGCATTATATCAGTATCCATGACTGTAAAATTCATGCTATGTATAGCATAGAAACACCTGCCTTCCATTCTTAGATAAGTTCTGGAGGGGGAAAAGGCACTATTGTCTCTTTTCCGCCTTAGTCTCCTAAGAACCCCATTTTTACTTAGCCAAACCAACTGCCTCTGGAGAAAAGAAAAGTAGTTGAAGCATTTTTGGTTATGTGTAGAGGTGTATGTCGAAAGGAAAAGCCCATTGACTTGGAGCTTGTTTTGCTAGTGATATCATTGATCTTACATATGTGAGTATTCATATCAATGTAGTAGGATGTTTATATCTGGATGTTTGCCCTTCTGTGTGTTTGTCTTAGGATGCGTGGTCCTATTAACAAATTTGTCAAGAGTTGGAGTGTATTTGTTTTCTATTGCTGTGTAACAAATTTAGCAACAACATACATTTAAGATCTTCCAGTTTCCATGGGTCAGGACTCCCATCACAGCTTAGCTGAGTGCTCTGCTGAGAGTCTTCCAAGGCTGCAGTTAGGGTGTTGACTTTGCTGTGTTTCTTTTTGCAGCTCTTCCAGGCTCACAAGGTCACTGGCAGAATTCAGTTCTTTGTGGTTGTAGGACTGAGGTTCCTGCTTTCTTGCTGCCCATCAGTGGGGGGCCACTCTCAGCTCCTAGAGGCCCTTGCCTTGTGGCACTCTTGTAGGCCCTCTCCTGGCATGGCAGCTTACCTCTTCAAGTTCAGGAGGAGACTTTCCATCCAGACTGCTAAGATAGAGTCTTACATAATGTAGCAATCCCAAGAGTGACATTTCATCACCCTTGTCATATTCTGTTGGCTAGAAGCAAGTCATAGGTTCCACCCACACTCAAGGGGATTATGCAAGGGAGTGAGTCATTGGGATCATTTTAGAATTCTGCCTACCATGCTGTATGAACTGTTTTTGTTTCAACCAACTTCTGAGATCTGGAAAGGGAAGATAAGAAAGGGCTGTGTACGCAGTTGCCAGTAAAGATTGCTTTTCTTTCCACCAAAGCTAAAGATATTTGAGGAACTGGATATAGGCCTGAGATTTGGCAGAGCTCTGAGGCTGGATGTTGCAAGGAGAAAAAATAGGAAGCCCACAGGGCCAAGCTTGGGCCTCCTTGTACCTCCTCCACTGTATACATACATTTTGGGTTCATATTTTTCAGGCTGGCTACTACTGCAGGTCTCCAGCAGAGTCTTCACGGAAGGAGAACCTCTGGCCTTGAGGTGTCATGCGTGGAAGGATAAGCTGGTGTACAATGTGCTTTACTATCGAAATGGCAAAGCCTTTAAGTTTTTCCACTGGAATTCTAACCTCACCATTCTGAAAACCAACATAAGTCACAATGGCACCTACCATTGCTCAGGCATGGGAAAGCATCGCTACACATCAGCAGGAATATCTGTCACTGTGAAAGGTATTGTATTGGAATAGTCATAGAACTGATAGTCCCTCCCCCTGAGGGACCATCATAAATATTCTAAACTCCTCACTTTAATTTACAAGTGAAGAAACCGGGCTCCAGAGAGGTAAACTGCATTACTAAAGGCCACACCATGACCAGTAGCTGGAACCAGAACTGAGGTCTCTGGGTCCTAGTCCAATACTCTTTCCAGTGTACCGCAACCCCCATCAACAATCACAGGAGCTAATGTCAATGTCAGGGCATAATGGTGATCCATTTCATCCATCATTATTTTAGTTGTAAAGAATACAGACTCACTCTAGGTAGATAGGAGAGTTAGAAAATAATACCATGGAATCTCATGGAAGCCCCATAGAAAGAGAAACCTGGAAAATATGAAGAACGGGCTATACTGTCCATCTACCTCTCAGGGACAAAGCAGCCTCTGTGGTGCCACTTCTTCCTGAGCATCTGCAGGCTAAGCAGTTTGCATATGGCCTTGTTCTGACCCTTTCACGGCCTTTCCTCTTAATACAATCACTAGCAACCTTTCTCTGTCTGAGAAAAAAAAAAGTTCACTCCTGTGGGAAAGAAATTATTGTCCCAGATTATCTTTTAAAGTCAGGAACAAAAATAATGAGTCACTGAAATGTGGCGGGCACCTGTAGTCCCAGCTACTCGGGAGGCTGAGGCAGGAGAATAGCATGAACCCGGGAAGCGGAGCTTGCAGTGAGCTGAGATAGCGCCACTGCACTCCAGCCTGGGCAACAGAGCGAGACTACGTCTCAAATAATAATAATAATAATAATAATAATGATGATAATAAAGTCACTGAAATGGCAAGTGTGTGAGTCAGGGTTCACTCCTAGTTGACCACTGCCAAAAGGGCATGGTTACTGACCAGATGACACGGTCATTCAGGGAAGGATGGACCTTGTAGAGCAGGGGTTCCCAACCCTTACTGGTCCGTGGCCTGTTAGGAACTGGGCTGCACAGCAGGAGGTGAGCTTCTTCATGAGCCAGCATTACGGCCTGAGCTCCTCCTCCTGTCCAATCAGTGGCAACATTAGATTCTCACAGAAACATGAACCCTATTGTGAATTGTGCGTGCCTGATGATCTGAGGTGGAACAGTTACCTTCCAAAACTGTCCCCACTTCACCCCCCGGCTGTGGAAAAGTTGCCTTCCACAAAATCCATCCCTAGTGCCAAAAAGGTTGGGGACCACTGGTATAGAGGTATCCTCAGTAGGACTCAGCAAGCTGGCAACCCTAATTATGTCTATTAGGACACCCCAAGAATGGCTCTCTGCTGGAAGTAAAAAGGGTTAATGCCTTATGGATGCATTTTCTAGGGCCAGGTTTCCCAAGGGGGTAAAGGGCATGTCTTTTGTGAAAAGGACCTGGATGCTAAACAGGCAACCTTGTCCCCCATCAACTTTCTCCTTAGAGCTATTTCCAGCTCCAGTGCTGAATGCATCTGTGACATCCCCACTCCTGGAGGGGAATCTGGTCACCCTGAGCTGTGAAACAAAGTTGCTCTTGCAGAGGCCTGGTTTGCAGCTTTACTTCTCCTTCTACATGGGCAGCAAGACCCTGCGAGGCAGGAACACATCCTCTGAATACCAAATACTAACTGCTAGAAGAGAAGACTCTGGGTTATACTGGTGCGAGGCTGCCACAGAGGATGGAAATGTCCTTAAGCGCAGCCCTGAGTTGGAGCTTCAAGTGCTTGGTGAGTGAGAATGACGGGAAGCCACTGGCACAGAAGAAGGGACTCCCTTATCTCCCATGGGACTGAGGTTTGTTCAAGGGTTTTTGGCCCAGACAGGAGGGGAAAGTCTCTTCAGGAAAAGCCCACAAGCAGGCCTTTCCATCCTTGATTCACAACATCACTCTTCTCCTCGCAAACTGTTAAATTTCCTTTCCTTTCTTTTTCTTTTTCCTTTGCCTTTCCTTCCTCCATTTCTTTCCTTCATTTTCTCCTCTGTCCTTCTTTTTTTCTCCTTCATTTTATTTTCCCCTCCCTCCCACTCTTCCCTCCACTCCATGACCCCCCCTTCTCTCTCTCTCTCTCCCTGCTTCCCTGCCTCCCTCCTCCTCACCAACAATCTCACCAACAATTTATCAAGTTCTTCCTATCTGTTGTCATACGTCTGGGGATATAAAGACATTTGAGTATAGTTCTTGCTTCAAGGAGCTCACAAGGTGGATTTATCAGACAGTGATTTTGTAAACTGCAAATCACCACCTCCCCAAGTATCTCTATTTAACTGAGGCAGAGGGATTGTGAGCTCTAGAACAAAGTCTCCTTGGGGGGGAAAAAAGTTCATCTTCAACCCAAATTCATTTCAAGTATTAAATGGCACAGAGATATCAGTTGTCTCTGGAACTAGGGAGTAAGTCCACTGACAGGGCCCAGCAATTAAGCTCTTCCAAGGAGCCTGTCCCTGTCTATACACCATATAGCCAGTTAGAGCTACCGCCAGTTCCTTCCTGCTCCCTGAAATGACCAGTGCCTCCCTGAGGACAGGCACATCAGGTCTCAGCCAACCTTCCCTTCCAAACATAACTCAGCTAGACCCCTCTGGTCTCTAAATAGTATCTCTTCTCTTTGTCTTTTTCTGTTTCAGGCCTCCAGTTACCAACTCCTGTCTGGTTTCATGTCCTTTTCTATCTGGCAGTGGGAATAATGTTTTTAGTGAACACTGTTCTCTGGGTGACAATACGTAAAGAACTGAAAAGAAAGAAAAAGTGGGATTTAGAAATCTCTTTGGATTCTGGTCATGAGAAGAAGGTAATTTCCAGCCTTCAAGAAGACAGACATTTAGAAGAAGAGCTGAAATGTCAGGAACAAAAAGAAGAACAGCTGCAGGAAGGGGTGCACCGGAAGGAGCCCCAGGGGGCCACGTAGCAGCGGCTCAGTGGGTGGCCATCGATCTGGACCGTCCCCTGCCCACTTGCTCCCCGTGAGCACTGCGTACAAACATCCAAAAGTTCAACAACACCAGAACTGTGTGTCTCATGGTATGTAACTCTTAAAGCAAATAAATGAACTGACTTCAACTGGGATACATTTGGAAATGTGGTCATCAAAGATGACTTGAAATGAGGCCTACTCTAAAGAATTCTTGAAAAACTTACAAGTCAAGCCTAGCCTGATAATCCTATTACATAGTTTGAAAAATAGTATTTTATTTCTCAGAACAAGGTAAAAAGGTGAGTGGGTGCATATGTACAGAAGATTAAGACAGAGAAACAGACAGAAAGAGACACACACACAGCCAGGAGTGGGTAGATTTCAGGGAGACAAGAGGGAATAGTATAGACAATAAGGAAGGAAATAGTACTTACAAATGACTCCTAAGGGACTGTGAGACTGAGAGGGCTCACGCCTCTGTGTTCAGGATACTTAGTTCATGGCTTTTCTCTTTGACTTTACTAAAAGAGAATGTCTCCATACGCGTTCTAGGCATACAAGGGGGTAACTCATGATGAGAAATGGATGTGTTATTCTTGCCCTCTCTTTTGAGGCTCTCTCATAACCCCTCTATTTCTAGAGACAACAAAAATGCTGCCAGTCCTAGGCCCCTGCCCTGTAGGAAGGCAGAATGTAACTGTTCTGTTTGTTTAACGATTAAGTCCAAATCTCCAAGTGCGGCACTGCAAAGAGACGCTTCAAGTGGGGAGAAGCGGCGATACCATAGAGTCCAGATCTTGCCTCCAGAGATTTGCTTTACCTTCCTGATTTTCTGGTTACTAATTAGCTTCAGGATACGCTGCTCTCATACTTGGGCTGTAGTTTGGAGACAAAATATTTTCCTGCCACTGTGTAACATAGCTGAGGTAAAAACTGAACTATGTAAATGACTCTACTAAAAGTTTAGGGAAAAAAAACAGGAGGAGTATGACACACACAGCAACTTGATTCTAGATTATTTGGTTTGATCCGTAAATGATGGGATGGGGCGTCGCGCTCCGAGCGTGTCCCGCGGCGGGCCCCTGGCGCCACACTGTGGCCGCATGTGCATATTGCAGCCTCCGCCTGTATCTGGGGGCCGCAGCCGCCAGCGCCCGGGGACCCAGCTGCGGCGAAAGCTGTTGGGCGCGCGCTTCTCCGCAGCTCCGCGCCCCCGCCAAAACCCAGTGAGAAATTATTTGCATTCCTGGAGGCTGCAGGAGCGAGAAATGAGCTGTAGGAGTCGGTGGGCAGCAACGGCGGCAGGCGGATGGAAGAGAGCAAGGGGTCGCCGTTCGTGTCCCATTCGCCCGAGTCAAGGGGCGGCCCCCCAAAATCCCAACGTCATTGTTTCCTCGGGGCCGGCAGGTGTGAAAACCCGGCGGCAGAATGGAAGTTCGGTAGTCTGCGAGGGCCCGCGGCCTCCCCAGGCGCGTAGCTGAGTCCCTCCAACCCCGCCCCGGGCCCGCCAGCTCCCGGGCCCCGGCGCGGCGCCACCTGGCGGCCGTCTGTGGAGGTTGCAGCTGCCGCCAAGCCCCGGGGATGCTGCCGGCCTCAGGTGCGCCCGGCCGAGCCTCCGCGGAGAGGAGGATTGGTAGATCACAGGAAACGGGAGGACGGCGCTGGGCTCCCAGCAGGCGCCCCATTTTCTTGGCTTGTCGCAAGAGCAGCCGGAGGCGGCGGCGGCAGGGAGGGAGCGGGTGGGGAGTGGGAGAGGCCGCCCGCCTCCCCGTCCAGCTCGGAGGACCTCCCAGCTGGTTCCCTCACCGTCAAAAGCAGGAAGGGAGCTGGCTCGGCGGGATCAGCAAGCCAGCGGGCAAGAAGGCTCCAGGCTCCGCAGGGGCCACCCCACATGGACTCGGGAACCGCCGAGCTTCACCCACAAGGGCCCACGGCCCATCCTATCACGGATGAAAAGATTACAGGACTGACAATGAGGCCCTGGAGGGATCTGATGCAGCTGGCGGGGAGAAAGGTGGGTCGGACTTAGAGGGGTGGTGGGGTGGAGGAATCTTTCTTCTCCCTGGGACCTACCGAGGCTTCACCTGTGAGGGTCTTGGGCCCATCCTTCAATCCGAGAGCTTCCAAGCCAAAGCACAGCTCCCCAGAGTGGACAAGTGGAGCAGAACCGGCATTAGGTTGGGAGGGTGGGTCGTTAGGGGTCGTTCTTCACCTTCCAGGCTGGGTATGGAGACCTCTAAATTCATCCTAGGGCCACAAGAGCTTCTGTAAGAGTTCAGGCCCGTTTCAGAACACTCAGAGGTTCCTAGCCTGAGAAGTAATCCCCAAAGCAGACCAACCGGTTTGGGGTAAAACAGGAAGAGTTGGGTCCATTCTGGATCTTTCCTAGCTAAATGCCTTCAGGATTTAGGAATATTTTCCTAGGAGGGCCAAGGATTAGCTAGACCTGCCCAGCGATTCCAGCCCTGAGAACCAGACAGAATGGAGGTATAGCTGACAGCTGGCTGGGAGGGGGCTGACGGTCCTCACTGCCACCAGGCTTAGTTGGAGACAGATTCCTCGGGCTGTAGAGAGACAACAGTAGAAGCAAAGAGACCAGTTAGGAGTCTAGGTGAGAGGCAGCGGCAGCCTGGACTAACATGGTAACAGTGGAGCTATTGAGAGTGGTCACATTTGGAAGATGTTTTGTAGGAAGTGTCAACAAAGTTTCTTATTGATTAGATGTAGGGAATGTGAGAAAGAGAAGGGGGGGGAACACGTAGATTTTGGGTCAAAGCAATAAATATTCCATTGACAGAATTGAGACAGCAAGTTGGTGGAGGAGGGGAACGGGGTAGCAAGAAGCGAATGTTTCATATTGGACATTTTAAGATTCCTATTTGACATTTAAGTGTAACTCTTGAAAAAGCAATGGATATATGAAGAATCCTAGACTAGAGATACAAATTTGCCAATCATCATATAGATGTGGTATTTAGAGTCAGGGGACTAGAAAGAACAATGTAAGGGGGAAGTACAGATAGAAAAAGGTCTAAGGCTGAGCCATGAAATATGCCACATTTTAGAGGTTGCGTAGAAGAGGTGGTAGCAAAGGATATTGATAAGGAGTACCAGTGAGGTAGGAGGGAAAACAGAGAATAAAACGTCTCAAGAAAGAGAGATCAACTATGTCAAATTCTCCTGAGAAAACTATTGGATTTGGAGTGGGACTGCACTAAATCTGTCGATCTTTTTGGGGCAGGGGCGGGAGGGAGAGGGTTAGGGAGGATTGATATCATTCCAACACTGACTTTCCAATCCATAAACAAGGTATAACTCTCATTTATTTATGTCACTGTTAATGTCTCACAACAATATTATAATATTCTCTCTAGATGTGTTAGATGTATTCTTAGGTCCTTCATTTTTGTGTTATTGTAAATGGTATTGTCAGAATCTTCAGAAGTAATTATTGGCCAGGTGCGGTGGTTCATGTCTGTAATCCTAGCACTTTGGGAGGCCAAGGTAGGCAGACACTTGAGCCAGGTGTTGGAGACCAGCCTGGGCAACATGGCAAACCTCATCTTTATAAAAAATACAAAAATTAGCCAGTGGCACACGCCTGTAGCCCCAGCTACTCAGGAGGCTGAAGTAGGAGGATCAATTGAGCCCAGGAGGCAGAGGCTGCAGTAAGCCAAGATCGCACCACTGCACTTCAGCCTGGGTGGCAGAGGGAAACCCTGTCTCAAAAATAAATAAATAAATAAATAAATAAATAAATAAATAAATAAATAAATGATTATTACCAGTCTCACAGCTGAGGCAGAAATTTAAAACAAATAAATAATAAGTACTGCATTTATTCACTCCAAGAAAAGTAAAAGCTAAGGCCCAGAATGTGGCAAGGCAAGGGTTAAAAAGAAGAGAACAAGTTTTCCTCTGCCTAGCAAGCTTACTTCAAGGACAGTTATAAGATAACGCTGTCCAAATAGCCAAGGTCAAAGGAATAGGCTCCAGACACCCCTCCCTTCCAGAGCAAGGTTGGAGGAAGAAAAAGAGAAAGATTCTTTTACTCTTACTCTTTCCCCAGGCCTCTTAAGCATTATTTACAAATGTCTGTATTTAGCCAGTTTTTGTTTTTCTTTCGATGCAACTACAAGGTCACCAGCTATGCAAGGTCACAAGTTATGTTATGCTATAGATTATGTGACCTGTCACTGTATGATTAACTGCTTTTGTTTTGTGTCTGTAAGGCCGCTTATAAAAACCCCACTCTGTCTTTGTTCAGTGCTCAGCTTTTTAGATGCAAACCTGCTGAGCCATGCGTACCTAAAATAAACAACAATCCTCCTGTTTTTCCATATTGGCCTCTCCTTTCCTCAGTTTACCACAACATAGCCATAATAGTATAAAAACTGAAAGACCCTAAGACACATATACATTAAGCTTGGCAACGGAAAGCAGGATGTCACACACACACAAAGCTAGTAATGTGAAAATCTGGTCTTGCATAAGGTCTTTTAGGTACAGACTTCTTTGTTAATGCACATTGGCAGGAAAATGGGAACAAATAAAATTGCTTGCTGTCCTTCTCTCTTTATTCTCCACTTCTTGTTTTTTCTAAATGTGGGGTCAAAACTTCCATGAGGGTAAGAAGTTCAGTTTTCTGCCTTTCCCCTTCATCTCCCTATCACACATGTATACTACTCAACACTTAGAGAAGATTAAAAAAAGAATAAATTGTGGAGAGGGAGCATATGTGAAAGTAAAAGATTCCCAGACATAATATGGGAGTTAATGGAGAAAGAAAATCTCTAAGGAAGACTAGAAATAATTGGGTTAGGGATTCTCGAGAAGTAAATTAAATTCCCCAAATGTGGTATTCTCTGAGAAGATAATTTTGAAGAAGCAATGGCGTGATATCCAGTGAAACAGCAGTCCTCTGGAGCCTGGCTGTGACTTCAAGGCCCAGTTCTTCTGGAAGGGCAGAAAAATACTTCGAAGAGGAGAAATGAGCATTTATATAGGTTTATAAGTACCATCTTTATTTTAGAAAATAATCATTTTCTACCTTGAATTCTAGTTTATTGTGACCAAAGATTGTAAAATTTCAGGATATGGCTGAATTAAAATCTTGGTCCTGCACTTAAGTAGCTCCTTGAATTGCAATTTCTTATCCCAATTATTTTATCCTTTCATTCCACTGTGAAATCTATATCATGGCACTTAATAGTCAACTTTATTATTTTAACAAATGCTTATTTACCTTTCATGGGTTATTTCATTTAGCCTTCATAATATCTGTTGTCATTGCCTCACACTCAGTCGGTGGCTTTTAATACTATTCTATTATTTTGATCAATTTGTATAATATATTCTCTCCTCAGTGTTTGGTAAAGCTGTCTGGGCTTGCTTTTGTTTGTTTTTTGAGACAGAGTTTCGTTGTGTCACCCAGGCTGGAGTGCAGTGGCACTATCTCAGCTAACTGCAACCTCCATCTCCCAGGTTCAAGTGATTCTCCTGCCTCAGCCTCCCAAGTAGCTGGAATTATAGGCACACGCCACCACACCCGGCTAATTTTTGTATTTTTAGTAGAGACGAGGTTTCACCATCTTGGCTAGGCTGGTCTCAAACTCTTGACTTCAAATAATTCACCCACCTCGCCCTCCCAAAGTGCTGGGATTACAGGCATGAGCTGCCGCACCTGGCCTTGGTGCTATTTTTAAGGATATGTATATCTGATTTTTTTTCTGTTTCTCTTATTCTTTAATTCTGTTAATTCTTTATTCAGGTATTTTACTTTTCTTAGCTCAACTTTGGTAATTTGTATGGAAAAGTCAACATTTTGTCTACATTCGCAAATATATATCAAAAATACACATCATTTTAATATCTTCTATATCTAGTATTACTTATGTGCTTTTTCAATAGTAAGTTTACGGAAGGATTAACTCTTAATTTTCTTTTCAGGGAACACGGTGTTTGGTTTTATAAATTCCATTTTGGTGGAATAGGAAGGTATGATCTGTTTCATTGACTATGCTTTCATCTTACTTTATGCCTTCTACTTTCCACAGGTTTTTGTTGTGTTCCTTTGTTAGCGTTTGAGTTAAAAACTTAATTCTCTCTCTGTTGCTCAGGCTGGAGTGCAGTGGCATGATCTCAACTCACTGTAACCCTCCGCCTCCCAGGCTCAACGATCCTCCTGCCTCGGCCTCCCTAGCAGTTCGAACTATAGGCGTGCACCACGACATCCAGCTAATTTTTGTATCTGTTGGAGACACAGGGTCCTGCCATGTTGTCCAGGCTGGTCTCCAATTCCAGAGGCAATAATTGGGAGGCCAAGGCGATCTGCCTACCAATTATTTTCTCTTAAATGCATTTTAAAGCTACAAATTTTCTCCTGACTGCTTCATGTAGGTTTTAATATTATTTGCCATGAAATATATTTCACAGTGGAATGACAGATAATTGGGATAAGAAATGGCAATTCAAGGAGTTATTTAAATATAGGGCTAAGATTTGAATTCTAGCTTACTGGGACCAAAGCTTGTGAAGTCTCAGGGTATGGCTGAATTATAGTGCTCTTGTTATTTCTAAAGAGTGTATAATTTTTATTCTGATATCCCCTTTAACCCATGTGCTTTTTCCTAAGAGTACAACTTAAGGAGGGCATGTTTGATTATTTTATTGTTTTATAATCAGTTAACTATGCCCTGGTCCTATATGGTTTCAGCTTTTCAGCACTTGTTGAGACTTAATTTGCCATCTCACTTATGGCCAATTTTTGTCAATATTCTATGTGAATTTGAAAATAATGTAACTTTCCTATTTTGAATATAAGATGGTATAGGCATAATTATAGTTATGATTAATCTTATTAACCGTGTTCTTCAAATTCTCCATATCCTCAGTAAGTTTCAGTCAACTAGATCTGTCAATTCCTAAGAAAGGTATATTAAACTTATCACTGTGATTGTTGACTTATATGCACATATGTGTATGTATCCTTGTTAAATGCAAACAATTCATGGTCATTCCTTAATGGAGCACTACCTTTATGAATATGATATACCCTTCTAGTGCCATATATAAATGTATTTTTAAACCGACTTTAAAAAAAAAAAAAAAAGAGGAACTTGCTCTGTCACCAGGCCAGAGTGCAAAGGTGCAATCATAGCTCACTGCAGCCTTGACCTCCTAGGCTCAAGCAATCCTCCTGCTTCAGCCTCCTAAGTAGCTGGGACTACAGGTGCATGTAACCATGCCTGGCTAATATTTTTACTTTTTGTAGAGACAGGGGTCTTGCTTTGTTGCCCAGGCTGATCTTGAACTCTTGGCTTCAAGTGATCCTCCTGCCTCAGCTTCCCAAAGTGCCAGGATTACATGTGTGACCCACCATGTAAGCCCACATTTTTCTAACTTCTACAGTAATAATATCTATATCCTATTTATTTATAACATAAATCTTACTTAGCTTGTTTTACTTCTCTTCACTCTTGCTTTCCCTACCACCCTTCTACATCACCTGGAATTTGAATTCCAGGTTTTCTTTTTAATTTTCTAGAATCTAAATTCACTTTGTTTAGCAATATCTTTTACCAAATACATGACCACCTTTGCTTCCATTATCTCACATCTTCCCTTATGATCTTTTTAAAATTATTGCTGGAATAGAATTCTGAAAAGTCACCCACACTTAAATGATAGTTTAATTGAATTCAAAATTATTTTCCCTAGATTTTAAAAAATAATGCTTCGTGTCTTCTTATATCCAGTGGAGCCCAAATGAGTTGGATGTAAATTTGACTTCCATTTCTTCATAAGCATTTTCCCTGAATGTGTTTAGAAATTTCTCTTTGTTCCCAAATTTTGTCACTGTGAATCTAGGTGAGGGTCCTTCTCATCATGTATGCTCAGAATTTAATAGGACCTTGCAATCTAAGGATGTATGTATGCATTTAGATCCTGTGAAATATCCTCCTTTTATTCCTTTATTTTCTCATGACTATGGTTGCATACTACACAATAGTAGGTTGTACACTACACATTGGCAAATCTTACTATTCAAATGACAGCCCCTGAAATTGTGCAGTGCACAATCAGCAAATCTTATTTGGTAGATTTGTATTTTATTTCTTACATGTTTTCAATTCTCCCCTCCTCTCTAACTCCTCATCCTGTTACATGAGTTTGGAACATCTGGATCTATTTTTCATATCATTTAACTTTTCTTTCATCTCTGCATGCATCTTTTTATATGGCTTTGTGGAGGAATTTCTGGCTTATCTTGATCATCATGAGGACGGAGAAACTCAAACTATGTGTTTCCTGTGCTTTCACACTACAACAATCAACACAGAAGACTGACGGCGGAGGGGGGTTCTCCATACAGCAAGCAAGCAATCAGTTCTGCAGTGGACACCAGCTGAGTGTACTCCAATTCAATTTTTACACTATTTATCAGGAGATCCCACAGGTTGAGGACTGAGTCTACCAGACTGCCCCCACTTCAAATGCCAGTTCCAAGTCTGGGCCTCCAGAACTTCTGACCAACCATTTCCAAGCTGGGGTTCCCATGGCTTCCTCCTTTGCATTGTATTAATTTGCTAGAGCAGTTCATGAAACTCAGAGAAACACTTGGGTTTACTGGTTTATAACAAAAAATACAGATGAAAAGATGCATAAGGTAAAGTATGGGGGAAGGAGCATGGAGCTTCCATGCACCTCCACTGGGTGCGCCGCCCTTCAGGAACCTCTACATGTTCAGCTATCCAGAAGCTCTCCAAGCCCTGTCCTTTTGGGTCTTTGTATGGAGGCTCCATTGCATAGGAATCACTGATTAAACCATTGGCCATTGGTGATCGGCTTAACCTTCAGCCCCTCTCCCCTCCCCGGAAGTTGGAGGTGGGCTGAAAGTCCCAACTCTCTAATCCTCCCCTTGTTCTTTCTGGTCACCAGCCCCCATCCTGAAGCTACCTAGGGGCTGCCAGACATCAGTCAACTCATTAATAAACAAAACGACATCACACTTTGGTGTTTCTAAGGATTTTAGGAGTTGTATGTCAGGAAATGGGGTTGAAGACCAAATATATATTTCATAATAGCACAATCTTTCAGCTTATTTATTTTCTCTTGGCTTTATCTATCCTGTTCTGGATTTATCCCTTGTTGAATTTTTATGTCAATAATCAAATTTTAAATTTCCAAGATGTGGGAGCGCCCAGTTACTTGGCACATTTTCCTGCCTCCTTGAACCAAATGACCGCACTCACTGCTGGGGTCAAAGATGTCAGTCACCAGCCAGACATGGTGGTTCACACCTGTAAACCCAGAACTTTGGGAGGCCAAGGTCGGTGGATCCCTTGAGCCCAGGAGTTTGAGACCAGCCTGGGCAAAATGGTGAAACCCCATCTCTATAAAAAATACAAAAATTAGCTGGTTGTGGTGGTACATGCCTGTGGTCCCAACTACTAGGGAGGCTGAGGTGGGAGGAGAGCTTGAGCCCAGGAGGTTGGGGCTGCAGTGAGTTGAGATCGTGCCACTGCACTCCAGCATGGGTAATAGAGTGAGACCCGGTCTCTAGAAAATAAATAAAAAGACTTCAGTCACCAAGGTAAGGAGATGGGTGGATATTCCTACTGTGGTACCTGAACTGTCATCCTGTCAGTTGCCCCAAGACCAACTTTTGTCTCCTGGTTCCAAAACATGTGGATCATTTTTTGGTCCACTCCTGTCTTCTGCAGAAGTCCTCCTTGGCACTCTTCACTGTTACCCCATCTGCCATCTTTGTCAATTTTTTATCATTTCTAGGAATTTGGGGTGGAATATGAGAAGAAAGCAACATATCTTCAGGACACAATCTTGAATCAGTAGCTATTTTTCACCTGTGCATTAGAGATGGGAAACTTGCAGAGCACTTAACAGGACTTCCCTACGATCACCAACTAGTATTTATTGAATTGTTTATTAGTAGGAAACATTAAGCAATTATCCTTCATAAAAACATTATGAAGTAAGTAAGCATTACTATAGTCCCAGTTTTAAGATGAGAAAACACAGATTAAAAACATCCTAAAGAGCAGAGCCAAGTTACACTCCAGGTGGTCCGTCTCAGAAGCCTGAACTCTTTACTAATACACTATACGATGGCATATCCGGGTGATTTTGGGAACACATTATACTTCTACCCTGCCAGGAGGGCCAAATGTATTTACTTTGTCATCTCTGTGCTGTAAGGGGCCACATTTCTACCCATCAACTCAATCTACATTACTCAAGCATGCTTGTAATTCATAGGTTATTTCCTCATGCCAGGAAGAACAGTCACAGTTCTGTTTCATTACGCTTCTATCTTTGAGACTCAAATTCCCCCCTCCCCACTATAAATTATTTGCACATACTAGTCTAGAAAAATTTAATATGCCACTTTCCCCCACAAACACATCTCCACAATCATAAACACCATGAAATAAACTTCTCTTAGACAAATGAAAAAGTTTCTTACCTTTTTCTCCAGGCTAAGGATCAAAATTCAAGTTTTACTTGGTTAACTCTCCTGCTAATCTGAAAACTGTCTTCTACTCTATAGATGCTTGCTGTTTCAGGGGGGCAGGCGGGAGTTATTTAAGAATAATTTCCATTACCTAATACCTTGATACTAATGTGAAAAAAATTATGAAAATCAGAGGTCAAACACTTAAAAAGATCCATGAAAAATCTCCTACAAAGACACTTAAATAAGTAAAATCATCAAATTTTCATAATGTGACAGGGAGAAGATTGAAGAAACCAAAAAAAGCAAGTATGTTCCTTTGCTGGAACTAATCCTATGGCTAATATATATACAAGTTAATCAGCATACCTTTCTCCTGCTCATTATTCTACATATAATATGGGTCTTAAGTAAGTAAACATTCCAAACTAGATGAAATACAGTTCCAGAGAGAAATTATAAGTAGTTTAAGACTTAACCCTTTGTATTAGAGTTCTCCAGAGGGACAAAACTAATAGGGGAGACATATATCTATAGATATAGATAGATGATAATAGATTAGATACAGATATATTAAAAGGAGTTTATGAAGGAGAATTGGCTCACATGATTACAAGGCAAAGTCCTACAGTGGGCCGTCTGCAAGCTGAGGAAGAAAGAAGCCAGTAGTGGTTCAGTCTGAGTCCAAAAGCCTCAAGAGTAGGGAAGCCCACAGTGCAGCCTTCAGTCTGTGGCCTAAGGCCCAAAAGCCCCAGGCAAGCCACTGGTGTTAAGTCCAAGAGTCCAAAGGCCAAAGAACCTGGAGTCTGATGTCCAAAGGCAGGAGGAATGGATGGAGGCATCCAGCACAGGAGAGGGATGAAAGCCAGAACTCTGCAAGCCAGCTTAGCCCACCTTCTCTCTCCTGCTTTGTTGTAGCTACCCTGGCAGCCGACTGGATGGTGCCAACCCACATTGAGGGTGAGTCTTCCTCTCCTAGTCCACTGACTCAAATGTTAATCTCCTCTGGTAACACCCTCACAGACACACCCAGAAACAATACTTAGCTATCTAGGCATCCTTTAATCCTATCAAGTTGACACCTAATATTAACCATCACACCCTAGGATTTAGAATTTTCTTAAGAACACTGAATGACCCTTGCCCAGGATCGTATCTGTGCTGTGTCTGAAGTCTTAGACTCCCTCCTGGCCTAAAGAATTTTCCTTCAATGCAATGAAAAATGATAATCCCACAAACTAGAAACCAAGACTTGTGCAAAATCAAAACATTGCAAAGGTGGGTGTGGGGAAATCAAGCTATTATCTTTAGGTATATTCTATTCCTAGGTGTTTAAAACACTAATATTAAAAAGTGATATGGAGCTTCACCTACCCTCTGGTAATTTGCAGTTATTGTCCTTTGATCATGTAAAGCAACTGAGATCATTTGCTCCTGACCTCACGTCACTAATCTATATCCTTCATTTTTTGCTCCAAGTGTTCCTTCTTCTGAGTGCCTAGTGCTGCTCCAGTACCTAGATATCTCTCTCTCCCCCTCTCTTTCTGTCTCAATATCCAATCAATCCCAAGCTGTATTAGCTCTTTACCAACTTTGGGAAAGTGGACCAGTATCCAGGCTTGGATAAACCAAGGAAAAATACTAAGGAACTGCTTAAAGCTCTAGTGGTTCTTCTACTTTGCTGTTTCTGGCTTTGGCCATCTAAAGCAAAGTTCCTTGGATTGGTTGACAGTGAGATAGTCTCTAGATTCTTGTGTCTCTTTTTAGTAGGACCACCTAAGATGTATCATCCATTGTATAATGAGTTCTTGACCAAAGAAAAGAAATCTTAAGGTCTTCGGACTCTGTCATCTTTCTTGTTTGCCACTCTTTGGACTGTAATTTGAAGAGAAAAAACCTTGTTTTCTTGTGAAAATTTTGGATGCTGAGTAGTTGACAACAACAGTAACTTCAGCTAGAAAATGCTGGAAACAATTTAATAAGCAGAAATGATTAAATCCAAAATCATCAACATGACTCCACCAACCCCATTTTTAAATTTCTATTTAAACATTTCCCAAATTATTTGCACATTCTTCTTTTGGCTGTAAGTCTTGTTTTTCTCTATGCTAGCTAATAGTTTTCTAGATAATTTCTATTCCCTTGACTTGTTCTTATGTTAAATCCTCAAAATTAAGAGCTTTCAACTCAAAAATCAGAAATAGGAAAGAAGTGTTTAATGAAATGATTTCACTTTTTTCTGAAAGTATTGACATGAAGTATTAAAAGCATCATCTGATAGAAAAAGAAGGTACTTGCCAAATGTTATATCGGCCTTTATAGAGCACTAGTAACAGACACTATAAAGTCTCATTTCCTAATTTATTATTTTCCTAATGGGCCACATAGCAGACACTGAAGGTTCTACATAACAAAGGTCCTACAAGTAAATTGTGAAAATCCCTTATTGGATGGTGTTTTTAGAATACAGAAGGTCTTATTTCCTTAATGCAAGATGCTTAGGGAAGTCACTCTCAAGTCACTAGAAATCTATTAAAGCACCACTTGCTGGAAAATGGAATGTGCTCTGGAAGTACAATGGTGCTCTTGCTAGCGCCTTCCTAACCATAACAATAATAAGAACAACACTGATCAAATATTTACCATGTTCCAGCCACTGTACTAAGTGCTTTGGGTACATTACCTCATTTAATCTTCATATCAAGCCTAGAAGGTAGTTTCCATTATGTTTTCCACTTTACAGGGGAATAACTTGAGGATCAATTTGCTGTAAGGAAGTTTATTTATCACAACAAGTAAAGAAAGTTTTCCAAGGTCATACAGTCCTTACGTGGGGAAGCTATACTCAAAGCTGATGTTCATCGCCACTACAGGCTAGTGCCTTCTCAGCAAGAACTACTCTTACAGTGCTAAGAGGAGAAATGGGCAAGGTGGTAAGAGCCAGAATATCTGTTGTTGATATTACAGATACAGCTCTGAACTTAAGACCCTAAAAATGATCTCCAACCTCAGTTGCCTCTGAGAGCCTTCAGCATGATATGTGATCATGTGAGAGCCACGTTATGTGTATTCTTTTTACCACCTCTTCTGTATCCATCTGGAGATAGTTCTCTTTTCTGTTTTTTCTAGAGGAAAAAAACAACGACAAAAAAACAGGGAGATCTTAGCAGAACCAAAGCAGATTAGATATTAGCCTTGAAAATGGTGACAGCAATCAGTGATATTGAACCTGAAATAATTTAAATAATTATCGGGGACTTACCAGAGCTAAGTTCGTGGACCACTGGGATTTCTCTTATTTGGGTCTTATAGTGTTCCATAAAGTGATGGGACTATAATTGTCCATCTTCAAGTATCCTTCTATGACTCATGTATAATCCCTTGACTTTTAGGAGATTCCTGGCAGTTAATGTCAATACTGCCCTTCATAATGCTTCTGAGTTAGCTTAGGTAAGGTCCTTAAATACCCAATGACTTATACTCTGAGGCTTCTAAACTGGTATGTGGACCTCGGTGGTTGCAACTTCACCCAAATCCTCATTCTGTGTTGTGCTGTCCCTAATTTAGAGGGCAAAAGATTTCAAACTCAATCATTTCTTGTTAAATTCAACTCTTGGAGCTCCACCTGTCATAAACACAATCCCATTTCCCATGTACTCAGTTACTTCTGTTTCTTGAATCCATCATTCATCCCATAGATATTGAGTGCCTAATGTATTCCAGATATAGTTCTACATAATAGGGATAGAGCGGTGTATGAAACAAAGCACCTACCTTCATAGGACTTATTCTGAGGAGGTAGGAGGGGAGACAAATGATATAATAACTTAGACTATATCTGAGTAATACAACAAATAAGTCTTTAAAAACAGTGGCTTGAATAAGATACAAGTTTATTTATCTTTCATGTAACAGTCCAGGGCTAACAGAGCAGTTCTGCCATCCTCATCACAGGGCTTCTGCCTCTGGGTCCAAAGTAGTTGCCCCAATTCCTGCCATCACATCTGCACCCCAGCCAGTGGAGAGGGTAAGAGGGCAAGGGCAACACATACATATTCTTTTTTAGGGCACAAACTAGAAATAATACATGCAACTTCCATTCACATCTCATTGGCCCCAAACTTTGGACAAACCCAGATGCAAGAGAAGCTGGTAAATTAGCCTTTAATTGAGAAGCCAAGCGCCCAGAAAGCAGGGAGTTAGAGTATACAAGGAAAGATCATTTTTATGGATATCAGTCTCATTCAGAAATAAACAAATAAATACATTAGTATTCAGATGGTATATGGAGAATAATTAAGAAAGTTATGAGAGGCCGGGCGCACTGGCTCACACCTATAATCCCAGCACTTTGGGAGGCCGAGGTGGGTGGATCACAAGGTCAGGAGATCGAGACCATCCTAACACAGTGAAACCCCGTCTCTACTAAAAATACAAAAAATTAGCTGGGTATGGTGGCACTTGCCTGTAGTCCCAGCTACTCGGGAGGCTGAAGCAGGAGAATCGCTTGAACCCAGGAGGTGGAGGTTGCAGTGAGCCGAGATTGCACCACTGCACTCCAGCCTGGACAACAGAGCGAGACGCGAGACTCCGTCTCAAAAAAAAAAAAAGTTATGAGATAAGGAATACCAAGAAGTGAGGAAAGAAAAGGAGGGGAGCTTGTTATCTTACCTAAGATGTTCAGGGAAGACCTCAATGACAGTTGGTAAAGTAACTTCTGAGCAAAAGCTTACAAGAAATTAGGAAGCCAGTCATGCAAGTATCTAGGGATGAGCCTTTGAGAAAAGGAAATAGCAAGTGCAAACATCCTGAGATAGAAGGGCCTTGATGTATTCAAGGAAGTACAAGGAGAAAATTATGATGAAATGGAGCAAAACAGGTAAGAGAGAGGGTCAGAGAAGTGAATGTGGGCCTTGATGCTGAAGCCATTGGAGGGTTTTCTGTTGAGGAGGAGTATGGGAATGATATGATCTGACTTATGTTTCAAAAAGTGTACTCTAGCTGCTTTGTGGGAAATATAGGAAGGAGAGAGCAGAATCAAGGAGGCCATTTAAAATGCCATTGCAAATATCCAAGAGAGGTGGAAGCTTGGAGCAGGGAAACAGTGGTGGAGGTGGTGAGATGTGGTTGGATGCTGGACATATTTTGAGCCAAGAGGATTGTCTGATAAATTGCGTTTGGAAAATAAGAAAAAGCTTATTCACTCACCAGCCTAATAGTCACACCAATCTATAATCCCAGCACTTTGGGAAGCCAAGGCAGGTGGATCACTTGAATCCAGGAGTTCAAGACCAACCTGAGCAACATAGTGAGACCCCATCTCTACAAAAACAAAAACTCTAAAAATTAGCCAAGCATGTGGCATGCACCTGTAGTCCCAGCTACTCAGGAAGCTGAGGTGGGATGATCACTTGAGCCTGGGAGGTCAAGGCTGCAATGAACTGTAATCATGCCACTGCACTCCAGACTGGGTGACAGAGCAAGACCCTGTCTGGGAAAAGAAAAAGGCATGGCGGGGGGGGGGGGGGGCGGGCATGGTGGTACACACCTGTAATCCCAGCACTTTGGGAGGCCGAGGCAGGCAGATCACCTGAGGTTGGGAGTTCGAGACCAGCCTGGCCAACATGGTGAAACCCCATTTCTACAAAAATACAAAATTAGCTGGGCATGATGGCTGGCATCTGTAATCCCAGCTACTCGGGGGGCTGAGGCAGGAGAATCGCTTGAACCCGAGAGGCAAAGGATGCAGTGAGCCGAGATTGTGCCACTGCACTCCAGCCTAGGTGACAGAGCAAGATTCCATCTCGAAAGAAAGAAGAAAGAAAGAGAGAGAGAGAGAGAAAGAGAGAAAAGAAAGAATAATCACACCCCAAGAAAATCAAGCTAGGACCATGGTGAGCAATGCTCCAAGAGTGTTCTGATGCTGTAAACTGAGTATGATGTGCATAAATTGTTTTGCACTCTGCAGGTAGGAGGGTGGGATAGCCAAAGCTGTTCAATATAATAATATTAAAAAATAAAATCTCAATTGAAGTAAAATACAAATTTTCTTAAGCAATATTTTAAAGTAAATGGAAATGTTACAACCTGGATGAGGGGTGAGGAATTAATAACCTCTAATCACAGAATAAAAATGGAATGAGAATTCCATCTACCCAAATCAGACAATTAAAAAGTTGAAAGAGGTTACAGTAAAAACTGGGTAAAACTAAAACTTAAAAAATAATTTCAGAGGATACATGATATACTCGTCACACAGAAAACTCCAGTTGAACCTTATGGACTTGAGGAATGGATACCTTTGTGTCTCCATCACTTAGCACAGTAGCTGGCACCATGTAAGTTCTCACAGAATTTTCCTGAACTCTCCAACCAGAGGCAACCTTTCACTCTCCATTCACATAACATTTCCTTCTTTCTCTTCTTTTGGGAATAACATATCTTGCTTGAATTATATTTATCTTTATGCCAGTTTAATTCTCTCTTTTAGATTCATTTACATCTTTGTATCCTCTAGCTCATTATTTTTTCAAAATAAAATGGATTAACATAAAAAATTATTAAAGAGATAAACTAAAGGAAAATATTACAACCTGGCTGAGGGGCAAAAATTTTATGTTCAACATATATTTGATAATACATACTGAGAAAACACGGTCTACTTTTACTTTTCAAAAGTTTGTTCATGTTGACATTGTGGGGCCTAGAAGATTTTTATCAAGTTTTCTATTTTTGCCAAGTCATATGATCTGCTATAGTTCAGCTATAGTTAATCAAATGTAGAAAAGAAAAAAATTTTCCATAATATCTAGTAATTCTCCAAAACAAGCTTGTTCCTAGTTAAACACTGACATTCTTTGGTAACTCTCACTTTATCCCACAGAGGTCATGTACTTATTTCCCATCTGTTGTCCTATGCTTACATTCCAAATTCAGTTGCATTGACTTTTAGAACAGCTTTAGGAACTGCACCCAGTTTTAAAATACATTATTTGTCTAAAAATTATGACATGAGATTAAACTGTCATCTTTGTAGGTTTCTACACATACTCCAACTCATTCACCAATCCTTGAAAAGATTATGTAACCAATCTCAATGCCCTGACCCAGGCCAAGCCCATTTCTACATGTGCAGTGTTCTCTGGATCTGATATTTAAAGCCCCTTATCCTGATACTACACACCTTTTGTCTTCTGGAATGCACCTCTCTTCTCATCCTTTTTCAAGGCACTAGAAAAGCAGACCATTTCTGCAGCACCTCAAACCAGGGTGAGAAAGCTCCACTCTAATCTCATCATTTTAGCTACATAGATACATCGGCTCAAGGGAAGATGCCAAGTGTAGTACTTTACCACTCTGAGGATTTTTGAATCTATAACAGTTGTTTCAACTGGGCCAATAATTATGAAGGGCAATAATTAAAAGAGTATCCATAGTAAAGGAGTAAGAAAAAAAGTTAGAAAAAAAGTAGAGAAAAATATTTACTAGAGTATTTACTAGAACCCACCACTCTCAGATCAATTTTCTAGTGTTCTGTTGACTGGCAACCAGTCAACAAACTTTCATTGAGAAGCTATTTTATAGTAGGCATTGGGATAGCCTTTGTGGAATAAATACCGAGAAGCATATGTCTCTAGCAGAAGACAGACAAGAAAATGTAAAAACAAGAAAAAGAAATTGAGGAATAAGCCTACAGTTTAAAAAGCTACACAATTATTCGTTATGCAAGGAATGAGGCCTTAAGAGAAAGACTTCCCTGTGAACTACAATGAGATGAAAAAGCTTCTCAGAGTGAGATTTGAGCAAGAGTTTAAAAGAACTGACAGACTGATAAAAAGCTTCAAGTAGTCCAGAGGACTGAGTACTAAAACTCAGAACAATGTAACAAAAGCACAGAAGACAAAGTTAAAATGCTTTACATGACAGTAGAACATTTAGGCTAAGCTGGAGGACTGGGGAGAACAAGTGAAGAAGGTAAGTTTTGGCTAGATAATAGGTGGCCTTTAGTGTCAGGATGAGGATTTGGAAGTTAATCTTTTGGTCAGTGGATAATAAATGATGGCATTTGTGTAGTTGAGCCAGTTGACAATGCTTTAACAACTTCAAAAGGCCCTGAAAAACATGGTCCCTAATCCTTAAGAAAAAAGGAACTCCTGACTTCAGGACCCTAAGCTAGGAGGAAATTGGATAAATTCTCTTATGGCCCAACTGTATAGAAAATAGACCACCTCGGCCGTCTCACTTACTGAGTAACCTTTCCTACCAGAGAATGTGCTATATATGATTTCTTTACTTTCAACGGAAATTTTGGATTCTCAGTTATCTTTCCCTGACCTCTTGTCTGGTGATCAGAAAAAGATGACTAAACTGGGAATCTTTATTTTCTAGTGGAAAAAAAAAATCATGTATACCGCATTTTATATCTTTTAATTGGGTGTAAATTTGAATTTCAACATCATAAAAATTAGTAAAATTCATTTTAAGCACAAAGTTGTTAATTCCCCCAAGATTTATCAAGAATGGCTTAATTTCAAAGGCTGTCAAGTTAATTATAAGCTAAGATTTTCCAGTTGCACCAAGGGTATATTTTATTTGGCAAAAGAAACATCCACTGGCTTTTGTCAGGATGAGTCTTGAGTTATTCAAGTTTTGAACTGAGAGGTCTTCAGAAATTCACCCCACATATTAACTGTGGCCTTCTCTACACCACAAATTCCCCTCCACTCATCCTCAAATTGTTTCCTTTCTCAGGACATCTGTGACACAAAGACTGTGACACACCCACAGGTCGATTAACATGAGGACCCAACACCTATTAAAACATCCACACTCCTGAGAACACTAAAAACCAACCACCTCGTCAGGTCCCACCTCCAGTCTAGCTGAATCAGGAAACCTCAGGAGAAGCACCTGGAAGCAGGTTTAACAAGCGCAAAGGTGACTCTTATAATTGGGAAAGTTTGGAACCAAGACAGGGTTCTTGTCCTGGAGGAAGTATTTTCCTGTGGAGAAGGACCTGTAAACAGCCTATGAAGTGCTCAGCTTTCACCAAGAAAAGAAAAACATGGGCTGATAGGGTTAAGGAAACGTTTGACTGAAGAGGATTAAATCCTGAAGGTTAGGGATGTCTTTGGGCGCTGGGGTCTCTCAATCACCAAAGATCGACATTACAGGCCAGGTAGCTCTTTGTCCCCCCAGAGGACTGTCCTGTGCCTTATGCTTAGCACTCCTGGCCTCTGCCCATTGGATACTTCTAGCACCTCCCCCGCAACACACACACACCTGACAACCCAAAACATCTACAGATATTGCCAAATACTCCACAGGGGGTGGGGTGGTGGCAATATATCTCCCTGTTTGAAGTCACTGGAATGGAAGTTAGGGGAGGATGGCTAAGTCAGGACTTGCAAAAAGGCTAAGGGACGAAAGCACATGGCTATATTAGACAAAGTTTGTGACAGACGCCTGTAGGTATATGGTAAGGAAAACAGATTAAAACACTAAGAAATAGTAAGAGGTCGGACCGAGGGTTTCTCATCTGTATGGGAAATCTCATCTCGTTCATTACTTTCAGAAACAAAAAGGAAAACGACTTTAAAGATACAGGTTAAAGGCCGAAGGGGTGTAGAACCACCCCCCGCCTCCTTCCCTCCATCCCTCCCAAATATCCCAGAACGAGTCAAACCTTTCGAATCTCGTAGCACAGATAACAAGCAACTCAGTAAGACTGGACGGGGATGACTGAGGGCCAACTCATTACAGGACTACAGGAAACTCCTTAGTCCTAAACCCGAATGCATCCGTGACCATGGTAACACTCCCTACCTGACCAAAAGCTATCAAACGCTCTGACAAGTGTTTACAGCTGCTTTCTCGATTACTGAAGTGGCTCTGAAAAGAGCCTTTGGGGTTAGGTGGTTGATCTATTGCGTCCCTTGCACACTCTTACTTCGAGCTGGTGTACTTGGTGACCGCCTTGGTGCCCTCGGACACGGCGTGCTTGGCCAGCTCGCCGGGCAGCAGCAGGCGCACGGCCGTCTGGATCTCGCGGGATGTGATGGTGGAGCGCTTGTTGTAGTGCGCCAGGCGGGACGCCTCTCCCGCGATGCGCTCGAAGATGTCGTTGACGAAGGAGTTCATGATGCCCATGGCCTTGGACGAGATGCCGGTGTCGGGGTGGACCTGCTTCAGCACCTTGTACACGTAAACGGAGTAGCTCTCCTTGCGGCTGCGCTTGCGCTTCTTGCCGTCCTTCTTCTGCACTTTCGTAACAGCCTTTTTGGAGCCCTTCTTGGGAGCAGGAGCGGATTTCGCTGGATCCGGCATTTTTGCGCGAAAAAAGAGAAAAGAGACTTAAAGAAGTAATCCGAACTACCGCAAAACGGGCTGGTTATGCGCTACTTATAGAGCCCGTATGCAAATGAAGACTCGCAAAGTGCTGCGCTTTCATTGGTTAACTTACAACGGTGTCGTCAGAGGGGGTGGAGTCTATGTAAATAATAGATTCTAGTCTTGCTTCCTTAATGGTCACTGTAACAAAAGTCTTGTTATCCTATCAGAATGGTCCATTTCACACTAACCAGTTTTAAGCTAGGTGAAGCGATAGTTTCTACGGCTTGGGGTTTTTTCTTGGTTTTCACTTTCCATTAGACTTGCATACGGAAGAAATCTTAACGCCAGCTAGACAAGTTAACTCTCTTGCCTCGTTTTTGCATTTTTATTCTATACTTTGTGGAAATTTTTTTCTCTTCCTTGAAATACTACCTCACCCATTTTTAAAAATCGCCAGATATTTACTCCCGCCCGCTTAAATTACTATTCTGGCTTGGACACCGCCTGTAGTATGCAATGAGGAAGATGCTGAGCTTTAATTAAGCTTATAGTTCCTAAATAAACCAGGAAACGGGTTTATAATTTTTAAGGGACTCGCCCCACCCTTACACTCAGGATCTTCCACATCTAGAAACTCCCCATAGTCTCTTGCCCCCATGCAAAACTTTACCCACAGAATTGGGAGCCGGACCTCTAGCCTTAAACCAGCGTGAAAACGCTCGGCCGGAACCACAAGGACCATGCCTCTGCGGCTTTCTCTACTGCCGGCCAACTCACGGCTGGGCTTTGGGTTCTGTAACGTCACCCACCACGAGTGCCCCTGGCCCCTGACCGCTGCGCAAGGCAGACGCACATCAGATGGAGAGCCGGTACAGCTGCTCTTGATGAAAACGGCAGTGGCTCTGAAAAGAGCCTTTAGATCGACCACTTAAAAATATGCCTTAGGCCCGCTCCCCGCGGATGCGGCGGGCCAACTGGATGTCCTTGGGCATGATGGTCACGCGCTTGGCATGGATGGCGCACAGGTTCGTGTCTTCGAACAGCCCCACCAGGTAGGCCTCGCTGGCCTCCTGCAGCGCCATCACGGCCGAGCTCTGGAAGCGCAGGTCCGTCTTAAAGTCCTGCGCGATCTCGCGTACCAGCCGCTGGAAGGGCAGCTTGCGGATCAGCAGCTCCGTAGACTTCTGGTAGCGCCGGATCTCCCGCAGAGCCACGGTGCCGGGCCGGTAGCGGTGCGGCTTCTTCACCCCGCCCGTGGCCGGCGCGCTCTTGCGGGCCGCTTTGGTAGCCAGCTGCTTCCTCGGGGCCTTGCCGCCGGTCGACTTGCGGGCAGTCTGCTTAGTACGGGCCATGCTGTCTCATTGATAGGAGAGGGTCTAGGCAGTCATATTTATAGACATAGTCTCCTCTTGATTGGGCCTGAAAAGGAAATTTTCAAACTTGTGATCTCATTGGTTAAAATTCAATCCTCTTTACTGGGGCGGAAGATTGTTCTGCTAATCTTTCTTCCCTTATTATTTCCCCCTTTCCTGATTTTTTTCTGTAATTTTATCGATCACGGATTGTTTTTGAAGACTTTCCTTTAAATTAGTCTAACTTTTGTAAAAGCAATGTATAAAGTGTTTTGCATCCCATTTTAACAGAGATTTTTTTTTTCCCCGAATTCAAGCATGCCCTTCTATGAGCTATCAGCCTGTTTCAGGTTACCTGTTACTGTAGCTCTTCTACCATAGCTAACATTTATTTCATGTCTGGCATTTTGCTCAGCAAGTTAGATGCATTGTATACCATGAATGACCGAAGCTTAGCAAAAAAATATGTAATTGAAGGAATGAAAAAATTGATCTTATTTACTTGACCTTGGAACCCAGCCAAAGCCATTTCATGTGGGTAGTGTGCTGACCTATATTGACCTGATATTAGAGCCTCTGCCTTCCTTTAGTCTTTTCTCCCTGCGATGTGGTTCCTTCTTCCTCAACCTCACATCAATGGCCAATTAGGTCCTGCAGATGTTAAGCTTCTAAATCAAAGAAGGACAACACCAGAAATTCATTTCTCCTTTACAATGTAGAATAGTTTGTAAATTAGTGCTTATTAGCCAGATTACAAGTTCAAGTTTCAAAGCAAATTATTCATCAATTGCTGACTTGCTAACATTTTATTCAATAAAGTATTTTATAATGCTTAAAAGTTTAGTTTTTTTTCTGTTCTCTATGAAGAGAGTAAAGATGCTTTGCTTTTTCAATTTCATGTGCTTTGAAGTATGTATTGTTCAGAACAGTAAATATCATAGTGGTTATGTAGAAGCAACTGATACTTAAAAGTTGTAGTAGTTAATATAAAACTTTTAATCATATCCTTATTTTACTAAAAAAATCATTACAAACTATAAAAACTCAAACCTGAGAAAAGCAGGCCCGAAACGCTTAAAACTTACTTTGATGGTGTCATTATGAACTATCTTCCTACTGAAGTCAAAGTAAAGTAAAAGTGATTTCAAGGGGACTTCCTGAACACTAAACACAAAGTAGAAATCTGTGAGCTTAATTAATATCTTCAAGAGTCTCTCATGGGCAGAAGCATCCTCCTCTCGAGAGATCTAAAATGTACAAAAGTGTAACTGATGTGAACAAATGTTATCCCTCTCTGTGGTAGTTTTGTAATAATGCCTTACAGACAGCAGGCACTACTCAGTGTTTAAAGTTCTTCTACATACACTTTATCATTTAATCCCTACTCTGTGAAATAGATGTTACTCTTCTCACTTTACAGATAAGAAAACTGAGTCTCAGAGAAATTATGGCTTGTCCTGGGTAAGTAACAAAGCCTGTGTAATATTCTAAAGCAAAAGAATGAAACTGTAATGATGAAACTTTCTATTTCATTAGGCTTAGAGGATACCTTTTTTTTTTTTTTTTCATTTGAGATGGAGTCTCACTCTGTCACCCAGGCTGGAGTGCAGTGGTAGGATCTCTGCTCACTGCAGCCTCTGCCTCCTGTGTTCAAGCAATTCTCCTGTCTCAGCCTCCTGAGCAGCTGGGACTATAGGCGCAAGCCACCACCCCCAGCTAATTTATTTATTTATTTGTATTTTTAGTAGAGACACGGTTTCACCATATTGGTCAGGCTGGTCTCGAACTCCTGACCTCAGGTGATCCACCCTCCTCGGCCTCCCAAAGTGCTTGGGTTGCAGGCATGAGCCCCACGCACCCAGCCAACACAGTTTAAAGCACAAAAGCGTTTTCCCATCAAGCAATCACATCATCTAGTATTTCTCAAACATCTACACCCAACTATTCCCATTAGAAGGGAAAACTACCCCATGGAATCTGGATGATAGCCCAAAGCAGCCCACCCAAGCATCACATTTCTTTGCAATATACTTTCTCTATGATGTATGCAGTCTTGACCATAATGTAGGATGTGTTCATTTAAATAAGAAAATGGCATTCAATCAGACTTTAATGGCTATAGGTATCATTTCTCAGAATAAAACAATCAGATGTATAGTTGCCTTAAAAGTCATCTTTAATAACAGAATTCAGATCAATTGTTAGTTCAATTTCACCTAGTCCCCACATTGGACACTAGAGTGACATTTCTGTGAAAGGTCTCAATCCACCACTATATCAGAAGCAACTTTATGGTGCAAAAGAAGCTCTGCTTTTCTTCAGTTGTAACAAAGACGGAATATTCCTCCTAAAATTTTTGAAGTGTCCTTCAGCAGAAATTATAAGGCTGTGCAGCTTGAATACTGAGAACAGAAATTTCATTAGGTAGCACGGGGGAATAGACAAGAGAAGATTAAAATTTACCTAACAAGAAATAAGAAGGCAAAAGAAAATATTAATAAATGAATTATTACGCACATAATGTTTTGTATGTACATGTGTTTACTTTTAATACAAAAGTAACGGACTAAGTTAACATAGATGTTCCAATAAGATAATTTATGTTTCATTTTTGGCTTCAAGTATCCTCAGGGTTATAAGTATCATAAGCTGAGACCAGCTGAATTGGTTTGTGGGTTGATGAGGCCCTATGCCTGATTTGAATTTCTCTTGAATGGTCTGCAGCCCTGGACCAAGTTGAAGAAGCCATGAGAGTCTCAGCTTTTTTCCTTACCCCATTATGAGATAAACTCATTCCTTAAATATCTTGCTCATTTGATAAAACTTGGCACCTTTCTCCTTTCTACTGGTCCCTAATACTTACTACCTGTACTGTAAGCTCAAATTTTTTGCAATTTCTGCCTTTATTATGTAACGTATTCCACTGGAATATGTGTTACAGGAAAGGGGTCCCGATCCAGACCCCTAGAGAGGGTTCTTGGATATCCAGCAAGAAGGAATTCAGGGCCAGTCCATAAAGTGAAAACAAGTTTACTAGGAAAGTAGAGGAATAAAAGAATGGCTACTCCATAGAGAGAACAGCCCTGAGGGCTGCTGGTTGCCCATTTTTATGGTTATTTCTTGATTATATGTTAAACAGGGGTGGGGGGGTGGACCACGCCTATAATCCCAGCTACTCCAGAGGCTGAGACAAGATCATTTGAACCCCGGAGGCAGAGGTTGCAGTAAGCTGACATCGCTCCACTGCACTCCAGCCTGGACCACCCAGGGATAATCCGTCCCCCGCACCCCGCCCCCCCAAAAAAATCACTGCCAGTAAGGAACAAACAGCCAGGACGAAGTACTAAGATGTAAAGAGATGTAAAATAGCCCGGGCGCGGTGGCTCACGCCTGTAATCCCAGCTCTTTGGGAGGCCTAGGCGGGCAGATCACGAGGTCAGAAGATAGAGACGATCCTGGCTAACACGGTGAAACCCCGTCTCCACTGAAAATATTTTTTTAAAAAAAATTAGCCAGGCGTGGTGGAGGGCGCCTGTAGTCCCAGCTAATCGGGAGGCTGAGGCAGGAGAATGGCATTAACCTGGGAGGCGGAGCTTCAAGTGAACCCAGATCGCGCCACGGCACTCCAGCCTGGGTGACAGTACGAGACTGTGCCTCCAAAAAAAAAAAAAAAAAAAGAAAGATGTAAAATAATGTGATACATTCTGCAAGAGTTATGACAGAGTCAGAAAGGGGCAAGCATGTTTCTTCTCTACCCTGAAGCAGCCAAGGGAGAAGAAGATATCTGTTGCCAACGCTGGGGTGTTACAAGTGCACACTGCCATGCCCGGCTAATTTTTTGGATTTTAGTAGAGACAAGGTTTCACTGTGTTGCCCAGGCTGGTCTCGAACTCCTGAGCTCAGGCAATCCACCCGCCTAGGCCTCACAAAGTGCTAGGATTACAGGCGTGAGCCACCACGCCCGGCCTATATATGCATATTTTTTTCTAACACTTACATACTTTTTCTTGGTGCCAAGAATGTTTTAAACACTTTACATGTATTAACTCATTTTATCCTCACAAAACCCTGTCAAGTAGGTAGTGTAAGTATGTCCATTTACAGATTGGGAGATGGAGGAATCACAGAGCGGTTAAGAAACTTTCTCATAGTCACACAGTCGGTGCCAAACCAGATTTCAACTCCAGAGTCTTCCTTTAGTCACTATACTACACTACTAATATCAAATAAGTAAGATGTTGATGCAACATTGATAGTAATTTAAAAGATTAGAAACAACCAAGAGCCGGGGTGTAGTGGCCCATGCTTGTAATTCCAGCATCTGGGAGCCCGAGGCGGGCAAGTTTGTTGGGAGTTGGAGACCAGCCTGACAACATGGCAAAACCCTGTCTCTACAAAAAATATAAAAATTAGCTGGGCGTGGTGGTGTGCGCCTGTAGTCTGAGCTACTTGGGAGGCTGAGGTGGGAGGATCGCTTGAGCCTGGGAGATTGAGGCTGCAGTCTGCAGTGAGTTATGATCACACCACTGCACTCCAGCCTGGGCAACAGAGACCCTGTCTTAAAAACAAAACAAAACAAAACCACCTCCGACAACGTAGGAATGCTGAAATGAGTTATGTTAATTCTAAGTAAAAACTCAACCTATCCCAATTAGCCCAAGACCACTACTTAGTCTACCTAAGCCAAGTCTGTTGACTTGTTACAATGAGGGAGAACACACAACAGAGAAACTGGTGGCAGGGTGGTGGGAGGAGGGTGCTCACCAAACGAGGAAAATTAGAGTTATCAATGATTTTGGGGGATGAGTGGAGTGTAGTTTTCATAG
Source organism: Homo sapiens (assembly GCF_000001405.40). Classification (NCBI taxonomy): domain Eukaryota; kingdom Metazoa; phylum Chordata; class Mammalia; order Primates; family Hominidae; genus Homo; species Homo sapiens. Next base: position 149,818,508 of record NC_000001.11, read on the forward strand.
GCTCAAAGCAAAGCAGGGCTGTGTGAAAGGGTAGGCATAGGATGGGACTTTGCAGTGGATCCAGGGTCTTGTTTCCTCAGAAACTACAACGTTGAGATAGAGGTGGAATGCTGTGTTCAGAAACCCCTTACTTGAAGTTTTTGCACCTGGGTTGAAAATTACTGCTGGTTTTTTGTGTCAAGGTGGCTTAGGTCCTCCAGACAGGAGGGGGATACTGCATTGTTACTGATTGATAGGATTTCAAGCAGCCAAAGTTCTGATAGTCTGTGATTTTGAGTACAAGTTCCTCAGTGAATAAGAAAGGAGTGGTCACTCAAAGAGGGGAGTTATGAGCCTTTATAGCTGTAGCATGCCCTTGGGAGAAGAATGTTTTCTGTCATTTCTAGTCTAGCTTTATCTCTGTTAGTGCAGCCTAATGAATGGCAGAACAGGTTTTGATTTTCTCAGTCCTAGCGAATTTCTGCTTCTCGAAGTGCATGTTAGTGGTAATGTGTTTTATATCTTACTTTATTTCTTATTTCCCCCCCCTTTAATCTATATTTTATTTTATTTATTTTTTACTTTTTTGAGACGGACTCTCGCTCTGTCCCCAGGGTGGAGTGCAGTGGTGCGATCTCAGCTCACTGCAACCTCTGTCTCCTGGGTTCAAGCGATTCTCCTGCCTCATTCTCCTGCCTCAGCCTCCTGAGTAGCTGGGACTATAGGCGCGCGCCACTACGCCTGGCTAATTTTTGTATTTTTAGTAGAGACGAGGTTTCACCATGTTGGCCAGGCTGGTCTTGATCTCCTGACCTCGTAATCTGCCGGCCTCGGTCTTCCCAAGTGCTGGGATTACAGGCATGAGACACCGCGCCTGGCCTAATCTATATTTTAAAAATTGAACTCTTCCATGTACCCCTGAACCTAAAATAAAAGTTAAAAACAAACAAACATACAAAACAACAACAACGACAAAAAAAAAAAAAAAAAAAAACCAGGCCGGGCATCGTGGCTCACGCTTGTAATCCCAGCACTTTGGAAGGCCGAGGCGCGCAGATCACGAGGTCAGGAGTTCGAGACCAGCTTGACTAACATGGTGAAACCCCGTCTCTACTAAAACTACAAAAATTAGCCGGGCGTGGTGGCACGTGCCTGTAATCCCAGCTACCCAGGAGGCTGAGGCAGGAGAATCCCTTGAACCAGGGAGGCGGAGGTTGCAGTGAGCCGAGATCATCCCACTGCACTCCAGCCTGGGAGACAGAGCGAGACTCTGTCTCAAAAAAAAAAAAAAAAAAAAAGAGAGAGAATTCTGTACTTTGTAATTAGAGGGGTAATTCATTAATTCATGTCAGGGGCATATTATTTTATTTTTCCAAATGCTAGGAAGCAGGTATCCATTTTTTGATAATATAAATTTTGGGATAATTGGCAGTCATCTGGCTCACAGGGAAAACAGGAAAAACAAGAAACCTAAATAAACTTCATATTGATTTCCCAAAAAAATTACCTTTTATTTTCAACCCTTATAGAACTCAACCTGCATCTCTTTGCCATCCATGTTCTTTTTTTTTAGAGACTGGGCCTCATTCTGTCCCCTAGGCTGGAGTGCAGTGGCATGATCATAGCTCACTGCAGCCTCAATCTCCCAGGCTCAAGTGATCCTCCCACTTCAGCCTCCCAAGCAATTGGGACCACAGGCGCATGCCACTGTGCCTGGCTAATATTTTATTTTTTTGTAGAGATGAGGTCAATCTGCATTAAACTTCATGTTGCTCCAACACCGCATTTTATCTCCCCACTTTCCCAGCAATGGACAACTAGGCTTGTGCCAATTCTCCATCACCACCAGAAATGCTGCAATGAACATTGTTGTATATATTCCCTTTTGGACCTATATAAGAATTTCTTTTGGATAAAAACTCAGGAACAGAAGTGCTGAGAAGCCAGAAACCAGCAGTTCTGTTCAGAGTTTTATTTACATCTAATTGAACTAAGGAGTGTCAGGCTCCCCTCCAGAATGCTTGTCCCGGACTTCCAATACCAAGGTAGCTGGACTCTGAGCCCACATCCAGGCCCAGTCCTCGGGTCATCCAACTTTCTAAGTTTTGCCAGACTGCCTGGTGTAAAGTGGTATCTCAGCATTGCTTTCGTTTTCATTGTTCCGGGTATTCATGAGTTCAAGCATCTCTACCTGAGCTTGATAGTTTTCGGATTTCTTCTCCTGTGTATTGCCTGTTCATATCCTTTGCTCCAACATTGTTTATAGAGCACTCCCTCCCTACTTTGGCATTTGGGGTCCCCTAAACTGGCCCCCATTGCTAAAGCTTACTTCTCATGACTGACCTTTGCCCATGCTGCATGTGGTCCAGGAACAATTCTTCTGTCTTTGTTTTTGCTGTCCCCTCTTGCCTGGATTACATCATCTTCTCCAAACCCCCAATCTAAACATGTCCCGAATCCTAAATATTCTTTAGAACCAAGCTCAGATATCACCTCCTCCTGGAAGGGTTCCTTTATTTGCTCAGCTGGCCTTGGCCTTTCCCTCTTGGCTCCCACAAAGCTCAACCTGCATGTATTTTTTATTTATTTATTTATTATTTTTTTGAGACGAAGTCTTGCTCTTGTCCCCGAGGCTGGAGTGCAATGGCACGATCTTGGCTCACTGCAAACTCCGCCTCCCGGGTTCAAGTGATTCTCCTGCCTCAGCCTCCTGAGTAGCTGGGATTACAGGTGCCTGCCACCATGCCCGACTACTTTTTGTATTTTTAGTAGAGACGGGGTTTCACCATGTTGGCCAGACTGGTCTCAAACTCCTGACCTCAGGGGATCCGCCCCCCTCGGCCTCCCGAAGTGCTGGGATTACAGGCGTGAGCGACCGCGCCAGGCCTCAACCTACATTTCAAGTCACCATCTGTCACAGGATACCTTCCACTCTGGCTCTGGATATGGGGGTCACCTCCTCACAAAGACAGACAGGCTGTATGTGCATACACAGAAAGATTCAGAAGAAACATGAAGACTTTTAAAATCAGTGAGATGATTTTAACTTTCTTTAAATCAGTGAGATGATTTTAACTTTCTTCTTTGTAGTTTTCTCTAGCCAGTTTTAAAAACTGTAAGTTGTAGGCCGGGCGCGGTCACTCACACCTGTAATCCCAGCACTTTGGGAGGCTGAGGCGGGTGGATTACCTGAGGTCAGGAGTTCAAGACCAGCCTGGCCAATATGATGAAACCCTGTCTCTACCAAAAAATACAAAAATTGGCCAGGGGTGGTGCCGCATGCCTGTAGTCCCAGATACTCAGGAGGCTGAGGCAGGAGAATCCCTTGAACCCAGAAGGCAGAGCTTGCAGTGAGCTGAGATTGCGCCACTGCACTCCAGCCTGGGCGATAGAGCGAGACTCCATCTCAAAAAAAAAAAAAAAAAAAAAAAAAAAAAAAAATCCAGAAAAACAAAAACAAAAAAACCTCCCAAAAAACCACAACTATAAGTTGTAATCCATAGTGCAATTAATTTACTTGGTAGAGATCATCTTTTCCTTTCATTTTGCCCTTTTGTAAGAATCATAAAACGGGAAAATATCACCAATAGTAATTATCATTTTGTGAAACTTGTTGCAATTTTTATTTTCCTGTGAATGTGACTGGGAGGCAATGTAAATGTATTTCTTTTTTCTTGTTGTTGAGACGGAGTCTCACTCTGTCGCCCAGGCTGGAGTGCAGTGGCAGATCTTGGCTCACTGCAAGCTCCGCCTCCCGGGTTCACGCCATTCTCCTGCCTCAGCCTCCCGAGTAGCTGGGACTACAGGCGCCCGCCACCCATGCCTGGCTACTTTTTTTTAATTTTTTTTTTTTTTTTGTATTTTTAGTAGAGACGGGTTTTCACCGTGTTAACCAGGATGGTCTCGATCTCCTGACCTCGTGATCCGCCCGCCTCGGCCTCCCAAAATGCTGGGATTATAGGCGTGAGCCCCAGCGCCCGGCCAATGTAAATGTATTTCTTACTGTAGACTTGAGGTCAGGAGAGTGGGCTGTACTGGACACATATTGATATTATTTGTATCTATTCCATGTATCACTTTCTCCTAAAGCATCAAATCTAATACAAAAAAAGAAAAGCAAAACACAAAACCTAGGCTCAAATTCCACCTTGGCCATGTTTTAGCCGAGTAACTCACGTTCCCCGGTGTCTAATCTTTACCAGAAACTTCCTTATCTTTAACATAGGGAAAAAGCCTTTTCTTCTTTCCAGGGTTGTTGTGGACTCAAACGAGAGGCTGTTAGTGAAAGGTTTTTGTGAGTTATGAAGCTCCTAGGAACCCAATTATTTCTGCTGCCTTGGCCACATAGTCTAGAAGAATCTCTACATAATTAGCATCTAGAGACTAGATAATTTACCCATTATTTTCCATGTGCTTGTCTTATTTCCCAGCATGACGGTAATATTTCCAAGGGAAAGATCTAGGATATATATCAAGTAACGTTTATCATAAAAATAATGAAATTGCTAATAACTATTAATTTATTGTCATGTTGAGACTCTGCTCTAAGTACTTTGTATGGACTGTATAGCAATTTATCCCTGCACGAATCCTATGAGGTATGTGTATTTATTGTTACTGTTTTACAGATATTGAAACTAAGACACTGAGCCTCTATTTTAGCCTCATGTCTTCTTTCCTTCCAGCTTTTCCCAGGCAAGTAAATGCAGGCCACAGTCTGCCAGCTGTCCAACCATTCAGGCTTTTCATTATTATAGGAAGCATCTGGCCAAGGACCACCACCATCTTCCTGTCCTGCCCCTGAAGCTGTGAGTTCCCCAAGTGGAGACACAGCCTGTTCCCCAACACCTACACTCATGAACATGGGAGGGTTGGTCAAAATTGCACAGCTATCATGCTTAGTTTTATACTCAGGTGTAAGTGACTGATAGAAGGGCCTTTTGGAGGTGGAGAGTGCGCAGGTTCTGAAGAGGCAAGACCGGGGAAGTCTGGACCTGCTTCCAGAGTGTCCTCCCACAAGGCTTAGTGCTCAGGACCTGTAGTGGGTTGAATATGTTCCCTAAAGTTCGTGTCTATCCAGCATCTCAAAATGTGAACGCATTTGGAAACTGGGGCTTTGAAGACGTAAGTAGTTAAGGATCTTGAGATGAAATCATGCTGGATATAGGATGGGCCTTAAATTCAATGACTGGTATCTTTATAAGAGAAAGGAGAGGGAAATTCGGACACACAGAGATGAGTAAGAAGCCATGTGAAGATGGAGGGAGAGATTGGAATGAGGCTGCCACAAGCCAAGGAACATCAGAAGCCACCAGAAGCTGAAAGAAGCAAGGAAGGATTCTCCCTGAGAGCCTTTAGAGGGAGCATGGTACTTTATTTCAGACTTCTGGTCTCCAGAACTGTGGAAGAATACAGTTCTGTTGTTTTAAGCTACCAAGTTTGTGGTCATTTGCTATGGCAGCCCTAGGAAACTAACACAGGTTGAGTATCCCTTATCTGAAATGCTTGGGACTGGGACTGTTTCGGGTTTCAGATTTTGGAATATTTGCATATATATAAAATGAGATATATTGGGGATGGGACCCAAGACTAAACACAAAATCCATCTATGTTTCATAAATACCTTATACACACTTACACTATGCCCCATTTTCTCCAACAACTTGACTTTCTGTACTATAGATAAACATAAATGTTTTCTCTCCCTTTTTTTTTTTTTTTTTGAGACAGAGTCTTGCTCTGTCGCCCAGGCTGGAGTGCAATGGCACAATCTCGGGTCACTGCAACCTCCTGGATTCAAGTGAGTCTTCTGCCTCAGCCTCCCGAGTAGCTGGGACTACAGGCATGTGCCACCACGCCGGCTAATTTTTGTATTTTTAGTAGAGACGGGGTTTCACCATGTTGGTTAGGCTGGTCTCAAACTCCTGACCTCAAGTGATCCAGCCGCCTCGGCCTCCCAAATTGCCGGGATTACAGGCATGAGCCGCCGCGCCTGGCCTTGCTTTTTCTCTTTTAAAATTACTGTTACTCATGGGGTATCTGCAGGCCTTTTTGATATTTTCAACAATATCTTTATACCACAGAGCAGAGAATAAGCAAAAAAACCCCACAGTGAGTAAGGCACGTAGGTCTTGGCTCCTACATGGGGCATTATGGGGAACGTGCTGTTGACGACACTGGCCTGCACACATGCCATTTTATGACCCTTTGTGGGTGTGTGCACGTTGGGGAAACCGGGCATGTGCAGAAAAGATATATCTCAGCGGAAAGGGGCTGGGAGGGCCTTTTATTTCCTTGGGGGAAATACTGTGCATTGTATGACCCGTTGTGTGAGGTCAGGTGTGGAATTTTCCACCGAGGCACCACATTAGTGCTCAAAATTGTTCAGATTTTGGAGCCTAGGGTTTCGGATCTTCAGATTAGGGATGCTCAACCTGTACAACATCCTTGCAACAATCTAGGTGTGAGCTTTCCTCAAGAGCAAGAAGAGCTTGCCACTTCTGCTATATGACCACGGTGAAGCCAGCCTGTCACCCTCCTGCCCTGGATGACCCCAGGGAGCTCTACAGAGGTCCATGGCTGGGGGAGGCCAGCAATTGTCTAGGAGAGCTCAGTCCACTTGCAAAGACGACAGATCTCTCTACAAATTCTGGGCTGAGCAGGTGAAGGAGGCTGGTCAGGCCCATGAAGGAGCCTAGTCAGCCGTAAGGAAAGGTTCACTGTGGGGCCCCCGACTTTCCATTCCTGATCTCCTTTTTACCTCTGCTGCCCACTTCCTTTCCTCTTTCCCTCCAAGTATACCTTATACTCTGCTCCTGATGACACTCAGATCTCCCCCCGCCCCCCCGCCCCCATCAAATATAAAGAGCCTAGTGACTTTTGTAAGAACGGTGTATTCATTTCCTAGTGTTGCATTAATAAGTTACCATAAACTTAGTGGTTTAAAACAACACAAATTTGCCGGGTGTGGTGGCTCACGCCTGTAATCCCAGCACTTTGGGAGGCCAAGGCGGGTGGATCACCTGAGGTCAGGAGTTCGAGACCAGCCTGACCAACATGGTGAAAACCCGTCTCTACTAAAAACACAAAAATTAGTCGGGTGTGGTGACGCGTGCCTGTAATCCCAGCTACTCAGGAAGCTAAGGCGGGAGAATTGCTTGAACCTGGGAGGCAGAGGATGCAGTGAGCCGACATCACGCCATTGCACTCCAGACTGGGCAACAAGAGCGAAACTCCGTCTCAAAAAAAAAAAAAAAAAAACATGAAACCAAACAAAACGAAAAAAACCACACAGATTTATTCTCTTACCATTCTGGAGGTCAGAAGCCCAAACATAAGTTTTAAGGGGCTAAAACAAATGTCTGAAGGACTGGTTTGTTCTGGAGGCTCCAGGTATATAATCCACTTTTTGACTCTTCCAGCTTCTAGAAACTGGCATTTTTTAGCACCTGGACAGATCACTCTAATGTCTGCTTCTGTCATCACACCCCCTTCTCCCTGATTGACCCTCTCGTCTCTCTAAGGATTCATGTGATTATATTAAGGGCTCATCTCAATAATCCAGGATAAGTTCTTTATCTCAAGGTCCTTAATTTGTTCACATTTGCAAAGTCCCTTTGCCATATAAGGTAACATATTCACAGATTCCAAGGATTGGGATGTGGATATCTCTGTGGGGCTATTATTCAGTCTACCACAAATGTGCACTCCTTTCTAAAGTATTTATCTTCGAGCACTGAGGGGAACTCTGCCTTCAGCTAAGGCTACACAACTATCCTGATGGTGGACTGTAGCAACTTGTAGGCAAGGGGTACAGCTCAGGGCAGCTACCTCTCCCTCTTCTCGGGCCAACCTGGAGGAAGTTCCTTCCAGAGTCCAGGCTATACTTGCTTCTGGCCTGCAAATTCCCGAGAATTCTTTGAAACCTAGGAGGGGCCTGGGTATTATGCCGTTTTGAGTGAGAATTCAGAGGCCAGTGGAATTAGGGCAATCAGGCATTTCCTGATCATCTGCTATGCTCCAGGATGCTGACTTGAAGAGATGAACAAGGCAAAATGCCCATTCTGACGGCACTCAGAATTTCACGGGGAACTGGAAGGATAAATGAATCTGGGAGGAACTGCTAAAACAGGTAGGAGAGGGTAAGCTTGTTAGAACCTGAGAAGAATGCTGTCTGAAAAGGTAGAGAAGTCAGGAGAAGCAGTGAGGCCCTCAACCCTGTGTGTCACAATGCCTCCTGTCATTTCCTCTCTGAGTTTCCAGTACAAGCTTCTCGGTGGCTGTTTTCTGCCCAAGCACATGAACTTTGGAAGACCTAGCACTTTGGACAAAGTCCCTGGCCCTGACACTTAATAGTTTGGGGAACTTGGGCAAAATACTCAAAGCTTCCCAGTCTGTAAAGTGAGAATGATAAAACATCTGCCTTCCTTGCAGGATTGTTGTGGTGATGTGTAAGACAAAATATCAAGCATAGTCAGCAGTCACTGAGCTTAAGGAATGTTAAGTTATAATCATTATTTCTGAACTTCAGTGCCCAATATGACCCTGTTGACACCTCCTTTGCCTCCTTGGGACATACTCTCTTCTGGTGGTCCTCATCCCTTTCCAGCTATCCTCTGTCTCTTGGTATTCTCCTAATCTACCAACTCCCATCAATGTTCCTGCTTGCCCAGGGTGCCTGTCTCAGTCCTCTTCTTTTCTCCCTAACCCCTGGGAAGATCTCATCAAATTCCCTGCCTCTCGTTTTCCTTATCGATTTGCTGAGGGCTTACTCACAAGTTTCTCCAGCTGAGACCCTTTACTGATCAGAGTAATAACAACTGGTGGATGTGTTCTCCTAGGTAGAGAACAGGAATCTCAATTTTTAATGTTGGGAGGGACTTTATGCATCTTTTTGCTTTCAAAAGCAATTTCTGGCTGGGCGTGGTGGCTGATGCCTGTAATCCCAGCACTTTGGGAGGCCGAGGTGGGTGAATAACTTGAAGTCAGGAGTTCGAGACCAGCCCAGCCAACACGGTGAAACCCCGTCTCTACTAAAAATACAAAAAATTAGCTGGGTGTGGTGGCAGGCGCCTATGATCCCAGCTACTTGGGAGGCTGAGGCAGGAGAATCGCTTGAACCCGAGAGGCGGAGGTTGCAGTGAGCAGAGATCTCGCCACTGCACTCCAGCCTGGGCAACCGAGAGAGACTCTCTCAAAAAAACAAAAACAAAAATAAAAGCAATTTCTTCTCTCTGCATTCTCCATGTTACTGAAACCTAACATCAACCCCATAGCTCCTCAGGCCAGAAGCTCCTTTATTGCATGCATTCTCCAAATGCCTAAATCACCAATTTTTTCTTTCTTTCTTTCTTTCTTTCTTTCTTTCTTTCTTCTTTCTTTTTTTTTTTTTTTTTTTTTGATACGGAGTCTTGCTCTGTTGCCTAGGCTGGAGTGCAGTGGTGCGATCTCAGCTCACTGCAAGCACCGCCTCCCGGGTTCACGCCATTCTCCTGCCTCAGCCTCCTGAGTAGCTGGGACTACAGGCACCCGCCACCACGTCCGGCTAATTTTTTGTATATGTAGTAGAGACGGGGTTTCACCGTGTTAGCCAGGATGGTCTCGATCTCCTGACCTCGTGATCTACCCGCGTTGGCTTCCCAAAGTGCTGGGATTACAGGTGTCAGCCACCACGCCCGGTCAATTTTTGTATTTTTAGCAGAGAGGAGGTTTCACTGTGTTGGCCAGGCTGGTCTCGAACTCCTGACTTCATGTGATCGGCCCACCTTGGCCTCACAAAGTGCTGAGATTACAGGCATGAGCCATCACGCCCCGCCCTAAAACACCAAATCTTATTAAATCTATATTCTACAACTCTGTCACATCCATCACTTCATCTCTGCCCACTCCTAGCACTGACTTAGCTGAGGACATCATCAATTCTGATCAAAGGACCCTAAGTCTAAGTAACAATACCACTTTCATGGTAGGCTTTCCCCGGAACCAGCTGGACATAATGAGAATTTTCAAGAGAATGTGAATTGCTCTTTACTTGATTTTCTTTTTTTTTGAGATGGAGTATCGCTTTTGTCGCCCAGGCTGGAGTGCAATGGTGCGATGTCAGCTCACTGCAACCTCCACCTCCCGGGTTCAAGCGATTCTCCTGTCAGCTTAGCCTCCTGGGTAGGTGGGATTACAGGCGCCCGCCACCAAGCCCGGCTAATTTTTTTTTTTTTTTTTTTGTATTTTTAGTAGAGATGGGGTTTCACCATGTTGGTCAGGCTGGTCTGGAACTCCTGACCTCAGGTGATCCGTCCGCCTCGGCCTCCCAAAGTGCCGGGATTTCAGGCACGAGCCACCGTTCCCGGCGATTTTCTTTTCTTTAAGACTAATCTGAAAGTGCGGAACTCTGTGTACCTGAAATGATTACATTTTGATATTGACATGAAAAAATTGGGTACTACTTTGCCCCAGTTTCTCAACCCAACAAAGACATTCCAAAAGTTTCCTATGGGGCCTAGGAAGGTTGGCCTTCACAGGATAGTGGCAGGAGTGTTAACTTTGTCCTATTACCAAAAGGTGTCAAAGCTGTTACTAAATTGTCTGTGTCAGTATCGGAAACCCCGACAGCACTGGAGAATTCCTCATGGTCCTTCCAGACCATGGTCACAGTGAGAAGCAGATTCTGTTGCCCTGGCCCTGTGGGGAAATCCCCAAGATGGCTGCTGATAGTTAAGGAAACAGTGTCCTGCCATGGCCTGACCCTAGGCTGGGTGAGAGAGAGTGGGTCAGACAGGCTGCACTTCCTCAGTGAGTGTGCATACACCTGTTCGCACTGCCTATCGTTTCCTCACCCAGTGTGAGAGCAGGGGGCTCAGTTGGGCTGAGTGGAGAATTCATGGGACCTTTCCATGGTCAAGGCCCAGAGCTTCTATTGTGTAGCATCCCTGGAACAGAGAACAGGAGGCAGTCACAAGGCCCCAGCTTCAACCTTTGACAGTACACCAGAAAAGACCAAGTAGTGAGGCCTCCACTGTCTCACACCAGCCAAGAAAGACCAGGTCTTAGACTATCCAGTGTTCCTGCCTCTCTTTCACGGTGCTGTATCTGGGGAATGAATACTCCATTGTCATAGGAGGGGCAGATGCGGGCGGAAGACTCAGAAGGGTCAAGGTAGGACATAGACATTCCCACTAAGCTAGAGACCCCTGAACTGCCATAGCCATGACATGCACACGTTGTCCTCAAATCCCAGGGCCATGGGCAGGTCTTGGATATCTTTGGAATTTTAAGTTGGTTGGCATCTGTCTAGTTTTAAACCTGATTTAGGTTCAGTTCAACCAGGGAGTATGATTCTTTGGGGAGAGGGCCCTGACCTAGAAATCTACATGCTCAGCGGTCTGCTCAGCCACTAATGGCTCTGACACACTGGAAAGGCACTCACCCTCTGGGAGTTTCAGACTGTATCTTTGAAAACAAAATTCAGTGGATGGGGTGCAAAGGTATTGTCCTCAACAGCTCTAAGTTACTACTTCTAACTCACAGAGCACATATCACAAAGGATCCCACTATCCATTGTCGGTCTGAGCAGGGAATGAGACTTTGGCAGACCATGAATCCTGTATTAATTTCTAGGGGGACTATAACAAAATACCACAGACTTGGGGGTTTAAACTGAGATTGCACCACTGCACTCCAGCCTGGGTGACAGAGTAAGACCCTGAGTCAAACAAAAAAAAAAAAAGTGTATACATGGGAGCACTCTGTGATGAGTAACTCAAAGGAGTGGTTAGAATTTGGGATCTACCTAGCAGCAGGGGAAAAGGAGGAGGAGTAAAGGACATATGGAAAACCAAATGACTTTTGAAAAGATAAATGGGCCCTTAGAATAGATGGAAGATTCGAGTCTTGTGACAATGTCTATTTGGGTGTGGTGACCACTTCTCATCTCCGAGGTTAGATTTGCTTCTAGTGCTGAAGAAGATTTATGACAACTGAGTTAAAAATTTGAGATTTGCGAGGAGGATCTGCTATTAAACAGGTAAGGGATTTTAGCTGTTTGTTTCAGCTGAAAATAATTCTTAAGTCGAAACTGGCACATTTGGAGGTAGCATGTCCTGATCCCCTTAAAAAGGGAACTGCACAGACACCGTATCTCTGATTCTGCCCAGGGTCCTGTGCCCTCTGACACCAGAAATCACCACTTCTCTCAGCCTTGTTTTGCGGTTGTTTTATCATGTTGCAATTTGGTTATGTCTTTTCTAATAGTGTTTAAAAGCAATCAAAGGCAGGAACTTTTCCTTTTATAAACTATTGTTGAGCTTATATTGGACACTGAACTAAGTGTCAGTTTACAAAAATGAATAAACAAAAATCACTGCCAGTAGGGAACACACAGCCAAGATGGGGGAGTAGTAAGATGTAAAGAGATGTAAAATAATGTGATAGATTCGGCCAGAGTTACTAAAGAGTCAGAAAAGGGCAAGCATGTTTCTTCCCTGTCCTGAAGCAGCCAAGGGAGAGGAAGATATCTGTTGCCAATGCTGGGGTGTTGGTTTAGGCATGTAGATGCTGTGATGCGCAGTGGAACCGTTCAATGAGCAGACAGGAGAACCAGCTTTATGCGGGGAGGGAGAGAATTGCTCCCCTCATCCCCCGTGAGTCACACCCTGGAGATTATAAGTTTAAACATTTTGATTTCGGGAGATTTTGAGTTTTGGGCTTAAAATGACTGAAGAACCACCAGGTGGATCTACGTGTCTCGAGTCCAGAAGTCTGAATACAGATTTACGATTTATGAGCACACAGAAGGTGGATCCAAGGGAGAGATTAAACAGGGCACAGAAGAGTTTTTAAAAATAATATTTTTCGGGAAAAAAACCCCAACAAAACACGATTCTTTCAGCAGAAACCAGAAGATTTTCTCATAGACTCTCCTACAGAGAGCCCTGATAAAGTAATAAACATGCTAACAGTAAGAACCCCAACCAATTTCATAGGGCAGTTTGCGGTAACTACTCCCAGTATGGAGCAGACAGTCCTCTTGCAAAACCCGATTTAGCAAACTTTGCTAGCTCCATGTGGGGCCTCCAAAGGACACAGCTGGGCACTAAATCCTGGCTGAAAACAAAGGCCGATTTAGAGGATCCGTAGAAACGGATGCACAGAATATCCCTCAGTCTTCTCTATGTAGCAGGCCCTCCATATACGCGGGTTCCCCAAGACCGAAAATATTAAACAAATGAATTTCTTTTTTAAAAAAAAGTACAACAAAAGATAGTAAAAATAAAAACAGTATAACAATTACTTACATAGCATTTACACTGGATTAGGTGTTACGAAGTAATTTAGAGACTATTTAAAGTACACGGGAGGATGTGCATAGTTATGTGCAAATACTACGCCACTTTCTATGAGAGACTTGAGCAACCTGGATTTTGGTATCGGCGGGGGCCCTGGACCAATCCCCTCTCAGTTCTACCGAGGGAGAACTGTTTTGTTTCTTCCAGCACGGCTTTGACCGACAGTGTGTTGGGATTCGCTGACGTCCATGAGAAAGCTTGGCAGCATGCTGAGACCAATTTTCCCAGGGCCAGAATTCTCCTGTGTGAGCTAAAATACAGTGGCTCGGTCCAACAAAACAGAGCCTGGAGCCAGGAATTATGGCGAACCTGCTCCCTCCCGTCCTCCCTTGGCGCACAGATCCCTGGCGCCGCCGCTCTTGAGGTCGCCTCTCGCGTGTCGACCTCATCGTCGGAACGGCGCTTCCTGAAGCTTTATATAAGCACGGCTCTGAATCCGCTCGTCGGGATTAAATCCTGCGCTGGCGCGCTCCTGCCAGTCTCTGGCCTCCATTTGCTCTTCCTGAGGCTCCCTCCAGAGACCTTTCCCTTAGCCTCAGTGCAATGCCTTCCGGGCGTCCTCAGACCAGACACAGGCCAAAGCCACTACAGAATCCGGAAGCCCCGGTTGGGATCTGAATTCTCCCGGGGACTGTGGCGTAGCGGTTAAAAAAAAAAAAGAGTGAGAGGGACCTGAGCAGAGTGGAGGAGGAGGGAGAGGAAAACAGAAAAGAAATGACGAAATGTCGAGAGGGCGGGGACAATTGAGAACGCTTCCCGCCGGCGCGCTTTCGGTTTTCAATCTGGTCCGATACTCTTGTATATCAGGGGAAGACGGTGCTCGCCTTGACAGAAGCTGTCTATCGGGCTCCAGCGGTCATGTCCGGCAGAGGAAAGGGCGGAAAAGGCTTAGGCAAAGGGGGCGCTAAGCGCCACCGCAAGGTCTTGAGAGACAACATTCAGGGCATCACCAAGCCTGCCATTCGGCGTCTAGCTCGGCGTGGCGGCGTTAAGCGGATCTCTGGCCTCATTTACGAGGAGACCCGCGGTGTGCTGAAGGTGTTCCTGGAGAATGTGATTCGGGACGCAGTCACCTACACCGAGCACGCCAAGCGCAAGACCGTCACAGCCATGGATGTGGTGTACGCGCTCAAGCGCCAGGGGCGCACCCTGTACGGCTTCGGAGGCTAGGCCGCCGCTCCAGCTTTGCACGTTTCGATCCCAAAGGCCCTTTTTAGGGCCGACCACTTGCTCATCTGAGGAGTTGGACACTTGACTGCGTAAAGTGCAACAGTAACGATGTTGGAAGGTAACTTTGGCAGTGGGGCGACAATCGGATCTGAAGTTAACGGAAAGCTACCGCGGCCCATAGCGCTCACAGCCGTAAAGACTTAAGTCGTTGACCGAAAGCGGCTTTTTCACTTACCTGGGCTTTTTTTTTTTTTTTTTTTTTTTTTAAAGCCTTTATCGGTATGAAAGGTTGAATGCTCTAGGTTTGAGCACTGCTTTCTCGGCTTGCTCTTCTGGTGCAGTATAGGCACACCTAGAGGGCCACGTCAGTCTTTGCGATCACCAAATCTGGTTCTGAGAAATAGGCACTGGCAATTTACACATGCCTTGCTGTGTAATCTCACTATATTTGCTCAGGCAAAGTGGGAGAAGCAGCCTTAGGTTTTCATTCTAGAGATGCCGGCTTTCCCACCTGATCGGCTTAGAGTTCACGATTGACTGTTTTGGGCTTCATTTCACCCTCTACATAACAAGCGGGTGGACTAGATGCCTTAGCAAGGGTCCGTGTTGTGTGGTGTCTCCAGCCACGCACTCAGCTCAATCTTAGCACAGTTAAAAAATGCCTTTCTAGCAAGTTATCTGCCCAGTGCCTGAAAAGTATCATTTCTTGTGTTCAATAAAAAGCCTCCTAATTTAATCAAGGACCTATGAGATAACTGTCTTTTAGTTGTGGCATTGCAAGGATACAAATGCAGAGATATTTTAAAGTGATCCTTCTGTAAGAGTGAACCAACGATATGATCTGAAAGCAACTTCACAGGTAATTCAGGTATGTGACTTCTACCTCTTAGGGCCTGTTGTAGCTTAGAATGAGAGACCTGCAGAAACATGCCCACCATCAATACAGAAAGCACAATTTAATTTTGACAAGGCCAAAAGCCAATTCTGTATCAGCATGGCGTATATTACAGCAAGCTATTCTTTACGCTACCACCTCTAAATTGCCCTAATTTGGATTAAAATGTGGGTTCACATTTCTAATCCTTATAGTTTTGCAGCCATTGCATTGCCCGTAAGATTTTTTTTTTCTTCATTCCAGGCTTATGATTTTACTGTGTATGTATTTGGGAGAAGAAATTCTGTCAGCTCCCAAAGGATAAACCAGCAGTTGCTTTATTGGTCTTCAGATGTGGCTGCAAACACTTGAGACTGAACTAAGCTTAAAACACGGTACTTAGCAATCGGGTTGCCAGCAAAGCACTGGATGCAAGCCTTGCCTTCCAGAAGCTTACCAGTCGGGTTGCCAGCAAAGCAGTGGATGCAAGACTTGCCCTCCAGGAGCTTACCATCACAACGAAGAAGACAAATAAATGCATAATATATAGACGACATAAATCCATACTGTACACATTTAAGAATAAACAGTCCAGTAGTAAGAGGCAGTACATATTCAATCTGCTGAGAAATGTAGACAATAACTACTATAAGAATCCTAATGCTACAGAAGTCACTGGCTGCTGGGAAACCGGGGAAAACTTGGCTATGGACGTGGGGGCTTGTGTCGGACTCTGAATAAAGAGCAGAATGATTGGCGTCCTACTGAGATACATAGTAAAGGGGGCGAGGGCAGGGAGGAAGTGGCAAGAATAACATTTGTGAAGATGTCCAGGTGAGAAATAGAGGTTTTAATGCTCAAGATGTTTCCTTTTCCCTTTTAAATCTGACCTGTGATTTCCAGCATTGCTATTTCGAATATCACTGATTGTTTTTAACTTTAAAGGCAATGCTGATGAATATATCTGATCCGCACCAAGATCCACTAAAGAAGGAGATCAAAAATTTGAAGATAAAGCAGAAAGGGAGTGGGGGAGAAAACACGTCCATTGTCTGAATTAGTGGTTCTCAAAGTGTAGCCTCTCATCTAGCAGCACTGATCACCTCGGATAAAATCTTGGGACCCATGCCAGACCTACTGAATGAGAAACTGAGGGGTGAGACATAGTAATCGGTGCTTTAAAAAAGCCCTCCCGATACACATTAAAGGTTGAAAGCCACTGATGCAGGTAACAGCTTTTCTTTTTTTCTTTTCTTCTTTCTTTCCCTCCCTCCCTCCCTCCCTCCCTCCCTCCCTCCCTTCCTTCCTTCCTTTCTTCCTTCCCTTCCTTCCCTTCCTTCCTCTTTCTTTTTTTGAGATGGAGTCTCGATCTGTCACACAGGCTGGAATGCAGTGGCACGATCTTGGCTCACCGCAATCCCCGCCTCCCGGGTTCAAGTGATTCTCCTGCCTCAGCCTCCCAGGTAGCTGGGACTACAGGTGCCCACCACCATGCCGGGCTAATTTTTGTATTTTTAGTAGAGATGGAGGTTTTGCCATGTTGGCCAGGCTGATCTCGAACTCCTGGCTTTAGGTGATCCACCCTCCTCGGCCTCCCAAAATGCTGGGATTACAGGCGTGAGCCACCGCGCCTGGCCTCTTTTTCTTTGGCATGAGCCACGGTGCCCGGCCAATTACTGAGAATTCCTGCCTTTTTCACAGGATTATTTTAAGGATCAAATGAAAAGTTCTGTGTGAAAGAAGAATGAGGCCATGAAGTGATACAGAAACCAAAGGTGATATATTTATTGCCTTTCCCACTCAATGTAGTTCGTTTTTTGTTTTGTTTTGTTTTGTTTTTTTGAGAGATGGTTTCACTCGACTTACTGTGACCAGGCGTTGCTTGGGTACTGCTGCTACTATGGAAATAAACAAAGACAAATCCTTACCCTGAGAAATGTTGCCAGCCTAATGCTGAGGTTAAGGAAGGGAAGGGGTATTAAGATAGGAGAGGGCAGAGGCAAGGAGGAGGGCCCAAAGAGATGAGGGCAAAGAAGAGCAAGGGAGCCGGGCACTGTGGTTCATGCCTATAATCCCAGCACTTTCGGAGGCCAAAGCAGACAGATCATGAGGTCAAGAGATCGAGACCATCCTGGCCAACATGGTGAAACCCCGTCTCTACTAAAAATATAAAACTTAGCTGGGCGTGGTGACACACACCTGTAGTCCCAGCTACTCCGGAGGCTGAGGCAGGAGAATCGCATGAACCCGGGAGACGGTGGTTGGAGTGAGCCGAGATCGCGCCACTGCACTCCAGCCTGGGTGACAGAGCAAGACTCCATCTCAAAAAAAAAAAAAAAAAGAAAAAAGAAAAGAAAAAAAAGAAAGAAAAAGAAAAAACAAAAAACCAGAAGAGCAAGGGAAGGCTCACAGGGCTGAATCTTGAAGAATGGGGGTTCTCAGGGTTACAGAGAAGGGGAGGACATTCTGGACAGAAATGGAATGTGTGAAGATATTGTGTACTTGGAGATTGCAGATGTCGTGTGGGGCTAAACATTCTTGTTCAGCTGCAAGAACATCTGAAACCTGGGAAGGCTGTGGGAAACATAAAGAACTAGATGTATAATATTTTCAGTTTTTTTTTAAATTAGTAACTATTAATAGAGTAGCACAAATTAATTGGGTGCTTGTTCTGGACCAGATACTGTGCTACTACTGTGCTAGGTCCTTTGTTTTTTTAGACATGGGGTCTCACTGCTGTTGCCGAGGCTGAAGTGCAGTGGCACAGTCACAGCTCACCACAGCCTCGAACTTCTGGCCTCAAGCAATCCTCTTGCCTCAGCCTCCTGAGTCGCTGGGATTACAGGCATGAGCACCGCAATTTACAGAAATTGTCACTTTCATGATTTCCAACAAAACAACGAGCAAGTTACTCGTTGTTTTACAAATGGGAAAAGTTAAACCTGTTGAGATTTGCTTCCTGAAGTCATGCACCTGTTTACATGGACAAGGCTAGGAATCAAACTTGGGTTTGTCTAACTCCAGAGTCCTTCCTAGTAATTAACCTCCGGTGCTCTGAACTGCCATGCAAAAGAATGTGAACTTCATTCTGAAGGGAATGGGAAGGTCGTGGAAAATTTTTAAGCATGAAAGTGACAGGCTCAAAACAGCAACACCAACCAACCAACCAACCAACAAAAAACCCTCAGTTTTTAAAAGATAGCTCTTGGCCGGGCGCGGTGGCTCACGCCTGTAATCCCAACGCTTTGGGAGGCCGAGGCGGGCGGATCACAAAATACAAAAAATACAAAACTACAAAAAATTAGCCGGACGTGGTGGTGGGCGCCTATAGTCCCAGCTATTCCGGAGGCTGAGGCAGGAGAATCGCATGGACCCGGTAGGCCAAGGTTGCAGTGAGCCGAGCTCGTGCCACTGCACTCCAGCCTGGGCGACAGAGCGAGACTCCGTCTCATAAAAAAAAAAAAAAAAAAAAAGATAGCTGTCATACGGAGTGGAAGCTCAATGGCAGGGCAGAAAGACCAGCCTGACTATGTAATCTACTAGACCAGAGCTGGCGAGGACTTCAGTTAAGGCATGGTCATGGGTGGACGGAGAAAAGGTGATACAATTGAAAGTCAGAAGACAGATTTAGTAATATTTGGAACTCATGAGATTTGGACAGAGGACAAGAGGAAGGGACACCCAACCAGAACAGATGGGGCTAATGAAGGTGTCTTCCAGGAAGATGGGGAATGTGGAAAGAAACAAATGGGCTTGGAAAGCAAGATGAGGCATGTGGTTTTGGAAATAAGCTGGGTTTGAAGTGCCTAGTATCCATCCAGAAGGACCTGTCTACCAGGCAGTTAGAAACATTGGTGTAGCCAGGCACAGTGGCTCACGTCTATAATCCCAGCACTTTGGGAGGCCAAGGTGGGAGGAGGGCTTGAGCCCAGGACTTCAAGACCAGCCTGGGCGATGAAGTGAGACCCTGACTCTACAAAAAATAAAAAAAATTAGCTGGGCCTGGTGGTGTGTGCCCGTAGTCCCAGCTACTCAGATGGCTGAGGTGGGAGGACCCCTGAACCCAGGAGTCCAAGGTTGCAGTGAGCTTTGATTGTGCTACTGCACTCCAGCCTGGACGAGTGAGACCCTGTTTCTCTTTCTCTCTCTATCTCCCTCTCTCTCTCTCTCTCTCTCTCACACACACACACACACACACACACACACACACACAAAATGTGTAGAGCTCAGGATAGGGTCTCAGCAGAAGATAGCAATTTGGGAGCGCTTAGCTAAGGGACAGAAATAGTGAAAGCAGGCAATCAATCTCACTTGAGTTGCAGGGAGAAAAGAAGATGGCCAAGGCCAGCATGGGGGAAACCAGGAATATTGATGGGGAAGAGAAAGACATGAGAAGACTGAGATGGGGACCTAGAGAAGGATAAGGGTGACCAGGAGAGTGGACCCAGGGGACAAGTCCTCTTCTAAGGAAGAAAAATCAGTGTAAACGTGGCCATGTCTCTTACCACGTAGTTTCCCTCTAAACACACACACACACACACACACACACACACACACCTGTCCCCCACTAGCCTAAGGCAGAATTAAATGTGAACAAAGCACGTTTTTCACTTCATAAAAGCCACAGATTCAGAGTGGACTTACTGGCAACCAAGGTAGCCACGTAGAAGCTGGTTATTAGAGGAAGAGGTGGGTTTTCTTCGAGACAGGGTCTCACTCCCTGTCACCCACACTGGAGTGCAGTGGCACAATCTCAGCTCACAGCAGCCTCCGCCTCCCGGACTTAAGCGATTCTCCCACCTCAGCCTCCCGAGTAGCTGGGACCACAGGCAAATGGCACCACCCCCGGCTAATTTTTTCATTTTTCTTTCTGTCTTTTTTTTTTTTTTTGGTAGAGACACAGGGTCTCGCTATGTTTCCCAAGCTGGTCTGGAACTTTGACTTCAAGCAATCCGCCCGACTTGGCCTCCCAAAGTGCTGGGATTAACAGCTGTGAGCCACAATGCCTAGTCAGAGGAAGAGTATTTCTTTACCCTATCCTTAATTATCCTTTAACTCTCACCTGAGGGTAGACAATGATTTAAGTACAGGGAATGATTAAATGTTAAAACTTAACATTTTAGAATGTTATCTTGTATTGATGAATTCAGCTTATGCTGGTCTCGCAAACAAATACGAAGACTGACAGATTCCTGTGAGTGCAGGCCTTCACAGTGCCAGGACCACAAGATGTAATGAATTCTATTCCTGACTGGATATAAAAAATGCCACGAAATTTTCCTTTTGAGATTCAGCCAGGGAGACCTCCTGGAGTTTAGAGGTACCCAGACTGGTGAGTAAAAGGAGTGTGACCTTGTGGGGGCAGTCAGAGGACCTAGATGTCTGACACCAACATCCCCAGGTTCCAGTCTCTGCTCAGTTACTACTGGGCCTGAGAAGCTGGGTGCAGAGATAGTGACCCACCCACCTCTGAAAGTCACTACTTTTTGAAGTCAGAATACCGCCCATACATTGTGGGCCTAAGCAGGTTACGAGGGTCTCGGCAGAGACCCAGAGGCATGCTCTAGAAATTGCTGTGACCCTGGAGCAGAAACATGTGGCAGTCCCCAGCAGAGCTCACCTACGCTGCTCTCCTCGCTTAACACGCCTCAGGAAAGGCAAAATGGCAGCTTTACAAAACGAAGTTTTATTCCATTTCCCCTTCTCCCCTCTTAATTCTCATAGATCGCTGCAGTGAATGCTTTTAACCTGTCAACTGTGATGAAACAAACAGAAAACCGAAGCCCTGGCTTCTTCTGAGGTGCAAATAAATGACCGAGAAGGTGTTATCTAAGACCTCTACAGCCATTTGTATCTGGCCGTGTGTAGAGTGGGCTCTGCAAGACCCTGCCTCACTTTCCCACTAAGAGGCCTTGGACTTCCCAGCTCCCAGAGACTGTAGAGATCACCTCTGTGGCCTCCTGTCACGATTTCCTAAGGCGAAGAGCTTCATTTGCCCAACGGAGGCCCACGTTCTTCCTGTCTGATCTACTGTCTTCCCAAGGATCTGAACTCGGGCACCAGCGTCTGCCCACATGTCCGACGAAAACAACGTAAAGGAACTACTGAGTCTGGACAGAAAATCCAGACATACCATGCAGCTTCTAAGAGGACCGAGTGCCTTCACTGGAATAGTGAATCTCCTTCTGTGGACATGGACAGGGAACGGCTCGATAAAGCCCAGATTCACAAAATTCCGCCCACACCCCGTGCCCCCGGGAATTTTGGCTTAGGGGCAGGATATGGGGGTTACCACTGTGCTAGTGGAGGTGGCGCGGGGACTGAACGGCAGCCCCAGCGCAGTTCTCCCCACGTTTGTCCGCAGAACCCCGGCGAGGCCGAGGTGGTCATTTCCCTCCCTAGCCGGATGGCCGCGCCGGGTGAGGCCGGTTTGGGCGCGAAGCACGGGCGTGTGGCGCTCCACTTCCGCAAAGGCCAGCCGCGCTCAGGACCGCGAGCCCTGAGCGTCCCCCTAGTGACCCCTGGCCTCGTGCCCGACGCCCCGTCTCTCCTGCCCCGGCCCCCCCGCCACGCAGGGCCCCGGTCACGCGCGGGGGGAGCCGGACCGCCAAAGCCCGCGAGCCGGCGCCCAGGAAAGCGTCCGCAGCCCGGCCAGTGCGGATAGGCCAATTGGCCGAAGTCGGCAAAGCTCAAGACGGCACCGCAGCAGGGGGACCCGACCCCGTTTTGTTGGGAGCCTAAGCGGAAGTGCCTTCCCCGCTCTAATGCCGGAGGAGCACGGAGGGCAAGCGGTACAGCTTCTTCCAAGTGCTGATGTGGGTGGCTCTGAAAAGAGCCTTTTGGATACGATGGAACCTCCGGCCGAACCGCCACTTCTTAAGCCCGCTCTCCACGGATGCGGCGGGCCAGCTGGATGTCCTTGGGCATAATGGTCACGCGCTTGGCGTGGATGGCGCACAGGTTCGTGTCTTCGAACAGCCCCACCAGGTAGGCCTCGCTGGCCTCCTGCAGCGCCATCACGGCCGAGCTCTGGAAGCGCAGGTCCGTCTTAAAGTCCTGCGCGATCTCGCGTACCAGCCGCTGGAAGGGCAGCTTGCGGATCAGCAGCTCCGTGGACTTCTGGTAGCGCCGGATCTCCCGCAGGGCTACGGTGCCGGGCCGGTAGCGGTGCGGCTTCTTCACCCCGCCCGTGGCCGGCGCGCTCTTGCGGGCCGCCTTGGTGGCCAGCTGCTTCCTCGGGGCCTTGCCGCCGGTCGACTTGCGAGCAGTCTGCTTAGTACGGGCCATAGCGAACCAAAACACAGGCTTACCAGCGCAGCGGCGGGGAGAAAAACGAGCTCCTAGCCCCGCCGCAGCCGTCTTTATAAGCACAGTCTTTTCCCGATTGGGCGGAACAATAATTGAAAATCCCGCGCTGGCTGTCCATTGGCTGTGACGTCACCCGTCCTAAAGTCACCGGTTGGCTTGGGCAGATTCCTCCCTAATCCCGCCCACCCCGCCTCACTTTCTACTTACCAGTTGGCGAAGTTTCGCAAGCTTGTTTTTCCCCTTTCCTTCAGGGTGAAAGTCATTTTCCATTGCAGCTTTGTCAGATTGTTCCCTTTCCGCCCTTCGCTTCCTTAGAACACACTGCCCGCAATACCCCCCCTTTCTTGCTGCGCCCTACAGCTCCCGCGTGGAACCTCATTCTTCCATTTGCCCCCCGCCCCCAGTTGCTACTTGGCGGATCGTTTTTCGCCTGTCGGGTGCCTTTTGGGTGGGAGAGGTGCCCGCCCCCAGGACGCAAGATTCCGCCTCCGAGGCCCTTACTCTCCGCCGCCAGGGCGCTTTGGAAAACAAAACAGAAACTAAGACTTAAGTCAGCTCAGTGAAGCCAAGACCCAGCTCCGCCACACTAGCGAGCACTACCCGCTCAGGGCCCTCCCCATCGGGGGTGGGGACGAGGAGCACGTCCCGCTGGTGCCAGACTAGGTCTAAGTGTCCGGCCATAGCCTGCGGAAACCACTAGGGAAGCGCGCGCTCCGCGCGCAACACTTCAGCGCGTTGGGTACTGCCCGCGGCGCTGGTGTTTGTGACTGTGTGGAGCGGACCGTGGCGGCGCCCAGGACGTTTGGTGCCTGCACCTGCCCTGGGAAGTCCTAGGACTGGGGACCCACTCATCGAAGAGCCAAGGCAGTTACGTGCTCCAGATGGAAGACGGCGCGCACACACACACACCCCGCCCCGCCCCGCCCCGTCCCGTCCCGTCCCGTCCCGTCCCGTCCCGTCAGCTCCAGGTTCGCTATTCACTACTGAGGAACGCTGGACTGAGAGTGGCCAGCATTAACAACTCTTTTATTTGAAAACGTGGGTGGCTCTGAAAAGAGCCTTTTGAGTTCACAGGTGCCCCTTCGAGACGCGGGCCGGGCTGGGCCCACTTGGGCCGGACGTCAGCCTCACTTGCCCTTTGCCTTGTGGTGACTCTCCGTCTTCTTAGGGAGCAGTACGGCCTGGATGTTAGGCAAGACGCCGCCCTGGGCGATGGTGACTTTGCCCAGCAGCTTGTTCAGTTCCTCGTCGTTGCGGATGGCCAGCTGGAGGTGACGAGGGATGATGCGCGTCTTCTTGTTGTCCCGAGCCGCGTTGCCCGCCAGCTCCAGGATCTCGGCGGTCAGATACTCGAGGACCGCAGCCATGTAGACGGGCGCGCCGGCCCCCACTCGCTCCGCGTAGTTGCCTTTGCGCAGCAAGCGATGCACTCGCCCTACCGGGAACTGAAGGCCAGCGCGGGACGAGCGCGACTTGGCCTTGGCGCGGGCCTTGCCTCCTTGCTTGCCACGACCAGACATGACAGCGATAGTAGTCACCGAGAGAAACTCCTGCCTGGCGATCGGGAAAGTCGCCGAAAACGCCGCTGCTTCACCTTTTTATAGACAGAACGGCGATTGTCCACGGAGCACTTTGATTGGCTCAAGCAAATTTTGTCCCGATAGCCAATAGGATAGCTCAGCCAGAATCCACTCATTTACATAATCTCGTCTCCCTCGCATTGCGCGCCGCGGAAAACTCGCGAACCATAACGCAGCGTCATGCGCACAGCCTCTGTAAGTACACAGTCGTTTCCGGTAGACCCCGAGCCTACCGCTCTGCTTGCGTTCTCGGGGGTCGGTGTCGGTCTTGGGTCTGGCCATGCCTGAGCCTGCAAAGTTCGCGCCGGCTCCCAAGAAGGGCTCCAAGAAAGCCGTCACCAAAGCCCAGAAGAAAGACGGCAAGAAGCGCAAGCGCAGCCGCAAGGAGAGCTACTCCATCTACGTGTACAAGGTGCTGAAGCGGGTCCACCCCGACACCGGCATCTGGTGCAAGGCCATGGGCATCATGAACTCCTTCCTCAACGACATCTTCGAGCGCATCGCGGGAGAGGCGTCCCGCCTGGCGCACTACAACAAGCGCTCCACCATCACGTCCCGGAGATCCAGACGGCCGTGCGCCTGCTGCTGCCCGGCGAGCTGGCCAAGCACGCCGTGTCCGAGGGCACCAAGGCGGTCACCAAGTACGCCAGCTCCAAGTGAGTCCCTGCCGGGACCTGGCGCTCGCTCGCTCCCTCCCTCCCTCCCTCCGCGGGTCGCCGGCTGCTTTGTCTCCAAAGGCTCTTTTCAGGGCCACTTAACCCCGTTAGTGAAATAAGCTGTTTTCCCACTGCTTACTGTGAGTTCTACTTAGGGGTTTTCCCTCAGCACCTATCCCTTTTCCTGCAGATGATGGGAGAGGAATATAAGATAAAGCTATAAGATGTAGCTTGGTCGAGAACTACCTTGTAGTGACAGGGTCATGTGCACATAATTTGCCTTTTCCAAAGTGAGACGATATGCTACGGGTGCGGTCAATGTAAATCTGCTCAGGAGAGTCAAGGGAAAAAGTGTTAACTGCATATTGAGCTCGCAAAATTGTGTAGTAACCTGAAAATATTCCTAATAGTTTTGCGACCAAGCCTCACCATATAAACTTTCCTTCCGCACCTGTAGACCTCCATTCTGTGGTTGAAGCAATTTTTGGTTTATATAGCTCTCTTGTCTCAATTTGGTATTCCTTTCAGGTACTGTGAGTCTATAGGTATTTATTTCTGGGTTTCAAGACGTTAAATGCCATCAGAATTGAGTAATGCAAAGGCTGCTGTCATGGATAGTAAAGCTTTTTAGTCAAGTGCTGATAGACAATTCCCCATTGTTATCGTTGGGTATTTTACAATTTTCTGGGCAAGAAATGTAATGAAAAATTAAGTAAGTTTTAAAGGCCTTCGTCTTTGAGACTGGATACCTAAAACAATAGTGTTTCCTAAACAGTTAAAACTTATTTAACCCTGAAGCTTTCGAGACACACAAATATATACAAATATATATTGTATATTTCTTAAACCCCACATA
The DNA here is from genome assembly GCF_000001405.40 of Homo sapiens. NCBI lineage: Eukaryota > Metazoa > Chordata > Mammalia > Primates > Hominidae > Homo > Homo sapiens. The sequence goes on from NC_000001.11 coordinate 149,844,271, forward strand.
GTTCCACTGATCTAAATCACTGGGGGCGAGAGGCAAGGATAGACAATCTATGACACAACACCAGGTGATTCATAAGTTTGGTAACCACTGACATTTGATTATGCAGTTGCCATATTCCTTAGTAAGAACCTGGTCACAATTTTCACTCACTACCCCAGGCAATTCCCCCTCCCCACACCCCCCTTTTTTCTGAGAATTTCAGTGAGATATACAAAAGTTTCATTTAATCCTTTATTAATTCCAGACTTTATATATTTTTATTAGGATTTAAAATACATTTCAAAAAGATCAAGTGAGAACAGAAGATAAAAGTACCAAGATAAAGGCATAATACAAACTTAGAAAATACATGTTAAGCATACTGCGGCGTCCTGGTAGCCCCTTGCTTTTGTTCACTTTTTTCTCTTATGTACCTACATAAAATCCCAAATAGTATCTTCCAGGATGACACACTTGCTGTCTGCCCCACCCAATTAAAAACAGATTTTTTAGTTATTAGGTATTGTGCTGAATCTACCTTATTTTATTGCCAAAAGAAAAAAAAAAAAAAGCTTTTCAAAGCTTCATCCCCAGGAAACATTTTCCTGCTTTTACACATACCTTATATGGCTCTACTGAGAGATAAGGCCTAAGCCTGAAAAGTTAATTTAAAGCATGGAGGTAGGGGTGAGACAGAAAGACAACAGGGAAAAGTTGAGTTTATAAGGTAAGTATATATCTTCCTTTTAACAGCCACCTGCATGGCGTTCGGTAAATAACCTAATTATATGTGGGGGAAGGTAGTGGTCAACATTTGGTCCTGGGGACTGAGAATAAGAGCAGGAAAGCAATAAACAGCTAACTATGAGAGTGACTTAATGTAATTATATTACCTGTCAATCGCTACTTTTCCTTTCTTACCAAAATTCACACAGGTATGAAAGCAATATGACATTCAGGCTCCATTATGTGTATTTGTGCACATCACTTCCCACGATAAGGGAGAAGAAAAGAAACCACTGCACATTCGGATAAAACATGCTGGGAATACAGCAGTAAACAGAATAGAAAAAGTCTACATTTTAATTAGCAGATAAGTAAAAATAAGTGACTAAATGTATATTATTCAGGGGGCCATATGTGCAATTGCTGTTAAGTAAAGCAGAACATGGAGTGGAGTAGGGATGACAGGTTTCATCAGTTAATACTTGAGCAGAGAGCTGAATACAGTAAGATAGTTGTAGGATATCTTGAGGCAGAGTATTCTCAGAACAGAACATGGTAAGTACAAAGGCCCCAAGGCAGGAACAAGCTTGGTGAATGTGAGAAATATGCAAGCTGGTTAATGTGGCTGAAGCACAGTGACCAAGGGAAAGTTTTACAGAGATCACGGAGGTGCTTGAGGGCTGGATTATGTAGGCCATTAAGGAGCATCACAGGCCACTGCAGAGATTTTGTCTTTTAAATGAGATAGAGTGCTCTTGGAGAATGTGACTGGAGAGGCCGATGGTAGCAGTGGAGATGCAGAGTAGTAGCCGAGATATTTTAAATGAAATTGATTTAGTATAGGCTGACTGAAAGAGAAATCAAGGATTAATTGTAGGTTTTTACACTGAGCACTTGAAAAGAGCTGCTATTTGCTGATATGAGTAAGGAGTAGTCTTGGAGGAAGAAAACCAAGAGTACTGTTTTGAACAAAATGTTGAAGACTCCTGGTAAATATCGAAGTGTAAATATCAAATAGGAAGTCAGAAATATGAGAATCTGGAGTTTAGGAAAGAGAAGGGGGTTAGGTTTGTAAGATCTCATATCAGTCTGATTCTTATTTTTTTGTAGATAATCTACCCTTTCTTTCTGTAAATGTTTAGAAGCATGATGTCTATGTGTGTATATATACACACACACTCACTCCCCCCCGCCAGGACTGCCTCAGTTTTCATCTCAGTATTTGACTAAAACCTTCTATTCAACTTCAGTTTCAGCCTTAGAATAACCAGATGTCTAAGTCAATGTCATTTGGGGCATCTCTAGACTTGTGCAATCACAAAAGTCACCATTACCGCTACATAGTACGTATTATGACCAATGGATATCATTCAGAGTTCTAGTTTACATATGCTATTATCAAACATATGTAAGCCTTTTAATGTAACTTGGGAGTGAAATTAGTAAAATTCTATCAATTTACATAAATTAATTTTACTGTAAAAATAAAATACATTATGAAAGTTTCTGTACTAATGTCTTTGATTACAATTTTTAAAGTATTTCCCATTTTTTTATTTTGAAAATTTTAAACCTACAGAAAAGTTGGAAAAAAAAGTACAAAGACCAGCCATAGTCCCTTCACCTGGATTCACCAATTATTACAATTTTGCTGCATTTGCCTTATCTTTGTCTTCTCATGTACACAGACAGCCTCTGAACCATTTGAAAATAAACTGCAAATATGTTGGCACTTCTCCCTAAATATGGTGGCATGTCTCTTAAAAATAGGATATTCTCCTAAATAGCTACAATCACATTATTACACCTAACAAATTTAATGCTGATTCAGTAATATTAATATGCAATCCATATTCAAATTTCTCCAATTATTGAAAAAATTCTATATAGATGTTGTATTAGTTTCTTGTGGCTGCTGCAACAAATTACTACAAACTCAATGGTTTTAAAACAACAGTCATTCTCTTACAGTTTTGGAGGTCTGAAGTACAAAATCAATTTTACTCGGTAGAAATCAAGGCTGCACTCCCTCCAGAGACCTTAAGGGAGGGTCTATTTCCATGCCTTTTCCAGCTTCTAGAGGTTTATTTCTGGTTTATGGTCCCTTCCCTCTGTCTTCAAAGCAAGCAGCCTATTAATCTTCAAATCCCTCTCTCCTTCTATCGCCTCCTTCTACACTTGACTTTCTTGCCTCTCCTATAAGGACTGTGGTGATTACATTTGGGGCCTACCTGGATAATCTGGCATAATCTCTCAATCTCAGAATCACATCTGCAAAATCCTCTTGGCTATATAAGGTAATATTCACAGGCTGTAGGGATTAGGATATGGACATATTTGGGAGCCACATTTAGCCTGCCACAGCCATTGACTACTGTTATGGGTTGAGTTGTGTCCCCCCGAAAGATATGTTGAAGTCTAACCCCTAGTTGCTTAGAATTTTGCCTTCTTTGGAAACAGGGTCTTTACAGAGGTAATCAAGTTAAAATGAGGTCTTTAGGGTGGGCCCTAATCCAGTATGACTGATACCCTTATAAGAAGACATGGAGACAGCCGGGTGCAGTGGCTCACATCTGTAATCCCAGCACTTTGGGAGGCCAAGGCAGGTGGATCACCTGAGGTCAGTTCGAGGCCAGCCTGACTAACATGATGAAACTCCATCTCTACCAAAAATACAAAATCAGCCGGGCGTGCTGACGCATGCCTGTAATCCCAGCTACTCGGGAGGCTGAGGCAGGAAAATTGCTTGAACCCGGGGCACAGAGGTTGCAGTAAGCCAAGATCATGCCACTGCACTCCAGCCTGGGCAACAAGAGTGAAACTCCATCTCAAGAAAGAAAGTAAAAAAACATGGAGACATACATGAAAAAACTGAGGTAGAGATTACAGTTATGCTGCCAGAAACCAAAGAACAAGTGGGGCTACCAGACACTGAAAGACAGGAGTCTTCCCCTAGTGGGTTTGGAGAGAGCATGGCCCTACCAACACGTTGATTTCAAACTTCTAGCCTCTAAAACCATGAAAGAATAACTTTGTGTTGTTTTACGCCATACAGTTTGTGGTACTTTGACAGCCCCAGGAAATTAGTACAACTACTAAAATTTTTTGATTTAGTTTATTTAAAATTTTTAAATAAAATTTCACATCTGAAAAAAAACCCTGGACATTTTTCCTGTGATGGTAATATTAGTCTTTAGCCTTAGTCAAGTATTAACATTTGGACATCTGTTCCAAATATGTAATTGGAGCAACTCTGTCCTAATTGACCCTATTTGACTTGAGACCTTTCATGAAAGGTCTTTCCTTTTATCTAGGAAATTATTATTCCTGAAATATTTCAAGATTCAAACTGGTATAAGTAAATATGTCAGACAAATTGGCTTAACTGGAAGTCCAAAGGTGCAGCAGGGATCCAAGGTTGGCTGAACTCCATGAGTGGCTCAGTTCCCTGATTCTCCCACACTGTGTCCTCCTCTGCATATTGTCTATAATCATTCTTGCCTTCATACCTAAAGACAGTCCATCCTCCTGCTGCCTCTTGAAAGCAAATAAGCTGCTTTCCCAAAAGATAATAGCATACTACACTCCCCTGCTGAGTTAGTTGTTACTCAGTTCACTTCCTGAAATGTTAAATGCCAATGAGTTTGATCTAGATTCCTGAACTAATCACAGTAAGAAGCAGGTTCAGACAGCAATTAAACTAATCAGGCCAACCCTAAGAACTGTGGGTAAAATGCGTTTCTGGGAAACACATGTGGCAGCACTATAACAGAAACAATTAGAAAAATAAATGCTACCTAGTCAATAACATACATTATAGGACTATGAACTACTAAGTTACACCTCATGACAAACACATGAGTAATAAAGTCTAGAAAAATACTTAAAGGTGATGTCCATCATTCTCATTGCTGTGTTCACAGTTCACAGGTAGACCCTAAAGACAGGCTTGTGTTGTCTTTACTGAACCCTAGATGCATCTCTCAAACTGTCAACTGCACATATCCACTTGAATAGCAAAGAGCTTCTCAAATTTCAGTCGGAACTCTGGATCTCCCTTCAGTGTCCCAACGAATATCTTCTCTCAGTGTTCTATCCTAATAGTACCACTATCTACACAGTTGCTCAAGCCAAAAATCTAGGGGTTTCACTGTTAGCTAAATCCTGTTCCTCAGCCACACCTATTAATTCTACCTCAAAGATAAAATCCAACATTTGTTTCCATTACCACCATTGCACTCCAGCATGTCATTTATCCGTTGTTTTTCACACTTTAGCATATATCACCATCACCCAGAAAGCTTAACACAAATAATGGAACCTGGGAATTTTCATTTTTAGTAACTTCAAGTAATGCTGATGCTGCTGGTCTGGAGAGACTTTAAGTCTTAATCACTGTTCCAGCCCACAACACTGCAACAGCCTCCTAATTGCTTTCCTCGCTTCTATTGTGGCCAGCCTAGGATTTACGATCCCCAGAGCAATCAGTATAATATTTTGAGGTTAATGAGGCTGTGTGATTCCAAGTCCAGTGTTCCCAAAGCAGAAAACAAACCTAATCAACCTCCCTTGCAAATTGGTGGTCCTTCTCCTCTTCAGGGATCCCAAACTCTGGCTTCAGAAATCGTATATTTTGTTGCTATTGTATGGAACAAACCCTTAAACTGGACAAGCTTTTCCGAGTGATAACTCTTGGGGAAAAAAACCATTTAATGGTATTGGGTAGATTTTAGGGTATCTCAACTAGAAAGCGCAGAAGGTTATCGGTGTTAACTCCTGGTTATCAAAATCGAACTTCCATCTACCTCCTTAAGGAATTTTCACATGAGTGGTGGTGTAGGCACGTGTTTGTGAACCAATGATATAAAAACCTCAGGTTTCTCGATACCATATATAAAAGTTGAGCTATTCCCTTTTAAGTACACATCTGAGAGCATACAATGCATTTAATCTCTACCTTCATTTTACCACTGAAGAGCGGACCCAACCTTTGTTCATATACACAATTTGATCTTACATAAACTTATCAAAATTAACACTGCGTTTCTCAACAGGAAACAATCTCCTGGGCACATATTCACGGGTACGTAACCAGGCCAAAGACAGTTCAAGAGCAGCCCTCTAAGGCAAGCCCCAACCTATCTATGCCATAGTAAGATACCACTATCAATCTATGTAAGCTTACTTATAGCAATGCCTATGTGAAAAGAAAATAGTTATCTGTGCTTGGTGTTGTGTGCTCTCCTAAAGTTAACCAGACGTGAAGCCAAAAACATCAACTGGGACTGACAACACAAGAAAGATTCTTTAACTGAGGTGGTTAAATGGCCCTGAAAAGAGCCTTTGGAGACAAAGCAGCCGGCGACCCGCGGAGGGAGGGAGGGAGGGAGCGAGCGAGCGCCAGGTCCCGGCAGGGACTCACTTGGAGCTGGCGTACTTGGTGACCGCCTTGGTGCCCTCGGACACGGCGTGCTTGGCCAGCTCGCCGGGCAGCAGCAGGCGCACGGCCGTCTGGATCTCCGGGACGTGATGGTGGAGCGCTTGTTGTAGTGCGCCAGGCGGGACGCCTCTCCCGCGATGCGCTCGAAGATGTCGTTGAGGAAGGAGTTCATGATGCCCATGGCCTTGCACCAGATGCCGGTGTCGGGGTGGACCCGCTTCAGCACCTTGTACACGTAGATGGAGTAGCTCTCCTTGCGGCTGCGCTTGCGCTTCTTGCCGTCTTTCTTCTGGGCTTTGGTGACGGCTTTCTTGGAGCCCTTCTTGGGAGCCGGCGCGAACTTTGCAGGCTCAGGCATGGCCAGACCCAAGACCGACACCGACCCCCGAGAACGCAAGCAGAGCGGTAGGCTCGGGGTCTACCGGAAACGACTGTGTACTTACAGAGGCTGTGCGCATGACGCTGCGTTATGGTTCGCGAGTTTTCCGCGGCGCGCAATGCGAGGGAGACGAGATTATGTAAATGAGTGGATTCTGGCTGAGCTATCCTATTGGCTATCGGGACAAAATTTGCTTGAGCCAATCAAAGTGCTCCGTGGACAATCGCCGTTCTGTCTATAAAAAGGTGAAGCAGCGGCGTTTTCGGCGACTTTCCCGATCGCCAGGCAGGAGTTTCTCTCGGTGACTACTATCGCTGTCATGTCTGGTCGTGGCAAGCAAGGAGGCAAGGCCCGCGCCAAGGCCAAGTCGCGCTCGTCCCGCGCTGGCCTTCAGTTCCCGGTAGGGCGAGTGCATCGCTTGCTGCGCAAAGGCAACTACGCGGAGCGAGTGGGGGCCGGCGCGCCCGTCTACATGGCTGCGGTCCTCGAGTATCTGACCGCCGAGATCCTGGAGCTGGCGGGCAACGCGGCTCGGGACAACAAGAAGACGCGCATCATCCCTCGTCACCTCCAGCTGGCCATCCGCAACGACGAGGAACTGAACAAGCTGCTGGGCAAAGTCACCATCGCCCAGGGCGGCGTCTTGCCTAACATCCAGGCCGTACTGCTCCCTAAGAAGACGGAGAGTCACCACAAGGCAAAGGGCAAGTGAGGCTGACGTCCGGCCCAAGTGGGCCCAGCCCGGCCCGCGTCTCGAAGGGGCACCTGTGAACTCAAAAGGCTCTTTTCAGAGCCACCCACGTTTTCAAATAAAAGAGTTGTTAATGCTGGCCACTCTCAGTCCAGCGTTCCTCAGTAGTGAATAGCGAACCTGGAGCTGACGGGACGGGACGGGACGGGACGGGACGGGACGGGGCGGGGCGGGGCGGGGTGTGTGTGTGTGCGCGCCGTCTTCCATCTGGAGCACGTAACTGCCTTGGCTCTTCGATGAGTGGGTCCCCAGTCCTAGGACTTCCCAGGGCAGGTGCAGGCACCAAACGTCCTGGGCGCCGCCACGGTCCGCTCCACACAGTCACAAACACCAGCGCCGCGGGCAGTACCCAACGCGCTGAAGTGTTGCGCGCGGAGCGCGCGCTTCCCTAGTGGTTTCCGCAGGCTATGGCCGGACACTTAGACCTAGTCTGGCACCAGCGGGACGTGCTCCTCGTCCCCACCCCCGATGGGGAGGGCCCTGAGCGGGTAGTGCTCGCTAGTGTGGCGGAGCTGGGTCTTGGCTTCACTGAGCTGACTTAAGTCTTAGTTTCTGTTTTGTTTTCCAAAGCGCCCTGGCGGCGGAGAGTAAGGGCCTCGGAGGCGGAATCTTGCGTCCTGGGGGCGGGCACCTCTCCCACCCAAAAGGCACCCGACAGGCGAAAAACGATCCGCCAAGTAGCAACTGGGGGCGGGGGGCAAATGGAAGAATGAGGTTCCACGCGGGAGCTGTAGGGCGCAGCAAGAAAGGGGGGGTATTGCGGGCAGTGTGTTCTAAGGAAGCGAAGGGCGGAAAGGGAACAATCTGACAAAGCTGCAATGGAAAATGACTTTCACCCTGAAGGAAAGGGGAAAAACAAGCTTGCGAAACTTCGCCAACTGGTAAGTAGAAAGTGAGGCGGGGTGGGCGGGATTAGGGAGGAATCTGCCCAAGCCAACCGGTGACTTTAGGACGGGTGACGTCACAGCCAATGGACAGCCAGCGCGGGATTTTCAATTATTGTTCCGCCCAATCGGGAAAAGACTGTGCTTATAAAGACGGCTGCGGCGGGGCTAGGAGCTCGTTTTTCTCCCCGCCGCTGCGCTGGTAAGCCTGTGTTTTGGTTCGCTATGGCCCGTACTAAGCAGACTGCTCGCAAGTCGACCGGCGGCAAGGCCCCGAGGAAGCAGCTGGCCACCAAGGCGGCCCGCAAGAGCGCGCCGGCCACGGGCGGGGTGAAGAAGCCGCACCGCTACCGGCCCGGCACCGTAGCCCTGCGGGAGATCCGGCGCTACCAGAAGTCCACGGAGCTGCTGATCCGCAAGCTGCCCTTCCAGCGGCTGGTACGCGAGATCGCGCAGGACTTTAAGACGGACCTGCGCTTCCAGAGCTCGGCCGTGATGGCGCTGCAGGAGGCCAGCGAGGCCTACCTGGTGGGGCTGTTCGAAGACACGAACCTGTGCGCCATCCACGCCAAGCGCGTGACCATTATGCCCAAGGACATCCAGCTGGCCCGCCGCATCCGTGGAGAGCGGGCTTAAGAAGTGGCGGTTCGGCCGGAGGTTCCATCGTATCCAAAAGGCTCTTTTCAGAGCCACCCACATCAGCACTTGGAAGAAGCTGTACCGCTTGCCCTCCGTGCTCCTCCGGCATTAGAGCGGGGAAGGCACTTCCGCTTAGGCTCCCAACAAAACGGGGTCGGGTCCCCCTGCTGCGGTGCCGTCTTGAGCTTTGCCGACTTCGGCCAATTGGCCTATCCGCACTGGCCGGGCTGCGGACGCTTTCCTGGGCGCCGGCTCGCGGGCTTTGGCGGTCCGGCTCCCCCCGCGCGTGACCGGGGCCCTGCGTGGCGGGGGGGCCGGGGCAGGAGAGACGGGGCGTCGGGCACGAGGCCAGGGGTCACTAGGGGGACGCTCAGGGCTCGCGGTCCTGAGCGCGGCTGGCCTTTGCGGAAGTGGAGCGCCACACGCCCGTGCTTCGCGCCCAAACCGGCCTCACCCGGCGCGGCCATCCGGCTAGGGAGGGAAATGACCACCTCGGCCTCGCCGGGGTTCTGCGGACAAACGTGGGGAGAACTGCGCTGGGGCTGCCGTTCAGTCCCCGCGCCACCTCCACTAGCACAGTGGTAACCCCCATATCCTGCCCCTAAGCCAAAATTCCCGGGGGCACGGGGTGTGGGCGGAATTTTGTGAATCTGGGCTTTATCGAGCCGTTCCCTGTCCATGTCCACAGAAGGAGATTCACTATTCCAGTGAAGGCACTCGGTCCTCTTAGAAGCTGCATGGTATGTCTGGATTTTCTGTCCAGACTCAGTAGTTCCTTTACGTTGTTTTCGTCGGACATGTGGGCAGACGCTGGTGCCCGAGTTCAGATCCTTGGGAAGACAGTAGATCAGACAGGAAGAACGTGGGCCTCCGTTGGGCAAATGAAGCTCTTCGCCTTAGGAAATCGTGACAGGAGGCCACAGAGGTGATCTCTACAGTCTCTGGGAGCTGGGAAGTCCAAGGCCTCTTAGTGGGAAAGTGAGGCAGGGTCTTGCAGAGCCCACTCTACACACGGCCAGATACAAATGGCTGTAGAGGTCTTAGATAACACCTTCTCGGTCATTTATTTGCACCTCAGAAGAAGCCAGGGCTTCGGTTTTCTGTTTGTTTCATCACAGTTGACAGGTTAAAAGCATTCACTGCAGCGATCTATGAGAATTAAGAGGGGAGAAGGGGAAATGGAATAAAACTTCGTTTTGTAAAGCTGCCATTTTGCCTTTCCTGAGGCGTGTTAAGCGAGGAGAGCAGCGTAGGTGAGCTCTGCTGGGGACTGCCACATGTTTCTGCTCCAGGGTCACAGCAATTTCTAGAGCATGCCTCTGGGTCTCTGCCGAGACCCTCGTAACCTGCTTAGGCCCACAATGTATGGGCGGTATTCTGACTTCAAAAAGTAGTGACTTTCAGAGGTGGGTGGGTCACTATCTCTGCACCCAGCTTCTCAGGCCCAGTAGTAACTGAGCAGAGACTGGAACCTGGGGATGTTGGTGTCAGACATCTAGGTCCTCTGACTGCCCCCACAAGGTCACACTCCTTTTACTCACCAGTCTGGGTACCTCTAAACTCCAGGAGGTCTCCCTGGCTGAATCTCAAAAGGAAAATTTCGTGGCATTTTTTATATCCAGTCAGGAATAGAATTCATTACATCTTGTGGTCCTGGCACTGTGAAGGCCTGCACTCACAGGAATCTGTCAGTCTTCGTATTTGTTTGCGAGACCAGCATAAGCTGAATTCATCAATACAAGATAACATTCTAAAATGTTAAGTTTTAACATTTAATCATTCCCTGTACTTAAATCATTGTCTACCCTCAGGTGAGAGTTAAAGGATAATTAAGGATAGGGTAAAGAAATACTCTTCCTCTGACTAGGCATTGTGGCTCACAGCTGTTAATCCCAGCACTTTGGGAGGCCAAGTCGGGCGGATTGCTTGAAGTCAAAGTTCCAGACCAGCTTGGGAAACATAGCGAGACCCTGTGTCTCTACCAAAAAAAAAAAAAAAGACAGAAAGAAAAATGAAAAAATTAGCCGGGGGTGGTGCCATTTGCCTGTGGTCCCAGCTACTCGGGAGGCTGAGGTGGGAGAATCGCTTAAGTCCGGGAGGCGGAGGCTGCTGTGAGCTGAGATTGTGCCACTGCACTCCAGTGTGGGTGACAGGGAGTGAGACCCTGTCTCGAAGAAAACCCACCTCTTCCTCTAATAACCAGCTTCTACGTGGCTACCTTGGTTGCCAGTAAGTCCACTCTGAATCTGTGGCTTTTATGAAGTGAAAAACGTGCTTTGTTCACATTTAATTCTGCCTTAGGCTAGTGGGGGACAGGTGTGTGTGTGTGTGTGTGTGTGTGTGTGTGTGTGTGTGTTTAGAGGGAAACTACGTGGTAAGAGACATGGCCACGTTTACACTGATTTTTCTTCCTTAGAAGAGGACTTGTCCCCTGGGTCCACTCTCCTGGTCACCCTTATCCTTCTCTAGGTCCCCATCTCAGTCTTCTCATGTCTTTCTCTTCCCCATCAATATTCCTGGTTTCCCCCATGCTGGCCTTGGCCATCTTCTTTTCTCCCTGCAACTCAAGTGAGATTGATTGCCTGCTTTCACTATTTCTGTCCCTTAGCTAAGCGCTCCCAAATTGCTATCTTCTGCTGAGACCCTATCCTGAGCTCTACACATTTTGTGTGTGTGTGTGTGTGTGTGTGTGTGTGTGTGAGAGAGAGAGAGAGAGAGAGAGAGAGGGAGATAGAGAGAGAAAGAGAAACAGGGTCTCACTCGTCCAGGCTGGAGTGCAGTAGCACAATCAAAGCTCACTGCAACCTTGGACTCCTGGGTTCAGGGGTCCTCCCACCTCAGCCATCTGAGTAGCTGGGACTACGGGCACACACCACCAGGCCCAGCTAATTTTTTTTATTTTTTGTAGAGTCAGGGTCTCACTTCATCGCCCAGGCTGGTCTTGAAGTCCTGGGCTCAAGCCCTCCTCCCACCTTGGCCTCCCAAAGTGCTGGGATTATAGACGTGAGCCACTGTGCCTGGCTACACCAATGTTTCTAACTGCCTGGTAGACAGGTCCTTCTGGATGGATACTAGGCACTTCAAACCCAGCTTATTTCCAAAACCACATGCCTCATCTTGCTTTCCAAGCCCATTTGTTTCTTTCCACATTCCCCATCTTCCTGGAAGACACCTTCATTAGCCCCATCTGTTCTGGTTGGGTGTCCCTTCCTCTTGTCCTCTGTCCAAATCTCATGAGTTCCAAATATTACTAAATCTGTCTTCTGACTTTCAATTGTATCACCTTTTCTCCGTCCACCCATGACCATGCCTTAACTGAAGTCCTCGCCAGCTCTGGTCTAGTAGATTACATAGTCAGGCTGGTCTTTCTGCCCTGCCATTGAGCTTCCACTCCGTATGACAGCTATCTTTTTTTTTTTTTTTTTTTTTATGAGACGGAGTCTCGCTCTGTCGCCCAGGCTGGAGTGCAGTGGCACGAGCTCGGCTCACTGCAACCTTGGCCTACCGGGTCCATGCGATTCTCCTGCCTCAGCCTCCGGAATAGCTGGGACTATAGGCGCCCACCACCACGTCCGGCTAATTTTTTGTAGTTTTGTATTTTTTGTATTTTGTGATCCGCCCGCCTCGGCCTCCCAAAGCGTTGGGATTACAGGCGTGAGCCACCGCGCCCGGCCAAGAGCTATCTTTTAAAAACTGAGGGTTTTTTGTTGGTTGGTTGGTTGGTTGGTGTTGCTGTTTTGAGCCTGTCACTTTCATGCTTAAAAATTTTCCACGACCTTCCCATTCCCTTCAGAATGAAGTTCACATTCTTTTGCATGGCAGTTCAGAGCACCGGAGGTTAATTACTAGGAAGGACTCTGGAGTTAGACAAACCCAAGTTTGATTCCTAGCCTTGTCCATGTAAACAGGTGCATGACTTCAGGAAGCAAATCTCAACAGGTTTAACTTTTCCCATTTGTAAAACAACGAGTAACTTGCTCGTTGTTTTGTTGGAAATCATGAAAGTGACAATTTCTGTAAATTGCGGTGCTCATGCCTGTAATCCCAGCGACTCAGGAGGCTGAGGCAAGAGGATTGCTTGAGGCCAGAAGTTCGAGGCTGTGGTGAGCTGTGACTGTGCCACTGCACTTCAGCCTCGGCAACAGCAGTGAGACCCCATGTCTAAAAAAACAAAGGACCTAGCACAGTAGTAGCACAGTATCTGGTCCAGAACAAGCACCCAATTAATTTGTGCTACTCTATTAATAGTTACTAATTTAAAAAAAAACTGAAAATATTATACATCTAGTTCTTTATGTTTCCCACAGCCTTCCCAGGTTTCAGATGTTCTTGCAGCTGAACAAGAATGTTTAGCCCCACACGACATCTGCAATCTCCAAGTACACAATATCTTCACACATTCCATTTCTGTCCAGAATGTCCTCCCCTTCTCTGTAACCCTGAGAACCCCCATTCTTCAAGATTCAGCCCTGTGAGCCTTCCCTTGCTCTTCTGGTTTTTTGTTTTTTCTTTTTCTTTCTTTTTTTTCTTTTCTTTTTTCTTTTTTTTTTTTTTTTTGAGATGGAGTCTTGCTCTGTCACCCAGGCTGGAGTGCAGTGGCGCGATCTCGGCTCACTCCAACCACCGTCTCCCGGGTTCATGCGATTCTCCTGCCTCAGCCTCCGGAGTAGCTGGGACTACAGGTGTGTGTCACCACGCCCAGCTAAGTTTTATATTTTTAGTAGAGACGGGGTTTCACCATGTTGGCCAGGATGGTCTCGATCTCTTGACCTCATGATCTGTCTGCTTTGGCCTCCGAAAGTGCTGGGATTATAGGCATGAACCACAGTGCCCGGCTCCCTTGCTCTTCTTTGCCCTCATCTCTTTGGGCCCTCCTCCTTGCCTCTGCCCTCTCCTATCTTAATACCCCTTCCCTTCCTTAACCTCAGCATTAGGCTGGCAACATTTCTCAGGGTAAGGATTTGTCTTTGTTTATTTCCATAGTAGCAGCAGTACCCAAGCAACGCCTGGTCACAGTAAGTCGAGTGAAACCATCTCTCAAAAAAACAAAACAAAACAAAACAAAAAACGAACTACATTGAGTGGGAAAGGCAATAAATATATCACCTTTGGTTTCTGTATCACTTCATGGCCTCATTCTTCTTTCACACAGAACTTTTCATTTGATCCTTAAAATAATCCTGTGAAAAAGGCAGGAATTCTCAGTAATTGGCCGGGCACCGTGGCTCATGCCAAAGAAAAAGAGGCCAGGCGCGGTGGCTCACGCCTGTAATCCCAGCATTTTGGGAGGCCGAGGAGGGTGGATCACCTAAAGCCAGGAGTTCGAGATCAGCCTGGCCAACATGGCAAAACCTCCATCTCTACTAAAAATACAAAAATTAGCCCGGCATGGTGGTGGGCACCTGTAGTCCCAGCTACCTGGGAGGCTGAGGCAGGAGAATCACTTGAACCCGGGAGGCGGGGATTGCGGTGAGCCAAGATCGTGCCACTGCATTCCAGCCTGTGTGACAGATCGAGACTCCATCTCAAAAAAAGAAAGAGGAAGGAAGGGAAGGAAGGGAAGGAAGAAAGGAAGGAAGGAAGGGAGGGAGGGAGGGAGGGAGGGAGGGAGGGAAAGAAAGAAGAAAAGAAAAAAAGAAAAGCTGTTACCTGCATCAGTGGCTTTCAACCTTTAATGTGTATCGGGAGGGCTTTTTTAAAGCACCGATTACTATGTCTCACCCCTCAGTTTCTCATTCAGTAGGTCTGGCATGGGTCCCAAGATTTTATCCGAGGTGATCAGTGCTGCTAGATGAGAGGCTACACTTTGAGAACCACTAATTCAGACAATGGACGTGTTTTCTCCCCCACTCCCTTTCTGCTTTATCTTCAAATTTTTGATCTCCTTCTTTAGTGGATCTTGGTGCGGATCAGATATATTCATCAGCATTGCCTTTAAAGTTAAAAACAATCAGTGATATTCGAAATAGCAATGCTGGAAATCACAGGTCAGATTTAAAAGGGAAAAGGAAACATCTTGAGCATTAAAACCTCTATTTCTCACCTGGACATCTTCACAAATGTTATTCTTGCCACTTCCTCCCTGCCCTCGCCCCCTTTACTATGTATCTCAGTAGGACGCCAATCATTCTGCTCTTTATTCAGAGTCCGACACAAGCCCCCACGTCCATAGCCAAGTTTTCCCCGGTTTCCCAGCAGCCAGTGACTTCTGTAGCATTAGGATTCTTATAGTAGTTATTGTCTACATTTCTCAGCAGATTGAATATGTACTGCCTCTTACTACTGGACTGTTTATTCTTAAATGTGTACAGTATGGATTTATGTCGTCTATATATTATGCATTTATTTGTCTTCTTCGTTGTGATGGTAAGCTCCTGGAGGGCAAGTCTTGCAT
Source organism: Homo sapiens (assembly GCF_000001405.40). NCBI lineage: Eukaryota > Metazoa > Chordata > Mammalia > Primates > Hominidae > Homo > Homo sapiens. The sequence continues at coordinate 149,859,463 of NC_000001.11, forward strand.
CCACTGCTTTGCTGGCAACCCGACTGGTAAGCTTCTGGAAGGCAAGGCTTGCATCCAGTGCTTTGCTGGCAACCCGATTGCTAAGTACCGTGTTTTAAGCTTAGTTCAGTCTCAAGTGTTTGCAGCCACATCTGAAGACCAATAAAGCAACTGCTGGTTTATCCTTTGGGAGCTGACAGAATTTCTTCTCCCAAATACATACACAGTAAAATCATAAGCCTGGAATGAAGAAAAAAAAAATCTTACGGGCAATGCAATGGCTGCAAAACTATAAGGATTAGAAATGTGAACCCACATTTTAATCCAAATTAGGGCAATTTAGAGGTGGTAGCGTAAAGAATAGCTTGCTGTAATATACGCCATGCTGATACAGAATTGGCTTTTGGCCTTGTCAAAATTAAATTGTGCTTTCTGTATTGATGGTGGGCATGTTTCTGCAGGTCTCTCATTCTAAGCTACAACAGGCCCTAAGAGGTAGAAGTCACATACCTGAATTACCTGTGAAGTTGCTTTCAGATCATATCGTTGGTTCACTCTTACAGAAGGATCACTTTAAAATATCTCTGCATTTGTATCCTTGCAATGCCACAACTAAAAGACAGTTATCTCATAGGTCCTTGATTAAATTAGGAGGCTTTTTATTGAACACAAGAAATGATACTTTTCAGGCACTGGGCAGATAACTTGCTAGAAAGGCATTTTTTAACTGTGCTAAGATTGAGCTGAGTGCGTGGCTGGAGACACCACACAACACGGACCCTTGCTAAGGCATCTAGTCCACCCGCTTGTTATGTAGAGGGTGAAATGAAGCCCAAAACAGTCAATCGTGAACTCTAAGCCGATCAGGTGGGAAAGCCGGCATCTCTAGAATGAAAACCTAAGGCTGCTTCTCCCACTTTGCCTGAGCAAATATAGTGAGATTACACAGCAAGGCATGTGTAAATTGCCAGTGCCTATTTCTCAGAACCAGATTTGGTGATCGCAAAGACTGACGTGGCCCTCTAGGTGTGCCTATACTGCACCAGAAGAGCAAGCCGAGAAAGCAGTGCTCAAACCTAGAGCATTCAACCTTTCATACCGATAAAGGCTTTAAAAAAAAAAAAAAAAAAAAAAAAAGCCCAGGTAAGTGAAAAAGCCGCTTTCGGTCAACGACTTAAGTCTTTACGGCTGTGAGCGCTATGGGCCGCGGTAGCTTTCCGTTAACTTCAGATCCGATTGTCGCCCCACTGCCAAAGTTACCTTCCAACATCGTTACTGTTGCACTTTACGCAGTCAAGTGTCCAACTCCTCAGATGAGCAAGTGGTCGGCCCTAAAAAGGGCCTTTGGGATCGAAACGTGCAAAGCTGGAGCGGCGGCCTAGCCTCCGAAGCCGTACAGGGTGCGCCCCTGGCGCTTGAGCGCGTACACCACATCCATGGCTGTGACGGTCTTGCGCTTGGCGTGCTCGGTGTAGGTGACTGCGTCCCGAATCACATTCTCCAGGAACACCTTCAGCACACCGCGGGTCTCCTCGTAAATGAGGCCAGAGATCCGCTTAACGCCGCCACGCCGAGCTAGACGCCGAATGGCAGGCTTGGTGATGCCCTGAATGTTGTCTCTCAAGACCTTGCGGTGGCGCTTAGCGCCCCCTTTGCCTAAGCCTTTTCCGCCCTTTCCTCTGCCGGACATGACCGCTGGAGCCCGATAGACAGCTTCTGTCAAGGCGAGCACCGTCTTCCCCTGATATACAAGAGTATCGGACCAGATTGAAAACCGAAAGCGCGCCGGCGGGAAGCGTTCTCAATTGTCCCCGCCCTCTCGACATTTCGTCATTTCTTTTCTGTTTTCCTCTCCCTCCTCCTCCACTCTGCTCAGGTCCCTCTCACTCTTTTTTTTTTTTAACCGCTACGCCACAGTCCCCGGGAGAATTCAGATCCCAACCGGGGCTTCCGGATTCTGTAGTGGCTTTGGCCTGTGTCTGGTCTGAGGACGCCCGGAAGGCATTGCACTGAGGCTAAGGGAAAGGTCTCTGGAGGGAGCCTCAGGAAGAGCAAATGGAGGCCAGAGACTGGCAGGAGCGCGCCAGCGCAGGATTTAATCCCGACGAGCGGATTCAGAGCCGTGCTTATATAAAGCTTCAGGAAGCGCCGTTCCGACGATGAGGTCGACACGCGAGAGGCGACCTCAAGAGCGGCGGCGCCAGGGATCTGTGCGCCAAGGGAGGACGGGAGGGAGCAGGTTCGCCATAATTCCTGGCTCCAGGCTCTGTTTTGTTGGACCGAGCCACTGTATTTTAGCTCACACAGGAGAATTCTGGCCCTGGGAAAATTGGTCTCAGCATGCTGCCAAGCTTTCTCATGGACGTCAGCGAATCCCAACACACTGTCGGTCAAAGCCGTGCTGGAAGAAACAAAACAGTTCTCCCTCGGTAGAACTGAGAGGGGATTGGTCCAGGGCCCCCGCCGATACCAAAATCCAGGTTGCTCAAGTCTCTCATAGAAAGTGGCGTAGTATTTGCACATAACTATGCACATCCTCCCGTGTACTTTAAATAGTCTCTAAATTACTTCGTAACACCTAATCCAGTGTAAATGCTATGTAAGTAATTGTTATACTGTTTTTATTTTTACTATCTTTTGTTGTACTTTTTTTTAAAAAAGAAATTCATTTGTTTAATATTTTCGGTCTTGGGGAACCCGCGTATATGGAGGGCCTGCTACATAGAGAAGACTGAGGGATATTCTGTGCATCCGTTTCTACGGATCCTCTAAATCGGCCTTTGTTTTCAGCCAGGATTTAGTGCCCAGCTGTGTCCTTTGGAGGCCCCACATGGAGCTAGCAAAGTTTGCTAAATCGGGTTTTGCAAGAGGACTGTCTGCTCCATACTGGGAGTAGTTACCGCAAACTGCCCTATGAAATTGGTTGGGGTTCTTACTGTTAGCATGTTTATTACTTTATCAGGGCTCTCTGTAGGAGAGTCTATGAGAAAATCTTCTGGTTTCTGCTGAAAGAATCGTGTTTTGTTGGGGTTTTTTTCCCGAAAAATATTATTTTTAAAAACTCTTCTGTGCCCTGTTTAATCTCTCCCTTGGATCCACCTTCTGTGTGCTCATAAATCGTAAATCTGTATTCAGACTTCTGGACTCGAGACACGTAGATCCACCTGGTGGTTCTTCAGTCATTTTAAGCCCAAAACTCAAAATCTCCCGAAATCAAAATGTTTAAACTTATAATCTCCAGGGTGTGACTCACGGGGGATGAGGGGAGCAATTCTCTCCCTCCCCGCATAAAGCTGGTTCTCCTGTCTGCTCATTGAACGGTTCCACTGCGCATCACAGCATCTACATGCCTAAACCAACACCCCAGCATTGGCAACAGATATCTTCCTCTCCCTTGGCTGCTTCAGGACAGGGAAGAAACATGCTTGCCCTTTTCTGACTCTTTAGTAACTCTGGCCGAATCTATCACATTATTTTACATCTCTTTACATCTTACTACTCCCCCATCTTGGCTGTGTGTTCCCTACTGGCAGTGATTTTTGTTTATTCATTTTTGTAAACTGACACTTAGTTCAGTGTCCAATATAAGCTCAACAATAGTTTATAAAAGGAAAAGTTCCTGCCTTTGATTGCTTTTAAACACTATTAGAAAAGACATAACCAAATTGCAACATGATAAAACAACCGCAAAACAAGGCTGAGAGAAGTGGTGATTTCTGGTGTCAGAGGGCACAGGACCCTGGGCAGAATCAGAGATACGGTGTCTGTGCAGTTCCCTTTTTAAGGGGATCAGGACATGCTACCTCCAAATGTGCCAGTTTCGACTTAAGAATTATTTTCAGCTGAAACAAACAGCTAAAATCCCTTACCTGTTTAATAGCAGATCCTCCTCGCAAATCTCAAATTTTTAACTCAGTTGTCATAAATCTTCTTCAGCACTAGAAGCAAATCTAACCTCGGAGATGAGAAGTGGTCACCACACCCAAATAGACATTGTCACAAGACTCGAATCTTCCATCTATTCTAAGGGCCCATTTATCTTTTCAAAAGTCATTTGGTTTTCCATATGTCCTTTACTCCTCCTCCTTTTCCCCTGCTGCTAGGTAGATCCCAAATTCTAACCACTCCTTTGAGTTACTCATCACAGAGTGCTCCCATGTATACACTTTTTTTTTTTTTGTTTGACTCAGGGTCTTACTCTGTCACCCAGGCTGGAGTGCAGTGGTGCAATCTCAGTTTAAACCCCCAAGTCTGTGGTATTTTGTTATAGTCCCCCTAGAAATTAATACAGGATTCATGGTCTGCCAAAGTCTCATTCCCTGCTCAGACCGACAATGGATAGTGGGATCCTTTGTGATATGTGCTCTGTGAGTTAGAAGTAGTAACTTAGAGCTGTTGAGGACAATACCTTTGCACCCCATCCACTGAATTTTGTTTTCAAAGATACAGTCTGAAACTCCCAGAGGGTGAGTGCCTTTCCAGTGTGTCAGAGCCATTAGTGGCTGAGCAGACCGCTGAGCATGTAGATTTCTAGGTCAGGGCCCTCTCCCCAAAGAATCATACTCCCTGGTTGAACTGAACCTAAATCAGGTTTAAAACTAGACAGATGCCAACCAACTTAAAATTCCAAAGATATCCAAGACCTGCCCATGGCCCTGGGATTTGAGGACAACGTGTGCATGTCATGGCTATGGCAGTTCAGGGGTCTCTAGCTTAGTGGGAATGTCTATGTCCTACCTTGACCCTTCTGAGTCTTCCGCCCGCATCTGCCCCTCCTATGACAATGGAGTATTCATTCCCCAGATACAGCACCGTGAAAGAGAGGCAGGAACACTGGATAGTCTAAGACCTGGTCTTTCTTGGCTGGTGTGAGACAGTGGAGGCCTCACTACTTGGTCTTTTCTGGTGTACTGTCAAAGGTTGAAGCTGGGGCCTTGTGACTGCCTCCTGTTCTCTGTTCCAGGGATGCTACACAATAGAAGCTCTGGGCCTTGACCATGGAAAGGTCCCATGAATTCTCCACTCAGCCCAACTGAGCCCCCTGCTCTCACACTGGGTGAGGAAACGATAGGCAGTGCGAACAGGTGTATGCACACTCACTGAGGAAGTGCAGCCTGTCTGACCCACTCTCTCTCACCCAGCCTAGGGTCAGGCCATGGCAGGACACTGTTTCCTTAACTATCAGCAGCCATCTTGGGGATTTCCCCACAGGGCCAGGGCAACAGAATCTGCTTCTCACTGTGACCATGGTCTGGAAGGACCATGAGGAATTCTCCAGTGCTGTCGGGGTTTCCGATACTGACACAGACAATTTAGTAACAGCTTTGACACCTTTTGGTAATAGGACAAAGTTAACACTCCTGCCACTATCCTGTGAAGGCCAACCTTCCTAGGCCCCATAGGAAACTTTTGGAATGTCTTTGTTGGGTTGAGAAACTGGGGCAAAGTAGTACCCAATTTTTTCATGTCAATATCAAAATGTAATCATTTCAGGTACACAGAGTTCCGCACTTTCAGATTAGTCTTAAAGAAAAGAAAATCGCCGGGAACGGTGGCTCGTGCCTGAAATCCCGGCACTTTGGGAGGCCGAGGCGGACGGATCACCTGAGGTCAGGAGTTCCAGACCAGCCTGACCAACATGGTGAAACCCCATCTCTACTAAAAATACAAAAAAAAAAAAAAAAAAATTAGCCGGGCTTGGTGGCGGGCGCCTGTAATCCCACCTACCCAGGAGGCTAAGCTGACAGGAGAATCGCTTGAACCCGGGAGGTGGAGGTTGCAGTGAGCTGACATCGCACCATTGCACTCCAGCCTGGGCGACAAAAGCGATACTCCATCTCAAAAAAAAAGAAAATCAAGTAAAGAGCAATTCACATTCTCTTGAAAATTCTCATTATGTCCAGCTGGTTCCGGGGAAAGCCTACCATGAAAGTGGTATTGTTACTTAGACTTAGGGTCCTTTGATCAGAATTGATGATGTCCTCAGCTAAGTCAGTGCTAGGAGTGGGCAGAGATGAAGTGATGGATGTGACAGAGTTGTAGAATATAGATTTAATAAGATTTGGTGTTTTAGGGCGGGGCGTGATGGCTCATGCCTGTAATCTCAGCACTTTGTGAGGCCAAGGTGGGCCGATCACATGAAGTCAGGAGTTCGAGACCAGCCTGGCCAACACAGTGAAACCTCCTCTCTGCTAAAAATACAAAAATTGACCGGGCGTGGTGGCTGACACCTGTAATCCCAGCACTTTGGGAAGCCAACGCGGGTAGATCACGAGGTCAGGAGATCGAGACCATCCTGGCTAACACGGTGAAACCCCGTCTCTACTACATATACAAAAAATTAGCCGGACGTGGTGGCGGGTGCCTGTAGTCCCAGCTACTCAGGAGGCTGAGGCAGGAGAATGGCGTGAACCCGGGAGGCGGTGCTTGCAGTGAGCTGAGATCGCACCACTGCACTCCAGCCTAGGCAACAGAGCAAGACTCCGTATCAAAAAAAAAAAAAAAAAAAAGAAAGAAGAAAGAAAGAAAGAAAGAAAGAAAGAAAGAAAGAAAGAAAGAAAGAAAGAAAGAAAGAAAGAAAAAATTGGTGATTTAGGCATTTGGAGAATGCATGCAATAAAGGAGCTTCTGGCCTGAGGAGCTATGGGGTTGATGTTAGGTTTCAGTAACATGGAGAATGCAGAGAGAAGAAATTGCTTTTATTTTTGTTTTTGTTTTTTTGAGAGAGTCTCTCTCGGTTGCCCAGGCTGGAGTGCAGTGGCGAGATCTCTGCTCACTGCAACCTCCGCCTCTCGGGTTCAAGCGATTCTCCTGCCTCAGCCTCCCAAGTAGCTGGGATCATAGGCGCCTGCCACCACACCCAGCTAATTTTTTGTATTTTTAGTAGAGACGGGGTTTCACCGTGTTGGCTGGGCTGGTCTCGAACTCCTGACTTCAAGTTATTCACCCACCTCGGCCTCCCAAAGTGCTGGGATTACAGGCATCAGCCACCACGCCCAGCCAGAAATTGCTTTTGAAAGCAAAAAGATGCATAAAGTCCCTCCCAACATTAAAAATTGAGATTCCTGTTCTCTACCTAGGAGAACACATCCACCAGTTGTTATTACTCTGATCAGTAAAGGGTCTCAGCTGGAGAAACTTGTGAGTAAGCCCTCAGCAAATCGATAAGGAAAACGAGAGGCAGGGAATTTGATGAGATCTTCCCAGGGGTTAGGGAGAAAAGAAGAGGACTGAGACAGGCACCCTGGGCAAGCAGGAACATTGATGGGAGTTGGTAGATTAGGAGAATACCAAGAGACAGAGGATAGCTGGAAAGGGATGAGGACCACCAGAAGAGAGTATGTCCCAAGGAGGCAAAGGAGGTGTCAACAGGGTCATATTGGGCACTGAAGTTCAGAAATAATGATTATAACTTAACATTCCTTAAGCTCAGTGACTGCTGACTATGCTTGATATTTTGTCTTACACATCACCACAACAATCCTGCAAGGAAGGCAGATGTTTTATCATTCTCACTTTACAGACTGGGAAGCTTTGAGTATTTTGCCCAAGTTCCCCAAACTATTAAGTGTCAGGGCCAGGGACTTTGTCCAAAGTGCTAGGTCTTCCAAAGTTCATGTGCTTGGGCAGAAAACAGCCACCGAGAAGCTTGTACTGGAAACTCAGAGAGGAAATGACAGGAGGCATTGTGACACACAGGGTTGAGGGCCTCACTGCTTCTCCTGACTTCTCTACCTTTTCAGACAGCATTCTTCTCAGGTTCTAACAAGCTTACCCTCTCCTACCTGTTTTAGCAGTTCCTCCCAGATTCATTTATCCTTCCAGTTCCCCGTGAAATTCTGAGTGCCGTCAGAATGGGCATTTTGCCTTGTTCATCTCTTCAAGTCAGCATCCTGGAGCATAGCAGATGATCAGGAAATGCCTGATTGCCCTAATTCCACTGGCCTCTGAATTCTCACTCAAAACGGCATAATACCCAGGCCCCTCCTAGGTTTCAAAGAATTCTCGGGAATTTGCAGGCCAGAAGCAAGTATAGCCTGGACTCTGGAAGGAACTTCCTCCAGGTTGGCCCGAGAAGAGGGAGAGGTAGCTGCCCTGAGCTGTACCCCTTGCCTACAAGTTGCTACAGTCCACCATCAGGATAGTTGTGTAGCCTTAGCTGAAGGCAGAGTTCCCCTCAGTGCTCGAAGATAAATACTTTAGAAAGGAGTGCACATTTGTGGTAGACTGAATAATAGCCCCACAGAGATATCCACATCCCAATCCTTGGAATCTGTGAATATGTTACCTTATATGGCAAAGGGACTTTGCAAATGTGAACAAATTAAGGACCTTGAGATAAAGAACTTATCCTGGATTATTGAGATGAGCCCTTAATATAATCACATGAATCCTTAGAGAGACGAGAGGGTCAATCAGGGAGAAGGGGGTGTGATGACAGAAGCAGACATTAGAGTGATCTGTCCAGGTGCTAAAAAATGCCAGTTTCTAGAAGCTGGAAGAGTCAAAAAGTGGATTATATACCTGGAGCCTCCAGAACAAACCAGTCCTTCAGACATTTGTTTTAGCCCCTTAAAACTTATGTTTGGGCTTCTGACCTCCAGAATGGTAAGAGAATAAATCTGTGTGGTTTTTTTCGTTTTGTTTGGTTTCATGTTTTTTTTTTTTTTTTTTGAGACGGAGTTTCGCTCTTGTTGCCCAGTCTGGAGTGCAATGGCGTGATGTCGGCTCACTGCATCCTCTGCCTCCCAGGTTCAAGCAATTCTCCCGCCTTAGCTTCCTGAGTAGCTGGGATTACAGGCACGCGTCACCACACCCGACTAATTTTTGTGTTTTTAGTAGAGACGGGTTTTCACCATGTTGGTCAGGCTGGTCTCGAACTCCTGACCTCAGGTGATCCACCCGCCTTGGCCTCCCAAAGTGCTGGGATTACAGGCGTGAGCCACCACACCCGGCAAATTTGTGTTGTTTTAAACCACTAAGTTTATGGTAACTTATTAATGCAACACTAGGAAATGAATACACCGTTCTTACAAAAGTCACTAGGCTCTTTATATTTGATGGGGGCGGGGGGGCGGGGGGAGATCTGAGTGTCATCAGGAGCAGAGTATAAGGTATACTTGGAGGGAAAGAGGAAAGGAAGTGGGCAGCAGAGGTAAAAAGGAGATCAGGAATGGAAAGTCGGGGGCCCCACAGTGAACCTTTCCTTACGGCTGACTAGGCTCCTTCATGGGCCTGACCAGCCTCCTTCACCTGCTCAGCCCAGAATTTGTAGAGAGATCTGTCGTCTTTGCAAGTGGACTGAGCTCTCCTAGACAATTGCTGGCCTCCCCCAGCCATGGACCTCTGTAGAGCTCCCTGGGGTCATCCAGGGCAGGAGGGTGACAGGCTGGCTTCACCGTGGTCATATAGCAGAAGTGGCAAGCTCTTCTTGCTCTTGAGGAAAGCTCACACCTAGATTGTTGCAAGGATGTTGTACAGGTTGAGCATCCCTAATCTGAAGATCCGAAACCCTAGGCTCCAAAATCTGAACAATTTTGAGCACTAATGTGGTGCCTCGGTGGAAAATTCCACACCTGACCTCACACAACGGGTCATACAATGCACAGTATTTCCCCCAAGGAAATAAAAGGCCCTCCCAGCCCCTTTCCGCTGAGATATATCTTTTCTGCACATGCCCGGTTTCCCCAACGTGCACACACCCACAAAGGGTCATAAAATGGCATGTGTGCAGGCCAGTGTCGTCAACAGCACGTTCCCCATAATGCCCCATGTAGGAGCCAAGACCTACGTGCCTTACTCACTGTGGGGTTTTTTTGCTTATTCTCTGCTCTGTGGTATAAAGATATTGTTGAAAATATCAAAAAGGCCTGCAGATACCCCATGAGTAACAGTAATTTTAAAAGAGAAAAAGCAAGGCCAGGCGCGGCGGCTCATGCCTGTAATCCCGGCAATTTGGGAGGCCGAGGCGGCTGGATCACTTGAGGTCAGGAGTTTGAGACCAGCCTAACCAACATGGTGAAACCCCGTCTCTACTAAAAATACAAAAATTAGCCGGCGTGGTGGCACATGCCTGTAGTCCCAGCTACTCGGGAGGCTGAGGCAGAAGACTCACTTGAATCCAGGAGGTTGCAGTGACCCGAGATTGTGCCATTGCACTCCAGCCTGGGCGACAGAGCAAGACTCTGTCTCAAAAAAAAAAAAAAAAAGGGAGAGAAAACATTTATGTTTATCTATAGTACAGAAAGTCAAGTTGTTGGAGAAAATGGGGCACAGTGTAAGTGTGTATAAGGTATTTATGAAACATAGATGGATTTTGTGTTTAGTCTTGGGTCCCATCCCCAATATATCTCATTATATATATGCAAATATTCCAAAATCTGAAACCCGAAACAGTCCCAGTCCCAAGCATTTCAGATAAGGGATACTCAACCTGTGTTAGTTTCCTAGGGCTGCCATAGCAAATGACCACAAACTTGGTAGCTTAAAACAACAGAACTGTATTCTTCCACAGTTCTGGAGACCAGAAGTCTGAAATAAAGTACCATGCTCCCTCTAAAGGCTCTCAGGGAGAATCCTTCCTTGCTTCTTTCAGCTTCTGGTGGCTTCTGATGTTCCTTGGCTTGTGGCAGCCTCATTCCAATCTCTCCCTCCATCTTCACATGGCTTCTTACTCATCTCTGTGTGTCCGAATTTCCCTCTCCTTTCTCTTATAAAGATACCAGTCATTGAATTTAAGGCCCATCCTATATCCAGCATGATTTCATCTCAAGATCCTTAACTACTTACGTCTTCAAAGCCCCAGTTTCCAAATGCGTTCACATTTTGAGATGCTGGATAGACACGAACTTTAGGGAACATATTCAACCCACTACAGGTCCTGAGCACTAAGCCTTGTGGGAGGACACTCTGGAAGCAGGTCCAGACTTCCCCGGTCTTGCCTCTTCAGAACCTGCGCACTCTCCACCTCCAAAAGGCCCTTCTATCAGTCACTTACACCTGAGTATAAAACTAAGCATGATAGCTGTGCAATTTTGACCAACCCTCCCATGTTCATGAGTGTAGGTGTTGGGGAACAGGCTGTGTCTCCACTTGGGGAACTCACAGCTTCAGGGGCAGGACAGGAAGATGGTGGTGGTCCTTGGCCAGATGCTTCCTATAATAATGAAAAGCCTGAATGGTTGGACAGCTGGCAGACTGTGGCCTGCATTTACTTGCCTGGAAAAGCTGGAAGGAAAGAAGACATGAGGCTAAAATAGAGGCTCAGTGTCTTAGTTTCAATATCTGTAAAACAGTAACAATAAATACACATACCTCATAGGATTCGTGCAGGGATAAATTGCTATACAGTCCATACAAAGTACTTAGAGCAGAGTCTCAACATGACAATAAATTAATAGTTATTAGCAATTTCATTATTTTTATGATAAACGTTACTTGATATATATCCTAGATCTTTCCCTTGGAAATATTACCGTCATGCTGGGAAATAAGACAAGCACATGGAAAATAATGGGTAAATTATCTAGTCTCTAGATGCTAATTATGTAGAGATTCTTCTAGACTATGTGGCCAAGGCAGCAGAAATAATTGGGTTCCTAGGAGCTTCATAACTCACAAAAACCTTTCACTAACAGCCTCTCGTTTGAGTCCACAACAACCCTGGAAAGAAGAAAAGGCTTTTTCCCTATGTTAAAGATAAGGAAGTTTCTGGTAAAGATTAGACACCGGGGAACGTGAGTTACTCGGCTAAAACATGGCCAAGGTGGAATTTGAGCCTAGGTTTTGTGTTTTGCTTTTCTTTTTTTGTATTAGATTTGATGCTTTAGGAGAAAGTGATACATGGAATAGATACAAATAATATCAATATGTGTCCAGTACAGCCCACTCTCCTGACCTCAAGTCTACAGTAAGAAATACATTTACATTGGCCGGGCGCTGGGGCTCACGCCTATAATCCCAGCATTTTGGGAGGCCGAGGCGGGCGGATCACGAGGTCAGGAGATCGAGACCATCCTGGTTAACACGGTGAAAACCCGTCTCTACTAAAAATACAAAAAAAAAAAAAAAATTAAAAAAAAGTAGCCAGGCATGGGTGGCGGGCGCCTGTAGTCCCAGCTACTCGGGAGGCTGAGGCAGGAGAATGGCGTGAACCCGGGAGGCGGAGCTTGCAGTGAGCCAAGATCTGCCACTGCACTCCAGCCTGGGCGACAGAGTGAGACTCCGTCTCAACAACAAGAAAAAAGAAATACATTTACATTGCCTCCCAGTCACATTCACAGGAAAATAAAAATTGCAACAAGTTTCACAAAATGATAATTACTATTGGTGATATTTTCCCGTTTTATGATTCTTACAAAAGGGCAAAATGAAAGGAAAAGATGATCTCTACCAAGTAAATTAATTGCACTATGGATTACAACTTATAGTTGTGGTTTTTTGGGAGGTTTTTTTGTTTTTGTTTTTCTGGATTTTTTTTTTTTTTTTTTTTTTTTTTTTGAGATGGAGTCTCGCTCTATCGCCCAGGCTGGAGTGCAGTGGCGCAATCTCAGCTCACTGCAAGCTCTGCCTTCTGGGTTCAAGGGATTCTCCTGCCTCAGCCTCCTGAGTATCTGGGACTACAGGCATGCGGCACCACCCCTGGCCAATTTTTGTATTTTTTGGTAGAGACAGGGTTTCATCATATTGGCCAAGCTGGTCTTGAACTCCTGACCTCAGGTAATCCACCCGCCTCAGCCTCCCAAAGTGCTGGGATTACAGGTGTGAGTGACCGCGCCCGGCCTACAACTTACAGTTTTTAAAACTGGCTAGAGAAAACTACAAAGAAGAAAGTTAAAATCATCTCACTGATTTAAAGAAAGTTAAAATCATCTCACTGATTTTAAAAGTCTTCATGTTTCTTCTGAATCTTTCTGTGTATGCACATACAACCTGTCTGTCTTTGTGAGGAGGTGACCCCCATATCCAGAGCCAGAGTGGAAGGTATCCTGTGACAGATGGTGACTTGAAATGTAGGTTGAGGCCTGGCGCGGTCGCTCACGCCTGTAATCCCAGCACTTCGGGAGGCCGAGGGGGGCGGATCCCCTGAGGTCAGGAGTTTGAGACCAGTCTGGCCAACATGGTGAAACCCCGTCTCTACTAAAAATACAAAAAGTAGTCGGGCATGGTGGCAGGCACCTGTAATCCCAGCTACTCAGGAGGCTGAGGCAGGAGAATCACTTGAACCCGGGAGGCGGAGTTTGCAGTGAGCCAAGATCGTGCCATTGCACTCCAGCCTCGGGGACAAGAGCAAGACTTCGTCTCAAAAAAATAATTAATTAATAAATAAATAAATAAATAAATAAATAAATAAAAATACATGCAGGTTGAGCTTTGTGGGAGCCAAGAGGGAAAGGCCAAGGCCAGCTGAGCAAATAAAGGAACCCTTCCAGGAGGAGGTGATATCTGAGCTTGGTTCTAAAGAATATTTAGGATTCGGGACATGTTTAGATTGGGGGTTTGGAGAAGATGATGTAATCCAGGCAAGAGGGGACAGCAAAAACAAAGACAGAAGAATTGTTCCTGGACCACATGCAGCATGGGCAAAGGTCAGTCATGAGAAGTAAGCTTTAGCAATGGGGGCCAGTTTAGGGGACCCCAAATGCCAAAGTAGGGAGGGAGTGCTCTATAAACAATGTTGGAGCAAAGGATATGAACAGGCAATACACAGGAGAAGAAATCCGAAAACTATCAAGCTCAGGTAGAGATGCTTGAACTCATGAATACCCAGAACAATGAAAACGAAAGCAATGCTGAGATACCACTTTACACCAGGCAGTCTGGCAAAACTTAGAAAGTTGGATGACCCGAGGACTGGGCCTGGATGTGGGCTCAGAGTCCAGCTACCTTGGTATTGGAAGTCCGGGACAAGCATTCTGGAGGGGAGCCTGACACTCCTTAGTTCAATTAGATGTAAATAAAACTCTGAACAGAACTGCTGGTTTCTGGCTTCTCAGCACTCCTGTTCCTGAGTTTTTATCCAAAAGAAATTCTTATATAGGTCCAAAAGGGAATATATACAACAATGTTCATTGCAGCATTTCTGGTGGTGATGGAGAATTGGCACAAGCCTAGTTGTCCATTGCTGGGAAAGTGGGGAGATAAAATGCGGTGTTGGAGCAACATGAAGTTTAATGCAGATTGACCTCATCTCTACAAAAAAATAAAATATTAGCCAGGCACAGTGGCATGCGCCTGTGGTCCCAATTGCTTGGGAGGCTGAAGTGGGAGGATCACTTGAGCCTGGGAGATTGAGGCTGCAGTGAGCTATGATCATGCCACTGCACTCCAGCCTAGGGGACAGAATGAGACCCAGTCTCTAAAAAAAAAGAACATGGATGGCAAAGAGATGCAGGTTGAGTTCTATAAGGGTTGAAAATAAAAGGTAATTTTTTTGGGAAATCAATATGAAGTTTATTTAGGTTTCTTGTTTTTCCTGTTTTCCCTGTGAGCCAGATGACTGCCAATTATCCCAAAATTTATATTATCAAAAATGGATACCTGCTTCCTAGCATTTGGAAAAATAAAATAATATGCCCCTGACATGAATTAATGAATTACCCCTCTAATTACAAAGTACAGAATTCTCTCTTTTTTTTTTTTTTTTTTTTTTATTTTGAGACAGAGTCTCGCTCTGTCTCCCAGGCTGGAGTGCAGTGGGATGATCTCGGCTCACTGCAACCTCCGCCTCCCTGGTTCAAGGGATTCTCCTGCCTCAGCCTCCTGGGTAGCTGGGATTACAGGCACGTGCCACCACGCCCGGCTAATTTTTGTAGTTTTAGTAGAGACGGGGTTTCACCATGTTAGTCAAGCTGGTCTCGAACTCCTGACCTCGTGATCTGCGCGCCTCGGCCTTCCAAAGTGCTGGGATTACAAGCGTGAGCCACGATGCCCGGCCTGGTTTTTTTTTTTTTTTTTTTTTTTTTGTCGTTGTTGTTGTTTTGTATGTTTGTTTGTTTTCAACTTTTATTTTAGGTTCAGGGGTACATGGAAGAGTTCAATTTTTAAAATATAGATTAGGCCAGGCGCGGTGTCTCATGCCTGTAATCCCAGCACTTGGGAAGACCGAGGCCGGCAGATTACGAGGTCAGGAGATCAAGACCAGCCTGGCCAACATGGTGAAACCTCGTCTCTACTAAAAATACAAAAATTAGCCAGGCGTAGTGGCGCGCGCCTATAGTCCCAGCTACTCAGGAGGCTGAGGCAGGAGAATGAGGCAGGAGAATCGCTTGAACCCGGGAGACAGAGGTTGCAGTGAGCTGAGATCGCACCACTGCACTCCACCCTGGGGACAGAGCGAGAGTCCGTCTCAAAAAAATAAAAAATAAATAAAATAAAATATAGATTAAGGGGGGGGAATAATAAATAAAGTAAGATATAAAACACATTACCACTAACATGCACTTCGAGAAGCAGAAATTCGCTAGGACTGAGAAAATCAAAACCTGTTCTGCCATTCATTAGGCTGCACTAACAGAGATAAAGCTAGACTAGAAATGACAGAAAACATTCTTCTCCCAAGGGCATGCTACAGCTATAAAGGCTCATAACTCCCCTCTTTGAGTGACCACTCCTTTCTTATTCACTGAGGAACTTGTACTCAAAATTACAGACTATCAGAACTTTGGCTGCTTGAAATCCTATCAATCAGTAACAATGCAGTATCCCCCTCCTGTCTGGAGGACCTAAGCCACCTTGACACAAAAAACCAGCAGTAATTTTCAACCCAGGTGCAAAAACTTCAAGTAAGGGGTTTCTGAACACAGCATTCCACCTCTATCTCAACTTTGTAGTTTCTGAGGAAACAAGACCCTGGATCCACTGCAAAGTCCCATCCTATGCCTACCCTTTCACACAGCCCTGCTTTGCTTTGAGCCTATGAAAACTACACTCCACTCGTCCCCCAAAATCATTGATAACTCTAATTTTCCTCTTGTTTGGTGAGCACCCTCCTCCCACCACCCTGCCACCAGTTTCTCTGTTGTGTGTTCTCCCTCATTGTAACAAGTCAACAGACTTGGCTTAGGTAGACTAAGTAGTGGTCTTGGGCTAATTGGGATAGGTTGAGTTTTTACTTAGAATTAACATAACTCATTTCAGCATTCCTACGTTGTCGGAGGTGGTTTTGTTTTGTTTTGTTTTTAAGACAGGGTCTCTGTTGCCCAGGCTGGAGTGCAGTGGTGTGATCATAACTCACTGCAGACTGCAGCCTCAATCTCCCAGGCTCAAGCGATCCTCCCACCTCAGCCTCCCAAGTAGCTCAGACTACAGGCGCACACCACCACGCCCAGGCTAGTTTTTATATTTTTTGTAGAGACAGGGTTTTGCCATGTTGTCAGGCTGGTCTCCAACTCCCAACAAACTTGCCCGCCTCGGGCTCCCAGATGCTGGAATTACAAGCATGGGCCACTACACCCCGGCTCTTGGTTGTTTCTAATCTTTTAAATTACTATCAATGTTGCATCAACATCTTACTTATTTGATATTAGTAGTGTAGTATAGTGACTAAAGGAAGACTCTGGAGTTGAAATCTGGTTTGGCACCGACTGTGTGACTATGAGAAAGTTTCTTAACCGCTCTGTGATTCCTCCATCTCCCAATCTGTAAATGGACATACTTACACTACCTACTTGACAGGGTTTTGTGAGGATAAAATGAGTTAATACATGTAAAGTGTTTAAAACATTCTTGGCACCAAGAAAAAGTATGTAAGTGTTAGAAAAAAATATGCATATATAGGCGGGGCGTGGTGGCTCACGCCTGTAATCCTAGCACTTTGTGAGGCCTAGGCGGGTGGATTGCCTGAGCTCAGGAGTTCGAGACCAGCCTGGGCAACACAGTGAAACCTTGTCTCTACTAAAATCCAAAAAATTAGCCGGGCATGGCAGTGTGCACCTGTAATCCCAGATATTCAGGAGGCTGAGACAGGAGAATCGCTTGAGCCCCGGAGGCTTCGGTTGCAGTGAGCCAAGGTAGCGCCATTGCACTGCAGCCTAGGCGACAGAGCAAGGTTCAAAAAAAAAAAAAAAGAAAAGAAAGAAAAAATATACATATATGTGGTGTTATAATGTATATTGGTTTCTGTCCACAGTTCCTGGCTCATAACTTCCATAGCCCTTGTATGGTCTTTTTACAGAGTACAGTACACTCCAATGTTGGGTATGTTAGGCCCCAGAGGCAGGTCTCAGGAAACAGAATCTCTCTTTCTCCTGCCCTCCTTTCACCTGCCCCAAGGCAGAACTCTAATATTTGCCCACTTTTTTAATTGAGGGTCTTAAGACCCTCCCCGGAGAGGTTCCCGCCCTATACCCTGGGGGAAGGAATGCTGACATCATGAAGCTTCCATAAAAACCCAAGAGGAGGCCAGGCGCGGTGGCTCATGCCTGTAATCCCAGCACTTTGGGAGGTGGGCGGATCACGAGATCAGGATTTCGAGACCAGCCTGGCCAACATGGTGAAATCCCACCTCAACTAAAAATACAAAAATTAGCTGGCCATTGTGACTGGTGCCTGTAATCCCAACTACTCAGGAGGCTGAGGCAGGAGAATTGTTTGAACCCGGGAGGTGGAGGTTGCAGTGAGCCGAGATCATACCATTTCACTCCAGCCTGGGCAACAAGAGCAAAACTCCGTCTCAAAAAAAAATTAATAAATAAATAAAAATAAAAAATACTAAAGAATAATTTTTAAATGCATAGAAATATACTTTTTCACAATAACACATAAAAGCAAAAAGAGTAATTGTCTCAGACTAAGGAATGCACATAAAATGGGATAATACTAAATAAGGAAAAGGGAGATATCTCCAAATAAGTTTGCATTAAAAACAAAATTTTAAGGAGGAAATGTCAGGGGACACAGTGCAGCCATGGTTCTAAGTAACGTGATATGAGCTGTGTATACAGTCGGTTAATTTGGGATGGAGGGTGCAAAACCAATCAGAAGGGAGCCATACCCAAAGCAGGAGGCCAAGTCTTGGGGACAAAGATGAGAGGACCAAGGATGAGAACAAGGGAACCAGACACAGGAATGGACAGGAGGGGAACTGTTGACTTTATTGCACATAGAAGATTGCCTGAACCTGGATAGGGGAAAGAGCAGAAAGGGAGTTGTTGGGGCAAAATGTAATCCAAGATGACTCTGCACCTTCCTGCCTGAATGACTAGGAGAATGATGCCACCTTCACAGGAATAGACAGCCTGCAAGGAGGAGCTGCTGAACAGAGTTCACTTCAGGCCACACTGGATCATAACGGTCAACTGGCAATGGCAAGTGGCCACGTACTTCAGACAACTGGGAGTGTGTATCTGGAGGCACATCTAGAGACCCAGTTGGCTTCTCTCATCTGCCCAGAGGAGCTGGAGAAAGCCCTGGGAGTCCCTGGGAAGAGCTTATGAAGAGGTGGCCCCGGCCGGACACAGTGGCTCACTCCTGTAATCCCAGCACATTGGGAGGGCCAAGCGGGCAGGTCACTTAAGCCCAGGAGTTTGAGACCATGGAGAAACCCCATCTCTACCAAAAATACAAAAATTAGCTGGGCATGGTGGTGCACACCTGTAGCCCCAGATACTTGGGAAGCTATGGCACAAGGATCGCTTGAACCCGGGAGGCAGAGGTTGCCATGAGCCAAGATCACGCCACTGCACTCCAGCCTGGGTGACAGAGTGAGACCCTGTCTCCAAAAAAAAAGAGAGATGATCCCAAAGATGGGCCTCTAAAGAACATCTACTCCACTTAGGGATCTGATGGGGACAGGAGGTGAGAGAATAATTTTATACTAAAATCAGGGAAAACATAATATGGGGAAATTGGACCAGATGATTTCTGGGTTCCTTCCAGCACTAATATTCTATGGTTCTATTAAACAGACATGGAAAATATGTTGCTAGATCCTCAGATTATTTGCTATTTGCAAATTTTAGACAAATGTTTTAGTAAAATTCAGGAGCACCATGGTGTATCAGGGAATGCCAAGTTATTTAAACTGCATAAATATCCATTTCTTTCTTTGTAAAATGGGGGTAATATTTACTTTTTTGGGGTTGTTTTGATACAACATGATGTACTAGAAGGAAAATTCCAAGTTCTTTGACATGTCTGAACCTCAGTATCCTCCACGATAAAAACCATAACATTTACCTTTCAGGATTTGTTCTGAGGATTTGAAATGGTATGTCTATAGTATTTTGCACACTGTGGGCTTTCAGTAACTGGGAATTTTTACTTTTTACTCTTTTATTTTAAAATTAATTTAAGTCACAGAAAAGTATCTGACTTCAGACACACAGTTCCTCTATATTCCTGTAGTAGGCAAAATTCTGCGATGGCTCCCGTGAGTCCTGGCCCCTGGTACCCGTTGTTTAAATCCCCTCCCTTTGAGTATGGGCAGAACCTGTACTTGCTGTTAATCAAGAAAACTTTGCAGATGTAGTTAAGATCCTTCATCAGTTGACTTTGAGTTAATAAAAAGGGAATCCCTGACTTAGGTAAGCCTTTTTTTTTTTTTTTTTTTTTGAGACAGAGTCTTACTCTGTTGCCCAGGCTGGAGTACAGTGGTGCAATCCAGGGTCACTGCAACCTATACCTCCTGGGTTCAAGTGATTCTCCTGCCTCAACCTCCTGAGTAGCTAGGATTACAGGCACCTGCCACCATGCCCGGGTAATTTTTATATTTTTAGTAGAGCTGGGGTTTCACCATGTTGGCCAGGCTGGTCTCGAACCTCAGGTGATCTGCCTGCCACGATCTCCCAAAGTGCTGGGATTACAGGCATGAGCCACTGCACTCGGCCTAGTGAGCTTTTTAAAAGAGGGTCAATGCCTTCCCTGAATTAGATAAAGTGGAAGCAACAGAGATGCTCTTCTGCTGGCCATTAGAAGCAAATATCCATGCTGTGACATGCCTGTGGAGAAGGGCAGCCTCTGAGGGCCTCAATTCTACACCTGCAAGAAACTGAATTCTGCCAACAACGTGGATGAGTTTGGAAGACCCCAGGCTTCATATGAAAATGCAGCCCAGTTGACACTTTGATTTTACCCTTGTGAGATTCTAATCAAATACTCCCACTATGCCATGCCCAGACCTACAGAAACTATGAGAGGCTAAAGGAGTATTGTCCTAAGCCACTTAATTTGGGGTAATTTTTTACACATAAATAGAAAACTAAAACAGTTTTTTGCCTCCTTCATTCAGAACATGGTTTTTGTTTATCTTCTCTCTCCCTGCTGTCTCTATACTTGTCTAAGACCTCATTACTGGTTGCAGCAGCCTCCCCACTGGTTTCTGGTTTCCTGTATTCTCTTTCTTCTATGCATCCTGCACATTTCTTCAGAATAAAGATACAAAGGTCATAATAACCTGCCCAAAATATTGCTCTTGACTTGCTCAAGAACCTATACCAACTCTCCCAGGCCAGTTCCATCAACTCTGATTTTTAGCTAGTTTCACAGTTCTCGATGACCCAGGCCTCCTTAAAGAGCCTGACTGGCTCTCTTAGTCCGTCTGATGACCAAACCTGTGACCGAGGACACATTAGTGAAGTTAACTAGTCAGGAAAATCACTCCAGAGACTGCCTCCTGCAAAGCAAGTGTTCATAATCTTGAGGGATTTTTAAAAAATAGGTTAGGAATAGTGGAGACTCAATCCCAAACCTATATGTTACCTCATCCACCCTAGGGACTTCTGGAGTTTTTGTTGTTGCTGTTGCTGCTACTGTTATTAAGTTGATTGCTATTTGCATTGATGAAGTTTTTTTAACCATTTTTTAGAATTAACTACAATGTATTGAGAGCCTACTCAGTGCCAGGCAGTAGAACAGGTATTTTTAAATACATTATTTTCAACAAAAAAAAATCTTATAGGCTTTTTTTTAATGGCCAATAATCCCACTGTTCACATAACCTCTGCTGACATTGTTTTTAAGTGAACATTGATCATAAATTTAAACAGTACTGAAAGATATAAAGGAAAAAGCAAAATCTTTTGGCCCAAGGAAATTCTTCTCCTTAAGAGTAGCCACTATTGGCCGGGTGCGTTGGCTCACGCCTGTAATCCCAGCACTTTGGGAGGCCAAGGCAGGTGGATCACGAGGTCAGGAGTTCAAGATCAGCCTGGCCAACATGGTGAAACCCCGTCTCTGCTAAAAACTACAAAAATTAGCGGGGCATGGTGGCACGAGCCTATGGTTCCGGTTACTTGGGAGGCTGAGGCAGAAGAATCACTTGAACCCGGGAGGTGGAGGTTGCAGTGAGCCACGATCGTGTCACTGCACTCCAGCCTGGGCAACAGGGCAAGACTCCATCTCAAAAAAAAAAAAAAAAAGAGTAGCCACTATTGGTCAGGCACAGTGGCTCATGCCTGTAATCCCAGCACTTTGGGAGGCCGAGACAGGTGGATTACCTGAGGTCAGGAGTTTGAGACCAGCCTAGCCAACATGGTGAAACCCTGTCTCTACTAAAAATACAAAAAATTGGCCAGGCGTGGAGGCACGCACCAGTAATCCCAGTTACACGGGAAGCTGAGGCAGGAGAATCACTTGAACCTGGGAGGTGGAGGTTGCAGTGAGCCAAGATCGTGCCATGGCACTCCAGCCTGGGCAACAAGAATGAGACTCCATCTCAAAAAAAAAAAAAAAAAAAAAAGGGTAGCCACTATTATTAGTTTTGTTATGTGAAATCCCCGGAAAGTGTTTTATTTCATATCGGTGCATACATATCAATACACACATATCCTTTTTTATTTCCACCAAAAGGGACCCTAACATTTTATTGCCACATACTAGTAGATATACAAGTAGTTTCCAGATATTTACTATTAAAAATAATAATTTTTCCCAGCGATTTGAAAAGAAGTGAGAGGATCACTTGAGGCCAGGAGTTCAAGACCAGCCTTGGTACCATACCATCTCTACAAAAAACTTAAAAATTAACTCAACGTGGTGATGCCTACCTGTAGTTCTAGCTACTGGGAAGGCTCAGGTGGGAGGATCAGTTGAGCCTAGGAGTTTGAGGTTCCAGTGAGCTATGATCTGGCCACTGTACTCCAGCCTAGGTGACAGAACAAGACCCTATCTCTAAAAAAAATAATAATATTCCTCTTTACTGAAGTATTCCAGCTAATATATGAAAGAAGAGTGACAGAATATCATTATTTTGCAATTGATAATGAATTAATTGATCTAAGCATTGAGAATCAATCACTGCTGTTACCACAAAAAAAGAAGCAGCTAGACATTACATGTCTCCTGATAGAAAAGAAATAGTACCACCTATGAAGTAGTCATGTCATGGGGTGAAAAACTAAACCTAAATCTAATCAAGCCTCTAAGTACCAATTTACAGAAAATAGAGCACAGAGGCTCATGATAAACTACATCCTGAAGACAACTCTCTAAAGAGCACATATTCGGTTCCCCTGATCCACCCATCATTCTACTGGAAGCAGAGTTGTAAAGAAAGGCAAACTATAATGAGAAGGCCACCTGCAGCACACAGAGGCAGGTGACCATGGTAGTTGGTGTCAATCTGGTTGGCCTGACAAAGCCATTTCCACTTTAAGGGAAGCCCTGTTGCAGGGAACAAACACACACTTTTGAGGGTCAGGGTCCATCTGCTCCAGAAAGTGCTTGATGGGCATAAACCATGTGGTCTCTGAGACTTTAACTCTTCTGTTTTTAGTGCCACACAGCTCCTTTCTGTTCCCATAGTCAGGTCAGCCTAGGAGCTCATTGGTTTCTTTAAAGGCAGTTTATACATTCTGGCCTAATCCTGCAAGATCTGGCTCTGTCTACCTGTGTAACCTCTTGATGCTGCACTGTCCTCCTTGCCCTCTAACCACCACCTGTACTAGACTTCCTGCAGTTCTTCCTATCTACCTGACCATGATCTTTTCCACTCTTTCCAGGCCTTTGCCCATGCCATCCACTGCCTGGTACACCCTTCCTATCCTTGTCAAGTGTCATCCTAAAGGTTCTTTCCTCAGGGAGGCCTTCCCTACACCCACCAATGTGAAGTTACGACTCCCTCCATTATACTCTCTATATCTATACTTCTACAGTCGTAATACTTGTCACACTTTCTCATAGTCACTGGATTAATATGTCTTCTCTTCTAGTCACTAGAGGTCCAGGAAGGCAGAAGCCACGCCTGTTCAATTTTCTGTCCTCACTACCTAGCAGATTGCCTGCCATCTTCACAGATAATAAACTCTTGAATGAAAGAACAAATGATATCACACCTAACAATGCTTAGGAGTCAGAGAGAAGAAAATTGGTCCCAGAATGCCGTTCTTATAGAATTTAATAATGTGCATAGATACTTAATATTTATAAAATTAGTAGATACAGATTTTCAATCACACATATTAAATGAATTATTAAACCTAGTCCCCTCGGTTACAGGGACAGTCTCTCACTTAAGGGTCAATTTCTGAAACCCAAACAGAGCTGCCCTTTAGGCCTACTCCAGAATTATTGATAAGCCATATTACAGAGCTATGACAGTGTCCTTTTGGTCCTTCATTTTTTTTTCCTTTTTTTTTTTTTTTTTTTGAGATAGAGTCTTCCTCTGTTGCCCAGGCTGGAGTGCAGTGGCGGCAGCCTCCACCTCCCGGGTTCTAGGGATTCTCCTGCCTCAGCCTCCCGAGTAGCTGGGACTACAAGTGCCCACCACCATGCCAAGCTAATTTTTGTAGTTTTAGTAGAGGTGGGGTTTCACCATGTTGGGCAGACTGGTCTCGAACTCCTGACTTCAAATGATCCACCCACCTTGGCCTCTCAAAGTGCTGGGATTACAGGTGTGAGCCACTGCGTGTGGCCAACAGAACCTATCTTAAAAAGTGGCTGTAGGCTGGGCGCAGTGGCTCACGCCTGTAATCCCAGCACTTTAGGAGGCGGGTGGATCACGAGGTCAGGAGATCAAGACCATCCTGCTAAGTAAGTGTAAGGTAAACTCTTAGCTTACTGCTAAGTAAGTTTAAGGTAAACAGTTAAGTGCTTAGTAAGGGGAAGCAATCATTATTTTAACAATTATTGTTATTAACCCCAACATAAGCAAATGTTTAAAGATGTCTGAGCAGGAGAAACGATCAAAGAGGTTCTTGAGGATTAATCTCACCAATTACTTCCCCTCCAGAGTTAAAATATCAAAATCTATCACCTCTTCCCCCCCTTCCTCACTCTATAACATCCTTCCCAGTGAACATCATCCCCAGGTGGAGCCCAAAACCAGCAACTAAGGCTCTCTCATGTTAGTGAAAGGATTCCAGCTGGTGAGCCCCACCACTGTGGGGACAAACTCAATTGAGTTGAGCTATGGCCTCTGGGATGAAGGATCACAGCCACCTAATCCCACCCTCAATGTACTCAGCCACCACCACCCAGGATTTATATCCAGGGTGCACTCTGAAGAGAATAAAGCCAGTGGTATTTCTTTTCAATTCTAAAGCATAGATATTTCCCCCTAAAACACAGGAAGGGTCCAGGTTTTCAGAATGACCCTGTTTCTCAAGTCCCTTAACTGCTAACCTAGGAGCTTATTCTCTGGAGAGTTTCTGAAGAAAGGCTTCTCTTTGCCTCAGTTTCCTTATCTGTAAAATGGGTGATAATAACGGTACTACTTCCTGAGGTCCCAGTGAGAATTAGATGAGTCAATACATATAAAGGGCCTAGGACACTACCTGGCACGTAGTAAGTGCTCCGTAGGTGTTAGCTTAACTTTATTATGAACTTTATTTCTTCCATCTTATTTGTACTGCTGTCTATTTGTGATCATATATTTTTCAATTACTAAGCATTAACAGTGGCCTTGTAACAGACTATTTCAGCCCCAGTGCACCTTTGGGGCAGCAGTTTGGCTGGTGGCTTATAAATAGTCATCCCCCAGATCAGAGGCACCCACGCTTTTCTACAGACACAGTGGAAGTTGTATCTGTTAATTTCATTCATTGAGAAAATACACTGTAGATAAAAGAATCCAGCAAAGCCTTTAAATTAATTGGTAACTTTATTAATAACAATAGCATCTATACACATTTGAAAACACACATGTAGGAGACAGTTAAGATCTATTCAGTCTGTGATAATGTCTAGAGCTCATTTGGATTCATCAAACCCCTGCCATCAGCTCCAAAAGCCCTTAGCCAAAAACAGCTGAATCACTCATCAAACCATCAGTGTCTTCCTCGGCAGAATCAAGGGTTGGACAGAAAGAGTAAATATTCTGCACCTCCACAAAATAAAACTAAAATGCAATTGTCCTGCATCTGAGAATACAAGGGTGGACAGTATGAGCTGCATGACTGTGAACCAATGAGGCTTCTCTTGGCCTCATTTGTAAAAAGGAGATTAACTCTGTAGTCCCGCCTATATTGCATGGCCTCCAGAAAAGCAAATGAGGTGGTAAGTGTAAATTAAAAGCTCCTCTCCTTTAAGAGGGGAACACCATGAGGGGAGAGTAAGAAAAGGAGAAGGAAAAGGCTCTTTCCAGTGACCAACACGCTGAATTTGATGAAAATCCATAAGAGGTTATGCTAAACTGAGAAGCATAAGGGTGGATCTACCATTGCCACCTCCTCTTTGTAGCAAAAAAAATCTTAACACGGCCCCCTCCCAGCTGTTGCACTGAGGTGACTAAGGATACATTTTGAGGAAGTAGCTCCAAGAACATTTCCATTTTCACTGTGCCTTCACATACATCTAATGGAAATGAACAGCACCCTTCATCCATCCACGGAAGCGATTAAGAAAAGGGTGGGATGGAAAAATTAACCCAACAATATTAGATCAATACGTAGTATTTAAGTGTCCATAATGTGCCAGGCTGAAGATGCACGGGAAAACCACACTAGCCGGTCTGTCAAGGGCTTGAGAATACCATAAACAAGAAAACAGACGAACCAATTTCAGACAGCTGCTAGAAGGAAGATAAAATGAGACAGGCAAGTATGAGAGGCGCGAATTCCTGAGTGGATGACGTAGGTCTCTGAGAGGTGACTTTTGAGCCCGTATCTACATGGTAAGTGCCTCGCAGTGACCTGGGGCCGTAGCGTTACCATTTAAAGCACAGACCATTAAATGCAGAAATTATCAACAAAATGAGAAATAGGAATTTCAAAGTCTCAAAGTGAACGACGGAAACTGAAATCTACAAATTAGAAAAAGGCGCAGAATTTTGAATATTCTTGTCGCCCAATCAGGACAAGGCTGGGACCCGGCTGCGCGGCCTTCGTCCAAAATACACAGAACGGCTGGTATCCACAGGAGGCCCCATCGCACGGCAGAACTGGTGACCGGACACAAAAGCTGCTGCCAAGCGTCAGTCATACAGAGCTGTCACGCAGTGTTTGCGGAACCCGGGCTGAATTGTGTCCTGGAGTTCTCTTAAATGACAGCCGAACTCAGCCACTTCGTTTTAGAATGAAACAGACCCAAGGAGCCACCAGGGCGCGTGTGGGGCGGGAGTGGGGGCGGGTAAAGAGGCGGATTCCCAACAGCCTAATTGAGAACCGACTCCTGGGAAGGCTAAGCAGCACAATGAGTAAAGACACGCTCTAGATTCAAAAGCAAATCCAATGACGCACTGGGGACCTCGAGTTCCAAATAGTTAAAAAGCTACGTATGCCATTTCCCATGACCTTCACACTAAAATAACTTACTTTATGAAAAGAAACTAAGGGAATAAGTGAACAAGCTCTTTTCTAGTGATTAGGTGGGTGGCTCTGAAAAGAGCCTTTGGAGTCAAGCAGCCGGCGACTCGAGCGAGCGAGCGCCAGGTCCCGGCAGGGACTCACTTGGAGCTGGTGTACTTGGTGACCGCCTTGGTGCCCTCGGACACGGCGTGCTTGGCCAGCTCGCCGGGCAGCAGCAGGCGCACGGCCGTCTGGATCTCGCGGGATGTGATGGTGGAGCGCTTGTTGTAGTGCGCCAGGCGGGAAGCCTCTCCCGCGATGCGCTCGAAGATGTCGTTGACGAAGGAGTTCATGATGCCCATGGCCTTGGACGAGATGCCGGTGTCGGGGTGGACCTGCTTCAGCACCTTGTACACGTAGATGGAGTAGCTCTCTTTGCGGCTGCGCTTGCGCTTCTTGCCGTCTTTCTTCTGGGCTTTGGTGACGGCTTTCTTGGAGCCCTTTTTAGGGGCCGGAGCGGATTTTGCCGGTTCAGGCATGGTAAGACACAGTACAAACGCGGCTTAGCCAAGAAAAGAAGTAAGAGAATGGGCGGGCCTGATTCTTTTATAACCACCTTATGCAAATTAGGGCTCCGAAAGTCGTTCATTTCCATTGGTCCGTGTGCGGACCTTGCGTTTTCAGCAATGCGTACGTAACAACACCGACTCTTGACTTGATTGGCCGGTTCTGAAGCCATATTAGGACCAATGAAAAACTCGTTCTTGACCCCACCCCTAGGAAAGCTTATAAAGGCTTTCCTCTTGGTTCTCTTTCAATCTTATTTTGTTGCGAGGTTCTGAGCGTTGTCTGTGTTTAACCTTGATTTCAGTCATGTCTGGTCGTGGCAAACAAGGAGGCAAGGCCCGCGCCAAGGCCAAGTCGCGCTCGTCCCGCGCTGGCCTCCAGTTCCCGGTAGGGCGAGTGCACCGCTTGCTGCGCAAAGGCAACTACGCGGAGCGGGTGGGGGCCGGCGCGCCCGTCTACATGGCGGCGGTCCTCGAGTACCTGACCGCCGAGATCCTGGAGCTGGCGGGCAACGCGGCTCGGGACAACAAGAAGACGCGCATCATCCCTCGTCACCTCCAGCTGGCCATCCGCAACGACGAGGAACTGAACAAGCTGCTGGGCAAAGTCACCATCGCCCAGGGCGGCGTTTTGCCTAACATCCAGGCCGTTCTGTTACCAAAGAAAACCGAAAGCCACAAAGCCAAAAGCAAATAAATGCAGACAAACAAACCAAGACCAAAGGCTCTTTTTAGAGCCACCCAAGTTTTCAAAAAAAGAGCTAATGCGCTATTTCGTGATCAGCCCTTCATTTGACACTTTGGTGGCTCTTAAAAGAGCCTTTGGGGTGAATGAGTATGGTGTCAAGCCTCTTAATTACTTGTTCTTGCCAGGCTTGTGACTCTCCGTTTTCTTGGGCAACAGGACAGCCTGGATATTGGGCAAGACGCCGCCCTGGGCAATGGTGACACCCCCGAGTAACTTGTTGAGCTCTTCGTCATTCCTCACGGCTAGTTGCAGATGGCGAGGGATGATGCGCGTCTTCTTGTTGTCCCGAGCCGCGTTGCCCGCCAGCTCCAGAATTTCCGCGGTCAGGTACTCGAGGACCGCCGCCAGGTACACCGGGGCGCCTGCCCCGACCCGCTCCGCGTAGTTGCCTTTGCGCAGCAAGCGGTGCACTCGCCCCACCGGGAACTGGAGACCAGCGCGGGACGAGCGCGACTTGGCCTTAGCGCGGGCCTTGCCTCCCTGCTTTCCGCGTCCTGACATTACGGCTAAAATTGCAGTTACAGCTTCTTTTACAAGGAGAAGAATGTGGAAAGAATAACCAATTTGATGTAATTTATAAGAGCTACCGGGAGGGGTGAAGGGAAGTCGTTTGATTGGCTAAAAGCGGAGCCGTATCTAACAGCCAATAGAAAAGCAGAAAGCCGCCTCTTGGTTTGCGTCCTGCACTGAAAGGAAATGACGGATTTTGTAAGTATCTACCAATCGCTGAGAGCCACATTAAAGCCCCTTATTTGCATGCCAGGATCTTTAAAGAGAGCAGGCTTTCAAACAAAATACTGGTTTTGTTTTACTGAGAGGCACTGTGGGTTTTTGTTTTGTTTTGCTTTGCTTTGTTTAGTTTACAGCCGGGAAATCCCAATATGGACCCTAAGGAACTGCAGAAGACATCCTTAGACGGAGAGTTACTCTCACGAAAGAGTAGGGGATTCTGAAGCCGATGATCCCCTTGAGCTCTAAACTGCCAAGTCCCGCCCTTTCTGTCTCGTCACAGCCAAATTCCCTTTAAAAATACATGTACTACTAAGGCTGCCTCCTTTCTCGCCCCTAAACTTAAGTCGCCCGCAGCGGCGTGTCTCCGCCCCACCCCCACCCGCCTGCACTCCTCGGAATCCGGTTTGACCGAGGCTAGAATAGATTTGTCATCCTCCTCTTGACCTCCAGGAGGCGGCCTTCAAACTTGCTCCCTTGGCTTTCAAAATGTCGCCCTGTTTTTCTTCTTACCTCGCCGACTTTTCTTATCCTGCTCCCCCATGCCACTGCCCATCTCTAAATCTGCGAGTCCAGCTGGACTGTTTCCCTGTCTCCAATTCTTCACTTATCCCGAAGAGTCTTACCCATTTATATGCTTTCAACTAACGTCCAAATTTGTTTCAGAAGCTCAGACCCTTATGCCTAACTGCTTACAGAATACTTCAACCTACTTATCCCAACGAGCACCTCAAACTCAAACTCTACCTCAGCCTATCCGAACGCGAACTCATACAAACAACCTCCCCTCTTTGCCCTCTTTTCCTGAAATGCACCAGCATACTTACAGATACCTAAGCCGAAATCTACTCTACTCTTCCCTTCGTCTTAGCATATCCAGTCAGTTGCTTCCTTAACATCCCTTCAGACTTTTTCTCCATGCTCCCTTGTCCACCTCATCATCATCCCTTAGATTTCAGCAACAGCCGGGAAAGGGTAATTTTGCCGTCAGGCACTAATCGCTGGCATGACTCCAGCGGTCTTAGAAATCTTTCCTGAAAGCTCTCCTTTTTTTCTTTTATCCCATATAACAGATGAACCTGAAAGCTCTTGTGTTTCTTCCTCCTCAACGTCCCATCTCTGGGAGTTCTACATCTCCTACACCATTCTCACCCTTTCCTTAGTATCCCTTAAGGTCAGGTAGAATGCTAGAGAGAAAAAATAGACTTGTGGGTTTTTTGTTCGTTTTTTGAGGCGGAATTTCCTCTGTCACCCAGGCTGGAGCACTATCTCAGCTCACTGCAACCTCCACCACCGCCTCCTCCACCCCGCCCCCACCCACCCGGGTTCAAGCGATCCTCCCACCTCAGCCTCCCGAGTAGCTGGGATGACAGGCGCCCACCACCCCGCCTGGCTAATTTTTGTATTTTTAGTAGAGATGGGGTTTCATCTCTACTAATGTTGACCAGGGTGATCTCGAACTCCTGACCTCAAATCTCGAATGTTGGCCAAGGTGGTCTCGAATTCCTGACCTCAAATGATCTGCCCACCTCGACCTCCCAAAGTGCTGGGATTACAGGCGTGAGCCACTGCACCCGGCCAGAAAATACTTAAATCATTCTTTGACACTTTTCCTGATGTTTTCTCCTTTATTCTCACCAGTTTATTCAACTGGCATTTATTGGATGTGTGCTATTGGGCCATGGGTGTATAGATAATTGAAAGTAGTACAAACAAGTCTGTGATGAAATGCCTCCAGAAAATGGAGGAAATCTGGTGAACTCTGAGAGTTAAATTAGTTAAAATCAGCTACGTATAGAGATTACTCCTGATAAGAATGCTGGTATAGATTTGGGAAACACCAAAGTTCAGACAGAGGTGATGAGGGTGTAACCTAAGATCCTTCTAATCCAATTGATTATATCATTTGAGAAGATGAATGTTAACAGAAAGGTGCGGTCCACATAGAGTCCAAACAGGTGGCAATTATAGTAGGAATATGTTATGTTTTCACCAACACTAAAATATATCTGGCAGATGTAAAGTTTGGCCTAGAAAAGGGTCCTTGGTTATGAAAGCATCAACCCTTTCTCACAGCCTGGGTGAAATATTTCTGAAGACTATCCAAGTTCTTTCATTCAGATTCTGTGCTCAATTAACAACTTTCTGATTATTCTATTCCAAGATAAAAACATAAGACTGAAGTGGGGGGAGCCAGTTATAGAAAGATGTTCATCATATAATTCAATGAATTTGCATTTTGGACTATTCATAAATTTTGTGTGTACTTTGTTAGCGTGGGCCCCTCCCCAAGAAGCCAGTCAGTCCTGGAAGTTCTCATAGTGTCAACTTTTCAGACCTAAAGGGCTGAGAACAAAACCCAGATGATAGGGGACCCCACCACAATCCTGGCACCCCATAAGGCCCTGCTTGAGGGGCAAGATGACCTTCCTTTCTTTCGCTGACCTTATTTTTTTTTTTTTTTTTTTCCCAGACAGAGTCTCACTCTGTCAGCCAGGCTGGAGTGCAGTGGCAGAATCTCAGCTCACTGCAACCTCTGCTTCTCGGGTTCAAGTGATTCTCATGCCTCAGCCGACCAAATAGCTGGGATTACAGGCATGCGCCACCACATCCAGCTAATTTTTGTATTTTCAGTAGAAACAGGGTTTTGCCATGTTGTCCAGGCTGGTCTCGAACTCCCAAAGTGCTGGGATTACAGGTGTGAGCCACTGCGCCTGGACTTGACCTCTGATTTCTTTTTTACTTCTATCACGGTGCTCTGTGCCATAAGAAGGGTGAAAGAAAAAGAGATTATGTTGAAACCCTGCTATGATAAACCCTGCAGTAGTGACTGCCTACAAAGTAGATAAAATTATGTGTTTCACAAATAAACTGAAGCTTACAGGGATTAAAACAATTGCTGGGCCGGGTGTGGTGGCTCA
Source organism: Homo sapiens (assembly GCF_000001405.40). NCBI lineage: Eukaryota > Metazoa > Chordata > Mammalia > Primates > Hominidae > Homo > Homo sapiens. The sequence goes on from NC_000001.11 coordinate 149,891,066, forward strand.
CACCTGTAATCCCAGCACTTTGGGAGGCCGAGGCGGATAGCTTGAACCCAGGAGTTTGAGACCAGCCTGGCAACATGGCGAAACCCCATCTCTACAAAAAATACAAAAATTAACTGAATGTGGTGGGGCACACACCTGTGACCTGTGGTCTCAGCTACTTGGGAGGCTGAGGTTGGAGGATTACTTGAGCCCAGAAGGCAGAGGTTGCAGTGAGCCAAAATAGCGCCACTGCACTCCAGCCTGGGTGACAGAGCAAGACTCTATCTCAAAAAAAAAAATTGCTGAAGGTCACACAGCCACATGATTAGAGCCTAGGTCTGCCTGACTCAAATAACATGCTCCTCACCATGTCATTCACACTCTCACTAACTAGATGTTGGGCTTAAAGAAGTCATTTAATTTATCCAGCCATTGTTTCTTCCTCTGTACAAAAAAAAGGAAGAAAGAATTATTAGATGAGATCTTCTCTACTCCCACACAAATATCCTTGCTGTGGCCACATCTCTTTGTTCATATCCTGGTGACAGCACTCACCATTCTGTGCTGTGTGTGTGTGTGTGTGTGTGTGTGTGTGTGTGTGATGGAGTTTCGCTCTGTCGCCCAGGCTGGAGTGCAACGGCACGATCTCTGCCCACTGCAACCTCTGCCTCCCAGGTTCAAGAGATTCTCCTGCCTCAGCCTCCCAAGTAGCTGGGATTACAGTAATGTGCCACCACACCTGGCTAATTTTTTTATTTTTAGTAGAAATGGGGTTTCACCATGTTGGCCAGGCTGGTCTTGAACTCCTGACTTCAGGTGATCCACCCACCTCAGCCTCCCAAAGTGGTGGAATTATAGGCGTCAGCCACCATACCTGGCCTGTACTGTGCTTTAATCTCCTTTCTGTAACCATTTCCAGAGAAAGATCATGTCTTCCTCTTATTTGAATCAAGAGTTCTTGATTCCTTCCACCTGGCCCTTAATAGTTTCCTTAAATGTTTTTGGCATGAATACATGAAACAAACTCTTAGAAAATTAGCATTTTCTTTTCTAAAATATTTAGTCAACAACCACTCTCCAAATGACAACCATAAATAGTAGATGATGGTAAACAGAATGATGGAAGATAGAAGCTCATCAGTTAAATAAAAATAATACAGGCCAGGCACAGTGGCTCACACCTGTAATCCCAGCACTTTGGGAGGCCAAGGCAGGTGGATCACGAGGTCAGGGGTTCGAGAGCAGCCTGACCAACATGGTGAAACCCCATCTCTACTAAAAATACAAAATTAGCTGGGCATGGTGGTGGGCACCTGTAATCCCAGCTACTCAGGAGGCTGAAGCAGGAAAATTGCTTGAACCCGGGAGGCAGAGGTTGCAGTGAGCCGAGATCGTGCCACTGCACTCCAGCCTGGGTGACAAAGCGAGACTCCGTCTCAAAAAATAATAATAATAATAATAATAATAATATAGCCTACCATAATACGGTTGCTGGAATAAAGGAGAATAAATGTAAATAACCTAGTAGAGAGCTTGGGAACCTGAGAGGCCCCACAGCTAGATTAGGAGGATATGATGGTTCATTTTATGAGTCAACTTGCCTAGCCCAATAGCTAGTAAAACATTTTCTGGGTTTTGTTTTTGTTTTTTGTTTTTTGTTTTTTTTGAGACGGAGTTTCACTCTTGTTGCCCAGGCTGGAGTGCAATGACGTGATCTCGGCTCACAGCAACCTCCACCTCCCGGGTTCAAGCGATTCTCCTGCCTCAGCCTCCCAAGTAGCTGAGATTACAGGCGTGAGCCACCATGCCTGGCTAATTTTGTATTTTTAGTAGAGATGGGGTTTCTCCATGTTGGTCAGGCTGGTCTCAAACTCCCGACCTCAGGTGATCCGCCCGCCTCAGCCTCCCAAAATGATGGAATTACAGGCATGAGCCACCACGCCTGGCCCATTTTTCTGGGTATTTCTGAAAGAGATTAGCATCTGAGGCCGGGCACGGTGGCTCACACCTGTAATCCCAGCACTTTGGGAGGCCAAGGCAGGCGGATCACCTGAGGTCGGGAGTTCGAGCCCAGCCTGGCCAACATGGTGAAACCCCATCTCTACTAAAAATACAAAAAATTAGCCCAGCGTGGTGGCATGCACCTGTGTAGTCCCAGCTACTCAGGAGGCTGAGGCAGGAGAATCGCTTGAACCCAGGAGGTGGAGGTTGCAGTGAGCCATGATCGGACCACTGCACTCCAGCCTGGGCAACAGAGCGAGACTCTGTCTCAAAAACAAACAAACAAAAAGTAATCTATGGTGATAAAGGTTAGAATAATGAGACTAATGATTAACTGTGGCAGGGTAATACTGACTTCCCTGGAAGTCTTCTGAGGTGCTGGGAATTTTCTTTATCTTGATATAGGCATATTCATATGTAAAATTCAGCTCTACATTTAAGATTTATAGGGGTTTTTTTGTTTGTTTGTTTTTGAGACAGTCTCCCTCTGTCACCCAGGCTGGAGTGCAGTGGCGTGATCCCAGCTCACTGCAACTCTGCCTCTCGGGTTCAAGCCAATTCTCATGCCTCAGCCTCCCAAATAGTTGGGATTACAGGTGCCTGCCACCACGCCCAGCTAATTTTTGTATTTTTAGTAGAGAGGGGGTTTCACCATGTTGGCCAGGCTGGTCTCGAACTCCTGATCTCAAGTGATCCACCTTCCTTGGCCTCCCAAAGTGCTGGGATTACAAGCGTGAGTCACCACGCCCGGCCTAGATTTATAAATCTCTTACATGTACATCATACCTCAGTAAGCACAATTTTTAAATATAAACAAAATTGAAGGAGTCATCATGGGGAAAACAATGAGTACTTTGTTGGGCATCCCAATCCTCATGTTACAAATGAGTGTTTATTATTGTTTGGTTGTTTTGTTTAATTGTGTATGAGGTGGCTAACATAATCTCTCGGTGCTTAAAGCCTCTAAAAGCCTTAATCTGACCACGACAGACCTTCATTAAATAGTAGATATTATTATGACTATATTTTTATTAGAAACAAAGACAATAAGCTTGCCCTGTGGAGCTCGCAACTTGCAAAGCTTTCGTTTATTTTTACGACAGCAATAATAGTGAAGTTGCCGTCTCCATTCATACATCAATTCACTCATCCATCCAATATATCTTATTGAACACCTAAGTATGTCAACACTGAGCTTGGCATCACACATCTAGAATATAGTGAATATACCATTCATTGTGCCTGGATCTCTCTTTCCACGTGGTTAGTTCCCTCTAGTCATTCAAATTTCTGTTTCAATGTTACCTTCACACCTAGGCTTTCCCTGACCTCAGCCTCCTACCTCTGCCTAACACTGTCACTGGATTTGCAAACTGCAAGGTCCTAACCAAAGCAGGTCCTATAGATGCCATCTTTGTAGCAGCTTTCTAATCAATGTACTTCTCTCTAGCCCATCTCGTGCCTTCACTCAGGTTATCTTTCACCCAGACTACCAACAAAGACTTTTCTACTCCTCTCCCTGCTTCTACTCTTCCCACTCCTCACCAGAGTGGCCTTTCTAATAGACATTCTGATTCTTTTCTCACTGTACACTCTCTCCCCAGGTGATCACATACCACACCCCAGCCCCACCCCCATGATCTCATTTCATCTTCAACAACCCCTAACTAAGAGATGTCTCAAATATACTTCTCACATGCTAAAATTAGTGGGAAAAAACTTAATGAGAATTAGGAAAGTAGATACACTTAGAGTATCTTCCACAATTACAGACAGAAAAGGAATTTTATAGTGGAAAAGCCTGACAGATACCATCTTAATCAAGTGATCAGAACTATCACTAGTAATAACAAAAAGATCACGTGCCCTGGTAAGGTTCACAGAGAAGAATTCAACATTACTTCTGCAGTATTCCAGCCAAAAATGCATGTGCTAAATTTTAATCATAAAGAAACATCAGACAAACCCAGATTGAGGGACATTCTACAAAATAAATGTCTGTAACTTCAAAATTACCAAAGTCATGAAAGACAAAGAAAATCTAGGAAACTATTTCAAGTTAATGGAGAACAAAGAAATATAACAACTGAATGCAACACGTCATCCTAGATTGGATCCTGGACCAGAAGATATTTCTTTTCATTTTATATATATGATAGTAGTGGAACAATTGGCAAATTTTGAATAAGGTCTGTAGATTAGATAATAGTACCGTATCTGTGTTCATTTCTAGAGTCTGACAGTTATATTCCGGCTATGTGAGAAAATTTTTTTTTTTAAGTAAATATACATCAGTCAGGATTCTCCAGGGAAACAGAACGAATGGTAGATATTTTGATAGATAGTTTTATTATAAAAAATTGGCTTTTTGATTATGGAAGCTAATAAATCCCAAGATCCCCAAGATCTTCAGGGTAAGTTGGCAAGCTGGAGACCCAGGAGAACTGATGATATAGTTCCAGTCCAAGTTCAAAGGCCTGAGAACCAATGGTGTAGTTCCAGTCCAAAGGCCGAGTCTAAGACCCAGATGGAGCCAGTGTTTACTTCTGAGTCTGAAGGCTGAGAAAAGCCAATGTCCGGGTCTCAAAGCAGTCAGGCAGAAGGAAGTCTCTCTTACTCCGGAGTGGGTCAGTCTTTTGTTCTAGTCAAGCTTTCAACTGGTTGGATGGGACCCACCTATATTAGGGAGGGCAATTTACTCAGTCTCCAATTCAAATGTTAATCTCATTCAAAATACTCTCACAGAAGCACCCATATTTGGCCAAATATCTGAGCACCAATCCTCTAGAAGTTGGGACATTAACCATCACAGGCCGTGCGTGGTGGCTCACGCCTCTAATCCCAGCACTTTGGGAGGCTGAGGTGGGTGGATCACCTGAGGTCAGGAGTTTGAGACCAGCCTGGCCAACATGGTGAAACCCCCCTCTCCACTAAAAATACAAAAATTAGCCAGGCGCCATTGTCCACGCCTGTAATCCCAGCTACTCAGGAGGCGGAGGCACAAGAATCACTTGAACCCAGGAGACAGAGGTTGCAGTAAGCCAAGATTGCATCACTGCACTCCAGCCTGGGCGACAGAGTGAGACTCCATCTCAAAAAAAAAAAAAAAGTTAACCATCACAGGTAGAGTTTAATAGGCTTTATCTCTGAAACTTAGTCTCAAACAGTCCAGAAAATAATTATATATTTGTAGATAGGTACATACAAATAAAACAAACAGTGAATTGTTAATATTTGGGTAATCTAGGTATCAGGATAAAGGATATACAGGAATTATTTGAACTGTTTTTTTTAACTTTAGATGCACAAACCTTGTAATTATCCTTGACACTTTCCCTCCCACAACCAAGCCATTACCACACCCTGTAGGTTTTACTTTCCTAATATACATCCTGTAGCCACAATTTCTCTCCATTTCCACCACCACCACCACCACCTTGGTCCAAATCATCATCATCTCTCACCTAGACTGCTACAGTAACCTCCCAACTTGTCTCCCTGTTTCCACTCTTGCCTCCTCTACAATCCATTCTCCACCCTGAAGCCAGTGATCTTTGCAGAATACAAACTTAAAGTCAGCTAAATGCAATGCATGATCCTTGATTGGTTTCTGAAAATTAAACATTTATAATGTTTACTTAGACTGTGCTGCTATTACAAAATACCACTGACTGGGTAATTTATAAACAGAAATGTATTTTCTCACAGTTCTGGAGGCTGGGAAGTCCAAGATTACGGCACTGGCAGGTTTGGTATCTAGTGAAGGCCAGTTCCTCATAGATACGCCATCGAGGTGACCTTACATGGCAGAAGGGACAGAAGGGGCCAACTTACCCCCTCAAGCTCTTTCAAAAGGCGTTAGTCCATTCTTGAGGGTGGAGCCCTCATAGCCTTATTACCTCCTAAAGGCCCCACCACTTAATACCAACACCATGGATTAATTTTCAACATGAATTCTGGAGGAGACATATTCAAACTATAGTAGACACCAATGAGACAGTTGGGGAAATCTGAATATCAACTGTATGTGATTATAGTATTGTATGAATGTTAAATGTCTTGGATGTGGTAATGGTATTGTGGATATGTATGAAAATGTCCTTGTTCTTAGGAGATACACATTGAAAGTACATAGCAATTAAGTGTAAAGAATTTTGTGGGGCCAGGCGCAGTGGCTCACGCCTATAATCCCAGCATTTTGGGAGGCCGAGGCGGACTGATGACCTGAGTCAAGACCAGCCTGACCAACATGGAGAAACCCCGTCTCCACTAAAAACACAAAATTAGCCAGAGTGGTGGCGCACGCCTGTAATCCCAGCTACATGGGAGGCTGAGGCAAGCAAATCGCTTGAACCCAGGAGGCGGAGGTTGCTGTGAGCCAAGATCGCACCATTGCACTCCAGCCTAGGCAACAAGAGCGAAACTCCATCTCAAAAAAAAAAAAAAGAATTTTGTGGCTGGGTGCAGTGGCTCACGCCTGTAATCCCATCACTTTGGGAGGCTGAGGCAGGCAGATCACTTGAGGTCAGGAGTTCCAGAGCAGGAGGATCACTTGAGGTCAGGAGTTCCAGACCAGCCTGGCCAACATGGTGAAACCCCATCTCTACTAGAAATGCAAAAAAATTTAGCCAGGTATGGTGGCACCAGCCTGTAGTCCCAGCTACTCAGGAGGCTGAGGCAGGAGAATCACTTGAACCCAGAAGGTGGAGGTTGCAGTGGGCCAAGATGGCGCCACTGCACTCCAGTCTGGGCAACAGAGTGAGACTCTGTTTAAAAAAAAAAAAAAAAAGAATTTTGGGCCAGGCGCAGTGGCTCACGCCTGTAATCCCTGTAATCCTGGGTGGCCGAGGAGGGTGGATCACCTGAGGTTGGGAGTTCCAGACCAGCCTGATCAACATGGAGAAACCCCGTCTCTACTAAAAATACAAAATTAGCCGGGCATGTTGGCACATGCCTGTAATCCCAGCTAATCAGGAGGCTGAGGCAGGAGACTTGCTTGAACCCAGGAGGCAGAGGTTGCAGTGAGCCAAGATCACGCCATTGCACTCCAGCCTGGGCAAGAAGAGCAAAACTCCATCTCAAAAAAAAATAAATAAATAAGATTTCTGCACCTAACTCAAGTGATTCAGCAGAAATAATTATTATTATTTCATTATTATTATACACACATACATTAAAAGAGATACAAAGCCAAGTCTGGCAAAATCTTATCAGTGAACCTAGGTGAAGAGTGGATAAATGGGTTGCTCATTGTATTAATCTTGCAAATTTTCTGGAAGTTTTAATTTTTTTTAAAGGCTAGGGAAAACAGTGTATGTCATAGTTTAAATTTCTTGAGTGTGATAAGGTTATTGTGGTTATGTATGAGAATATCTTTGTTCTTAGGAGATACATATTGGAGTAGTTAGGGGTGAAATGTCATGCTATCTGCAACTTACTTTCAAATGGTTCATCCAAAAAAGCATATAAATATATTTTAAAGTATATGTAAAGTACTTAAATATATGAGTATATATGTACAAGTATAAAATAAATATAAATGCAAAAAATGGTGGGTCAAGTGAAAGGTAGAGGGTGTTGCTTTGAACTATTCAACTTTTCTGTGGCTTTGACATTTTTCAAAATGAGAAGTTGGGGAAAAACATTTAGAAATATGTAAATATATTAAGGATACAAAATAAAATTTAAATAATTTTACAAGTTAAGAATCATCCTGGAAAAATTACATCCTGTTACATCCCTGCTTAAAACCTCAGTAGCTTCCCACTACTTCTAGGATAAAGACAAAATTGCCTAACAAGGGCTACAAGGCCTGGGGTGGTCTGGCCCGTTCCTCTCCTCCTGGTACCCTACTCATCACCATCAGCTGCCCCCTAGGCTCCAACCACACATAACCACACCCTAACTACACCAGAAGGAAAGACTCCCTCAAAATTCTCTCTCCTCCTGTCCTTTACACATGCAGCTACCAAAGCCAAAACCTCACTATGAGGGACTGAGAAATGGATTCTCATGTTGTTTCTGCTGAACTGTTTCCCTAAATCTCGGAAATATTCTCTGCCCGCCTCCCATTCCACCTCTCCAACCCCGGCCAAGTCTGGGTAACTTGCCTCCTTAGCATCCTGTGTTTATCTCATCGTAGCACCTAGTACCCAGTATTGCAATTGTCCGCTCACTTGTTAGTCTTCAGTGCTCTGTTGTCTCCTTGAAAACAGGGCCTGACTTGACTCCCCAGTCCCCAGCACTAGTCTGGGGCACAGTAATTATGTATTCAATCAGACTTCCATTTTCTTGCATATAAAATAAAGGAGTTGGGCTGGATGATCTACAAGATCTATTGGCAGTAAAATAGATCTAATAATCCCAATCCCAACTGCGCGTGAATTCCCTTTTTCTTTGCATTGCTGGGTTCAGACTTTCTGACCACCTTACCAGTGGGGAGAATCCGAGACTACAGTTCCCATGAGCCCTCAGGGCACCACGTGGTGCCTGCCCGTGCTACCAACGCGCAGCGAGGACTCCATTTCCCAGCGTGCCTCAGGAAGGGCGCCAGGACTGCATTTTGCTCCGGAGCGTCCAGAGTCCTGGCCCTGAGCGGGAATCGCAGTGGCCGAGGCTGAGCGGCAGGTAGAAGGGGCGTCTCCGGGGCTTCACAGGGAACACAGGGGCTTCGGCCCAACCACAAGTACGCAGTTGCACATGCCCTACTTTTGCCCATTCTTTGCAAATCCCCTAAGGAACGAACGCGCCTCGCGTGCGGGCCTTTCTAATCTTCGCTTGTCCCTTCACTTCCACAGCTGGAGGTCGAATTCACCACGTCACGTAGAGAAAAGGGGCGGTGTCTCGGGTCTCCCCGTGTGGCATCAAGGCGGGCTCCCTATAGGAGCTGGTGTGGACGTCCGGGCGTGGGGTTAGGGCGGATGCGGGGATCGCGGGGCGGGTGTTGACATTGTGCTCTCACCAGGCGGATCGCCCCGACCCTCACTCCTGGCGTCTGAGTCTCTGGCGTAGCCCATGCTGAGTGGGCGGCTGGTCCTGGGTCTGGTCTCCATGGCTGGCCGCGTTTGTTTGTGCCAGGGCAGCGCGGGATCCGGGGCCATCGGTCCGGTGGAGGCCGCCATTCGCACGAAGTTGGAGGAGGCCCTGAGCCCCGAGGTGCTAGAGCTTCGCAACGAGAGCGGTGGCCACGCGGTCCCGCCTGGCAGTGAGACTCACTTCCGCGTGGCTGTGGTGAGCTCTCGTTTCGAGGGACTGAGCCCCCTACAACGACACCGGCTGGTCCACGCAGCGCTGGCCGAGGAGCTGGGAGGTCCGGTCCATGCGCTGGCCATCCAGGCACGGACCCCCGCCCAGTGGAGAGAGAACTCTCAGCTGGACACTAGCCCCCCATGCCTGGGTGGGAACAAGAAAACTCTAGGAACCCCCTGAACCCCAAGAGAGGGAGGACCAGGATCCGAATGGGCTGGGTGAGCACGAATTACCGAGGCCTTCCCTTTGATACAGTCCAGGATTTGTAAGGGATGAAGACCCCTGGGCCCCATTCTGTTGGGGTCCATACATACTCTCCGAAGATAGCAACTTGCTTCAGGTCAAAGTGAACCCGAGAAAAGAGAAGAATCACTCACTACTGCTCTTGCCCTGGACTATTCAGGAAGGGCAGCCCGGATGTTCCATGTTAAATCGTGACAGAATTGCACCAGACCTGATGAGTTGGAAACAATCCTATACATTAAAAGAAATTACACTATGAGGCTGTGTTCTTAATGGACTGCTGAATCAGTGCCACAGGTGTTCTTGGGAGAAGAAAGATACTTGTAGACTAGTCGGGAAGGGCTTTATGAGGGAAGTGATCTAGTTGGATCTTTAAAGGAAAGCACAAAATTAACCAGAAAGGAGAGGATAGGTGCTGCAGGCAGGGAGAAGAACCTGAGCAAAGACATAGACGCTGGACTGAGAAGTGAGTTAATGGACAAGACAGGGGATATAGGCAGGGACACATTTGAATTTCATCTTGAGGGGGGGAATGTTTGGCTTTTTTACAGCCTGTTCATTTCCAAAAAGTAGTATTTGTATTTGTTTAAAAGAAAAATGTTTTTAAAAACCACTAAAGCAGTGAAAAGAGGATAAGAACTAAGAAAATGATTACAGATGATGAAGAAACCTTTATATAGCCTTTTTTTTCTTTTCTTTTCTTTTCTTTTTTTTTTTTGAGATGGAGTTTCGCTCTTGTTGCCCAGGCTGCAGTGCAATGGCACGATCTCGGCTCACTGCCATCTCCGCCTCCTGGGTTCAAGCGATTCTTCTGCCTCAGCCTCCCCAGTAGCTGGGATTACAGGCATGCACCACCACACCCAGCTATTTTTTTGTATTTTTAGTAGAGATGGGGTTTCACCATGTTGACCAGGATGGTCTCAAACTCCTGACCTCAGGTGATCCTCCTGCCTCAGCCTCCCAAAATGCTGGGATTACAGGCGTGAGCCACTACCCGTAGCGTTTTTGTTTTTGTTTTTGTTTTTGAGATGGAGTCTCACTTTGTTGCCCAAGCTGGAGTGCAGTGTCGCGATCTCAGCTCACTGCAGCCTCCCTCCGCCTCCCAGGTTCAAGCAATTCTCCTGCCTCAGCCTCCCAAGTAGCTGGGACTAGAGGCTTGTGCCACCACACCCAGCTAATTTTTTGTATTTTATAGAGACAGGGTTTCACCATGTTGCCCAGGCTGGTCTTAGACTCCTGAGCTCAGGCACTCCGCCCACCTCAGCCTCCCAAGGTGCTAGGATTATAGGCGTAAGCCACCATGCCCCGCAATGTAGCCCTTTTTGAGCATTACAGATATTGTCATATTTCTGAGGGGAGCTCGAGTAATGTCTATAGAAGCAACTTTCCAATAATCTCAATGTGGAAATTATTAGAGAAAAAAACTTGGTTAACATATATCTTTTTTTTTTTTTTTTTTTTTTTTTTTGTGAGACGGAGTTTTGCTCTTGTTGACCAGACTGGAGTGCAATGGCCCAATCTCAGCTCACTACAACCTTCGCCTCCCAGGTTCAAGCGATTCTCCTGTCTCAGCCTCCCGAGTAGCTGGGATTACAGGTGCCTGCCACCATGCCCGGCTAATTTTTGTATTTTTAGTGGAGACGAGGTTTCATCATATTGGTCAGGCTGGTCTCAAACTCCTGACCTCAAGCAATCTGCCTGCATCGACCTCCCAAATTGCTGGGATTACATGCGTGAGCCACCACGCCCGGCCCGGTTAACATATATCTTGACCATTTCTAGCTAAAGAATTTAAGGTGCATGTGGTTGGGCAGTAGGGAGTCATTGACAAATTTTGAGTACAGACATGCCAGAGAGCATCTGGGGGCAGATGGATCTGGCAGTGATGTGTAAGTGAGTTGGCATGGGAGACTGGAGGAACAGAGATCAATCCAGAGTGAGGGTAGAACCCTGACTTACAAGTCATCTGTGGGAATGGAAAGGAAGGAGTTTATTTGAGAGCTACCATAAAATCAGAAAATGGTTTGATTGGAACAGAAATGGACTAGAGTGAGAGGGGAGTCAATGGTAACCCCAAGGCAGTGGTTTTCAGATTTTCTCAGGTAAGAACTCCCATGAGATTGTTTAAAATGAAGCTTCTGGCTGGGTGTGGTGGCTCACACCTGTAATCCCAGCAGTTTGGGAGGCCGTGGCGGGCGGATCGCCTGAGGTCAGGAGTTCGAGACCAGCTTGGGCAGCATGGTGAAACCCCATCTCTACTAAAAATACAAAAATTAGTTGGGTGTGGTGGCAGGCACCTGTAATCCCAGCCTCTTAGGAAGCTGAGGCAGGAGAATCGCTTGAACCCGGGAGGCGGAGGTTGCAGTGAGCCAAGATCACGCCACTGCACTCCAGCCTGGGCAACAAAGCGAGACTCTGTCTCAAAAAAAAAAAAAAACGTAGATTCAAGGTCCCTATCCTTCCAAACCAAGAAAAAAAAAAAGGGTTCTGATTCAACAAGTCAAGAGTGGAGTCTGGGGTCTATATTTTTAAAAAGCATACCAGAAGATTTAGAGGAAAGTTGGTTCTATTCTTATGAAACATTACTCCCAAAGTTTTCAAATCTGGGAGACTTAGAGGGCCCTCCATCTGTAGGGGAAAGATCAAGGTAGAGAGGCCAATTTAGGAAGTAAATCTGGTACACCATGTTATTCTGACCTTCAGTCCATCTCACCATTTTACCCTCCAAGGCTGTTAGGAGAATTGGATGTAGGTGGAGAGTCACAGAAGCAGGTATAGCCATTTTGTATTTTGAGGATTTGTTTCCGTTTTATTTTTCGTCAATATTTTTCACTGCATTTTTCACATCAACAGAGTTGGGTTTAGGGTTCCCCAGGAGAGCAAGGGAGATGGATGGGTCCCTCCCAGGGGTGCGAGGAAGAGGGCTACGTCCAGCATGTGGGGAGTGAGGGACAAGGGCACAGGGCACACACTCATACACTGGGCACTGGAGAAGGCAGTCTTTTGAGCACAGACACCAAAGAGTTAAACAGTCACCACCTGGTACAGTGTTACAAAATGGGGAGAGTGACCACAGGGTTGGGGCACTGGACGCAGCATGACGAAGGTGAATTTTGATTTTCTTTTTTGTTATTTTCACTTTTTTCCTTTTAACATTTTTTTAAACATTTTACAAACATCTAAAAACTACAACACGTCACAGCTACAGTGGGGTGAGGGGAGGGCACCAAAGAAAGCAGCCACACAGAGTAGGGTGGGATGGGGCAGCCTAACCTACAGAGGCTATTGTGTGGAAGGGTAAAATGGGGAAACTGAGGCTTCTAGTCCCTGCATTAGGGGTCCCTCACTCACTGCCCAACCTCTCCCCACTCAGAGGAGCTGCCAGGAGGGCCCCTGCTTCCTGCCTCTGCCCCAGCTCTTTGTGCTTTTTGATCTGCTGGTTTGACCAGATGCCTGGTTTCTTTCCCTCCCCTGCTCCCCTCCCTGTGAGGGGACAGGTAGGGAGCATGGGAGGGCAGCTGTGCTATTCCCGCCTGTGCTGTAGTGGGTGGAGCCTCTCACTCCAGAGGAGGCCTCTGCTTCTTGAGGAGGGAAGGAGATGGGCCTTGTCGGATGCCCTCAGATCTCCCTAGACTGTGGGACTCTTATCCCAGGCTGGCCTAGGGCTCCTCCATCCCAGGCTCAACACAGAAACCAGATTAGGGGAGGAACTGTGGGAGGCAGGGTTGTGTGTGCATCCGCTGAAATTACCCTTGGCTTATATTTGAGGACAGTATAGTGATACCCCCCGCCCCATGGCACATGCACACACATATGTAAGTATACATACACATTCACACACAGTCCTGCGGAGCTGCCTCAGAACTTAATCTATTAATAAATAAGAATCAGAAAGCTAATTTCATAAAATTCAGGCTTCATATTTGCAGCCCAAATTGAGAGGAAAGTGGAGGCCAGAGGGCTGAGGTTTATTGCTTCTCCCCCAGCATCCAACAGGAGATGTGAGAGGGCACCCGAGGCCCACTCTTCAGACTCTAAGAAGTTCTTTTGGTCCATGGTCTACACCAGAGCCCCAGCCCCTAGCATAATTGCATACCTGTGGTTTCACCAGGGCCTAGGCAGAGGGAATGATGGGGAAGGCAGGAAGCCTATTCTGGAACCCCTGGAACAGGGAAGCAAGGGCCCCTCTCTAACAGGGGGAGAAGGATGGGGCTCAGCCTTCTCTTGTGCAAAGTCAAGGGCAGTGGGAAATGGGGAGTACAGCTTCATCTCAAAACTGGGATGAAGGAGCCTTCCCTGTAGTCCCTGCCCACGGGGTTTACACACATGCACACGCACACGCACACACAGCTAAGACACCAAACACGGGGAGTGGGGAGTGAGGGCTCTGGAGGTCAGGATGGCAGGGCAGGGAGGGGAAGGAAGGAGTTGTTGGTCTCACAGTGTGCCTGCCAATCCCAAAGCCCTAGAGACCCCTTCACTGCAGCACCTGCCCCCGGGTCTCAGGCAGCTTCAGGGCCAGAGAGCTGCCAAGGGCAAGGGCAGCTGAGGCAAAGAGGATGGGTGCAGCCTTGGTGATTCCCACGAAGGATGTGAAGATGCTGATCCCCAGCACAGCTGCCAGCTTACACAGGGCATTCAGGAAGCCAAAAGCTGTGGTCCTGCTCAGGAGTCCCCCAGTGCAGCACGGCGCAAGGTACAGGAGGGAGGCAAAGGAAGAGTGGAGGGCAGGGAAGTGAAGTCCAGGAAGATGCAGGCAGTGTCCAAGAGGGAGAGAGAAGGTTGGAGAGATCAGAGAGGTAAAGGATGTACACCAGGAATGTAAATAAATTGAGAGACAAAGGGAAAGGAGACCAAAAATTGAGGTTAACAGTTAAGACTTTGAGGAGTAGATACAAAAGCTACCAGATTTTTTTTTCCTTTTTTTTTTTTTTTGAGACGGAGTCTTGCTCTGTTGCCCAGGCTGGAGTGCAGTGGTGCGATCTCGGCTCACTGAAAGCTCCACCTCCCGGGTTCAAGCAATTCTCCTGCCTTAGCCTCCTGAGTAGCTGCGATTACAGGCACCCAGCTAACTTTTTGTATTTTTAGTACAGACAGGGTTTCACCATGTTGGCCAGGCTGGTCTCAAACTCCTGACCTCAGGTGATCTGCCTGCCTCGGCCTCCCAAAGCACTGGGATTACAGGCATGAGTCACCGTGCCCGGCCAAAGCTACCAGATTTTAGAGGAGAAAATGGAAATGTATATCCTCTCACCCCTAAGGATGCTCTTCCCATTCAGCCCTCCTTCCTCACCCCACCCCTCCCCTGAATCCACTGCCCTGCCTCCAACACATTCCAACTACCTCTTGTCTGAGGGGTAGAGTTCAACAGTCAACACGTCCAGCGCATTCCAGGATGCAATGCTGACCCCGCCAAAAAGGCAGAGCAGAGCGATCATGGCCGACTCACTGTTCCCAAAAGACAGGAAGAAGCAGGAGACACAGGACATCACGCTGGAGCCAGCTGGAGCCAGGAGAGGAGAGAGCAACATGAGCCTGGCCACAGTGAAACCCACCCACAGCCCACCCTGTCCCATCAGCTGGCTTTCAGATAGCCCAGGATGAGACTTGTTCCGAAGGTATCCAACCAAGGTATCCAAAAGGAAGGCTTTTCACTCCTCCTCAACCTCCCTTATAATTGTTTATTAATAATATCAGTAACCATCATTTATTCAATGCCAGCCATGGGCCAAGGCAATTGATGCTTTACATGCATTGATCTAGCACATCAACCCTATGACACAGGTACTATTATCACCTCCATTTTGCAGAGGAAACAACCAGGCTCATAGAGGTAATTTGCCAGAGGCCAGAGGCAGGTGGTGGAGCTGAGATTCAAAACCCATAACCTCAAAGCCTGTGCCCTAACCACTTGCAATTCTGCTTACCTCCTTTACCCCCAGAGAAGCTTCTGTGCCAGTCCCCACCCCATCCTGCAGCACCCCCTAAACAGAAAACATGAGAGAGGAACTCTCTGACCAATCTCTTCCACAGCCCAAGGTGAGAAGCCTGTTGACTGCCTCCCGCAGCCCCTGGCCCCTACTATCAGATCTGACTCAGCCTCTCCCCCTTACCAAGCATTCTGAGCCTGCCGATCTTGTCCATGAGCAGGGCAGACACGATATTCCCAGGAAGCACTGCCAGTGTCCCCAGGAAGCTCACAAAGTATACCATGTAGGCACCTTCGCCCGTCCCTGTCACGTCTAGCGGGCAGCCCTCCT
Organism: Homo sapiens; assembly: GCF_000001405.40. Lineage (NCBI taxonomy): Eukaryota > Metazoa > Chordata > Mammalia > Primates > Hominidae > Homo > Homo sapiens. Next base: position 149,906,797 of record NC_000001.11, read on the forward strand.
TGTTGTGCAGGAATGTACTGTTTATCAGACGGCTGTTCACAAACTTGTACTCGAACAGGTCTGTGGGCAAAGGCCAAGATAAGCAGGCAGTCATAGCAGATGGGAGAGGGAGGCTGTTACGGCTTATGGCTCAGGGCTCTGCATGTATGAAAGTTAGTAGGAGGGGCTCTCAAAATTATTCACAGTGCTAATCACAAAACATCAAATAACATCACCATGGGAACTAGGGATCTTTAGAGCAGAAAATGACCATCATCTGTCCAACAGTGTGACTTTGTCCAAGTTCTCCCATTAATAGTCTTAGCTGCTTATTCATTCTTTCTGTCCGTGCTAGCTGACTATAAGCAGTAGCGATGCCGTGGACTTAGGAAATTTTTCTGAGAAAAACATTTAAAATAATAAAAAGTCCTATCCATTGTTGTTTTCCTGCAACATGGAAAAAGCTCGCCCAGTATGAGGTGGGAAATTTCAGTCTAGCTCACAAAACCAGCATTTCGTGTGCATATACTGAAGTTTGAGAATCACTATTAAAAAGGAGTGGATTCATGCAATGATCCGCACCAAATACCCCTTTTATTGATTGTTTTTCTTTTTCCCAAGAATGCTATTTTGGATGATTTTTACCTTCTTCAAAAGTGCATTAATTTTACCTCACTGAGTTATAATTTCAGCCAAAGGCAAATAAACTTGATGTTTTTGTCAGATATTCTATTACAGGAAAATGTCCAACATCCATTAGATTTTCAGAATTATTGGTGGTAGCTATCAGGCCCCTCTGCCACCTTCCCACAGGGGTCCAGGGATCTCAGCTTGAGAACCCTAAGATAGTGAATGAAAAAGGTTCCTTCTCATCAAGGTCCACCCAACCCTTTGGTCTGACACCCACCAGCCACCCCGCCTTACCAGTGTTATAGAACACAGTGTTGATGAATGTGCAGTTGCGGAAAAACGTGTTGCTGGATGTGACATCCTCAAAATAACACTCTTCAAACAGGGAATCCTCAAAGGACACTGACTTGAGCCGCAGCCCAATGAACCTGTAAGGCCAGGATGGTGAAAGACACTCCCCCGTCATCCTCATGCCCCCTCCAAGACTCACTCTTTAGCGAAGTAATGGGAAGCTGGGCATTGAGAAGAAACCACAAGTGTTTGCCCCCCAAATGTCTTGTCTTGAACCCCTAGACTCATAAAAGAGACGAGGTAGAAGGAACAGGGAAGAAGTGAAGTTTAAAAGTCCCCACATACTTGTCATTGAAGTACTGCCCGCCTCGGTGGATCTGATTCTCCAACGTGAAGTTAAAAGTTACATGCTCTACGCGCTCCCCGGGGAACACTTTGGTGCGGGATGCGTAGTCCACTGCCTGGAGATGGCGGATCATGTCAGGAAACCAGACGGTCAGGCCATAGTAGCTGAAGAGTCAAGGACAATGGAAACAGACAACAGGGCTTCAGACAAGGCTCAGAGATTAGAATCAGGCAGAGGAGAAAACGGAAATGTGTATCATCTCAGAACAAGGGAGAAATGGAGTCAACCTCTGTTAGGACCTTGCTCCTCTCCAGCCTCACCAGCTTCTCCCTGCTCCTCCCTTCAACAGTTGCTGCGCTCCTGGGGGACTTCAGGGTCTCGCACAGCAGCCACTATACTTTTTCTTACCTCCCAAGCATTTGCTTTTCCCTCTGCCAAAAACACTCTTCTCCACCCCAGCCACCCCCACTCCACCTGTCTGACTCCCATTCACCTTTGAGGACTTAGGTCCCCACCCCAGCCCAAGCCCCAAGTGCTCCCACTGCCCTTCCCCCACCCTTCTCTCATCACCCTGCTTCATAGCAAGTTTCGTCTCACTTCTTTTTTTTCTTTTGAGACGGAGTCTCGCTCTGTCACCCAGGCTGGAGTGCAGTGGCGCGATCTCGACTCACTGCAACCTCTGCCTCCCGGATTCACACCATTCTCCTGCCTCAGCCTCCAGAGTAGCTGGGACTACAGGCGCCCACCACCATGCCCGGCTAATTTTTTGTATGTTAGTAGAGACGGGGTTTCACCGTAGCCAGGATGGTCTCGATCTCCTAACCTCATGATCCGCCCGCCTCGTCCTCCCAAAGTGCTGGGATTACGAGCCTCATCGTCCTGCTTCTTAACCAAAACATAAACTCCAGGAGGACCTTGGACCACATCTGTTTCATCCCAGCACAGAATAGAAACTGAATCCTGGTCAGCCTACAGTACAAGTTTGTTGAGTGAACTAGCGAAGTAGAGGAGCTGGCTGCAGGATCAGAGGGGGTCTGCATGGCACCTTCCCTCATCGCTTGTCCCCTGCATCTCCATTCTCCCCACCTCTCTCCCAGCCCACACACCACCACAACCACCACACATCACCCAGCCCACCCATCTCCTCACCTGAATGACATGGTGAACCACACACCCATCATCATCAGAGTGATGCGCCGATATTCGGGACCAAAACAGGAGAGAAAATTCCCCCAAACCTACAGGGGACCAGACAAAGTCAGACCTTGACTATACTAAGTTCTAGCACCCATAGATCCCCACTTTTCTGCCCTCCCACCTCCCTTCAGCTCACCCATCACCCACACACATAGACTTCAGTCCTGCCTTCTTCTCCACTTCCCCCACTCCCTTCTATCTACCACCCCGTCCACCATTACCTGCCCCCCTAGGCTCAAGGCCCGGACCCCCCAGCGCTGGTACCAGGTCCCTGTGTCCGACTGGATCTCAATCAATTCATCCTCCTGATGAATCGTCTTAATGTGGGTTACCTGGGGTCAAGAGAAGGGGTGGGCAGTCACACACTCTGTGTTTCCCAACATCGGCCAGGCGCCTCAGTTTCCCCTGCATTAGCAAAATGGGAGGCAGGAGGTGGATATGATACCCTGAAAATCTCCTTACGGTAGAGTGTGGTCTGAGGTGGGGGGTACTCAGAGAGGGGCCAGGTAGGGGCTGGGGCTGCAGGGCGTGGAGGTCTGAGTCGGGAGGGCTGTGGCTTACTGAGAACACTCGCTCAGGATGTCCTTTGGCTCGCATGTTGGTATCATGGACCTGCTTCAGCACCATCCAGGCCTCATCATGCTTTCCATTCTAGAGCCAAAGACACAATCCCCACATCCAAGTCAGCCCCTACCTGACCCAGAGTTATAGACCCCCTCCCTCCCACCTGGCTTCTGTAGTCACAGGACACTAAATGGTTCCCAGCCCTCAACCCCACCACCAAGCCCTGACCTATGGGCATGCACTCACCACTCTGAAAGAGCCCCAAGCTGAGGTATAGCAAGACAATCAGACTTGGGCAAGAGCTGCGGGTTGGGGGTGGGGAGTGTTGTCCAGGGGAAAAAGGCAAGCACAGGTCTTGGGAATTCCATAGTACAGAGGAATGTAAAAACCAAAGGTAAGGGAAATGATGGGCAAGCATGTAGTCAAAGACCTAATCCTGCTGGGGTTAGGAGGGGAAGGTATAGGGGGTGGGAATGTCTCTTGAGCTGTAAATGCAGGACAGGGCCAAGGCCCTTCCCTGCAAAATCTTAAGTCATCCATGGGTAAAGAGGTCCCCTGGTTTCTCCACCCAAGAACCCCTCAGGGACACATTCCAAGGCAAAGAATGCAAGATAAAGTCCCCTGGAGAGTGGACTCTGTGAGGAAGGCAGGCAGTCAAACAGGATCAAATCAAACTCCAGTTGGTGTTTGAACACAGAAGCCCCTGCTGCCGTCCACACTCCACAGCCCGCACCCCACCCCACCCCATGCAGCTCAGCCCCATCACCTCTAGGAAGAAACGGGGGCTCTCAGGCTGCGTGGTCAGAGCCCCAATGGCAAACACAGAAGGAAAGGCGCAGACGAGGACGAAGACCCTCCAGCTGTGGAACTGGTAGGCAGAACCCATCTGAAAACTCCACCCTGGTAGGGAGAAAGTGACAGCATCAGCAGAGAGGCCAGAGGCTGGGGGAACCCACCACAGGGAGCACAGAAGAAGAGGGAGGAGGGAGATAACCTGGGGTGGATTTCCGGGGGCTGCTCACCATAGTGGGGGATGATGGCCCAGGCCATAGCAGCTGCGTACACGCCACCAATCATCCAAAACATGCAGAGCCAGCTCAAATGCTCCCCTCGTTTCTCCTGGGCCAGAAACTCGGAGAAATAGGAGAAGACAATGGGGATGGACCCTCCAATCCTGAAGTGCATTTCAAGAATTCAGCATTAGCAAATGGCCATAGTCCTGATCCCCTGCCCCACTGCTCTGGACCCCGAGCCCCTTTTGTCTTCCAGGCTTTTGAAGAGACTCCATCTCACACATAAAGCCTTACAAGCTCCCATGTGGGCCAGCCATCAAGCACCCATCCTTGGGACCATGGGAAACAGGCAAGCGAGTCTCAGGGAAAGGGAAAGAGCAAATCTTAAATCTTGAAAATGAATTACAGAGTTGGAAGGGCGGGAAAGTAATTGCAGAAAAGAGAATAAATCTCCAGAGAAAAAAGACAAGCCAAAAGCCTCCAAGGGCAGATGTTGTGGGAATGGCCAGAAAGGAGCTTGGAGTTGAAGCAGAGTAAGCGGGCCTGCCATGCTTGCAAAAGTGAAGGGGCAGTGCGGACAAGGCGTCAGGGTTCTGGCAGGTGTGGGTGTTAGCAAGGTTTGTTGTGTAATGCAGGAAATGTGTAGACTCTGGTAGGGGGTAACTCTGGGTCCACAGGAGCCCAGGGGTGGGGCTGAGGCCCACTAGGCCTCTTTGTGGAGGCAGGCTCAAAAATGGAACTAGAGGTGGGGTGGAGGACTCAGGAGTGGGCCAAGGAACAGCATTCTGGACAGCAGCAGACAGGTCCTGGGCAGGGAGGAGCTGGCCTGAAGATGGCTGGGGGAGAAAGGAACTCATTCATCCGTTCAACTCACACAGATTTAAGGTGCATTTGGTGTGCCTGGCACTGTGCTGGGCCCTAAAGATACAACAGTGACCAAGGCACAGTCCTGCCCTCAAGGGACTTAGGAAGTGTACACTCACCCAACCCCAGAAAGTAGGCGGCAGAAGAGGAAAGTGCCGTAACCCTGGACAAAAGATGAGAAGAAGGCGAAGACGCTGTTGACTGAGAGCGAGATGAGCAGACACTGCCTCCGACCCAGCCGGTCAGCCAGACCTCCCCAGAGGAAGGCTCCCACCATCATGCCCAGGTAGACGATGAGGCCTGGAAGGAGGAGGAAAACAGGCAGAGGGGGTGTGAGCAGACACACCTTAATTCTCCCAGGAGATGAGCACTGAGGGAGCTGAAGGATCTGAAAAACTTCTAGAAGGTAAGTCTACCCAGAGATTAGAGCAAGTGAGAGAAAATGAATGGTGTAAGCAAAGATAGAAGATCATCTCTGCAGGCCAGGGGTTCAAAGGCAGGAATGAAGATATGGGAGAACCTGCAAACTCTCCACTCTCTTCGGTCTGTCTCATTTCTCACTCTGACACACACACAGTGACACCTTTACCCCTGGCTCACTTTGAAGGAGGAATGGGTGTGCCTAGGATCACAGACCACCCCAGGGTCCTCTCTATTCTCCCTGCTTTGATCCCTCAAAGCAGCAGGAGAGCTCTCATTTGTTCCTGGGGAAAGGGGCTCCAATTCATTTCATCTTCCCAGGAAATCTCCCACACAAAATCCATCCTTTACTCCTTCCAGTCTCAATATTTCTGGTCCAAAAACTCTCCTGTTTTTCACTGCCTTCATAAAACCAAAGCTGGAATTAATCTTTAAAATCATCTACTCCAAACTTTGCATTTTCCCATGCCCAAACCAAGCCCCAGGAAGAAGAGACCTGTCCAAGACCCCATGGCAATTTGGTGGCAGAGTAAGGCCTCGATTCTTTCTCTGTGAGTCTACGGGGTTCCTCCTCAGAGTCCCTGTCAGGAAAGGCCATCAAAGACTACATCCTGTCCCCTGGAAACTCCCATCTGAGTGAGAGAAAGTCTAACCAGCTTCTCTGGCAGAAGATCCAGGACCCTCCCCCCCTCCCCCAACCACCCCAAACTGACTCTCCCCATTTATACCAAGGAGTTTGGATACTGGCTTCTTGTTCCCCAATCAGTGAAAGGGAACAGGATAACCAGAGGGAAAGCTATGAAGAAACATTAAATGGTAGGGACCATCCTACCACAGCCACCTCCTGCAGAATGAAGCAGACCACCACCCAACCACTGGCCCAAGCCCCAGTCCAGCTGCCCTCCCGCAAGCCCCTCTGTCACATTCAACTTCACCCTGACCCAAGGCCAAGAAGAGGGAGTGTGTGAGGGAAGAGTGTGCAGAGGAACCCTGAGCCCTCTGGGAACATCTTGGGTGCAGGGTCCTAGGGAACCCAGTGGTAAGGACAAGAGCAATTTCCAGGAGCAAGGAGGTTTCCAGAGTTTGAGGGGATAAGGCTGGAGCCCCCCATGTCTTACCTAGCATGCCTTTGTTGGAGTCGGACAGGCACATGTCTTTCTCAGCGCTGGGCAGCACGAAGCCCACCACAAAGACCTCCACACCGTCAGCCATCAGCGCCAGACCAAGCACAAAATACAGTGTCCACTGGAAGCGGCCGTGGCCACACTCCCGTAGGATGGCTTCATACTGTTGGGCCAGTTCTTCTCGTTCTTTCCGTCGTTGTGCCTCCCCCCGGCCCCCAGGGGGACCCTCCCCATCACTCAAGCCCCCCCTTACTCCAGCCAGGGGCGCCCCATCTGCCATCCGCTCGCCTTTGCCCCCAGACTCTGCCCGGGGAATGCCCTGATATTCCCCTTCATAGATCTCATCATCCTCGTCATGGCCCTCAGTAGCATCACTGGATGCACCACCTTCCTCCTCATCCTGGGTCCCTTCTCCTCGGTAATAACCATCACTGGGAGCAGGGAAGTCATCATCATCATCCTCCTCCTCAAAGCGGGAGTACGATCTTCGGGAATATTCGTCCTGGACTCTGTCCAGGCCCTTCACCACCTTCTTGGCCGCATGCTTTTTGACTTCCTTAGCAATGTCTTTGGCCCCACGGATGAAAGCTGCCCGGTCTCGGAAGCCCTCTTCCATGATGGGGCTTGGGGCACTTCACTGGGTCTTCTCCACCTCCTGCTTCTTTTTCAGCTTTTTGCTCAAGGACTTGTAGAGTCAAAAAGACCCCTCCCCACAGTTACTTAGATGAAGCGTGTTCCAGTATCTCTGGGCACAAAAAAAAGAGCAAACAGGTCCTAGCCAATGAGTGCCTAGGAAGGAAAAGGAAGGAGAGGAGCTTTGACCTATACCCAGTTCAGTTGGGTGGATGGGGAAGGGACAGGGGGAGCAGGGGAATGGGAAGGGGAAGGGGAGCCAGATTGGGAGGCTAAGCCAGGATAACTCAGGAAGGGTCGCCTGCTTCTCTTCCACAAGCCTCTGGAGACCTAGAAAAAATAACAGACAGCAAAAGGAAGTTGTGAGTCCTAAGGTGGTGAAGAAGGCCAGTATAAAGCCTCTCAACCCAGAGCCCCATCTGGACCATGTGGTGCAGAGATGGTCTTCTCGCTTTAGGCTCCCATCCACACACTAAAAAGGGATGGCTATCTGGGCTAACCGGGTCACTCACATAGAAGTCCCCTTACTTTGACCTTGGAGGCCTGGCCTGTGGAATTTGCTCCAAAGTCGCAGTCACCTACCCCCAAACCCACCCCAGCCCTTGCTTTATCACCAATCTGCAAAGAACTAAACAGGAAATATGAGAAACCAGAATTCCCTTCTTTAGTCTTGCCTGGGTTTCTTACTAGGGGTGGAGTTGAGGAGGATGTGTAAGAGGACAAGCCCTCCAACCTGTGGCCTTCCCTCCTCTGATGGCATCTGAAGGCAGGGGCTTCCACTGTCCTTCCCTCAGGTCCCATGTTTACAGGCTTCAACAAGGAGGGATTTTCTCTCAACATAGTCTAATGGGTAAATGCTCAGCTTCCAGAGTCACAAAGACATGGGGTTGACTTCCTGTTTTGGCAAATACTAGCTAAGGGACCAAGCCTCAGTTTCTTCTTGTTTAAAAAGGGGAAAGTAAGGGTCGAATGATATAATGTATCTATGCTCCTTACCATAAGTCACCTGGCACATAAAAATGATGAATAAATATTAATTATTAATTTTGTGGTGACAGTAATATAGTGAAATGCCCTATACTACCTCATAAGGTCCCCAGATGAAAGCTATCTTGGATGCTCTTTAGGGTGAGCAGCAGGAAGGGACACTGGCAAGGAGAATCCTGGTTCAGGGCAAAGCACATGACTGTTAGGGGTGACCTAAGTTGAAATCCCAACTCTGCCACTTACTAACTGATCTCAGTCAGGGTAGTTAACCTCCCTAAGCCTCAGTGTCCATCTATTTTAACTGGGGATAATTAAATTGGGAGACTGTTTCTTGGAGTTGATGTGAGAATGTAATCTCACAGTAGATACTCTATGTTAGTTTTCTTCCTTCCTATGATGTTGAAAGTGGGAAAGAAACAGGAAGCAGCAAGGGACAACAGGGGGGTCATACTTAGATGCTGTTGCCCAGCATCCTTGCAAACAGAGTCCCAAGACACCCCTATCTATGTTTCAACTAATTCCAGTAGCTGGGCCCACATTAACTACCTCCAGAAGAACAAGGGAAGATCCAGAAAAGGGGGACCTGGAACCCAAGTAAAGTGGAGGAAAGATGGAAAGCTAAGAAAGAGGTGATGACTGTCCACTGCCACCTTGCTTCAGAATGTCATAGATAGGCCCCCTTTCCACAGATGGGGGTGAGAATGGAAATGACTGTCAAATGCATACATTTCCAACATGAGGTTCTAAGGCCTACAGTTGCATCCCATCCCTCCAGGGCCTCCCTTCCTAATCCCCCTTAATCCTTTCTGCTCCTCCTCCAGGAGTCAAGGAAGAAGGAGTCCACAAACACCGCATTGCGTAGGAGGCGGATGTAGAATAAAGGGGGTTTGGGTGTCCCCCCAAAAAAGACATTCTCCAGAGGAAGGCATGGGATAGCCCCCTTCCTTCATAGGAGCAGAGGAAGCAGGCCTAGATTCTGATCAGAAATCATCCCCCTAAAAATATCCTGCCTCCGGTGCTCCCACCCATCCAGGGCCTTCATTAAAACACACACACACACACACACACGCACACACACACACACGCCCTGGTAGAAGACGGTAAGCAATGCTATGTGGTTCAGAGAGAAGCACTGGCAAGCAGCGCCTTATCCCCTCAGGACAGATGTAAGCAGTGGACCACGGTGACCAGAAGCAGTGACCCCTATGTCACCTTTTCTTCATGGTTCAGGGCCCAACCATCCCCCATGAAAGAGCTGGAACTGCGGAATCCCCTCAGCGCATGGCAATTTGCTAGCTTTCCTCTCTTTCCTAACCAGGATCTCCCCTCCAGCCCTGAAGGAGGCAGGACCCACCAGGAGCCATACTCTATGTTTGTTGACCCTATTTCCCCCTGAGAGGGGCACGTAGGGCAGGGAAGCCTTCCACAACCACAGCAGGATATGAGGTCTCAACAGCCAGCTTCCTCAGGGCCAGCAAGCCCAGGAGGTCAGGAGAGAAAGAAAGAAGACAAATTCTTTGAGCTGGTGAGGAAGTGGTGCTATTTTTAGCCCCCAAAACAGCACAGGGTGGCTAAGCCTGGGGGAGTGAGACAAGACTTGGAGAGGTGGAGGTTAAAGGAGACAAGGTTCAGGGTTACAAGGTCCTAGGCTGGCTGACTTCACCTGACAGGAAAAAATGTGCCCAGGAGATTTTCTGCAGAGGGTGGAGACAGGCAGGGGACTCCAGAGCAAATGCTTTCTTTCAGAACAGCTCATCCAGCCCTGGGTCCAGAACCCCCCACCCTCCCAGTCAAAGCCCCTGACTTTGGGGTCCACCCAGATCCCCAGGCCTTCCTAGCTCAGGTGACAAGGTCATTAAAAAGCAATCACTTATCAAAACGTCCGCGGGGGCGGGGGTAGAATGTGGGAGGTGCGGGAGCACCCCTTCCCCATGACAGCCCGGTCATCGAACTTCAGCCCCCACCCAGGACCATCAAGACTGCGCCTCCCCTCCCCACATCCTACCAAGGTTAGGAAGATAGGAGCACCCACAGTTCTGAGGGATAAAAATGAGGGTGTCAGCTGAGAATGCACACTGAGGAATACGGAGAGGCAGAGAGGGGGACGCAGGGAGAGACCTCCGCATGCACAGACATAGAGACCGCCCCTATCAGCATTTGCAGCGACCCCCCCACACCCCATCTTGCCTCAGCTCCGGAATAAGGGAAAAGCCCCCAGAACTGACTAAATCCCTGCTCTGAGCACCTCCTCCACCCTTGGTCCTGCTGCTAGACAAGTGTCCACCTTCACTCAACATCCCTTCCCCCCACCCCGGAGCAACTGCCGCCAGCCCCCGCCATCCATGCCCCCAACACCTGGCGGCTCTACATCTCTGTCTCCCCAGTATTTCCATTCTTCACTCCCCTTCCCTCCATCCTTCACCTGCCCTTCTTCCCCTGCCCCCCACCCACCCAAGTCCAGGCGTGCACACTGAGGCAGCATCCATTCTCCAGCCCCAGCCAAGGTCATTTATCATTCATCCTGGGGGTGGGGGGACGTCAAGGTGAGGAGGGGATAGGAGTTTGAGGGAACCTCATCCCACCTCACAACCCCACCACCACGTTAATCTCCGAAGGGGATAGTGGGGACTTGGTTAAGGTAGAGAAAAACACCCCTCCTCCCCATTCACCAATATTATACATATGCGTGTGTGTGTGTGTGTCCTGAAGAGCACAACTGAAATAAATGTCCATCCCCAAACCACCACCAACCCACCAACCCCCCTCACCCCTAGAGAGGGGATCGTCACCCTCCCCATAAGCAAAGCATCGGAGGATAAAATGGCTGCAAGGCAAGGCAAAGATGCTTCTGCCAGGGGCGGGGAGGAGGTGAGCGACTGAGAAAGGGGTCTCACCTGGTCTAGGTTCCCCGGGTAAGGAGTCCCGGGCGAGGACGGGGGTCCCGGCCGCGGGCGGAGGCGGCAGCGGCGACTGCTCCCGGCACCAGGGAAGCGGCAATGCAGACCTGCCACCCCCCTTCCACCACTCCAGCCCCGCCTCCGCCCCCCCCTACCCCGCGCCACTGAGCATCGGGAGAGACCATTGGTGGGGAGAGGAGAAAAGAGGATGGGGAGGGAGTCAGGGCACGGGGAGAAATGATGAAAGGGCCGGAGGTTGTCACAAGAACAGCTGGAAATGGCACCCAGCCCTTCCCAGGCCCTTCCTAGTAAAAGATAGAAGGAACTAAAGAAAAAAACAGTGATGTTAGGAAGACAAGTGGGAAGACAGGGAGATGGGGAATGTGGCAGCCCCTTCCTTAGCACCCCAGTCTCAGTATGGCAGGACCCAATAATTTCAGGGGCTTTTGCTGCCTTCAAAACACCTCCCTTGCCTTCTCCACTGCTCTCAAACTCCTTTTTCACAACAGTCTCCCAAATCCAGAGTGCTCCTATTCCAAGTTTACCTGGACATTTTAGAGAAAGCAGAGATAACAAGGTGTGGTTTCTATCCTGAACTGCCAGAGTCAGAGACCCCTGGATTCCTTCCATCTCTTTCCTCACAAAACAGTCCAGGTTACTTATTTACAGTGGACACCTCCTCATCCTGTCCATTCAGTTGGTGGTAGCAGAAGTACTGGGGAAGTTGAGGGATTTTTACAGACCTGACCAACCGGACAGTTCCCCTTCCATTAATTTGCTCCAATGACTCAAAAAGGATCCTCTCAATACCCTTCTCCATTTTCTCTTACTCTCCTCTACCTCCCTCCCCTCCCCTCCACACACTTGTACTTCCCGGGCAGGAAGAAGTAAATTGTTTCAGCTTTTCCCTTCATCTTTCCTTTGCTCTTGCATCAATAACCTGGACTCAGAGATCCAAGACATGCCACTTGGTGACACTTGATGACCATCCCTGCCGAAGGAGTGAGAGGGAATATGGTGATTTGGGGAAATACATCCTGAATGTGTCTATGCCAGATAAGGTCAGGACCTTCCAGACAGCACTGACCTGGGCTTGGACCTGGGTTCTCACTGCTAACAAGCTGTCAACTCTTGGTCAAGTTCTCCACATCTGTGAACTTCAGGTTTCTCATCTGGAAAAGGGGGGCTTGGACTAGATACTGCATCAGGTCCCTCTCAGATCTAATAGCGTGTGATTCTGCCTTACTAAATGTGGAGGCTTCAGAATGCTGATATATATACATGGAGAAGGCTGACAGGCTATGTCCGAAGAGACCACACAGGTAACATTTGCCAGGTTGAATTTACCTCTGACAGGGACACGGGCCTGGGCTTTGCAGACTCCAAAGCTGGATCTTGGAAATAATCATTCATGCCAACAAAGTTCACAATCTTCTGAAATATAAAGCCATAATACATAAATATTAATTTATCATAAATATTTAACTGTCACTCAGACTGAAAACTCATATCTACATGTCTAGTACATTCTCTCCCTGAAGCCAAATCAGAATCATAATGTCAATGTATAAATGCACAATGACATTACTGGAGGATTTGTATCTTTAATGGCATCTGGCCATCTGCAATAAGCAGCCATGCCAATGGGTCCAGAAAACTCTTCTTGGCAACAATCTTCTACCCCCACCTCTTTGCTATTGGCAGCCTTGCCAGCACTCCTGGACTACTCTGAATGTGACGGCTTTCCAGGATGGTGCTTGGACTGGCCTCAGGGACTCTCCCTTTACTAGACTTTCATTGCTGACCCGTCTTCAGGTTAACACACATTCTTTTTCTTTTTTTTTTTTTTTTTGAGACAGAGTCTCACTCTGTCGCCCAGGCTGGAGTGCAGTGGCGCAATCTCAGCTCACTGTAACCTCCACCTCCGGTGTTCAAGTGATTCTCCTGCCTCAGCCTTCCCAGTAGCTGGGACTACAGGCACGAGCCACCACACCCAGTTAACTTTTTTTTTTTTTTTTGAGACAGAGTCTTGCTCCGTCGCCCAGGCTGGAGTGCAGTGGCACAATCTCGGCTCACTGCAAGCTCCGCCTCCCGGGTTCATGCCATTCTCCTGCCTCAGCCTCCCGAGTAGCTGGGACTACAGGTGCCCGCCACCACACCCGGCTAATTTTTTGTATTTTTAGGAGAGACGGGGTTTCACTGTGTTAGCCAGGATGGTCTCGATCTCCTGACCTTGTGATCCGCCCGCCTCAGCCTCCCAAAGTGCTGGGATTACAGGCGTGAGCCACTGCGCCTGGCTAACTTTTGTATTGTTAATGGAGACAGGGTTTCACCGTGTTGGCCAGGCTGCTCTCGAACTCCGGACCTCAAGTGATCCACTCACCTCTGCCTCCCAAAGTGCTGGGATTACAGGCGTGAGCCACCGCACCCAGCCAAATATGTTAACATTTTCAATTAGGTTATAGCCAAGTCCAGCAGGAGAGCATTTGGCCAGCAGGGAGCCATTTCTTCCCTTTAAGGTGACTTTGCCTACTCTCCACTGATACCTTATTTGCTAAAATAGAAATCTTGCATACTTTTAGAGTGAAAACTTATACCATCAGTCCTCCATATCCATGGGTTTGGCATCCATGGATTCAACCAACTGTGGATGGAAAATGTAGTTAGGCCTATGATGGTTGCATTTGTACTGAACATGTATAGACATTCTCCTCTTGACATTTATTTCCTAAACAATACAGTATAACAACTACTTGCATAGTATTTACACTGCATTAGGTGTCACAAGTAATCTAGAGATGATTTAAAACACACTGGAGGATGTGCCTAGGTTATATGCAAATGTGCCATTTTATATAAGAGATTTGAGCATTTGTGAATTTTGATTATCTGTGGAGGGTCCTGGAACCAATCCCTTGAGAATACACAAATGACTGTATATATTTTCAAGTTCTGAGGGAAGACCTCATCATTTTCCCCCAGGTGCCAGTGCCCTGTCCCACCAACCACTCCTTTGTAGTCCCCTTTGCTGGGGCCATTTAATTTTAGAGTTCCTATGGGCTCAGTCCCAGGGGCGGGAAGCCTTCTACTCTCTTCTTGCTCACCACAGGCAGTCCCGACTTTAATACTGCCTATATGCTGATGATTCCCATTTATATCTGCAGTCCAGACCTTCCCATCAAGCCCAGACTCAAAATCTCTGTCTATTCAATATCACCACACGAACATCTAATAAGCATATCAAACTGGGGCAGCTAGAATTTCCGAGCCAACAGCCTCCAGGCTGAAGCAGCTGCCTCCCCTTACCTCAATTTTGTTTCAAATGGTTCCCTGCCATGATGTGAAAAAGGGCTGAAAAATGGTTTTTGGGAGCTCCCTAACTGGCTCTGACCTCAGCCTGCCTCCAATCCCAAACAGCTCTAGTGCATTATACACCATGCTATTTATCAATCTGTTTCTCCTCAGAAACATCCCATCCACCTGGATTGAATTTCTCCTTGCCTGGGAAAGGTCTATCCTTCCTTGAAGATTAAATGCAGGTATCACCTTTTTCCCAGGAAGTTTTCCTGGACTTTTCTTTTTTTAAGGTGGGAGGTGGGGGACAGTTTCGCTCTTGTTGCCCAGGCTGGAGTGCAATGGCTTGATCTCGGCTCACTGCAACCTCCACCTACCAGATTTAAGCGATTCTCCTGTCTCAGCCTCCTGAGTAGCTGGGATTACAGGCGCCCACCACTGCACCTGGCTAATTTTTGGTATTTCTAGTAGAGACGGAGTTTCACCATGTTGCCCAGGCTGGTCTCGAACTCCTGACCTCAGGTGGTCTGCCCGCCTCAGCCTCCCAAAGTGCTGGGCTTACAGGCGTGAGCCACTGTGCCTGGCCGTTTTCCTGGACTTTCATGCCAGAATAGGTAACTTTCTTCCTGCTCTCAAAATATTTTGTTTCATTAACAATCTCTTATGTGTCAGTTTTGACAGCAGAACTGCCTTGCTTATCTTTGAATCCTCAGCTGCCACCAACAGACATCCTTTGCAGGTACCATAAAAATGTTAATGAGAATGATGGACGAGAACAAGGGGGCCATGCTCACTTCTTGCCTAGAATTTAGTAAAGTTCACAGTTACATAAGCCAGAGGGCACTTCAAGGAAGGGGTGACTTAACAGGATTAATGTGGCAAAGAACATGGGGGAGAAAAAGGCCATTGGATTTGGTCTACTGAAAAGTCTTTAAACTGAGATTTACACGTGATGAAAATCAAGTTTGGAAGGACTGAGAAATGAGAAAAAAAATTGAAATACAAACTCCTTATCTGAGATGACTGTTTACAGACATCTGTAGGAACAGAACAAAATGGAACACGTATGGAACATTTACTGTCTCCATTTACTCATTTTGTTTTGTAATTATGTAAGACATCTATATTGTTCCAAATGAAAAACACATTAACACAGTATACTCAGAGAATCCAGCTTCCCTCAATATCCACTCCCTCCCCAGTGTTATCAATTTCCATTAGTATTTGGTTTATCCTTTTTTTTTTTTTTTTTTTTTTGAGACAGAGTCTCGCTCTGTCGCCCAGGCTGGAGTGCAATGGCGTGATCTCGGCTCACTGCAGCCTCCGCCTCCCAGGTTCAAGTGATTCTCCTGCCTCAGCCTCCTGAGTAGCTGGTTTACCCATTTTTAAAAACGTTAATACATATATATATATATATGCTACCCTTAGAGAAGGTAGCACACTACACACATTATTTTCTTCACTTGGAGATCTCTCCACAGCAGTACGTAGAGATCTTCACTTGGAGATCCTTTTTAAAGCTTTTTTTACATTCCTTTTTACAGCTGCACAGTACTCTGCTGCATGAATTTATCAGTTTATTCAACCGTCCCTTTACTGATGGAGATGTGAGTTTCCAATCTACTGCCATTATAACAGTGCTGCAATGAATTGCATAGTGCATGTTACTTCATTTTTGCCAGACTATCTCCAGATACATCTGTTCACTTTAAAACAATAGTCCGGCTGGGTGAGGTGGCTCACGTCTGTAATCCCAGCACTTTGGGAGGCTGAGGCAGGGGTGATCGCTTGAGCCCAGGAGTTCAAAACCAGTCTGGGCAATATGCCGAAATCTCACCTCTACAAAAAATACAAAAATTAGCTGGGTGTGGTGGCACACACCTGTGGTCCCAGCTACTTGGGAGGCTGTGGTGGGAGAATCACCTGAGCCTGGGAGGTTGGGGCTGCAGTGAGCCATGATCGTGCCACTGCACCCCAGCCTAGGCAACAGAGCAAGACCGTGTCTCCAAATAAAAAAAAGAAACAAAAAAAATGACGATCCTATGCTATATATATTGGGTCCCTATCTTCCAAACTAGAAGATAAGCTCTACGTAAGGAAACAATTACTCTAGTGCACAGCAAAGCTCAGCAACTGCAACAGCACATTACAGAATAAGCCTTTAAAATGTGGAGTAAGCACCCTTGCTCCTACTCCTACCTTACCATTCTTTTCATGATACTGACATCTCTTCTTAAAAGAAAAAGAGAAAAGTTACTGTTGTCAAGGAAAACACCACAAATAAACAAGGAGTTTAGTTTTATTTTCTCTGTGCATTTGCAAAATACTCAGGACCAACATAAAAAAGAAATACCTCCTGTGGAAAAAGTTACATTAAAAAGGGGAATGGAGTGGGGGTGCTGAAAGGGATTAGTACCTTTGCCCCAAGGAGCTACAGCATCTCTGATTGGTCCAAGGAATAGAAAAGATATTGGGAAAATGTAACAGGAGGAAGGAAAATGTGAATTTACTGAGGGAGAGGGCCTCGAAGTGGGCCTCGAGGGGGAACTGGTGGCCGGGGAGTGGGTCTGGGTGGAGGGAGAGGCCCCCGCTGGTAGCCATAGGGTGGGGGTCGTGGAGGGCCAGTGTATCCATGGGGGGGCATCAGTGGAGGAGGTCCACGCATACCATGCGGAGGCATAGGACCTGGGTGACCTGCAAAGAGTAAAAGAAAAGTTAGTAAGGGCACGGGACAAGGGGTGTGCCTACAGGAAGCTGTAAGAACATGATAAGTGCAGATGAGGGAGGTGGCTAGAGCCGACTTACCCATGGGAGATCCGAATGGAGGCCCTCGGGGGGGCATGCCCATTGGAGGAGGTCCAGGATGAGGCATTCCAGGTGGTGGTCGGGGCGGTGGCTGGCCCCCAGAGCCTGGGGGTCCAGCGTGGGGATGTCCTAAGCCATGAGGGCCATGGTGTGCAAGCTGCATCTGAGACATCCCTATGAAAATAAAATAGACACAAGAAGAAAAGAGACAAAGAGAAGGAGGCAAAGAAAATAGAGAAAGGAAGAAAACAAAATTAGAAAGAAAGTGACATCAGAAAGAGAACTATATAGAAAAAAGGGTATAGAAAATAAGGCTGGCTGGGCACAGTGGCTCATGCCAATAATCCCAGCACTTTGGGAGGCCTAGGTGGATCACTTGAGCCCAGGAGTTCAAGAACAGCCTGGGCAACATAGTGAGACCCCAGCTCTATCAAAAAATACTTTTAATTAGCCAGGCATGGTGGTGTGTGCCTCTATTCCCAGCTACTCAGGAGGCTGAGGTGGGAGGATCACTTGGGCCTGGGACGTCAAGGCTACAGTGAGCCAAAACTACGCCACTGCACTCCAGCCTGGATGACAGAGTGAGACCCCATCACCAAAAAATAAAAATAAAAAAAGAAGGGTGGTAAAAAGTGCTCCCTATCCTTGACCCTATTCCAACAGCACAAACCAACCAATCAACCAATTACTCAATCAACTCCTTACCCTATTTGCTTGCTTCTTCCATGATTTAGGTACTGTAATAGTAATGATGAAGTATATAACAAGTGGAGTAATAACTCTGTTGATAGGATTTGAGAAAGTAGCAGAGGACATAACTGTCTAAGCAAAGATCTAATTCTAAAGGATGAATACTTCAGGAGGATAAGATCATGGGAAGAAAGCATCCAAGCAGAAAGATTACCATGTGCAAGTCACAGGTGTGGCAAACAGCACAGTATGTTCCAGGAAATGCCAGTTAACTCAGTAATCAGGAGCAAAATGCAGTTATAGAAATGAGGGGCAGGGGCCAGATCATAAAGAGCTGTGAATGCTATGGTAATGAGTTTGGGTTTTACTCTGTAGGTCAAAGGGAGCAACAGAGGAATTCTGAGCAAGTGTGTGCACATCTGTGTCTTAAAAGACCTACACTGTGAAAGTAGATCAAAGTTAGGGAAAACTGGAGTCAAAGTGGCAAGAGATTACTACAACAAATTAAGTGTAAAATAATGAGGCAATGAGAGACTGAACTAGGGCACTGGCCATGGGGAGAGATGCCACTGATACAAATAAGACTTGGTATTAAGAGTGGGGTGATAGGGAGCAGTCAAACATAGCTCTCAGATTCATGAATTAAGCACCTGAAAAAAAAGAACACTAGAAGAAGAATGGATTTGAAGGAGAGGGATAGAAAAATGACGCTATCTATTAAGCAGCAGCATCAAGGATCTGGAATATCAACAGCTACGGACTAGAGATACAGACCTAGGAGGCATCAGTATATACCCAATTAAAACTATAGATATATGCAGAAAAGAGAAACAAGCACAAAAATCTAGGCACAAGTAGACATGAGTCTATCACGGTAGCTGAGATTAAGAAGTCAGAGAGAGGGGTGGAGGATCTAGAAAAGCAAAAGCAAAAAGAGACAAGAATTTCAAACAGGAGGACACAACTAGTTTCAAGTATATCAGAGGTCAAACTAGATAAGGAGCAGAAGCGTCCCCGAGATTTGGCAATTAGGTCACCACTTTGAGGTGGAGTCAGAGAAGAGAATGGAACTAAAGATTAAAGAAATAAAAACTGGCAAGTAGAGTCTACTTGTCAGAAAAACTTAAGAAATGGATTCAGGGTGGTAGATGTTAGAGAGCATTTTGTATGTTTTTATAATAGAATGTCTGAAGGAAAGGAAAACTCTGAAACTGTTACTGTTGAGGAACAAAGGGCAGCAGGGTGAGTGGTAACAGAGATGCTCTACCAAGCTCTTCCCTCCCTTTCCCAACAAAGCACACCTACCTGGATGGGGCATCCCACCCGGTGGGAATGGGTGAGGATGTGAGTGTCCATGACCAGGATGTCCTGCCCCTGGGGTTCCTGCCGATGGGGGGCCATGTCCTGCAGCCCCAGGAGGCATAGGTGGTGGGGGCATGGCTGGGGGTATCCCAGGTGGGAGGGCTCCAGGAGGTGGCACTGGGGGTGGGAAGGAGCCAGGAGGAGGCATGCCTATAGAGGAAATGGAAAAAGGAAGAGTTAATGGTAGTGAGGAGAAAATGTCTTTAAAGAGCCTGTCCTGATCTGGCCTCTCCAGGCAGGGTGAGCTCTTTCCCCCTCCTCCCAGTGCTCTAAAATCAAAAGCAATGTTAGAAAAGTCAACCAACTTCACCCTCCTAAAGAAACCCAACAACTTTCTTCTTCACCACTACCATCACCCCTCAGTCCTCTTCCCATCAACTCACTGACTCAATGTCCCCTGTCCCCCTTTCAGACTTGTTTTCTTCTTCCTCCTGACCCTCTCCCCCAACCTTAAGACAAACATATTTTAACCAAAAGCTTTACCTGGTGGAGGAAGCCCAGACCCCAATGATGATACCACAGGATTGGGAGCAGAGGGTGGAGGAGGTGCATCTGCAAACAGCTGATGAGGGCGATCAGCCTGGGAGAGCGGGTTCTGAGCTGCCAGAAGTCGTTCGGCTGCTGAGCCATGGCGCTCACCCTTGGAGTCCTTCTTGAAGGCATAAGATACGGTGATAGGACGGTTACAGAGGTACTGCCCATTCATGGCTTCAATTGCTGCATCCGAAGCATCAAATGAAGCAAAATTAATAAAGGCATAACCTTTGGAGTTGCCTGTGTCAGGGTCCCGCATAATTTTGGGGGTTTGTAAGATGACCCCAAAGGCGCTGAAAGTATCATAAAGCAACTTCTCATCAATCTCAGGGTCCAGGTTCCCAATGAAAATGTTGGCCCCTACATCCAGGTTTTTGTTGTGAGCTGATGCTTTGTTCACCCGTATTGGCTTCCCATAGAGTTTGATCATGTTCATGATCTTAATGGCATAGTCAGCATCTTCCTCACTCAAGAATTCCACAAAGCCATAGCCTGGAAAAGTGGAGAAGAGGAGGTTAACAACGTAAGTAAAGAGACTGAAAATGGGGTAAAATTCATCTACCCTCTAATCACAAAGAACAAGAAAGAAACAACATCACTTTACTTAAGAATGGTTCCAGAAATAAACTGAAGAGAGGCTTAAAAGAAAAAAATCTTTAGGTTGCTCATGTTATTCCAAAACAGTTGTGAATACTGCTGGGACCCTCCGGGAGCAATTCGCCCCTTGTCATGTACTCACCTTGGTGCTGGCCAGTGACTCTATCCTTTGGCATGTGGGTGTTGACTACTGGTCCAGCCTGGAGAAACAGTTCCCACAGCAGCGGTTCACTAACCTTCTCATCCAGGCCCCCCACGTACACAGTGGCATCTTGAAGGGAGGGAGCAAAAAGAGCAAGCGTGAGAGTGTAACGGGAAGGAAGGAAGTGATGGAAACATGAAGATGGAACCCAACCAGGGGAACTGGGGACCGCGGTAGGGGACAGGAGCAAAAAAAAAAGTTTAAACCCTTAAACTTCTCTCTTCCCAGGACTTCGGGAATCCTCTGAAGTCTAATTTAGTATTGTGAGTGGGTTTTTTTGATTTTTTGAGTGAGAAGTCAGCAGGGGACCGGACTTAAGTATCACACCCAGAGGCCTCAGCCAGCACCCGGCCACCCCGCCCCCAACAGGCAGAGGGCCGGTCTCGCGCCCTCTGGGGAAGGGAGGAGTCCAGTCTCCCACCCCTGCAGAGACACTGCTGGCTGTAGTCGGGGCCTCCTAGCCACGCTGAGCCCATTCCAGACTTTCCCCCTCCAGTTACCCTGATTCCGCTCGGAGATCGGCCCGGCAGCCATGGCGAAAGAGATCCCGCCGTCTCCCAGCAGCGGTTCCGCCTTCTGACCTCAGCACGACTTCCACTTCCGGGGCGAAGACGGACGTAGCGGTGGGCGGGGCCGCGGAAGAGGAGGTGCCTGGAAGCGGCTGCAGCCATCTTAGGAGCCTCCGAAACTTAACCTGGGTCGGGCGGTAGAGTCCTCGGCTCGCGTCCTGAGGTGCCGCTGCTAGTTGTCTTAGCGAGGAGGGCGGAACGGAAACGCTCAGGCCCTCTTAATGCACTGCTAGACTTGAAAGAATCACACTGCTCTCAAAAGTGTAAATTCGAAAGCTAAAAGAACAAAAATTTCAGTTTTAATATATTTTGTGGACAGTGATTCTTCTTCTGTTGTCCAGAGAAGGATGTGCTGAAGAGTTCCCCCCAACCCGAGGACTTGGGGGCTTTCAGGCGCAGAGGGAGCCTTCCCTCTCGCCTGCAGCCTTCTTGCAGATTTGGCCTCACAACCCTGATTTGGGCTGGAGGTATTTGGTTTTCCCTCAGGGGAGGAGACTGCGAAATGTCTGAGCTTAGAGTGACGTCTGCGCTCACCTCGTCCTAATTGCATGGGGAGGGTGAGGGCTGCTCCGCGTTGGTGTGTGACCACAGCTGAGGGGTGGATGGGATCGGAGCTCTAGAGTCTGGATCTCTAGAACACTCTGGCCCCATCTGCCTCTAAATGGGAGACACACACAAGAGAACCCTTTCCCCAAATTGCACTTGAATTTTGCAGAGCCTCACCAAACCCAGTTCCCCTATTTCCTTAGCAATAATATGGTGGATGCCTTCCTCTCTTGGGTCATACACCCCTTTTACCCACCACTTTCCTACCTAGGAGAATCCTTTATTCAAACACAAGAAACAATGCCAGCAATGTGTATAAATACTATGCTTTAATGAGCCCCTTAAATAGAAATTCCACTACAAAAATACAGAGGAGATAGGGTGTTTCCTGTATCCGCCTCATTCCCATAGAAAACTATAAGGGAAGAAATAGAACTTGGAATTAAAGCAGCAGCAAGGCGAGGTGAGAATGCGATTTCTAGGCCATCTTGTTGGGACTGATGAACAGCATCTCTGATCTCATGATTTAACATCTGGTTATCCAGAAGGGATGGGATTGGCCTAAAAAAACCGATCAATTTCTGGATTGTTTTTGTTTCTTAATCCTTCAAATGACAAGAAGCAAAAATATTTGTAGAAACTAAGCAAGACAAGAGTTGGAGCAGTTAACACCACTATCTGCAGCAGAAACTCAGACCTTCTTAGTGAACTTAAGGGCTGAAGTGTGAAAGCTGAGGCTGCAAGTGCAGATACAAAAAAAAAAAAAAAAGATTAGACAGAACCCTCCTCTACCCCAGATCCCCCTCTGCCCTGCCTTTGAGAATGCCAGCAATTTCAGTGGGATTGAGAATGGTATGTGGATCTCTTTTCTTGGAGTGATCCTCAGGAGATATTCTTGGTGTCCATTTCCGTAATAACTCCTGAAGATGGGATAGCTCATCCTGGAGGCCAGAGATTGTGGGAGCTGAGAGGCCCATCTGGGGAGGAGGCAAAGAGGAACAGAGAAGAATACTGTTGTAGCTCTGGCCCCCTGCTTCTCTGCTACTTCTGGTGTCTTTAATTCTGTTTCCCCTTTCAGCTATGCCCTAAATTCCACTTAATCTAAGCCACAAGCACTTTCCCGCACCTCCTACACTCCCAAACCTTGTTTGATGCCAAGAGGAGTAGAACTTCACTTCCCAGACTCCCAGAGGCTTCAGCTCCTTGCCTTTCCAGCTCCTGTTCATCTGGTTCAGCAGAGTCAAGTCCCTTGTCCCACTCCCAGTCTATTTTCCCTTCTTACCTGGACCTCAGGCCTTCCCCTCAGGTAGCAGCGTCTCCAGAGCCTGATCTGGGGTCCCAGATACCCAGGCAGCAGCAGCCCTGGAGGTAAAGGGCAAGCTCCCCAATGTGAGGGGAGACCCCATTCCTGGTCAGCCAGGCTTTCAGAGGAGATAGCAGGTCGAGGGAGCCAACGAGAAGAGACTGCCAGCAGGGAAGGACTGTCCCGCCAAGGACAGAGCTGATTCAGGGGGGTCAATGCTCCTCTAGAGAAGAGCCACACAGAACTGGGGGGTCCAGGAACCATGAAGCTTGGCTAAAAGGAAAAGAAAATCAACTGGCAACAGAGAGACCAGATAACCCTAGTTTCCCCAATCTGGATCAGGACAGGGTGTCCTGCTGCCACCCACTCACTGCACTGGTGACTAGAACTACAAGCCTCCCCATGAGAACTCTTCTACCCTCCTCATTAGGCTTCAACTAGGCCTCGGGACTGATTAAGGTTGATTTTAGGGCACCTTATGTGTGCACGAGACAGGAAGATGAGTAAACAGACTTGAGGAAGGACAAAAAGGGTGCCCTCTGTGCTATTCTAGGTCTTCTGTCTTCCTAGGGACACCCAGGGACTATAAGTGACAGCTGCAGAAGAGTAGTGGAGTAGCTTTCCCTAAGGAACTCAAGACATTTTGTCTTTCACTTCTCACTGTCTAGTAGCATGAGCCTGTGGGAACGTCAAGGGAATTTAGGAAGTTTAGACACTTCACCTGTGGTCTAGGGAGCCAGGAATCTGGACAGTGTTCTGGGTCATAGCCAGGATTCTGGAATTGTAGTATCTGTGCATTGCTATAACGTAAATCCCAGTCCCAGACAGACAGCTGCAGGTTAAAAGAGTTCCCAGCTGGAGGCTGGGAGTATCCTGGGGTGTAGACTTGTGTATAGGAGTTTAACTGGACAGAGGAAGCAAGAAAAAGGATGGTTACACACAATCCTCCCACATCTAGAGACAAATCATGAGATTCTCACCTCTTATTCTAGGAAAGATGTAGGGCAAAAGTCTCGTCCTGAAAATGAGAATAAATCTCCCCCTCCCCACTCACAGACCTCACTTCTCATAAAACAAATCAAGACCAAACTTCAGAGAGTACATCTCAATGGAAAAAAAAACACGAGTCAAAAATAGAAGTCACTGACCTGTCCGCTCTGCTTTCCGCGCTCCCAGGGGGTATTTCTCAGGAAGGTAAGGGTGTCAGGAACCCTGACACTGTCATGAAGAGCAAGAAGGAAAAACTCAGAGAATTCAAAATCAGCTGGAAACTGCTGGAGGAGCTGCCAGACACAATCAAGGAAGAGGAGAAACACCGGAGCCTGAAAAGAAATTAAGAGGTTGGAAGGGATTATTGGGACCCAAAGAGGGAGGATGACGAGATGATAAGGGAATGGGGAACACAGGGAATAGGGGGAACTTATGGAAGTCAGGGAATGAAAATCTGAATTGAGGGTAGCAGGGGCTTGTAAGGCCTCACTCATCAGGATCTTCGTCCCAGCCTAACCTCGGGGCCCTTCTGACCGGATTCACCTCCAATGGATTATACAAAATAATTTCTCATTCTCTTACTTCCTTAGTAATATGCCCCCGATGCCATCCCGAATCATTCTCACCTCTTCACTGGCCCCAGTTCCCCCAAGCCGAGTCAGGAAGGGATGTCCAGCTGCCACCCACTCTCGCTGTACTAGTGATTGGAAGCCAAACAGTGTTCGGGCTTCGGGGGCTGAAAGCAGCTGGACGAGTGAAGAGAGGAGGCCATTGAGATCACGATCACCGCGCTCTGGGTGATAAAGAGGAAGAAGGGACAAAGAAGAGGGGTCCAAGAAACTAGGGCAGAAGAGAATGAGAAGAGAAATACGGCAAGGAGAAGTGAGAGGCACAGAGGGGAAAGGTTTGGGGTAGGAGGATTGAGAAAGCACATAGAAGTGAAGAGAAAACAAAGACCTTGAATGATTCACTTCCTGGACTCCACCCGGATAGAAATACCCAGTTTCACATGTAAGGGGCAGAATCACAATTCTCAAACCAGCTTCCACACTGCCCTTCCCACCCCAACCCCAGTCTCCATCCGCTGATGGAAGGAAAGGAACAAAGGGGCTAAGACCATCCTAGTGTCAGG
Organism: Homo sapiens; assembly: GCF_000001405.40. NCBI lineage: Eukaryota > Metazoa > Chordata > Mammalia > Primates > Hominidae > Homo > Homo sapiens. The sequence goes on from NC_000001.11 coordinate 149,931,766, forward strand.
GACCACAAGTTGTGATGGGGAGGCAGAGGTAGCACTGAAGGATGAGAGTAGAGCTCGCAGGTAGTTCCCAGGAACAGGAGAGGAAGAAGCCTTATGGGTCTCCCTCCCTGAATGCAATCTGGTCAGGTGGGTAAAGAAAAGAGGCAAGGAATGGAATGGGCTTAACCAAGGAACTCACCTTGAAGTATTACAGAACGAACCCTGGATGTCACTAATACTGAAATGTCACTGGCCTTTCGAAGACAAGCCCTGGAGGAGCAGGTGAGGAAGAGGGAGGAAGAATGATAAGCCTAGGGGAATGGAGTGATTTTGATGGGTCATGGGATGGAATAAGGCCGACTCCAAATCCTACCCCTCCTCCTTCTAAAGAGCAGAAAATGGCAGTCTTCTTGGGAAACCGAGGAGAAGAACTAAAGAAAGGCCATTTAGGACCCCAAGTTAACAGAAGGTTGAGGAAGGTTGAATTATAAATGATGGCTAGAAGAAGCGAGGGAGTACCTGACATAGTCCAGCCATCGTGTTCCTTCCAGGGCTGAAAGCCATTTATCCTCAGCTACAGATGAATCTGATAGAGGGTAGAAAGATCAGAAGGGCAAGAGATTAGAACTCAGGATTCAGGATTCAGGTTGATAGCCTGCTGGGTTAAGAACAGGAATGAAAAGTAATTGTAAATGGCCAGGATGGTTTCTAAAATTAAACTGTGGTGATGGTTGTACAACATTGTAAATATAATAAAACTCACTGAATTGTATACTTCAGTGAAGGGTAAATTTTATGGTATGTACATTATGTCTCAATAAAGCTGTTTAAAGAATAAATTGGGGTCAAGAAGACAGGAAACCAGTGAGTCTGTGGGAGAGGTGGGAGAGGTGGGAGGTGAGTAGAAAACAGTCTCACTGGCCGGGCACGACGGCTTGTGCCTGTAATCCCAGCGCTTTAGGAGGCCTTGGTGGGTGGATCATCTGAGGAGTTTGAGACCAGCCTAGTCTAACACGGGGAACATGGTGAAACCTCGTCTCTACTAAAAATACAAAAATTAGCCAGGCATGGTGGCAGGCGCCTGTAATCCCAGCTACTCAGGAGGCTGAGGCAGGAGAATCGCTTGAACATGGGAGTTGGAGGTTGCAGTGAGCCGAGATCACGCCACTGCACTCCAGCCTGGGCCACAGAGGGAGACTCCGTCTCATCTGCCTTTTTTTTTTTTTTTAAGACAAGTTTCACTCTTGTCGCCCAGGCTGGAATGCAATGGCACATTCTCAGTTCACCCGCCTCCTGGGTTCAAGCGATTCTTGTGCCTCAGCCTTCCAAGTAGCTGGGATTACAGGCATCGGCCACCACACCCAGCTAATTTTGTGTGTGTGTGTATTTTTAGTAGAAACGGGGTTTCACCATGTTGGCCAGGTTGGTCTTGAACTCCTGCCCTCAAGTGATCTGCCCACCTCGGCCTCCCATAGTGGTGGGATTACAAGCGTGAGCCACCATGCCCAGCCGAGACTCCGTCTCAAGAAAAAAGAAAAGAAAAGAAAACGGGCTCATTGGACTAAAGAGCTACTCATCTACAGCAAGCAAAGGGTAAACCAGGTTAGGCTCAGCAGACCTAGGGGTGAGGGTGAGGGTTAGGGGTCAAAGGTTATTCTCACCAGGCAGGCAGAGGGCCCTCAGCCTCAGGTGGGCAAGTTGGACATCTGCAAGGCTGGGCAGCTCATCCATAGTGTCTACCAGGACAACATCTGAATGCCCAGCCTGGAGCATCAACTCCACTGCTCTGGAGGGGAGGGAGTCAGGAAATAAGGAGTCTACCCTGAGCACCTAACCCTTGATTCTTCTCATCAAGCCTCCCTCACCTGATATCCTCCTTGTTAGGGTCACTGGCTGTATAGAAGCCTCCACAGCGGAGAAGATCACTGCCCCCAGGGTGATGCCAGGACAAGCGCTTCACATGGGGCAGAAGAGGGTCATTGTGGGAGAAATGCCTAGCTCCACGCTACCCTTGCCCCCACACTGACCTCACAGAGGTTCCTCCCTCCACGATGTCCCTGGCCCACATGACCCTCTAATCCACAGCCATTACCCTAACCATCACACTGACCGGTCCACGGCCCTGATGAAAGTGGCCAAATGCTCTCCTGACCTCACTGTCCAGAATTCGGTTAGGGACCCAGAAGTAACGGGGGAGGCTGTGAAATGAGAGTGATATTACAGTTTGGCTCAGTGACTTCATTATAATGGAAAGCTCTTATTACAAGGAAGCTGCTTCAGAGGGACCATTCCAAGGGATTTCAGGTTTAGGGATCTAGGAGGCAAGGGAGATAGCTTTGTGGGTGTCCTAGGAGGCTGGAGTTTGTGGGAAGTCCTAGCTTTAGAGGATCAAGGAACTAAGGGAAGATTGGGAGAGCAGCAGGGTTGGGGTGCACTGGGGGATCACCTGGTGGCTACGTCGAACCTCTCGTTGACCGTGCTGACCCTCCAGCCTCTGGCTGCCTGCTTCTTCCGCTCAGTCTCCCAGTCTTCCGCTGTCTCCATGAGAGGAATTGGTGGTTTTCTGGAGCCAGAACCCTGGCCTAGAACAGGAGTGAGACATAGAGGAGGAAGGAGAAAATCAGAGACAGCTTCTCAGCTCTTTGTCATCAGCCATCCTCTGCTTTTTCAGACTCTTCCTTACCCTAAAGCACTCTCACTCACCAGCCTTGCTCAGGGTTATCCCCGAATACTGTTGGGCTTGATTGCTCTGAGCTCTGGCTTGGACAATGGCCATGGTCACCTGCAGAGGAAAGGACATTCCATCCTTTTGGCTTAGGCTGAGTAAGTGAAAAGAAGGAAATGGAGCCCATGTGTTGCTCCACTCTCTTTGCCAAGAATGAAGAAGAACAGTGAAGACAGTCCCTAGAGAAGGGGGCTTCCTCAGGTCATGGGGACTGGGGTCGGGAGAACAAATCTGGAACCACAGAATCCTAGAATGATGATTCTGGGAGGAATCCTGGTTTTTCAGAGGAGGAAACTTGCCCACAGTCACACTGCTGGTAATTAATAGAGTAAGGCTAGAGCGCAGGCTCTTTACTCTCATCACGCAATCATTTATCCCAGCCTTTTAGCCTTTCCTTGAGAGAAGCAGGGGGAATGATGAGAGGATCCCAGGGGCTGGAGGAGTCTCAGAAATTGTCAGGGAGAGGATCCCAAGGTTCTGAGGTGAGGAGAAAGCCTCAGGTTAGGGGCCTCTTACCTGAAAAGCCTGAGGCTCTAGGCCTCCAGCCTCAAAACCAACTCTGAGCAGCCGGAAGTCTCGGCCATGAATCAGAATCTCCTCAGGGATAAATTTATGCAGGGACCCTGGACGGAGGAGCTGGACTCGGGACAAGCCGCTCACTGAAGTCAAGAGGTACAGAACAGTGTAACCATGGACCAGAGTCTCTCCAGAAGGGACTCTTGCAGCCCATCCCACTCCATCCCTGCTGTTTTCTGAGAACAGAGGAAGGATGAGGAGGGAGTTCCAACAACCCCAGTGAACCCCTTCACCAAACCCCCCCCCAACTTACCAGCCTCTAATCGTCCAATGTTGACCAGGGCAAAATCGTATTCACTGTTCAAGGGAGTGTCCTAGACGAAACACGTGACTGGGTAGACATCTGAAATCGCCCTCATTTTCCTACCCTGGCAGCCCCAACCCCTTCTAGGGGGCAACAACCCTAGAGAGAGTTCCCACTGATTATCAATGATACATTCAAAAGACAGCCCTTAACCCATAATGTTTGTCTAAATCCTGCTAGACTCCCCTACCCATTTCCCACTAGCTGTCATTTCTGTGGCCCCAACCATCTCACCTGATTCCACTGCCATCCACAGGGCTGGAAGGTGACCCTAAAGTTGGTACAGATCAGGGTTCCAGACAATTCTGGTTCCAGGCCCTTCCTCACCCCTGGGGCCCATGCTAGGATCTGCTCCCCTAAAGGGGAAGAAGGGAAGCCCTGTTATGACTGTTCCCAGTGTTGCCCACACTTGGATACACCCACCCCTCCAAGAAAGGGAGATCTAAATAGGGAAGATTAAAATCCTCCCCAAAGCCCACTACAATGTAAGCTTATGAGGAAAGATAAATGTTTTTTAATTTCTGTAACTAGAACAGAGCCTAGAACAAGGCCTGGCACATAGCAGGCACTAACTATGTATCGAATAAGTAAATTTGAAAAGGGGTAACAGGGTCAAGGAAACAGAAGGAATGTCAAGGTCCAGCTCTCAGCCAGCTCTAGAGGCTGTCAGGGAGGACAGCGAGCCTCAGGCAGACGTACTTCGAGCCACGAGAGGAACACAGGGGTATCTTTGGTGAGGGCATGAAACAAGATTGGCGTAGGATGAAATTTGGAAGTCTTTGGAGAGTGATAGGGCATTATTACCTGGGAGGCATCTGGAGGCCAGGCAACTGCTAGGCTGACGACTCCTGGGCTCCGGCATCCTATTTTCCTGGACAGACTTTGGTCCAGAGGGTTGAGGGGGGTCTAGAGTTAACCCCTAGGCTCCCCAACTCCCCAGAGGCAGCTGCCTGTAGAGGCCTACACTCACACTCTCGGGGGAAACTGAGATCAGTGTCTGTGGGGAGCTCCAGACCTAACAGGGCTGGTAAACAGTAAAGGGAGGGGCTGGTTAATGGATAATGAGACAACGAACTTGAGACTGAGAAAGACGGACCAGGCTCCATCAGCAGAAGCTGATAGACAGACACACCCTCCTCCTCCTCCTCTAGAGCCTTTGCTTCCCCCTTTTATCTCCACCTCATCCCCGTTCTCACCCTCTTGCCGACACCCCCCAAATTCCTTCTCCTTACCCCCATCTCTGGCTCCTCCTTCTGGGGGGCAATGTTGAAACTCTGGCCCCGGCCCCCCCACCACATTTCTCTGGCTCCATCCGGGGACACAGCAGTTAAGGGTGGGAAACCTCAAGGATGCTCACCCACCTCGGGGAGAGGCTGAGTCTTGTTGAGAAGAGGGGTGTTAGGGAGAGGGGTAGGGGGTTGGACACAAGGGAAAGGAGCATTTGACGTGCACGGAGCAGAGTTTGGGGGTCCTTGGAAAGGTGTGTCCAGCCCAGCCTGAGAAGTCTCCTCGGAAACTTCAGTCGACTCTGGAGAGGGCGGGAGAGATGCCCAACCCCTTAAAGGAGAATACACACAATTCTGGAAAAGTGGAGAGGAAACGGTGGAGTCTGAGACGGACGGGTGGGGAAGAAATGGGGACTGAGAGAAAAACGACTCCCTTCTTTACCCCAATCCCAGACCCTGTTCTCTTCCTGTTCATGAGTACTGGAGACCGTTTGAGGGGAGCAGTTCTATTGATTATGAAGCTGGAATCATCTGGGCTACCTGTCTGGAGTGTCTCAGTGATGACTTCCCTTAAAAGCTCCGTTCTTTTGTCTTCTCAAAGGGGTTTGGGGCGGGGAGAGGGGTAGGAATGTGAAAGTGGTTCAAGCCTCCTTGCCGCCTCTTCCAGAAGAAAATGAAAATTAGACCTGGGGGGATTTTTGTCAGCAGAGGCCCAAGAATTAGGTGAGGAAGCAGGGAAACTGGTTAAAGTGGTTTTGCATATCTTTCTCTAGAGGGCATGACACAGACATCATGTGAAGACTGCAGTGGAGAAGTATAAAAAGAGATGGAAATGTGTCCAAGATGCAGACACAAGTACAGTTTGTGTGCAAGTCTTGGGGATGTGGGTGGGACAAAAAGATCTTACCAGTTAATCTTGCCCATCACGTAGATACACAACCAATAGGCAATAAGTGCCCATTCCCGTATGTGACTCCACCCCTCCAACCCAGACACCAGATCTCCAAATGAATGATTCATGTTCAGGACTTTCACAGGTGAGGGCTGGAAACCTCTCTTCAGCTCAGCAGTCCATCCCCCGTCCCTCCCATCTGCAACCCTAGAAGCAAAGATGGGTAAGGAAAGCTGGGAACAAGGAGAGAAGGAGCTGCAGCTCCTTTAAAGGAGGGGGACTTGGGGACAGCAAAGCAAAAATCTTTATTTAGACATGAAAAAGACAGAAAATAAAATACAAAATAAGAGTTAATGAGCTGCTGTTTTATTGCTTTTGAATCTACAGAGGCAGCAATCCTTAGATGGGGGCCCCAGTTTTCCAAAGTGACACTCAATTTTCCCCTCCCCCCAGTACACCACCCTTCTGGCCTCAGCTTTCAGTTTCCTGTCTTGGCTGCAACTGTGGAAATAGTGAAGATATTGTGAGACAGAAAGTCAGTCTGGAACAAAGAGGTATACACCTGCTAAGAAGGTGGCCCAGAAGCCTGATTCTAGAAGTCCTAAAGGCTACAGAGCACCACCACCCCACCTGCCCCTAATGCATTCCATGGGCCTCAACCTCTTGGGGGAAGAAAATATTTCCCAAGGTCTGTTGTAAAAAGAAAATAGGGACCAGGCGCAGTGGCTCACGCCTGTAATCCCAAGCATTTTGGAAGGCCAAGGCAGGCAGATTACTTGAGGTCAGGAGTTCAGGACCACCTGGCCAACATGATGAAGCCCCATCTCTACTGAAAATACAAAAATTAGCCAGGCGTGGTGGCTCACACCTATAATCCCAGCTACTTGGGAGGCTGAGGCAGGAGAATCGCTTGAACCCAGGAAGCAGAGGTTGCAGTGAGCCAAGATCTAATGACTACGCTCCAGCCTGGGCAACAGAGCAAGACTCCATCGCAAAAAAAAAAAAAAAAAAAAAGACATAGGAAGAGGTGTGTACCATAACTTTTAAATCCCATTATCCACTTTCCTTCTCACCACCATCCTTCATTCAAGAGCCTCATTCTATTCTTTAGCACTTTGAGGTGTGGAGACAGTGGAGGAACACGGAGAAAAAAAATCGGGGGGTAGGGGTGTGGTGGCTCATGCCTGTAATCCCAGCACTTTGGAAGGCTGAGGTGGGTGGATCACGGATCACCTGAGGTTAGGAATTCAAGACCAGCCTGGCCAACATGGCGAAACCCCCGACTCTAACTAAAAAAAAAAAAAAAAAAAAAAATTAAGCCAGGCATGGTGGTAGGCTCCTGTAATCCCAGCTACTCGGGAGCCTGAGGCAGGAGAATCGCTTGAACCCAGGAGACGAAGGTTGCAGTGAGCCGGGATCGCGCCATTGCACTCCATCCTGGGCGACAAGAGCGAAACTCTGTCTCAAAAAAAAAAAAAAAAAAAAGCGGGGTGGGGGGAAATCAGGAGGAGAAAAGAATTGGGCGATTTGGATCAATACTTAACCAGGAATGGAGTGGGCAGGAGCTGAGGGTTAAGGCTGCCTCTCACCACCCCACACACCCCCAGTAGAAGCACTAGATGAAGGGAAGGGTGGAGAGGCAAGGGGCTATATCAGATTTTTCCATTTTCAGAATCCTGTTCTGGCTGCAGGTTTGTGCCAGGAGTAAAGGCTGCTGGGAGGGGCAGCCGGAGGAGGGAGGTGGAGCTGAGTGACTCACAAGATGAGTCACAGATCCAGTTATAAGCACAGAAAGAGGCCAAGGTCCTTCCCACCCCTACTCCTCTTAACTGCTGCCAGCCAGCTTCCGTTGCTCTTTTGTACTGCCCCTTACCCACTTGGCCAATGCAAGAGATGGCACAGAGAAAGTCTACATGGGGACATCGTAATATTTTGTTACCCAACTGATGTATGGTGGCAAAATACCCTGTGATTTGCAGACTGGCTGTCTGCAAAGTAGAAGAGACAGAATGCCTGCATGACTCATCCAGATCTATAGTTGAAAGGCCTGGAGGGAAAGAAGGAAATTAGAAAAATCTGGAGTGCAGGTGATTCCAGGCCGGGAAGGGGCTTCTAATTCTGTCTTCTCACCTGTGGCTATATGTCTGGGGCACTGACTCATTGGAGAAGGAAGACACAGAGGCCAGTCGCGGTGGCTCATGCCTGTAATCCCAGCACTTTGGGAGGCCGAGGCTGGCGGATCACCTGAGGTCAGGAGTTCAAGATCAGCCTGGCCAACATGGTGAAACCCCATCTCTACTAAAATACAAAAATTAGCCGGGCATGATTGCGGGTGCCTGTAATCCCAGCCACCTGGGAGGCTGAGACAGGAGAATCACTTGAACCCAGGAGACGGTGGTTGGAGTGAGCCGAGATTGCACCACTGCACTCCAGCCTGGGCAGCTGAGCGAGACTCCGTCTCAAACCAAAAAAAAAAGAAAGAAAGAAAAAGGAAAAAGAAAGAAGACTCAGAGTCCAGAGGTGTCTGAGTAATTCAGAGACAATCATCTCTGAAATACTCTTTATTGAGAAAAAAAAATGTGACTGGAACCTTGGACACATGGCTAAAAGGAGTTAAGAATGGCAAAAGCTAGGTTCTCAGAACACATTCAAAACCAGCTTTATTCTTTTGGGCTCAGTATCACCCCGCAGATATACAACACGAAGTCACTGCTAATTCTTGTTTGTCTGTGGGCCTTAGTTTCGCTTGATAGAAAAAAAAAAACTGAGCTAATAGAGGGAAGGTACTTCCCTTCCACTGCCCTCTACAGCACTGAGTTTAACACCATCTCCACTCCTTAAAAAGACTGAATCTTTAAAAAATCTTTGGATATAATCTTTTTATTTTGTTGATAAAAACCAGTATGGAGGAAAAACTTCTGGTTAAATCTTGTAACTTTCAATAAATGCAGCATAGGTTAAGGGAGAAGCGGAGGCCTATCCTACAGTAATACTTACTCCATTGGAGATGGGGCAGAGAGCACAGCAGGGAGGGAGTAGCACTGTCTAACATCAAAAAGGGAAAAACAAGAACCCTGAAAATCTCCCCTCTCCATTAAAAACTTCAGTAGGTACCCCAGTTGCCCTGGATTAAAGGAACTAAGTGCACTTAAATTTAAGCCTGAGAGATGATATCATCCCTCACTTGGGGTTAAAGGGTCTACCTTCCCCCTTCACTCACACACCCCTCCTTAACTAAGGAATTTTTCTGCCCATTTCGAGTGCAGGCCATATGCCCCTTCTTTCCTTCTCCCCAACCCAGTAACGACATGGGCTTGCCTCTTCTATTCCCTCATCTTCCCAAAATACCACAAACCAAGCTGAATCTATATTAATTTCCCAGGCATTATTCCTTCACCTCCCCCCATCCCACCAAGACCCTCCCCGAAAGAATGAAGCAAAACAAACTTCACTATCTCCTATAAAAAATATCCATTGTCTCAGGGTCTCTCATCCTTAGAATGGAGAGGTTTTTCAATGCCTCAATAAATAGTTACCCTCCCAAATAAAAAAAATAATTTATTTCTTAATAAAAAGCTATAAGGCCTAAAGCCCCATTTTACCATATTCACCCCTAGACCACCCCTCAAAATTTCCATCTTTTTTTATTTGAAAATAAAGCAAACGGAATTGGGATTGGCTAACTTATAAATAAAAACAAACATGATACAAGGTTTTTTGTTCATTTGTCCTTAGTTTTTAAAAACAAAAGTGTTAACTAGAATCTAACAACAGATCAAATCCAAACACAGCAGTCCAGTGGAGAATCAAAACTTTTCCGGCTTTATTCTCTGGGAAAACCCCTGGTCTGTTTTCATTCCTATTGGTCCAGGCCACCATTCTATGATATGAAGGCCTAAATTAGGAAAGCTAGGTGAGCTGTGCAAATTCAGGGTGTCTGAGCCACCTGTTGTTTGGTGTGTGATGGGGGTGGAGGCGCACACAGTGGTGTTCTCGCTAGTGTTCAAATCACAGAAACAGGGACGTAACTAGGGTGAGGTGAGCAAAGCACTCACCTTGGGCACAAAATTTAAGGAGTGCCAAAAAACCCAGTAACCAAGATAAATACTATTTTAATGCAACATTTTTAAAAAATCACAATTAATGTAAAAAGTCTATGATGGACAATGTATCAAAAATTTAAATAAGAAGGATTCATCCCCATACTTATTCAATTCAGCCTCACTTCCCTCCTCCTAATCTCAGTCCTGTCAGATCCTGTAAGATTTCGCTATTTTATCCAACATAAATTTTTTGCATTAATTTTTTTAAATACTGCATTTTTTATAGTATCTTGATTAATGAGTTTTATAGTAACCCTTAAATTTTGCAACTTAGGGGAGTGCTCATCTCATACCAGGTTCCAGACCTGCCTAGACATATACACATCCCTTCCTTTGGAATCTCACTGCTTCCTTAACACAAATCTATTTTCAAAGAAAACCCTAAGAATTAATAGCCATAGGAAATTATTAAATCAGATTTGGAAAATAGGTGACTTCTGAGTTTGTTGAGGAGAAAATAACCTTTATAAACCGTGAGCATTTCCAACAAGGACAATCTTGACTGGCTACCGAGGAGGAAAACACACACACATATGCACGCACGCACATGCATGCACGCTCAAGTGCTTTAGATCAAATGTGGGGATTACGTTCCAAGGGATGGGTTATGAGTACATACCTCAAAAGAGAAATCCAAACACAGAAAAACAGCCCCAGTTAATACTCTGGACACATAAGTACACTTATTCCCCTTCTTCACATGCACCCGGGAGTGTATACAATTGCATAGTTGACTTTTTTTCCCGGAAAAAAATATAAAGAAAAAGGAAAATTGGCCCAGGATAGGTCTTCCGGTTTAAAGCTCTTAGAAATGGCTCTGGCCAGAGCATAGGCTGTTCAGACTTGTGCTTTGTGCAAAATGCGAAGGAGCTCCCCCTACTGTGTCCGCATCCCCACTCCCAGCCCCTAGAGAACAGGGAAGGGTCAGGGAAAGGGAGAAACCTAAAGACAGATCAGCTCATTGGGAGTCATCTGTGCTCTGTGGTTATAGTTCACTAAAATATATTTCTCTAACTACCTTTTTATAAATTGCCCCTATATGTTTCAACATCAGTCCTAATATCAAAAATATCTCTTCTTAGAAAGTATTTTTAATTATTTTAATAAACTAACCACAGATTAAGGTCAGCTATGGCTTAACAAAAGAAGCCGGGATGTTAAGTTCATTCTCCAAAAGTAGAGCAAAGGGAGAAAGAACCACTTAAGTAGGAGGAAAAAAAATCATTTTTTAAATGTTTTTGCTTGCTGGGGTCTTTTTATTTCTTTTCCTTAAAAAAAAAAGTCAATAAAATAAGTTGCTTTCTACAGAAACGCAGCAGCCACAGAGGCCTGTAATGCTCTACTTAGGTTTTTGGTTTTGTTTGAAACAGCCTCTGGCTAAAATGTCTGTCCTCCCACCCCTCCCAAGGTGCACTCAAACCCCAACGTATGGTTATTGCTGTGGTTAAAAAATAGATCAGCTCTGCCCCAATTCACCTGGAGAAAATGCAACACACATGACGGCTGTTCTCACCACACTCTTCCCTTTAAACAAATACAATTAAAGACTTAGATGAGGAAAAGACAGGGGGTAATCAGCAATCTCTTCTCAAACTGTAACAGATGACATATGACTGCTTGGAAGGAAATAAACCTTAAGAGGAAAAGGATTTCCCTCTTAAGTTCCTCCCTTTCCCATCTAAACAAACGGATTTAAACTACCCCCACCTCCTAACAGGCACCCATGAGGACACATTACTGCCTTGTCTTTCCAGATCCTTCAAGGGGAAGAATTTATCCAACCTTAATTTCTAGCTTAATTCAAATCAATAGCAAATGTGTCCAATTTCCCACTTCCCCTCCACACTTCTCACTCCACCATGTGCTTTTTCCCAACCTAAAGAACTTTGGTTTTATTGACTGAGAACCTCCTTTGCCCATTCCTCCCCAAGACTTCTGCCCACCTCCCACCCCCACACACCAAACCTTCCCCTGCTACTTTCTCTTAGGTCCCTGGATGGGACCCAGGAGGTTATAAGACAGAATCGCCATCTTTTCCCCTTGTACCTCAAACCTCATCAAGTCAAGCTCTGCAGAGGAATAGTACAGCCCCTGAGGTGCCATCCAGCCCCGACCTGCTCTTGCCAGCCTGGCAGCACTCCTGTGTGCACACACTTAAAAGTTTCCAGCCAGGCTCCCACAAACATTACTGCATTTTCCCCCTCAACATGGGGACTGTGTTCTTGATGAGCCAATTAGTTGAGCTTAACTTTGTTTAGCCTCCTTGCCCTTCAGTGTTCCACCCGTTCAGAACCTGTGCACCAGGAGCTCCCCATCCGGTTCCCGCTCCCTCCTCCTCAGTTCTTCCCTGTAACAACAGGAACAGAAGTTGTTTGTCTCAGGGTGTCCATAGAAGCTGCAGTTCGGTTGTTTGCATTTGGTCTGAGTTGGGGGAAGGCCCCGGAGACCTCCAGCCCATCCATCTGGCTCAGGGGGCTCTCTGTAGCCATTGCTATAGGAATCAGCCACTCGGTAGGGGGGTGGTAACAAGGCACCCCTGTGAAGTCCATCCTTAGAGTGGCTGCCTGGCTCCAGAGAAGGGATGCTGTCCTGGTGGGGGTAGGGTCGCCCAGGAGGGCACTGTCTGGGGAAGGTGGCATATGGTGGTAGGCCCCCGACACATGGACCCCCTGCCAACTGCCTCCGGGGTTCCTGGCAGTGGACTCCGCCCCCAGACGGCCGAGGGATAGTAAAGTCCCCAGGGTAGCCAGTGGAAAATGCCATTGCCCTGGACTCTGCTGGGGGACCGGTCGGCTGCTCTTCCCTAGCATCTGGCTCTGGCTTTTTGGCTGGAGGAGGGCCACCCCCTATTCCTCCATTCATGATCTTCCTCTCTGCCTCCTTCTGCTTCTGTTCTGCCAGGAATCTCTCCTCAGCATCAGAAAGGTAGCGCTGGATCATTTCCTCCTGATACTGGTGACGGTGACCCATCTTCAGGGTTCCAACAAAAATAAACTTCCCCTCCCCTTGCATGGCAGTCCTCAGAATGCTCAGGCTCTGCATCACCTCCTGGCTATACTTGCTCCCTCCGTTACCAACAGACTCAGCTGGGGGCTTCTCAGACACAGGCCCATCCCCAGCTGCCTCCTCCTTGCCACCCTTCCAGCTCTTCAGTGAGTTTTTCTTCTTCTTCTCCAGTGTCTCAGTGCCGCTGCTTCCTCCCAACCCTGTCCCCACCCCTCCAGGCTTTGAACCCTTGCTGTGCATCAGGCCCCCCATGTTCTTCTTGAGCTTGCTGCCCAAGGTTTTGCCAAAGCTGCCCAGTTTGTTAGCCACAGAATCTGCTCTCTTCTTGTCCTTCTCCCGATCTCGCTTTGACTTCTCCTTCCGCCGGCCGCCCTCGTTGCTGGTGGAACTGCTGCCAACTGACTCCTTGTCTGAGTCTCCAGACTCAGGAGTGGACCGGGGCTCATCTCCAGCTGAGGCGGTGGGGGACTCAGGCTGGGCCAGAGGAGCCTGGAAGAGACAAGAACACTGTTGACAGTTATCCCAGCAGCCTGGGGTGGGGGAATCCCCCAGGGACCTCTAGCCCATCCATCTGGCTCAGGGAGCTCCCTGCAGCCATGGCTATAGAAATTAGCCAGGTAGAAAAGGATGGACACCTATGAACTCCGTCCTCTGAGTGATTGCCTAGTGACTGCCTTGCTCCAGAGAAGGGCTTCTGTCATGATGAGGGAAGGGTCACCCAGGATGGCACTGTCCTTCCTGGGTTCCAGTCAGTCAGCTTTCTCCCCCACTGCAATCTGACTCCCTTCTGTAATAAGGAGATAGTAGAATAAAGCCTTACTGTTCATTTAGAACAATGAGCAACCATATGATACGTGGCTTCCGGGTGAGAGGCCCAGACATTAGAATGTTCTTTATTATACATTTCTCTATGCCAAATTCTGCTCGAAACTAATCTCAAGAAAGTCTTGACTAATCAAAACTAACCAAGTCTAGCCACTTTGCATCCCCTCAACTTTTATACATTCTGCATTGGAGTTATCAATTTGACCCTACTCCTGTGCTCCTGTTCTAACTCAGAGCCCACTGAATTAGGAGCTCTTTAAGCTACTCCGTCTCCTAGTGCCCAAAACAGAGGTCTATCTACAGAAGACTTTGGACGAAATAATGATCATCTCAAGTTCAACAAACAGTCCAGAAAACCTTTCTTAAAGAATATGTTAAGCCAGGCACGGTGGCTCATGCCTGTAATCCCAGCACTTTGGGAGGCCGAGGTGGGTGGATCACCTGAGGTCGGGAGTTCCAGACCAGCCTGACCAACATGGAGAAACCCCATCTCTACTAAAAATACAAAATTAGCCGGACGTGGTGGTGCATGTCTGTAATCCCAGCTACTCAGGAGGCTGAGGCAGGAGAATCGCTTGAACCCAGGAGGCGGAGGTTGCAATAAGCTGAGATCGCACCATTGCACTCCAGCCTGGGCAAAAAGAGTGAAACTCCATCTCAAAGAAAAATAATAATAATAATAATAATATGTTTTAGGTCAGGCGCGGTGGCTCACGCCTGTAATCCCAGCACTTTCGGGGGCCAAGGCAGGCGGATCACAAGACCAGCCTGGCCAACATGGCGAAACCCCATCTCTACTAAAAATAGAAAAATTAGCTGGACATGGTGGCGGGCACCTGCAATCTCAGCTACTCGGGAGGCTGAGGCAGGAGAATCGCTTGAACCCAAGAGGTGGAGGTTGCAGTGAGCTGAGATCGTGTCATTGCACTCCAGCCTGGGCATCAAGAGCAAGATTCCGTCTCAAAAAATATATATATGTTTTAGTATCAGATAACAGAGACTGGCTGGAGAGGAGATGTGGAAAACAGGAGACTAACGGTTTTTAAAAAGCAGGAAAGGGCTGGGTGTGGTGGCTCATGCCTGTAATCCCAGAACTTTGGGAGGCCAAGGTGGGTGGATCACCTGAGGTCAGGAGTTCGAGACTAGCCTGGCCAACGTGGTGAAACTCCGTCTCTACTAAAAATACAAAAATCAGCCGGGTGTGGTGGCGCACGTCTGTAATCCCAGCTACTCGTGAGGCTGATGCAGGAGAATCACTTGAACCTGGGAAGTGGAGGTTGCTGTGAGCCAAGATTGTGCCACTGCATTTCAGCCTGGCTGACAGAGCAAGACTTCCTCTGAAAAAAAAAAAAAAAAAAAGGACAGGAAAGGCCAGGCGCGGTGGCTCACACTTGTAATCCCAGCACTGTGGGAGGCTGAGGCGGGCAGATCATCTGAGGTCAGGCATTCGAGACCAGCCTGGCCAACATGGTGAAACCTGTCCTCTACTAAAAATACAAAAATTAGCTGGGCGTGGTGGCGCATGCCTGTAATACCAGCTACTCAGGAGGCTGAGGCAGGAGAATCGCTTGAACCCAGGAGGCGGAGGTTGCAATGAGCCAAGATTGTGCCATTGCACTCCAGCCTGGGTGACAGAACAAGACTCCATCTCAAAAATAAAAATAAAAAATACAATAAAAACAGGAAAAATTGTCTTTGGAACTTATCTGACATCTTCTAGTTACTTCTAACCTTGAATTGTAAGCCACCACTCAGAATAGATTCAGAAGGAAACCATCCCAGATCTCCTTGTTCTGTCACTGAAAATGAAATGAAGACACACCAGGGTAGATGTGGGAGAAGTCTTCACCTGTGCATCAGAGGACAGTGGGATCCACTTCACATTCATGTAGCTATGCAGCAGATGCAATTTGACCTCTAGGGACAGAATTACACTATGAAAAAGAGAAAAAACAAATTACTGTCACCTTTTAAAAGCAAAGCAATTTGATATAGTTGGGAGAAAGGGTGGGAGAGGGCTACATGGCTTAGGACTCAAATAGGGTTGGGTTTGAACTATTTCTCCACCAATTAATAAGCTTTATGACCTTGAGCAAGTCACTTCAACCTCCCTGAAACTCAGCTGCAGCTGAGAATGGGTATAGATAATATCTATCCTGTAGGGTTGTTGTAAAGATTAAAACAGTGTTTGGAAAGAGCCCAGCACAGTGTCTGGAAAATGGGAAATACTAGATAGTAGCCATTATCATTGTTGTTGTTGTAAATATTATTTAGAAGGAGCTTTTGATAAATAGGTGAGAGGTTATTTTTAAAAAGCCATAAACTCTGGATTTTAAAATCAAACTCTCTTAGCTGGGACCCAGTGGCAGGAGCCCAGAGAGTGAAGCACTAGGTAAGTGCTAAGGGAGGAGCTTTTGCATTCATACACTCTCCATCAGGAAGTTGATGCAGGAGGCAGAAGGAAGGCTTAACAAGCCACAGGGAGGTAGAGTGGGGGCTGAGAGGGTAGGGAACATATTTTTCTTGCTATTAAATTCCAGAAAGGCAAAAACTCAGAGCAAACTATTTTTATCACGTATTTATTTATTTATTTTTTGGATGGAGTTTCACTCTTGTTGCCCATACTGGAGTGTAATGGTACCATCTCAGCTCACTGCAACCTCCGCCTCCTGGATTCAAGTTATTCTCCTGCCTCAGCCTCCCGAGTAGATGGGATTATAGACATGCACCACCACGCCTGGCTAATTTTGTATTTTTAGTAGAGATGTGGTTTCTCCATGTTGGCCAGGCTGGTCTCAAACTCCCGACCTCAGGTGATCTGCCTGCCTCGGTTGCCTGTTCACTCTGATGGTGGTTTCTCCCAACATGCTGGGATTACAGGCATAAGCCACCGCACCCAGCCTTGATCAACTCTTTAAAACTCCTCTCACTTGGGCTAAGACATGTGATTTGATTATCCTGATTTTCTTTCTTTCTTTTTTTTTTTTTGAGACAGACTCTCACTCTGTTGCCTAGGCTGTAGTGCAGTGGCACGATGTCGGCTCACTGCAACCCCTGCCTCCTGGGTTCAAGCGATTCTCCTGCCTCAGCCTCCCTAGTAGTTGGGATTACAGGCACGCACCACCACGCCTGGCTAATTTTTGTATTTTTAGTAGAGACGAGGTTTCACCATATTGGCCAGGCTTGTCTCGAACTCCTGACCTCGTGATCCACCCACCTCAGCCTCCCAAAGTGCTGGAATTACAGGCATAAGCCACCATGCCCGGCCTGATTATCCTGATTTTCTGATCAATGTTTTAGAGATGAATCAGTGTATGAACACTTTTCCTATTGTAAGAAAAGAACAAGTTGAGATGCTAGGATTCCCATCTCTTTCACAGGGAGAAAAAGCAGCTGCACCATGAAAGAGTCCTGGTGCCCAACCTCTCCTCTACCTCCCCATCTTCCCAAAACTCATCTTAGCTTGTGACTGTCTTGCCTGAGCTGAGGAAAAATCCCTGGGAGATGGATGCCACATGTGGAAGAAATCCCAGCACAAAATAGATGAAAAGACTAGGCCTGGCTTACCTGGCCAATCGGACATTGTCACTATCATCTTTGCCCCACTCCCAGCCCTTTCCAGGGTCCACAGCAAAGTGCAAGGGCAGCAGCTTATACTCTGAATCTGTAAGTGGGATCACAGCTGGAGAGGAAGAAACATATCATCAAGGAATCTCCTTAAGAGAGAAAGGTAACTGAACACAGACTTATTTCACTAAAATCATACTAAGGTCTTTAATTGTAGTCACTTCTCAATTCTTACACGTGAATTACCCCGGTATTAAAACTAATTGGCTAGTTTTCCCGCTACCACGCAGCATATGTTTTAGGCCACAAATCTCCCTGAGTCCCCACCAGTCAGTCAACTAACTCTCATGATGTTCTTTCCAGTTAATGTATATTCAGAGAATTCAGTCATAATTTAAGACAAATTAGAAAAGCATCATTTAGAAGCTCTTACACCTTAATCATAAGCCTTTACTCCAGAAGAGGGTATATAGGTCTTGCTTTTCTCCCAACCCTTTTTTTTTTAATTTGAAAACTCTGGCGTAACTTCTGGCTTAATAAAACAGTATCAACATGTGCTGTCTGGGCTTGCATGTCACTTAATTCTTTCCTCCTACATTAGATCTCATTCAATTTTTTCAAGTGAAAATAATGCAGACCAAAAGACATGTCATTCAGCACCTTGTTCCTTGGTATTCTCCTTCTGCTCCATGGACACGAGTGCAGAAAAGTGGGCCTGATCATAGGCGAGCACCAGAGGGGAGCGGTGACACTGGCTGGCTGGGACCTCCAAAGGCAGATAGATTCCTCCAAAGGGAATAGGGGCAAATGCTGCAGGAAGCCATGAAGATTATTATGAAGGCTGTGTTTCTGCCTAGTGGACAATCCCTACATCCCACTCTGCCAACTGAGTCCCTCCCTGCTTTCATTCCAACATGTTTAATAATTCTTTCCTAAGAAGCCCTGTCAACTAATCCCAACTGCTTTACTCAGAATCTCTTGAGAATTTTGCACTATTCTAATTGATAACTTGCTTTTTCCCCAAGGGTCTATATATCCCCTTTCCTGCCTTCCTTCCAATGCTTAGCCTAAGGCTTTGCAAAAGGGGGTGCTCAGCATGGAGTGAGGACTGACTGGCTGACTCACCTTCCCCTCCGGAGTCCCTCAGCATGGTGTCTGCCACGACGACTATGGGCCTCCTAAGCACATGAGCAAGGACAAAGACGTGAAACTCTTCAAGGCTCTCATATACAGGCTCCTCAGAACTCTCCACCCTGGAACGACGGGAAGGGAGAGAGTGAAAAGGGTGCAGTAAAAATGAGAGAGTAGAAACAGGAGACCCTGAAGACCAGTTCTGCAGAAAGGGAAAAGAAGAATGTCCTTTCCTGGTTTTCCAATCTTAAGGCTGCCACTGATATAGCTGATTATTTTATGCTACCATGGCTGTTTCTACCTCCGTTTTCACAGATGGGGAAATCCAAGAAAAGAGATTTGAAGGCTCTAGGGTTAAAGCAGTGTTAGGAATTTGGAGGTAATCCCTATCTCTTAATATTCTTCCTGTTCAATAGCCTCTCTCCATTCTCTTCATCCAGTAGCTCAATACACAACTGCATAGCTTCATCCTACTTATTTTATATACTACAGCCACCCACACATCACACTCATGTCTTACAAAAACAGCCAAACACAATTCCTTTCCTATGTTCCTTTCCTCACTGAAAGAACAGCTTCACCATCTATCCAGTAGCATAATCAGAAATTTGGAAATATTTATTGTGCTTTTATCTCTCACCTTCCAGTAGTCACGTGATTTAACCAATTCCATCTCCCGTGTGTTTTTTGTTTTTTTTTCTTTTTTTTTTTTGAGATAGAGTCTCGTTCTGTCCCCCAGGCTGGAGCAGTGGCGCGATCTCGGCTCACTGCAAGCTCTGCCTCCCAAGTTCACGCCATTCTCCTGCCTCAGCCTCCCGAGTAGCCGGGACTACAGGCACCCGCCACCTCGCCCGGTCTAATTTTTTGTACTTTTTGTATTTTTTTTTTTTTTTTTTTTTTGTAGATGGAGTCTCACTCTTTCGCCCAGACTGGAGTGCAGTGGTGCGATTTGGGCTCACTGCAAGCTCCACCTCCTGAGTTCAGGCAATTCTCCTGCCTCAGCCTCCCGAGTAGCTGGGACTACAGGTGCCCACCACCATGCCTGGCTAATTTTTTTGTATATTTAGTAGAGATGGGGTTTCACCGTGGTCTCGATCTCCTGACTTCGTGATCCGCCCGCCTCGGCCTCCCAAAGTGCTGGGATTACAGGCGTGAGCCACTGTGCCTGGCAATTTTTTAAATTTTTAGTAGAGACGGGGTTTCACCGTGTTGGCCAGGATGGTCTTGATCTCCTGACCTCGTGATCCGCCCGTCTCAGCCTCCCAAAGTGCTGGGATTACAGGTGTGAGCCACTACGCCTGGCCTTCCTGTGTGTTTCTTTTATCTGTCTCCCGGGCTTATCTTTAGTCTACCACACTGTTCATCCATGGCCCTTTCCTGGATTACTACAACTGCATCTTATCCCACTCCTTTCCACTTCATTATCCACTGGAGTCAGCGTGTTCAAATACGGAGGGACAAATTTGCTCCTGTCATTCACATACTCAATATTCAATGGCTTCCACCCCCTAAAGCAATTTTATTCAATATTGGATGCTGATTACAAACAAGGATTTCTGGGCCTTACCTCTGTCCAACTCAACTGGACTTTTCTGGGGTGGAGGTCCAGAAATCAGCTTTTTAAATAACTCTCCCAGATTATTCTTATGTACAATAAAATCTGCATAGGTTATAATTTTTAACCATTATGGAAAATTTCAAAATTTTAAACATATTCAATACTAGAAATGATAATATACTAAACACTCATGTATCCATCACCCAGCTTTAACAATTATAAACACATGGTCAACCTTTTTTTTTTTAAACAGAAAGTTTATTACAGCATATTACAGGCTTGTGTCAGTACTAAATTGATCAATAAACAGATTCTAGCCTGCACTTTCAGGAATGCACCCAAAGCTACTCCTCAGATCTAGAGTAGCATGGGAACTGCTTGCTGCTCCTGCACTAATTTTTTTTTATTATACTTTAAGTTCTAGGGTACATGTGCACAATGTGCAGGTTTGTTACATAAGTATACATATGCCACGTTGGTGTGCTGCACCCATTAACTCGTCATTTACATTAGATATATCTCCTAATGCTATCCCTCCCCCCTCCCCCAACTCCACAACAGGCCTTGGTGTGTGATGTTCCCCACCCTGTGTCCAAGTGTTCTTATTGTTCAATTCCCACCTATGAGGGAGAACATGTGGTGTTTGGTTTTTTGTCCTTGCGATAGTTTGCTCAGAATGATGGTTTCCAGCTTCATCCATGTCCCTATAAAGGACATGAACTCATGCTTCTTTATGGCTGCATAGTATTCCATGGTGTATATGTGCCACATTTTCTTAATCCAGTCTATCATTGTTGGACATTTGGGTTGGTTCCAGGTCTTTGCTATTGTGAATAGTGCCACAATACACATACATGTGCATATGTCTTTATAGCAGCATGATTTATAATCCTTTGGGTATATACCCAGTAATGGGATGGCTACGTCAAATGGGATTTCTAGTTCTAGAACCTTGAGGAATCGCCACACTGTCTTCCACAATGGTTGAACTAGTTTACAGTCCCACCAACAGTGTAAAAGTGTTCCTATTTCTCCACATCTTCTCCAGTACCTGTTGTTTCCTGACTTTTTTAATGATCACCATTCTAACTGGTGTGAGATGGTATCTCATTGTGATTTTGATTTGCATTTCTCTGATGGCCAGTGATGATGAGCATTTTTTCATGTGTCTGTTGGCTGCATAAATGTCTTCTTTTGAGAAGTGTCTGTTTATATGCTTCGCCCACTTTTTGATGGGGTTGATTTTTTCTTATAACTTTGTTTAAGTTCTTTGTAGATTCTGGATATTAGCCCTTTGTCAGATGGGTAGATTGCAAAAATTTTCTCCCATTCTGTAGGTTGCCTGTTCACTCTGATGGTGGTTTCTTTTGCTGTGCAGAAGCTCTTTAGTTTAATTAGATCCCATTTGTCTATTTTGGCTTTTGTTGCCATTGCTTTTGGTGTTTTAGTCATGAAGTCCTTGCCCATGCCTATGTCCTGAAGGGTATTGCCTAGGTTTTCTTCTAGGGTTTTTATGGTTTTAGGTCTAACATTTAAGTCTTTAATCCATCTTGAGTTAACTTTTTTATAAGGTGTAAGGAAGGGATCCAGTTTCAGCTTTCTACCTATGGCTAGCCAGTTTTCCCAGCACCATTTATAAAATAGGGAATCCTTTCCCCATTTCTTGTTTTTGTCAGGTTTGTCAAAGATCAGATTGTTGTAGATGTGTGGTATTATTTCTGAAGGCTCTGTTCTGTTCCATTGGTCTATATCTCTGTTTTGGTACCAATACCATGCTGTTTTGGTTACTGCAGCCTTGTAGTATAGTTTGAAGTCAGGTAGCGTGATGCCTCCAGCTTTGTTCTTTTGGCTTAGGATTGTCTTGGCAATGCAGGCTCTTTTTTGGTTCCATATGGACTTTAAAGTAGTTTTTTCCAATTCTGTGAAGAAAGTCATTGGTGGTTTGATGGGGATGGCACTGAGTCTATAAATTACCTTGGGCAGTATGGCCATTTTCACGATACTGAGTCTTCCTATCCAAGAGCATGAAATGTTCTTCCATTTGTTTGTGTCCTCTTTTATTTCATTGAGCAGTGGTTTGTAGTTCTCCTTGAAGAGGTCCTTCACATCCCTTGTAAGTTGGATTTCTAGGTATTTTATTCTCTTTGAAGCAATTGTGAATGGGAGTTCACTCATGATTTGGCTCTCTGATTGTCTATTATTGGTGTATAGGAATGCTTGTGATTTTTGCACATTGATTTTGTATCCTGAGACTGCTGAAGTTGCTTATCAGCTTAAGGAGATTTTGGGCTAAGACAGTGGGGTTTTCTAAATATACAATCATGTCACCTGCAAACAGGGACAATTTGACTTTCTCGTTTCCTAATTGAATACCCTTTATTTCTTTCTCCTGCCTGATTGCCCTGGCCAGAACTTCTAACACTATGTTGAATAGGAGTGGTGAGAAAGGGCATCCCTGTCTTGCACCAGTTTTCGAAAGGAATGCTTCCAGTTTCTGCCCATTCAGTATGATATTGGCTGTGGGTTTGTCATAAATAGCTCTTATTATTTTGAGATACGTCCCATCAATATCTAGTTTATTGAGAGTTTTTAGCATGAAGGGCTGTTGAATTTTGTCAAAGGCCTTTTCTGCATCTGTTGAGGTAATCATGTGGTTTTTATCTTTGGTTCTGTTTATATGATGGATTATGTTTATTGATTTACGTATGTTGAACCAGCCTTGCCTCCCAGGGATGAAGCCAACTTGATCTTGGGGGATAAGCTTTTTGATGTGCTGCTGGATTCGGTTTGCCAGTATTTTATTGAGGATTCTTGCATCGATGTTCATCAGGGATAGTGGTCTAAAATTCTCTTTTTTTGTTGTGTCTCTGCCAGGCTTTGGTATCAGGATGATGCTGGCCTCATAAAATGAGTTAGGGAGGATTCCCTCTTTTTCTATTGATTGGAATAGTTTCAGAAGGAATGGTACCAGCTCCTCTTTGTACCTCTGGTAGAATTCGGCTGTGAATCCATCTGGTCTTGGACTTTTTATGGTTGGTATGCTATTATTGCCTCAATTTCAGAGGTGCTATTGGTCTATTCAGGGGTTCAAATTCTTCCTGGTTTGGTCTTGGGAGGGTGTATGTGTCCAGGAATTTATCCATTTCTTCTACATTTTCTAGTTTAATTGTATTGAGGTGTTTACAGTAGTCTCTGATGGAAGTTTGTATTTCTGTGGGATCGGTGGTGATATGCCCTTTATCATTTTTTATTGTGTCTATTTGATTCTTCTCTCTTTTCTTCTTTATTAGTCTTGCCAGCGGTCTATCAAATTTTGTTGATCTTTTCAAAAAACCAGCTCCTGGATTCATTGATTTTTTGAAGGGTTTTTTGTGTCTCTATCTCCTTCAGTTCTGCTCTGATCTTAGTTATTTCTTGCCTTCTGCTAGCTTTTGAATGTTTGCTCTTGCTTCTCTAGTTCTTTTAATTGTGATGTTAGGGTGTCAATTTTGGATCTTTCCTGCTTTCTCTTGTGGGCATTTAGTGCTATAAATTTCCCTCTCCACACTGCTTTGAATGTGTCCCAGAGATTCTGGTATGTTGTGTCTTTGTTCTCATTGGTTTCAAAGAACATCTTTATTTCTGCCTTCATTTCATTATGTACCCAGTAGTCATTCAGCAGCAGGTTGTTCAGTTTCCATGTAGTTGAGCAGTTCTGAGTGAGTTTCTTAATCCTGAGTTCTAATTTGATTGCACTGTGGTCTGACAGACAGTTTGTTATAATTTCTGTTCTTTTACATTTGCTGAGGAGTGCTTTACTTCCAACTATGTGGTCAATTTTGGAATAAGTGTGATGTGGTGCTAAGAAGAATGTATATTCTGTTGATTTGGGGTGAAGAGTTCTGTAGATGTCTATTAGGTCTGCTTGGTGCAGAGCTGAGTTCAAGTCCTGGATATCCTTTTTAACTTTCTGTCTCGTTGATCTCTCTAATGTTGACAGTGGGGTGTTAAAGTCTCCCATTATTATTGTGTGGGAGTCTAAGTCTCTCTGTAGGTCTCTAAGGACTTGCTTTATGAATCTCGGTGCTCCTGTATTGGGTGCATATATATTTAAGATAGCTCTTCCTGTTGAATTGATCCCTTTACCATTATGTAATGGCCTTGTCTCTTTTGATCTTTGTTGGTTTAAAGTCTGTTTTATCAGAGACTAGGATTGCAACCCCTGCTTTTTTTTGTTTTCCATTTGCTTGGTAGATCTTCCTCCATCCCTTTATTTTGAGCCTATGTGTGTCTCTGCACCTGAGATGGGTCTCCTGAATATCGCACACTGATGGGTCTTGACTCTTTATCCAATTTGCCAGTCTGTGTCTTTTTAATTGGAGCATTTAGCCCATTTACATTTAAGGTTAATACTGTTATGTGTGAATTTGATCCTGTCATTATGATGTTAGCTGGTTATTTTGCTCGTTAGTTGATGCAGTTTCTTCCTAGCATCGATGGTCTTTAAATTTGGCATGTTTTTGCAGTGGCTGGTATCGGTTGTTCCTTTCCATGTTTAGTGCTTCTTTCAGGAGCTCTTGTAAGGCAGGCCTGGTGGTGACAAAATCTCTCAGCATTTGCGTGTCTGTAAAGGATTTTATTTCTCCTTCACTTATGAAGCTTAGTTTGGCTGGATACGAAATTCTGGGTTGAAAATTCTTTTCTTTAAGACTGTTGAATATTGGCCCCCACGCTCTTCTGGCTTGCAGAGTTTCTGCCGAGAGATCTGCTGTTAGTCTGATGGGCTTCCCTTTGTGGGTAACCCGACCTTTCTCTCTGGCTGCCCTTAGCATTTTTTCCTTCATTTCAACTTTGGGAATCTGACAATTATGTATTTCAGAGTTGCTCTTCTCAAGGAGTATCTTTGTGGCGTTCTCTGTATTCCCTGAATTTGAATGTCGGCCTGCCTTGCTAGGTTGGGGAAGTTCTCCTGTATAATATCCCGAAGAGTGTTTTCCAACTTGGTTCCATTCTCCCCGTCACTTTCAGGTACACCAATCAGACATAGATTTGGTCTTTTCACATAGTCCCATATTTCTTTGAGGATTTGTTTGTTTCTTTTTACTCTTTTTTCTCTGAACTTCTCTTCTCACTTCATTTCATTCATTTGATCTTCAATCACTGATACCCTTTCTTCCACTTGATTGAATCAGCTACTGAAGCTTGTGCACGCGTCACATAGTTCTTATGCCATGGTTTTCAGCTCCATCAGGTCGTTTAAGGTCTTCTCTATGCTGTTTATTCTAGTTAGCCATTCGTCTAATCTTTTTTCAAGGTTTTTAGCTTCTTTGCGATGGGTTCGAACATCCTCCTTTAGCTCAGAGTTTGTTATTACCGATCGTCTGAAGCCTTCTTCTCTCAACTCGTCAAAGTCATTCTCCGTCCAGCTTTGTTCTGTTGCTGGTGAGGAGCTGCGTTCCTTTGGAGGAGAAGAGGCACTCTGATTTTTAGAATTTTCAGCTTTTCTGCTCTGGTTTCTCCCCATCTTTGTGGTTTTATCTACCTTTGGTCTTTGATGATGGTGACATACAGATGGGGTATTGGTGTGGATGTCCTTTCTGTTAGTTTTCCTTCTAACAGTCAGGACCCTCAGCTGCAGGTCTGTTGGAGTTTGCTGGAGGTCCACTCCAGACCCTGTTTGCCTGGGTATCACCAGTGGAGGCTGCAGAACAGCAAATATTGCAGAACGGCAAATGTTGCTGCCTGATCCTTTCTCTGGAAGCTTCATCTCAGAGGGGCACCCGGCTGTATAAGATGTCAGTCAGCCCCTACTGGGAGGTGTCTCCCAATTAGGCTACTCGGGGGTCAGGGACCCACTTGAGGAGGCAGTCTGTCCGTTCTCAGATCTCAAACCGCGTGCTGGGAGAACCACTACTCTCTTCAAAGCTGTCAGACAGGGACGTTTAAGTCTGCAGAAGTTCCTGCTACCTTTTGTTCAGCTATGCCCTGCCGCCAGAGGTGGAGTCTACAGAGGCAGGCAGGCCTCCTTGAGCTGCAGTGGGCTCCACCCAGTTCGAGCTTCCCGGCCGCTTTGTTTACCTACTCAAGCCTCAGCAATGGCGGACGCCCCTCTCCCAGCCTCACTGCCTCCTTGCAGTTCTATCTCAGACTGCTGTGCTAGCAGTGAGCAAGCCTCCGCAGGCATGGGACCCTCCGAGCCAGGCACGGGATATAATCTCCTGGTGTGCCATTTGCTAAGACCGTTGGAAAAGGGCAGTATTAGGGTGGGAATGTCCCGATTTTCCAGGTACCGTCTGTCACGGCTTCCCTTGGCTAGGAAAGGGAATTCTCCAACTCCTTGTGCTTCCCAGGTGAGGCAATGCCCCGCCCTGCTTCGGCTCACGCTCCGTGGGCTATACCCACTGTCCAACAAGCCCTACTGAGATGAACCCGGTACCTCAGTTGGAAATGCAGAAATCATCCCTCTTCTGCGTCACTCATGCTGGGAGCTGTAGACTGGAGCTGTTCCTATTTGGCCATCTTCAACACTTGGTCAATCTTGTTTTACTACACCTCAGATCTATTTACCTACCTCCCCCATCACGGGGCTACCACCAGAGAATTTTGAAGCAAATCCTGGACATTATATAATTTCATCCATTTTTATTTTATTTCAGTTTCTATCTCTAAAAACATAAAGGACTACCTTTTTTTTTTTTTTTTTTTTTTTGAAATGGAGTCTCACTCTGTCGCCAGGGCTGGAGTGCAGTGGCACGAACTCGGCTGACTACAACCTCTGCTTCCTGGGTTCAAGCAATTCTCCTGCCTCAGCCTCTCGAGTAGCTGGGATTACAGCCGCCTAGCACCACGCCCAGCTAATTTTTTGTATTTTCAGTAGAGACAGGGTTTCACCACATTGGCCAGGCTGGTCTCGAATTCCCGCCCACCTCGGCCTCCCAAAGTTCTGGGATTACAGGCGTGAGCCACTGCGCCTGGCCAGGACTACCTTTTTAAACAACCACTATACCATTAATATCACATTTTATAATTTTAACAATAATCAAACACAGAGACATTGTTCACATTTCCTTAATTGTCTTATGATGTCCACACATCCCAACTGGTTGATGTCTTTTTTTTCTTTTAGAGACAGAGG
The DNA here is from genome assembly GCF_000001405.40 of Homo sapiens. Lineage (NCBI taxonomy): Eukaryota > Metazoa > Chordata > Mammalia > Primates > Hominidae > Homo > Homo sapiens. The sequence continues at coordinate 149,958,772 of NC_000001.11, forward strand.
TCTCTCTTTGTCACCCAGGCTGGAGTGCAGGGGTGCTGTCACAACTCACTGCAGCCTCGACCTCCCCAGCTCAGGCAATCCTCCCACCTCAGCCTCCCAAGTAGCTGGGACTATAGGCATGCACCACCATGCCTGGCTAATTTTTTTTTTTTAAGATGTGGTCTCACTGGCCAGGCATGGTGGCTCATGCTTGTAATCCCAGCACTTTGGGAGGCCAAGGTGGGTGGATCACTTGAGGCCAGGAGTTTGAGATCACCCTGGCCAAAATGGTGAAACCCCGTCTCTAATAAAAATACAAAAATTAGCTGGGCGTGGTGGCATGCATCTGTAGTCCCAGCTACTTGGGAGGCTGAAACAGAGAATCACTTGAACCCTGAAGGCAGAGGTTGCAGTGAGCAGAGATCACACCACTGCACTCCAGCCTGGGCAACAAAGTAAGACTCTGTCTCAAAAAAAAAAGAAAAAAAAGAAAGAAAAAGAAAGGGGGTCTCACTATGTTACCCAGGCTGGTTTCGAACTCCTGGGCTCACACGATCCTCCTGCCTCAGCCTTTCAAAGTGCTGAGATTACAGGTGTGAGACACCACACCCGGCCTGATATGTCTTTTTAGTCCATTTAAACCTACAAGTTCCTGGTCCCTTTTTATTTTCCTTGCAGTTTACTTACTGAAGATACTGGGTCATTTGTCCTGAAGTTTCCAAAGTCTAGATGGGCTACTTTATATTCCAGTTCAATACCGAACTACCTGTAGTTCCTAAACATATCATGTTGTTACACACTTTTGTGCCCTTAGCATAGTTCCCCTCTTTCCTTCTAATATCCTCTTAGCACAGAGCTCTCTAGACACTGGGCTGTGGAAGCCCAGTGAGGACTCTATGCAGGTTTCCTCCTCCCCTACTTAGCCATACTTACCCACCACAGTTGGCTCCATTGGTACCTAGATGCATTCGGGGTTCACTTGAGGCAAGCTTGATCAGTTCATTCCACTCCTTCTGCCATTCATCTTCTGTGTATACCAGCCCTGACTGTGTGAAGGACAGGCAGGGGACATTGGGCAATTAGAGGCTGGGTTCTAAGAGGCAATACCTATTCCACCTTATTCACTGTTACTTACTCCCTAATCCCTTAGCACTTGGTTTACAAATTGTACTACAAAGTCAAATCTCTTATCTCTTTTACAGTCAAGATCCATGAACTAATAGTCTATGACTATTAAACTTCTTTATCATCCATTCTTTTTGACCTACTGCAATCTGTCCCATTTCTGCCCTCCATCCTGCTCACCCACCTGCCACATAACATTTCACCTACCTGATTTTGGCAAAGAACAATGACCTTCTAATTGCCACATTCAGTGGACCCTGGTTCCCATCTTAGCCTTCACATGGGTTATTTTCCTCTTTAAATTTTCTTTGCCATTAGCGTCCATAAAATTACTTTCTATTCCTCTAAATTCTGTCTGCCCCCAAAATACTAGTGGTGTGTCAATGATTTTCACCTTGGTTCCCTCTGGGTGATCTCTTCTACTGCCATAATCTCATCCACTACCATCTGTATGGTATATACCATCTATCTCCAGCCCAGATTTCTTAATTTCTTTTCTTTTTCTTTTCTTTCCTTTTTTTCTTTTTTTTTTTTTTGTAGACAGAGTCACCCAGGCTGGAGTGCAATGGCACAATCTCGGCTCACTGCAAACTTCACCTCCCGGGTTCAAATGCTTCTCCTGCCTCAGCCTCTCGAGTAGCTGGGATTACAGCACCCACCACCAGGCCCAGCTAATTTTTGTATTTTTAGTAGAGACGGGCTTTCCCCATGTTGGCCAGGCTGGTCTCGAACTCCTGACCTGGTGATCTGCCTGTCTCAGCCACCCAAAATGCTGGGATTACAGGCATGAGGCACTGCACTCAGCCTAGACTTCTTAATTTCTATATTCATATATCCAGCTACCTACTGGAGACTGCCACCTGCCCATGGCTACCTCAAACTCTGTAAAGTCAAAATAGAACTCCTGTTTTTTCCCAAACCCACTCTTCTTCCTATTTTCCTACCTTAGTGAATAGCACCAACTATCACCCAAACATCCAAGCTCAAAACCAAGGAATTATCTAATATTCCTTTCTTTCTTTCACCCACCCCACACCTGGATACCTTCTTTTTTTTTTTTTTTTTTTTTGAGACAGAGTCTCACTCTGTCGCCCAGGCTGGAGTACAGTGGAACGATCTCAGCTCACTGCAACCTCCACCTCCCGGGTTCAAGCAATTCTCCTGCCTCAGCCTCCCAAGTAGAAGTGCTGCATACAAAGCCTACTTTCTGGCCCCTACCCACTTCTCTAGTCAGATATATCTCACTGAATCAGCTGTAGTTCCTGAAATATACCATGTTGTTTTATACCACTGAGCTTTTGTCTAAGCTGTTCCTTCTGCCTGGAGTAGCTCACTTTCTGTCAACCTTGTGAACAATTTCTCAACTTTTAGGACAGAACTCAGGTATCATTCCTCCAAATAGTCTTCTAAATCTCCCTTGGCAGATCAACCACTCCTTCCTTTGTATCCTCTCTCCCTAACTGCTATAGAGTTGTTGTTGTTTTTTTGTTTGTTTGTTTGAGACAAAGTCTTGCTCTGTCACCCAGGATGGAGTGTGGTGGCATGATCTTGGCTCACTGCAACCTCCACCTCCCAGGTTCAAGCAATTCTCCTGCCTCAGCCTCCGGAGTAGCTGGGACTACACGTGCACACCACCATGCCTGGCTAGTTTTGTATTTTTAGTAAAGACGGGGTTTCACCATGTTGGCCAGGCTGGTCTCGAACTACCAACAGGTGATCCGCCTGCCTTGGCCTTCCAAAGTGCTGGGATTACAGGCATGAGCCACCGCATCCGGCCAGCATTAACTGCTATAGAGACGTCTATTGTAAGAGTCATACATGTTATAACCTGTTGCAATTATGTATTTACATGTCCATCTCCTCCTCTATGCTAGGATCATGTTTTATGCAATACACCCAAGGTCTATTTTGTGACTATAATCAATAAACATATGCTAAGTGAAACTACAATTTTTATCAAAGGAGAGCAGGCAATGGTACAAGCAATTTTAAAATACATTGGCTTTAGGATGTATATAATGATAAGGGAAATAAGTTTAACTTATTAATTTTATTTGGCTGACATTAGTATTAAAATGAGTCTATACGGCTTAACCGCACACTGACAGAGTAGAAGGAAATCACTGGAAACATGAGGGGTACTGGGAACAAATTTAATGGGAATTTTTTAAATGACACAGCTATTTTCAATTTGTAAAATGCTATCACAAATTTTACTTCAATTAAAAATAAAGAGAGCAATGCCCAGGTTCTATATGGAGTGCTGCAGTCACTCCAATAGACACATCCAGATCCGGCTCCCTCTTCCTGGCCGGTTTCTGCTTCCTGTTTTAATGTACACAGCCACTAGGTGGTGTACAACTTCTAGCCTTAACATTTAAGAAACTATTACTGAGCCTCACCACCAATTTCAACATAAAACAAGGAAGCCCAGGAAATCAAAACTTATTTAGTGTGGTTTTGGTACTGGGGAGCTAAAGGAAGCTTCCCCAGTTCATTATCCTCCTCCTACCATTCCCACTCCCAAGGTGGGTAATAATGCTATGAATGGTCTAAGCTAAGACAATTATGAAAGCCACATTTTCAGTATGAACTTTCACTGTGCTGAGCAAAAGGACTAAAACTATTGCTCCATTACTAGCCACTATTCTCTATGCATGTTGGGGACTTTCAGATGGAAAGGCTGACTTTGAGAGGGAAAGGCTGGCTGGCCAAGGATAGAACGTGGGTATTTCTGGGTTTCCTGGCTAAATACCATTATAATCTAACCCCATCTTTAGAATAATAACTAATTGCTTTAATAACTGGAATTGGGCACACTTAATTTTCTGGGTGTTGCTGTCATTTCTACTTAATAGTTGGCATGTTCTGGTTTGGCCTTTTCTTGCCTCTGCAGTGGTTAAGGTTCCGGTATTATCTGAACTCAACAGTGAAGAGGACAAAGCTGACTACCACAAAACTGACTACTGATTTGCTCTGGATTCTAAATTCTAGGCTAGCTCTAGCTCAGGCAAAAGCTTTCCACGAGATCCAGCCAAGCTTTTGGTGCTAAAAAAGAATGTCAAGTACTTATGTGGCCTTGCCCCTGTGGGTTTATTTCCCTCAGGAATCTTCTGGGGAAGACTGGCTGCTCAAGGAGAGGATTCTGATCTTAATATCATCTACTTTTAACAACTGGATTATTTGTTTTTGAGGAAGAAACATAGCATGTTCTACTTACATATTAAATCTTCAGGATATAAAATTCTAAATAACTAAAACAAAAAAACTCTTCTATATTGTCAAGTTATGACAGCAATAAAATGAGAAAAAAAGAAAGGTGGATGAAAAAGGAAAGTTTCTGAAGAGATATTGCCATACTAAATGCCAGAAAGATCCAGCCATAACATGGCAAAAAAAAAATAGATATACATAAAGAGCAGGAGATATAAACATAGCACAGAATCACAGGAAAAGGAAATAGGGAGCCTCATTATTTTTATGTAAAGGCATAATGTCATTATTGAAGGGAAGTAATCAGCAAACTTTTTCTGTAAAGGGCCAGGTAGTCAGTAAGTATGGGCTGTGCAGGCCACATGTTACTACTGTGCTGCTGGAGGAAGAAAGCAGTTACACGTGTAAACATCCAAGAAATGCCCAGGGCTGTATTCTGATAAAAGGTTTTTTTGTTTTTGTTTTTTTTTGTTTTTTTTTTTCTTACAAAATAGCCATAGTTTGCGCAACCCGTTTTGGAGAGGGCAAGTACAAACAATCTGTTGTTACTGCCTTATATAACAGCAGCCTCAACATTTGACAAACTCCTGAGAAGTACTGTTCAGACTCAATTAAATAGGTATGCTTTTTGTGTGTGTGTGTGATTAGAATGCTGGTTCCTTATGCTTTTTAAAATTTAAAATAAACTAAAACTGAGTATATGAAAAACAAATGGTATATATGTCCTAAAAGATTTTAACCATTCACATTTCTATAGGGGCTGAAAACATAAGTCTTTAAAAATTGATCTAGCCTTATTACAAGCAAAAAAACAAAACAATACAAAAATCCTATGGAATTGTCATAACTCATTTTGCAAAACACTGCCACTAAAAGCTATAAAGCACCTACTGGGGGAAAAGCACAATGTTAGATAACCTCTCTGTAGGTCTCATGCCCACCACCAGTTCTCATGACCACATCAGAAGGCATTTACCCCATTGGTGTTAACTGCATTTTCTCCAATTTTCAGGATCATAAGGGGAGTCACACTGACCTAAACACTTGGAAATATTTTCTACTGGCAGGCACCCAGTGACTTTGGCAGCTTGGTAACTTTAGGAAACAAGGCGCTCCCACCCACGCTCTCCCACCTCTTTATTCTGCTGTGTCTGCTGCCACCTCCAGCGCCTTTTCAACGCTTCCTTCTCAACTCCCTTCTCCATCAGTGCATACAAAGCTTTCCGCAGCATCAAGTCCCGATCATGGAAACCCCACATTCCTGTGGCAAAAAAGCATAATGGTAAGATACCTCAGCTTGACTCTGCTAATTTTTGTATTTTTAGTAGAGATGGGGTTTCACCATGTTGGCCAGGCTGGTCTCAAACCCCTGGCCTCAAGTGACCCCCCTGCCTTACCCTCCCAAAGTGCTGGGATTATAGGTGTGAGCCATGGCACCAGGCTGCAAATAATATATTAAGTTGTAAATTGACTTAATTTTTTGTTTATTTGGTTTTTTATGGGTTTTTTTGGTTGGTTTTTTTGAGACAGAGTTTCACTCTGTCCCCCAGGCTGGAGTGCCATGGTGTGTTCTTGGCTTACCGCAACTTCCGCCTCCCATGTTCAAGAGATTCTCCTGCTTCAGCCTCCCGAGTAGCTAGGATTACAGGTGTCCACCACCATATCAGGCTAATTTTTGTATTTTTAGTAGATACAGGGTTTCACGATGTTGGCCAGGCTGGTCTCGAACTCCCAACCTCAGGTGATCCACCCACCTTGGCATCCCAAAGTGCTGGGACTACAGGCGTGAGCCACCACGCCTGACCTTTTTTTTTTTTTGTAGACAGAGTCTTGCTTTGTTGCCCAGGCTGGAGTACAGTGGTGCGATCTCGGCTCACTCACTGCAACCTCTGGCCCCCGGATTCAGCAATTCTCCTGCCTCAGCCTCCCTAGTAGCTGGGATTACAGGCATCTGCCACCATGCCCAGCTAATTTTTTTATTTTTAGTAGAGATGGGGTTTCACCGTGTTGGCCAGGCTGGTCTCAAACTCCTGGCCTCAAGTGATCTGCCCACCTTGGCCTCCCACAGTGTTGGAATTACAGGCGTGAGCCATTGAGCCCAGCCCTTACTTTAAATATTAAGCCTATTTACAGTGGGGCATGGTGGCTCCCACCTGTAATCCCAGCTACTTGGGAGGCTGAGGCAGGAGAATCGCTTGAACCCAGGGGTGGAGGTCACAGTGAGCTGAGATCACACCACTGTACTCCAGCCTGGGCAACAGAGTGAGACTCCGTCTCAAAAACTAAATAAATAAATAAAATAAAGTAAGTGTGTGTTACAAAGGACTGCTAAAAACATACCTTTTTCATACAACAAAAGAATAAATATTAAGTAGAATTGTACACATACACACATCTAGCTATACACTGCTGGCTTACTCCTACTCATTACTCCTGGGGTCAGCTTTCAAAGCCAGCCCAAGCTAATATCTGTGCTCTCTTCACTATCTCACTAGCAAAGGTAGGGCTCACTCCCATTTCCTCTTGTGCCAACATAAACACACAGACACACACGTAAGCATGCACAATCTCGCTCTGAACCATCATTTCCGCCTAAGATCAAGGTTATCTGGATCAAGTCCTACACATGAGATTTGACTCAACTGCTTCCTTTCTGCAGGTGAATGGAGGACTGCTTTCAAGACTCACCAAGGGAGGCTGCATGCAGGAGGCAGTTCCCATCTCCAGTAGTTGCCAAAGGAAGCAGCCTCTGAGAGGTGGGATCCACACTCACCCACCAGTTCAAACGCCCTGTAGAAACAAGATAGTGGAGGAAAAGGAGATTATCCATGAAGCCCTTCCACCTTCCTATTTCTGAAACAGACTCCAAAGCAGCCTCCTCTAGGAGGCCTACCCAGAATAAAACCATCACTTGATTACTCTTTATATCTTCCTCACTTATATCTAGTCAGTCAGAATCTTGTGAGCACAATTGGTTAGATCAGTGAGTAGGGTCAATTTTGTCCCAAAGGGACACTGGCAATGACTGAAGATATGTTTGCATGTCACAACTGGTAGCAGGATGCTACTGGTATCTAATGGGTAGAGGCCAGGGATGCTGCTAACCATGATATAATGCACAAGGCAGCTTGCAAAACAAAGAATTATCTAGACCAAAATGTCAATAGTGCCAAGGTTGAGAAACCCTGGGTTAAATGACGAGGCCAAGGACATAAGTTGAAACTGTTGACTGCTTGGACTGGCCCTGATTCCTTCCCTCCACTCAGGAGACCAGTATGTATCACAGCAACAAAGCTCAGCAAAAATCCATCATGAACAAAACAAAAACAACTCAAAGCATGTATTTAAGGTGTTTTATGAGTATCATCTGCATATATGACAGCATGTCATCACGTGTGGGGTGTGACTTTAAAGGAATGAGCAATAAGATAAAGTACATAAAATATCCAAGAAAATAAGTCTTAATTCCATGCAGTCATCCCACAATTGCCAACCCATTATTTACATGAGGAAAATATCTTATGAGTGATGCATAAGTTTTCTTGAACTACTGTGGAGCATAGTTTTTGAACTACTGAATGAAAAACTGGCTTATAAACTCCCCAGACCAGATAATTTACCAACTTAAAAAAAAATTACAAATAGATGTATATGGTTAATATAGAAGGTTACAAAATGAAAAATAAAAGCTTCCTTTCCATGCCCTCATCTAACTCCAGTTCTTATCCCACACAAGCATTTTAATGCCTGATTAGCTTTTCCAAAATTCCCAGCTGCCTCACCCTATGATAAGAATTAATTTTAACAATAATTTAAGATAAACACAATTACAAACGTAAATACATTTGGGGGGATAGGTTCACTACTGTGCATCATCTACAGCATTGGTCATTTCTGTTCACAAGGGTGTTCCAGGGCCAATTATAATTAGTTGTATTTTTTTCATGTATTGATTTCGAGGTATTGATTCCTAGGCCTTTTCACATGTGTATCTGGTTTCTCTTCCATCAACCAGGAAATTCCCAGAGTAAAGTATCTAATCTGTATCCATTCTTTGACAGCACAAGTTTATCCCACTGACTCCTGACTTTGCAATCAGATAACACACTTAAACTGGAAGCTAGCGATCAAGTCCAGCCCCTCCACAAGGCTGCCTGTAGGTGGAGAGTAGAGGGAAGAGTGTGGGAGAGGAAGCACTCACTGACCTGCCTGTTCCAAGGCAACCAGCATGGACTGCTCAATGAGGTCTCTCTCTATGAAGCTGCGGAAGTCTTCATTGTATACAGTGAGATCTGGAAGCTGGAAGGCACAGATGGGCATTTCCAGGGGGTGCTCATTGCTCCCCCCACCCCCACCATTGGAGGAGACATGGGACCGGGCCAGGGAAACAATGCTGGAGCTGGCGTGGGAGATGCCCCTAGACAGGCGTTTTTCTGCAATGAGAAATGGAGTCACCTTAGAACATACACAGCCCACTTGGAGAACTCTACACTGATGTGGTGATAGTTACCTCTCAACAGGGTTTACAGTCAGAGAAAAACTAAGTCTAACTGACTACTGAATTTCAGAACCCTTTTTCTGAAGCCAAATACAATTGGAGAAATAGAGACAGTATTTTTGTAGGCACTCACATTAGCACCAAATTATTCATTCCTCTTTCTGCCCTTGTTTGGAATTTGCCTGATCTTCCCCTCCCTCTGACTGTCTTCCTCCACTTCCATATTTCCCAGTGTGATAGGGACCCATTCATTTAGCAATTTGGTCATTGTTTGGTGGGAGGAGAGGGAATAAGGGAAGTGAGGTTTCACTAGACTAGAGTTAGTCAAATAACCTCTCTGGTAATTCTCAGGGTCTTGGGAAATACCTTTTCTAAAGGGTATTTTCATTCTAGAAAGATTATAAAAGAAATCCATTATAGAAAAGAAAATCCTTTGGGAGGCCAAGGCAGGTGGATCACCTGAGGTCAGGTGTTCAAGAGCAGCCTGACCAACGTGGTGAAACACTGTCTCTACTAAAAATACAAAAATTAGCCGGGCATGGTGGTGTGCCCCTATAATCCCAGCTACTCGGGAGGCTGAGGTGGGAGAATTGCTTGAACCTGGGAGGCGGAGGCTGCAGTGAGCCAAGATTGTGCCACTGCACTCCTGCCTGACAACAGAGCAAGACCCCGTTTCAAAAAAAAAAAAAAAAGACAATCAACAACAAATCTTACACATTTGGGAACTTTCTTCCTACATCAATAACATTAATTTATATTGCTTACTACAACTACTCTCAATACCCATATTTATCAGAAATTTATAGGGACAGTCAATTCTTAACAGTCTATAGAGAACAATAATGTAGATAGTACCCCACATCATTTCATTTGTTTTGAATACATGACACTTGTAATTCCCAAGCAGATATTCCACTGTGATTATAATTTGCTCAATGTAGTATTACAGTTCATTTGTATGGCTTCAATTATGTAATGATTTAATGATGATCCAAAGGGGGCAAAATTTCAAAAGCATGTTGGGCTGTTCTTAATACAACATTTGCCAGATATGATACACAAAATAAACTGAGTTGTCTAAAGTTATCTTATAGTGATGTTATTTTTCAAATATTTTTTAGTTTTGTTTGTTTTTGTTCTTTGAGACAGAGTCTCGCTCTGTCGCTCAGGCTGGAGTGCAGTGCTGCAGTCTCGGCTCACTGCAACCTCTGCCTCCCAGGTTCAAGGGATTCTCCTGCCTCAGCCTTCTGAGTAGCTAGGATTACAGGCACACGCCACCACACCCAGCTAATTTTTTTTTTTATTTTAGCAGAGACGGGGTTTCTCCACATTGGTCAGGCTGTTCTCCTCAAACTCCTGGCCTCAGGTGATCTGCCAGCCTTGGCCTCCCAAAGTGCTGGGATTACAGGCGTGAGCCACCACACCCACCTTAAAAATATTTTTTAGGTATTCGTAGGCTGAGCATGGTGGCTCACACCTGTAATCCCAAAACTTTGGGAAGCCAAGGTAGAAGGATCACTTGAGCCCAGGAATTCGAGACCACCTGGGCAACAGAGTGAGACCTAATTTCTACAAAGAATCAAAAATTTAGCTAGGTGAGGTGGTGCGTGCCCATGCTCCCAGCTACTTGGGAGGCTGAGGCAGTAGGATCCCTTGAGCCTAGGAGGTTTAGGCTGTAGTGAGCTGTGTTCCACCAGCCTCACTCCAGCCTTGGAGGACAGAGCAAGACCCTGCCTCAAAAACAGTACCATGTGCCTATGGTAAAAAATCAATATACCATCAAAAGGTATAAAATGATTTCACAAGGAAGTCTTCTTATCATTCAAAATTCCTGATCCCTTCCCCAGAGGCAAACTTTTGTATCCTTCTAGAAATTTTTATGCATACAGAAGCATATACAGGTTTTGGCCGGGCACGATGGCTCACGCCTGTAATCCCAACACTTTGGGAGGCCGAGGCAGGTGGATCACAAGGTCAGGAGATCGACACCATCCTGGCTAATACGGTGAAACCCCATCTCCACTAAAAATGCATGTACAGCTTTTAAAATCATCTTTTAAAACGCAAATGAGAGTATACTACATACATTGCATTGTGTCTTACCTTTTTGAAAAAAATTATATATTTTTTTATATGGAGTCTCACTCCGTCACCCAGGCTGGAGAGCAGTGGTGCAATCTAAGAGGTTTACTACAACCTCTGCCTCCTGGGCTTAAGCAAGTCTCCTGCCTCAGCCTCCCAAGTAGCTGGGATTACAGGTGTGCACCACCATGCCCAGCTAATTTTTGTAATTTTAGCAGAGACAGGGTTTCACCATGTAGGCCAGGCTGGTCTCGAACTCCTGACCTCAGGTGATCCACCAGCCTTGGTCTCCAAAAGTGCTGGGATTACAGGTGTGAGCCATCATGCCCAGCCCCCTTCTGAATAGATTTTAGAAATTTTTCCAAAACAGTACACCAAGTTCTGCCTAATTCTTTCTAATGATTGCAGAGTATTCCACAACATGGATGATTACAATTTACTTAACCATTCCTTTACTAATGGACATTAAATGTTTTCAGGGCCAGGTGCAGTGGCTCACACCTGTAATCCCAGCACTTTGGGGGGCCAAGTCAGATGGATTGCCTCAAGAAAAAAAAAAAGTTTCAAGATTTAATTATTGTAAAATAATGCTGCTGTGAATATCCTTATATGCTGCATTTATGTATTTCTTTTTTTAATTTTTATTCATTTATTTATTTTTTTTTTTGTAGACAGAGTCTCACTGTGTCACCCAGGCTGGAGTGCAGTGGTGTAATCTCAGTTCACTGCAACCTCCACCTCCCAAGTTCAAGCAATTCTCCTGCCTCAGCCTCCCAAGTAGCTGGGATTATAGGCATGTACCACCACGCCCAGCTAATGTTTGTATTTTTAATAGAGATGGGGTTTTACCATGTTGGCCAGACTGGTCTCGAACTCCTGACCTCAGGTGATCCACCCACCTCGACCTCCCAAAGTGCTGGGATTACAGGTGTGAGCCACTGCACCTGGCCTTATGTATTTATTTAGAGAATACTTATGTGCACATACACATATATGATAAATTGCTAGATATGAAATTGCTAAGTCAGAGTACATATGCATTTTAATTTTGATAGATATTGGCAAATATTAACAAATTACCCCCCAAAGAGGTAATGACTCTTTCAATTCTACCTTTATGTGAACTTTATATCAACAAGGAGATTGTTATCCTCCTTCCTCTATTTCTTTCACAGTATCTGAGGAAGGCTTTTATACAGGATAACACTAAAGATGCAGAGACGCAGTGAGGGACTGCAGCACCTGGGCAGACTGAGGCCACCTCAGTCTGGGTTTGGCTGGGAGAAGGGGAAGAAATGGAATCACCTCCAATGGATCACTAGACTTTATGACTCCATTTAACAATCCCCTCCCTTCCTACTCCATATACGGAAACATTCCAGTCACCCCAGTACCTTGAACGATGTCATCCTGCCGCTGGAGGATGGGTCGGGGAGGGCGAGTAGGCTCTCTGTCAGAAAACCCTTTTTCAGGGGTCCTGGAGCCACCACTCCCCTCACTAAAGGATGGGGGTAGGTTTCCAGCATGGACTTGACGTAGCTGTTCAAAATCACTGAGGGCGGCATTCACATCCCAATTCTTTCCTGTCAGGAGACAAAGCAAAAAGCAAACTGTGCAACCATAGTATAGAGACACAAAGATCACACTAACTATCCTATCAAAACCAGTATGCAAATACGCATGCACATAATCATTCTTCTTTTCCTTACCCTGCTTTAATTTTCTTTATAACACTTCAATCTAACTTATCAAATGTCTTTACTTACTTATTTGTTGTCTATTTCCTAAGTAAGTGCCATGAAAATAGAAACTTTGTCCCTCTGAACTAAAAGAGCCCTTAAAGATCTAGTAACCGAAAATTAAAACTTCCTTTTACAGATAAAGTCTAGAGAAGTAAATTATTTGCCCAAAGTCACAGCTAGTTCACACCAGACCCAGCAGGACTCAGGCCCAGGTCTCCTAATTCTGAGATCCAAAGAGGTTCTTAGCCTACATGTACTCTAGTGTGTCCTAAACCACTAAACCTGCATATAAGATCATGGGCTTGTGCATTTTCTAGTGAAAGAGTTCATAGCTGTCATCAGCTTTTCAAAGGAAACAGTGTTTCCCCCAAATTTAAGAATCACCATTCTACTAAAGAAATGACCTTAAATGATAAGATTTGTCATAATGGATTTTTCTGATGCTTTCTCCAGCTAAATTATTCAACAAATATGCATTGTATAATTGCTCACATTTCTTTCTGTTGTATTCCATCTACTACCACCTTAATTCAATTCCTATCACCTACTGTCCTACCTCCGATCCATTCCAAAGAATCCCATGAGATTAATCTTTCTAAAGCACAGTTGTGATCATTTTAGTTCCATAATCGAGATTTTTAATGGCTTACCACTGCCTACAGAATAAAACTCAGGCTCTTTGGCTTGATACTCAAGGCTTTGTATGTCCTGGCCTACTTTTCTGGCCTCTTCTCTGTGCTTCAATTTCCTTATCCGTGAAAATGCAGATGATAGTAGCAGTGCCTACCTCATAGAGCTGTTATGAAGATTAGATGAGTTGAAAGCACTTAGAATAGTGGTTGGTTTTACTCACAATTTTACGTCTAAATCATTACTGATGATTTTACTTCTAAATCATTACATTAGCCAATTGTTCTGACTCCCTTTGCTCACTCTGTTCCAGTCATCACTGACCTTGCTGTTCCTAGAACATGCTAAGTCCACTCTCACTCTAGGGCCTTTCCACTGACTATTCCCTCTACCTAGAAGGCTCTTTCCCCAATATATCCACACAGACAACTCCTCATTAGCTTTAGGTATTTGCTTAAACATCACATTGTTAGTAAGGCCTACCCTGACTTAAAAATCACAACCCACTTCATCATTCCCTTTACTCTTCTCCATAGCACTTAACAGTTTATAATATACTTTATAATTTACTTAGTTATCACATTTGTTGTTTATTGACCCTCTCTCCTGCTAGAACATGAAGGCAGGTATTTTTGTTTGTTTTGTTTTGTTGGAGCATCTAGAACAGTACCTGGCACACAGTAGTCACTCAATAAATATTTGTTGAATTAATGGATAACTCTTCTCCTGAATCAATGCATGAACGAGTGACATCTGCCTTGAGCATCGGATCTATACTTCCAACTGTCTGCAAATCTCCTTAAAATCAGGTCTTCCTAACAATCCACATGGCCAAATTGAGTATCCATCATTTTCCTTCCCAAAACTTGCTGCTTCTCCTCTTCCTATGTTCCCTAAATCAGTAATGGCATCACAATCCCTCCAGGCCCTGAAACTTCAGTCATTTTTAGCTCCTCAAGTTTCCTCAGATTGCACTCTTCCTCTTCCCTCACCACCAAGTCAATTTGTACCCCTAAAACATCTCTCAAATCCATTTCTTATTATCCATTTTTATTGCCACTGCCCCATTTGAGGTCCTCATAATCTTTACTTAGTCTTTGGTCTTTTAGGAAGGAATTCTCTATCTGGTCTCTCTGCTCCTAATCTCTTTCCTTTCTAATTTGTTCTTTATAATACGATAGTTTACTTTTGATTTCTTTCTCTCATTTTCAATTATCAGTATTGAACAGTCCCATTAGCCAGGTGTGGTGGTGTGTGCTCGTGGTCCTAGCTACTCAGGAGGCTGAGATGGGAGGCTCACTTGAGCTCAGGAGGCCAAGGTTGCAGTGAGCTGAGATCACACAACTGCACTCCTGCCTGGGTGACAGAGTGAGACCCCATCTCATACAAAACAAAACAAAAATCAAATAGTCCTATTGAAATACAATCAGTTAACTGTTGTTGTTGTTGTTATTGTTGTTTTTGAGATGGAGTCTTGCTGTGTCGCCCAGGCTGGGGTGCAGTGGCACGATCTCGGCTCACTGGAACGTTCTCCTCCTGGGTTCAAGCAATTCTCCTGCCTCAGCCTCTCGAGTAACTGGGATAACAGGCGCGTGCCACCATTCCTGGCTAATTTTTGTATTTTTAGTGGAGATGGGGCTTCACCCTGTTGGCCAGGCTAGTCTCGAACTCCTGACCTCAGGTGATCCACCTGCCTCGGCCTCCCAAAGTGCTGGGGTTACAGGTGTGAGCCACCGCACCTGGCCTCAGTTAACTTTTAAAAGAAAAAACAAGCAACAGAGAGAAAATGAGGATGAGGTCCTTTTATGCCCCTTCTAATTTTTTTTTTTTTTTTTGAGATGGAGTCTCTTTCTGTTGCCCAGGCTGGAGTGCAGTGGCATGATCTCAGCTCACTGCAATCTCCACCTCCTGGGTTCAAGCAATTCTCTGCCTCAGCCTCCCGAGTAGCTAGGATTACAGGCACGCGTCACCACGCCCGGCCAAGTTTTCTATTTTTTTAGTACAGACAGGGTTTCACCATCTTGGCCAGGCTGGTCTTGAACTCAACGGAGTCTCGTTCTGTCACCCAAGCTGAAGTGCAGTGGTGCAATCTCGGCTCACTGCAACCTCTGCCCTCCTGGGTTCAGGCGATTCTCACGCTTCAACCTCCTGAGTAGCTGGGATTACAGGCATGTGCCACCACGCCCACCTAAGTTTTTTGTATTTTTCCTTCTAAATTATCTTAATTCCACCTCCTTCTATCTATTGCTACCACCATAGTCTGCAACATCATCATCTGTCACCTGAACTAAGGCAATATTCCTAACTGTTTTAATCATTTCTTCTCTGGCCAGAGTGTTCTCTACAAGTACATTGTTAAAAACTCAAATCCAATCATGTCACTCCCCTGATTAAAATCCTTCACCAGTTTCCTAGTGAACTTAGAATAAAATTTAAACTCCTCGTCATGGCCTACAAAGGCCCTACACTCTTTTTTTCTTTTATTTTTCTTCTTTTTTTTTCTTAGTTAACTTTTTTTTTTTTTTTGTAGACAGAGTCTCACTCTGTCACCCTGGCTGGAGTGCAGTGGCAGAATCTCGACTCACCGCAGTCTCTGCCTCCCGGGTTTAAGAGATTCTCCTGCCTCAGCCTCCCAAGCAGCTGGAACTACAGGCACCCGCCACCACACCCAGCTAATTTTTGTATTTTTAGTAGAAACGGGGTTTCACCATGTTGGCCAGGCTGATCTCAAACTCCTGAACTCAGGTGATCCGCCTGCCTCAGCCTCTCAAAGTGTTAGGATTACAGGCATAAGCCACTGCACCCAGCCTCTTTCTTTTTCTTTCTTTTTTTTTTAAGAGATGAGGTCTTGCTATGTTGCCCAGGCTGGTCTCAAACTCCTGGGCTTAATTAAGCGACCGTCCCACCTCAGCCTCCCAGGTAGCTGGGATTACAGTGAATGCCACCACACCTGGCTAGAGCCCCTATTTTCTGCTTCCTGCCTATCTCACCAGCTTCCTACCACTTTTGCACCATTCTTACTACCTCATTATTAATAGTTTCTCCAATGTGCCAAACTCTCTTGCACCTTAGGGCCCTTGCATAAACTGTTTATTCTGCATAAACACTCTCTTCTACATCCCTTTGTCTTGCTGCTCCTACTTGTCCTTCAGGGCTCAGCTTAAAAATCACTCCTCGGAAAAGGCCTTCCTGCACTCTAGATCTAAGTTAGGGTTCTTTCTTCACTCTCACAGCACCCTCAATGTTTCTTTCACAGCATGAGTGTATGTGTGTGTGCACACATGTGAGCATGCTAGCAATAATTTGTAACATAATTGCTTACAGCCATACTCTGAAACCAGATTGCCTAGATTCAAATCCTACTTAAACCTCACTGAGCCTCAGGTTTTAAAATTATTAACTCCAGGATAATAAAACTTTATTGTATGGTGGTTGTGAGAATAAAATAACATATCTCAAGTACGTTGCACATATTGAACACTCATAAGTGTTCAACACATGTTATAAGAGGAATGCAGAAAGGTTAAGGATTTTATGAAAGAGGAAACATTTGAGCTGAATCTTGAAGGATGAGGAGAATAGAGGAAAGAAATGCTCCAGACTGAGGAAGTAACCTAACATGATCACCAAGAGGTGACAAGTCAGGCCTGGCTGCATAGGAAGTATAGGGAAAAGTAGTAGGAGAAGAAACTAAAAATGCAAATTAGGCTGGGCAGGGTGGCTCATGCCTGCCAGCACTTTGGGAGGCTGAGGTGGGTAGATCACGAGTCAGGAGTTTGAAACCAGCCTGGCCAGCATTGTGAAACCCCATCTCTACTAAAAATACACAAATTAGCCGGGCATGGTGGCGCGCGTCTGTAGTCCCAGCTACTGGGGAGGCTGAGGCAGGAGAAACGCTTGAATCTGGGAGGCGGAGGTTGTGGTGAGCCAACATCGCGCCACTGCACTCCAGCCTGGGCGACAGAGTGAGACTCTGTCTCAAAAAGAAAAAAAAAGAAATGCAAATTAAGGACAAAGTTGTACTAAATTACTAAACTGGAATTTAAACCCTGATCTTCTGTTTCCAAACTCATGCTCTCCTCACGGGTAGCCAAGCAAATGTCTAATTGTCACACCTTGCTAAGGGCTGGCAATTTAAAATATTACCTATGTATGCTAAGAACTTGCCCCTTCCCCATAGGCCTGCCTGTTTGTGTCATTACATATTTTCATCTATTATTTGTGACTCTAAACAGAATCCTAGGGACATGATTCTAACCCTTCAGGACCTTAAAATCTAGAACATTCAGCCAGGCATGGTGGCTCATGCCTGAAATCCCAGCACTTTGGGAGAGGCCGAGGCAGGCGGATCACCTGAGGTCGGGAGTTCGAGACCAGCCTGACCAAAATGGAGAAACCCCATCTCTACTAAAAATACAAAATTAGCTGAGTGTGGTGGTGCATGCCTGTAATCCCAGCTACTCCGGAGGCTGAGGCAGGAGAATTGCATGAACCCGGGAGGAGGAGGTTGCAGTGACCCGAGATCGCACCATTGCACTCTAGCCTGGGCAACAACAGCAAAACTCCGTCTACAAAAAAAAAAAAAAAAAAATACTAGAACATTCAAACTTATGTGTATAAAGATATAAGTAAACAAAAGCAGCAAAATGAAAACATTAAATTGATTCACTCAACATAGAATTACCCATAATGTATGTTATGTAAGGAAAGAACAAAACCATGGATGATCCCATCATGAAAACCCTAAAGTCACTTCTATATAAAGAGGAAGTCTTACAGATCTAAAATTATGCTTTTAGGCCGGGCACAGTGGCTCATGCCTGTAATCCCAGCACTTTGGGAGGCCGAGGCAGGCAGATTACCTGAGGTAAG
Organism: Homo sapiens; assembly: GCF_000001405.40. NCBI lineage: Eukaryota > Metazoa > Chordata > Mammalia > Primates > Hominidae > Homo > Homo sapiens. The sequence goes on from NC_000001.11 coordinate 149,976,913, forward strand.
GAGTTCAAGACCAGCCTGGCCAACAGGTGAAACTTAATCTCTACTAAAAAATACAAAAATTAGCCAGGTGTGGTGGCAGGCACCTGTAATCCCAGCTACTCAGGAGTCTGAGGCAGGAGAATTGACTGGACCTGGGAGGCAGAGACTGCAGTGAGCCAAGATCATGCCACTGCTCTCCAGCCTGGGCAACAGAGCGAGACTCTGTCTCAAAAATAAATAAATAAAATAAAATAAAATAAAATTATGTTTGTAATGGACTAATATAAAATTTCACTTGCATTGCCTGAGCATAAACTGACAATGGAGAAAACTACCCCAGTAAGTTCAAGGTGAAAAAGGGATTTTAAAATTTCTAATTATGACGGGTTATACACAAAGTATATCATTAGAATTAACTATAGGGCCTAACCTACACAAAGTATCTTCCTGATCACCTTAAATGGTCCAAATCATCCTAATGATAAATACCACATTTTACTTTCTCTTTTCTCATTCTCCCCTACAACTCCTCACCTTCTAGGAGATCTCGCGCTAGCCCTGGCTCTGCTCCTGTGGAACGGACAAAATCTGACAGAACAGCATCCATGTCCAGGGTCATGTGATCCTCAAGTACTTTCAGCCAGCTGGATGTAGGTAGAACATAGATCAAAATTCAGGCCTCCACCTGAGGAATAAATAAATACATAAGGCTCAAATTACACTGGAACAGGATAATCACAGTCCCATGTCAGCAGCTTCCTAACCAAATGGGGAAACTATCCTAGCTCATTCATTTCAGTTGAATTTTAAAATACAGCACTTTAAAATTATGAAGAGTAACATTTTATTTCCTAACTCTTCATTAACATCTCAACATCTACATTAACCAGGAACCTGTAATACCACTCTGAAAAATGCTTTTCCTGTACTTTTCCTGAGTACTGCTTTTCTACCATGAGTTTGCTTACCCAAACTAAAGAAGGAAGCAACAGGCTACCACCCTAAAGAACTCCCCACCTGCAATAGTCTCTAACATGGCACCTTTGTGTATTTCCTTACTGGCACTTGAATACTCTCAAATTATTTTAATTAGTTGCTGTCTAGCCATCTCCTCTAATATATGTTTCTTGAAAGCAGGAAACTTGTATGTCTCCTTCACTAATGTATCCCCTGCACGTATCACTTGGCACAGTGCTAGGCACACTGGCCCTCAATAAATATTTGTTGAGTGAATGAACAATTACTATACACTGGATAATTTCAGAGTTGACTAGTGTTTTGATGCTAGCAGAGGAGTAAACTGATAGCTAAAATTACTCAAAATACAGTATTAGGCCAGGTGCGGTGGCTCACGCCTTTAATCTCAGCACTTTGGGAGGCCGAGGCAGGTGTATCACCTGAGGTCAGGAGTTTGAGACCAGCCTGGCCAACATGGCGAAACCCTGTTTCTACTAAAAATACAAAAATTAGCCAGGCATGATGGCGGGCACCTGTAATCCTAGCTACTCGGGAGGCTGAGGCAGGAGAATCCCTTGAACCTACGTGGGGCAGAGGTTGCAGTGAGCCGAGATCACACCACTTCACTCCAGCCTGGTCAAAAGAGCGACTGTCTCAAAAAACTAACTTAAATTAAATTAAAGAATAAGTTATTCCACAAAGCAGAGTGGGGACCCAAAAGGTTCATAACAAGATTCAATCTCTGTCCATTAACCTCTTGAACCCAGGAAACACATCTACTCCAAACACGTCTTTCTCCACACAGGACAGATGACTGTCAAATAAGTTCAACTGAAAAAGATCTCTTCTTTCAGACTTTGGCAGAAACTATGTCCCTAACCTGACAGCCTGGCACCAATCCAACATTCCTCTGAGGTTAAAAGTCAGAGGGAAGCAATAACAGAGTAAAGAACAATCTCTGATCAAATTCTGCCAAGTTTACAGCTTTCTATAGAAGACTCATTCATTAAGTTGCCAGGTACACTTGCCCTACCATACCCACCAATCCCCTGCCTTTTGGGAAAGGTCAAAGCATAATTGTTGAAGGCAAAAAGTGGCAAGGCAAATAAACAAAAAAGATTTGTGGGTTATAAAACCAGCAGGTCACTAACTTGCTAACACTGGATTTTTTTTTTTTTGAGACAGAGAAAGATGGCAAAATAGAAATTTTTCTCTCTTGTCCTGTTCTAATAGTACAAGAGATCCATGAGCGCAGGGACACGATTTCTTCATTTTTGTAACTCCAACATCTAGTGTAGCATCTATAATATGGTAGGTAGTCAAATGCCTGATGAATAAATGATTCAATGACTAAGCCAATTTCCACATCAGCTACCAACAAACCAACCAATTTGAAGCTTAGCAGATCAGAAATTCTACGGCACTTCTTATCACCATTCTATTTCTAAGTTTTAAAAACTCTCCTTTCCAAAGGGACATCAACCATGCTGTCACAACTCTTACCTCCCTCACACTACATGAGTTTACCTACATACACCTATATGTATTAACTAGGTGACTTTGGTCAAATTACTTACAGGGTTTCAGTTGTCTCTTCTATAATCTAGACTTGTATTAGATGACTCATAAGATACTTTCAAGGTTTAAAAAATAAACTTCTTCAGTTCACTATAGCCTCATGATCTATGATCTTTGACTATCATTCTAGATATTGTCAATTTTAAATTTACCTGAGTTTCAACATCATAATTATCAGAAAGAATTACTAATACATAAAGAACTTTTGGTCTAAGATACCTCAAATTCAAAATGTCAAATTCAAAATGTCAAATTCAAATGTCAAATTCAAATTCAAAATGTCAAGTCCCTTACCTTCAGGAATTAGGAATTAAATTCCTTCAGAATTAATAGATGAATGAATCCTCCCCCTACCCCCCAGTACAGGCAAGAATTTCTTCTCCAAACCCATTTTAGCCACAGCCTTAGGTCAGAGGAAGTGGTAGCAGCTCAAATAACTTATACACATGAATAATCCAAAACCAAGTGTATAGCTGCAAAATAAATTTCAATCTTCTCTCTTTAAAAAAAAGCAACGCAACTGTAAAGCCATTTTAATAACTTTCTGAAAGAATGTGAGAAATATACAATAAGTACACAAAATAGTAATCACAAACAGGTGCTCAGCAAAAAGGAAAAGAGTTGACTAAGCCATAGGCATACAGGCAATTTCACAGCCAGACAGTCTTCTGGGTGAGAGAAGTGAATGAAAACTAGTGTTATGGCATCATAGATCTCACATGTCAACACAGCACACAGGCTATTCTTCTCAAAAAACATTTTAACAAAGTAATTTAGAGGTTCAACATTATCTAGAATGCCTTGCTCTTTAGCAAAAATTTGAAGCACTAAGCCAAACTTCCTAACAGCACATTCTTACATTTGATGTCTCCAGGTGCATGCTGTGGACCCTGACCTAACCCCACCCAACAGGTGAGAACAACAGCTTTTGTTACATCACCACTAATACCTTGCTTAAGCTTTTCAAATTCCAAATGGAGATATCAAACCAATGATTAAAACACAGTGTTTGGGCCGGGCACAGTGGCTCACGCCTGTAATTCCAGCACTTTGGGAGGCCGAGGAGGGTGGATCACCTGAGGTCAGGAGTTTGAAACCAGCCAGGCCAACATGGTGAAACCCTGTCTCTACTAAAAATACAAAAATTTGCTGGGTGTGGTGGCTAGTCCCAGCTACTAGGGAGGCTGAGGCAGAAGGATCACTTGAACCAGGAAGGTGGAGGTTGCAGTGAGCTGAGATGGCACCACTGCACTCCAGCCTGGGCGACAGAGCAAGACTCTGTCTCGAAAAAAACAAAAAGTTTGGGCTGGGCACAGTGGCTCATGCCTGTAATCCCAGCACTTTGAGAGGCTGAGGCAGGAGGATCACTTGAGCCCAGGAGTTTGAGACCAGCCTGGACAACACAGTGGGACCCTGTCTCTAAAAACCTTTTTTAAACTAATTAAGCATGGTCGTGTGTGCCTGTAGTCCCAGCCACGTGAGTGGCTGAGGTGGGAGGATTGCTTGAGCCTGGGAGGTCAAGGCTATATAGTGTGCGACAACTGTGCCCCTACTCTTCAGGCTGGGCAACAGAGTGAGACCCTGTTTCAAAAAAAAAAAAAAAAAAAAAAAAAAGCAAACCAAACACACAGTTTTTGGCTCTGTCTCAGGGAGGAGGAGGAGGAGGAAGAGGAGGAGGAAGAGGAGGAGGAGGGGGAGGGGGAGAAGAAGAAAAGCAGTGGCTTTCAACCTTTCAAATAAAACAGAGGAGGTTTTCAACTATTTGTTAACTGAATGGTGTAAAGACAGCTCTCACCTGGCATCATCTTCCAACTGAAAGGGACTTTAGCAATTACGTAATCCAAATACCTGCCCCCATGCAAGAATCCTTCTATTACATCTCTGACAAATCACATAGTCTCCACTTGGATACAAGGTCTGACAGGGACCTCATTACTTTGCTATAATGTCTACTTTATTACTGGACAGCTTTAACTGTTAGAAAATGCTTTTCTAAACTAAAACAAAAGCTATCACCAGCCTCACACCCCAACTATAACTTTCACATACCGGTTTTGATTCTGTTCTCCAGGACAATAAAATCTACTTCCCAAGGATGATGGAATTTTCATGCAAAATTGTTAGACAAAGCATTTCTTTACATAAACATTTGTTGTAGATCAGCATCATGATGTTGTTATGAGCCAAACAGTGGCCTTATTTTACAAAATCCTGTCTTATATCAGTACTTGCTTGTACCTATATTCATTCATAAATATTTGTGCTGACCTCATTGTATAAACTTAACAGGCTGAATAAATTATGTTGTTCAAAATTCGCTTCTGCTATCTTTGCCTCTCACCCCTACTTCCACTTCCAGACCATCTTGAAGTAATGACGCAGTCAAGAATAAAAACTAACAAGTTAATATTAGTTAAGCACTTCTAAAAACACTCTTACTCGGCCAGGCACAGTGGCTCACGACTGTAATCCCAGCACTTTGGGAGGCCGAGGCAGGTGGATCGCAAGGTCAGGAGATCGAGACCATCCTGGCTAACACGGTGAAACCCTGTCTCTACTACAAATACAAAAAATTAGCCGGGCGTGGTGGCGGACGCCTGTAGTCCCAGCTACCCGGGAGGCTGAGGCAGGAGAATGACGTGAACCCGGGAGGCGGAGCTTGCAGTGAGCCGAGATCGCGCCACTGCACTCCAGCCTGGGCGACAGAGCGAGACTCCATCTCTAAATAAATAAATAAATAAATAAATATAAAAAATAAAAACATTCTTACTCATTAATGACAAAACTCTTGCAGCAGGTCTCATTATTCCCAATTTATAAACAGAGAAAAAAAAAGACTTCAAAAGTCAGGTAGGTGGCCAAAAGTCTGAACCTAGATAGTCTGAACCCATGCTCTTTCACTGTACCATACTAGGGGATGCATTACTGATTCCTGGAACTCCCCTGATTCTTGCCCATTTAATTTGTTCACCATAGGAAAAGGTTGTGCCTATCTCTCGTATTTATCAAAGACTTAAACACCTGCCTTATATAACTTTATTTATTTATTTAGAGACAAGGTCTAGCTCTGTCACCCAGGCTGGAGTGCAGGAGTTTGATCTTGGCTCACTGCAACCTCCACCCCCCAGGCTCAGGCAGTCCTCCCACCTCAGCCTCCTGAGTAGCTAGGACCAAAGGCACTTAAATAACTTTAAATCCTACCATCTTCCTGAGCAATTTCAGTATCCATCTGCACAACTCGCCTAACATTTCTGCCTTAGAATTTCATTATCTCTTCTAATACTAAGACCACCTCCACAACAACAACTCAAACCTGGACCCTGCCATGTCCTGAAACCATTCCACCTCTAAATCTTAAACTCAAACATTTTACTCTGGCCACAACCTCATCTCCTTCCAGCTTCTCCTCTCTTACTTTTTTTTTTTTTTTTTTTTTTTAAGACGGAGTCTCGCTCTGTCTCCCAGGCTGGAGTGCAGTGGCCTGATCTCGGCTCACTGCAAGCTCCGCCCCCCGGGTTCACGCCATTCTCCTGCCTCAGCCTCCCGAGTAGCTGGGAAGCTGGGACTACAGGCGCCTGCCACCACACCCAGCTAATTTTTTTGTATTTTTAGTAGAGAGGGGGTTTCACCGTGTTAGCCAGGATGGTCTCGATCTCCTGACCTCGTGATCCACCCGCCTTGGCCTCCCAAAGTGCTGGGATTACAGGCGTGAGCCACTGCGCCCGGCCTCCTCTGTACTTTTAAACCTGCCTGCTCACTAAGACATCCAGTCTCTTAACCACCTTATTCATTAATTCAACAGAAGTATTTGGAGTGCCTTTGTGTGAGGCACTATGCTCATGAGTAAAAACACAACAGTGAACTAGACACAATCCCTATCCTCAAAAGCTTCCAGCATGGAGGAAAAAACCACAAAATCCTACCATCTTCCTGAGCAATTTCAACAACCACCTGCACAATTCATCTAACATTTCTGCCTTTCATAATCTTTTCAAATATTTTCACAAACAATTATAATAAAGCAATGTTAGAGAAGGGAGTGTTATCTCCTATAGGGAGTCAGGAAAAGCTTCCCCAAGGAAATTATGTTTCATCTATGAATTAAGATTAATTAAGATTAAGCAGCAATTGGAGAGACAAATTGGGAAAGGAAGAACGCTCCAAGCAGAGGAAACATGCGCTAAACTTCCGTGGCAGGAAGGAACATAAAGATGAGAATGTTGCTACAGGAGGATGAAGAGAGGGCCTAGTGGACCCTGTTAAAGATTTGAGATCTTATCTTAAATATAATGGGAAGCCACTGAAAGGTTGCACGCAGAGGTAGAACATAATCAGATGTGAATTGTTAAAAGATCACCCTGGTTACAATGTGAAGAGTTTGGAAGAAGCACAGTGGATTTAGGGAGAGAATTGATTAGAAAATTCTTGCAAAATAGCGCTAAACCAGGATAAAAGCAGTGAAGGTTGAGGGAAATGGATAGATTCCACTTTATCTCTTCTTACCTAACAAAGTAAAACCAATAATTGATCACCTAATTTACTTTCCTGTGAAAATTTAGTTTCCTTATCCATTTCATCTGTCCAACTTGGATGGATCCCACATTCTAACTTCCCTGCTAACCTTGCAGAGCAATATGACTACTAACATGTTATTCAGCCACCTTGCTTTTATTGAAACACTGCTATCTTTGCTTTAGTACCTCAATCAATCTTCTGAGCTACTATCCCATACCTTCACCATGCTCCTTGAGCCTCCCACCCAAGCCACATCACCTCCCCTTACTCCTGTCAAATGACCTTGCCTCCTACTTCACAGAAAAAAAAATTACAAAGCAAAGCAAGAGGGGTTCCTTTAGGTTTCCTCCCCTGCTCCTATTTGTTGGCGGTTACTCTCCTCTTCCCTGCAAATCTCCTTGTCCTCAACCTACAAAAATAGGCTTCTGCAGAAAGAGAATGGCACTGGCTTATATATAAGATGAACACAATCATCCTTACTTCTGCTCTCTTTGTAGCATTTGACACTTACTGACCACTCTTCCTGCTTCTCTGGCCCTGTGTCTTGGTCGTCTTTGTGGACTCCCATTTCTGTGACTGAACCAAACTTAGTGCACCCACCATTCTAGCCTTAGGCCTTCCATCTTCTCATTGAAACTTCATTCACAGCCCTAAGCACCCAAATGTTCATGACTCCAAATGTATCTGCACCCCCAAATTCTTTCCACCTCACCTGGGAATCATACAGGCACTTAAAATTCAGTATATAAAAACATGAGCTTATTCTCTCATCTCTGTCTCCCATCCTTTCAAACTATTCCTCTTCCAGTACTGCCTATTGTAGCAAATAGTCCCCAATCATCCAAGTCACAAGCCAGGGAGCCGCCCTGGACTTCTCTCTTGCCTTATCCACACAAATAATCTTTCACTAAGTTTTACTAATTTTACCTTAAATATCTCTCAAATCCCTGCAAAACCTTCCACAGGCTACAGCTCTTTTATTCTATCTCAGGTTTTCATAACCTGCACCCCAGGAAATAGCTCCCTAACTCCTCCCTCTACCTCTCTCCGTCAATTGATTGGCCTCCACAGGCAACCACTATGAGCAATTTAAAATGCCAGTATTATAGTATTACATCCCACTGTTCTAAATTCTTCAATGGATTTTCAATGGCTAAAGCCTAAGACTCAAATTCCTATACAGAGGCCAGGCACAGTGGCTCATACCTGTAATCCCAGCACTTTGGGAGGCCGAGGCGGGCAGATCACTTAAGGTCAAAAGTTCAAGACCAGCCTAGCCAACATGGTGAAACCCCATCTCTGCTGAAAATAGAAAAATTAGCCAGGCGTGGTGGTGTGTGCCTTTTATCCCAGCTACTCGGGAGGCTGAGGCAGGAGAATCACTTGAACCTGGGAGGTGGAGGTTGAGTGAGCCAGGATCATGCGACTGCACTCCAGCTTGGGCGACAGAGCGAGACCCCATCTCAAAATAAACAAACAAAAAAACAAATTCCTATACAGGGTCGGGCATGCTGGCTCACGCCTGGTGGCTTGCACCTATAATCTTAGCACTTTGGGAGACCACGGAGGAAGGATCACTTGAGTCCTGGAGTTTAAGACCAGCCTGAGCAATGTAGCAAGAACCCATCTCTACAAAAAAATTAATTAATTAATTTAATTAGTCGGGTGTGGAGGTGCACTCCTGTAGTCCCAGCTACTCAGGAGGCTGAGGTGGGAGGATCACTTGAGCACAGAAGGTTGATGCTGCAGTCAGCCATGATGGCACCACTGCACTCAGCCTGAGGGACACAGTGAGACCCTGTATGAAAAAAAAAAAAATCTATACAGGACAAACAAGGCCCTTCATGATCTGGCTCTACCTAATTCTCCAGCCTTTTCTACCTCCCATTATTCCCTTCCTTGTACTGGGAGTTCCCGAAGTGTACTATGTGCTTCAAATCTCAGTCCCTTTGCACATATTGTTCCCTCTAACTGGAGTAACTCCTAGGTGTAGCAGGTGAATTCTCACCTCTTCTTTAAAACTAACTTAAGTACTACCTCATTTGCAAAAGTTCTCTGACTTCCTAAATTGCCCACTTCTTTCTTGGTGCCCCCACTGCACCCTGTATGCTACTTCTACCATAATGTTTATCACCCTGCATGGTAGTTGTGTTTATTTACATGTTTGTCTCCCCACTAAACCAGGAACAATTTGAGGGCAGGAATCTTGGCTTGTTCATCCAATATTCCCCAGCATCCAAGCACAGCAGGCAATTTTTGTTCAGATGAACTGAAGTATATTTGTATGGTACCCCATCACACACACACACACACACACACACACACACACACAGTACTGTTGATAGTCTATCAGTGTTGTACACAGACAAGTCTAAAACAGTAACTCATCTCAAAGACATATGTTTAAGATTGTTATACGACTTTATTTGCAACAAATTTCTCTTCCTAAACATTGTTTAGCTCAGAGTAATATTAAAATCAGTCTGCATATTCCAAGTGTCCAACTTACTTAATAACAGAGAAAAATGACCCAAAATTAAAGACCATGGATAATAACCCTCTATTAAAATGCCAGAGAAACTACTGACCGTACATTCTCTCATTTACAACATCCCCCAAAGCTTCCAGAGTTTCACTCTCTAACCGTCTCCTGATTCCACTGAAGCATTAGAGCTGCATTTGAGTCCTCTCCAACTCTTCCCATAACTCACTGGAAAACCACAACATTCAAGACTGTCAAAAACTTTAAAAAGTCAGAGACTCCTCCATGTCTATGATGTCAGTCCCAAGGAATCCAGACAGAGAGAAAGAGGAGGGACAGAGGCACTTAGAACTTTCACATAATTCTTGATTAGGTGGGAGGGAGAGATGAATAATTGTCTTGGCAATTTGTTTTTAGTTAATATGGGTCCTTCAAGTCAAAGAAACAAAATATAACCTTCTTAGAAAATATGACCAATTTTACTATATTTTTTCTTTTTTCTTTTATCTGTGGATCTAGTCCTGAATCCAGACCAATCCTACTCTAAAGGGATCTATATAACACTAAATGTTACAATCCAGAAGTAACAAGATGAGTCTCAAAGTAAGAAGAGAAAGAAAGTAATATGTTTTAAAGCTTTAGATATTATTTCATTTAAACTTCCAAACAACTCTGAGAACTTGGTATTGTTACTCCACATCACAGATGAAGATACTAAAGCTCACAGAGGTTAGGTAATATGCCCAAGGCAACACAGGTAAAAGTGGCAGACCCAGGATTTTTATCAACCCAGCCCAGCTGACTCCAGAGAACATACGCTCACATACAATGCCACATTTTGTCCAGGGAGGAGGACTAAGAAAACACGGGCAGTCCACCATGTGGAAGTCCACCCTCACTGCTTCAACTCCTCTCAACTCCACATCAGAAGAAAGAACTGGCTCTGGATTCAGACAGATCTTGGTTCCAATCCCAGAGCTACTATTTAAGGGCTGTGTAATCATAGGTAAGTAATATAACCATTTTGTGCCTCAGATTCTTCATGTATAAAATGGGGGAAATGTATGCATTTCAGCCCTCCTGTTAGGATTAAATAACATACGTGAAGCCTTAGGGCAGCTTATTGATATACAATAAATCCTCAACAATTGTCAGTTGCCTTCTTTCTGCCCAATTCATTTCCATACACTCTCACTCCACTGGTGCCCAACATAGCCCCCTCCCTGTATCTTTCCTTTAAAAGCTTCCTCTACCCCTCCCAAACAAACCCTTCAGTCCCACGACCATTTCCAAAACAGAGTCTTGACACATACACACAGTGCCCAGCCCATCATTTCCAATCCAGTGTCTTTCAACTCAAGCCTTCAAGAAAATACCCTAAAGGGGGTCCCTTAGTTGTACCTTCCACCAGATGGTCTCTCAAAAATAACAGCAAAAGAAAAGTGTCTGTCCCTTCCTAGATGTACACAGCTACATAGCTCATTCATTCCCAAATCTCCAGGAACAGCAATTTCATACATATTTACTGGAATCCCAATGTCTTAATCTACCAATCCTACCTCCCCCACCTGTACCTCTTACTACTTCTACTCATTCCAGGTTCAAAGATTTTGTAATAGTCTCTTAATCTCATGTATATTATCTATTTTTTTGATTATTGGAAGGAAATGTTTACATATCCTTCTACTCACCCTGCATACTTCTGGGTTGTTTTCTACCTCTAATGCAGGATATACTTTGGGAATGTCTACTTTCTCCCCCTAAGTCAAACATGGAATAAAAAAAAAAATCTCAACTCAATCATATAACCACTCCCAAAACAATTTATTTGTTTATCATATGCTATTGTGGATACACAACATTAAGGTCTCAGGAACTAGTCCCTGGTGGCTTCATCACTACCACTAGTATGTGTGTGTGTCAGAAAAAAATTTAACTATTTTTTCAAGAATTTCTAGTTTTGTATCAGGCCTACAAACAGCAGGCCTGATATAAAACTCCAACAGACAAATCCCATCAATAACCAAAGGGTAATATAAAGATCAGGGACTAGTGAACAGAGAACTTGGAAATTGGCATTTGTCTCTTCAGTGCTACTGATAAAGGCTCCTTAAATTACAGTTATTTGGGAAATTTAATAATTTGGAAGACTTGCAAAAGGGAAGTAATCTTTGGGAAAATGGGGGCAGGGAGAGTCATACAGAAAGTCTGTTATTATAATATTGGCACAACAATAGTAGCTTAAATAGAAACAAGAATCATGTCAATGTTTATTTTTTTTAGATCCAGACCAGCATGTCTATTTGCAACACACAATGAACTGTTTTATTCCTTTCAACTAAGGCCAAGGATAGTCCAAGGTTTGGGCTCTCAACAAATTCAACTTTTAAAAGAATAACCTGCAAAAACAAAAGTTCTACTTGACCTATTAAAGATTCTAATCATTGAATTTTTCACACAAGAGAAAAAAACACTATAAATCAAGAGACTAGGCTAATAGCAAAACACACTATCTCTCTAGAATCAATTCTCAAACATTTATTCAGTAGCTGACAATCTTCTCTCCCTTTCTTGATTTCTTTAGTCATTTCACTATAAATTACAGAATTTCCATTCAAGGGGAGAAATAGAAGAAAAAAATTCAAATTACTATACTGTCTACTCTTGGTTATCCACAGGAAATTAATCCACTTCATAAATTTCTTCTGGTAAATTAATTTCCCTCAGCATACAAGTACTAATTAATTTCTTATAAAGCCTCAAAACAGGCCGGGCGTGGTGGCTCACACTTGTAATCTCAGCACTTTGGGAGGCCGAGGTGGGCAGATCACTTGAGGTCAGGAGTTCAAGACCAGCCTAGCCAACACAGTGAAACCCTGTCTTCACTAAAAATACAAAAATTAGCCAGGCGTGGTGGTGGGCACCTGTAATCCCAGCTACTCGGGAGGCTGAGGCAGGAGAATTGCTTGAACCTGGGAGGCAGAGTTTGCACTGAGCCGAAATCGTGCCACTGAACTCCAGCCTGGGTGACAGAGTGAGACTCTGTCCAAAAAAAAAAAAAAGCCTCAGAACAATTAGAAATTTGGGCCAGGTGCAGTGGCACACACCTGTAGTCCCAGTGAGACCCATCTCTACAAAAAACAAAACAAACAAAAAACCCACAAAAATTAGCTGGGCATGGTGGCACACACTGTAGACCCAGCTACTCAAGAGGCTGAGCCAAGAGGATCAATCGAGGCCAGGCATTCAAAACTGCAGTGAGCTATGATAGTGCCATTGCACTCCAGCCTGGGTGACAGGGTGAGACCCTGTTAAAAAAAAAAAGAAGAAGAAGAAGGTGGGGGGCGGGGGGAGGGAGGGAAATTTGTCTTTTATAAAATTATATAATTCAGTTAAAAGATGGATACTTCTTATTACTATCGTCATTTTTAAAATTCTCCATCTTTAAGTTCCATAGTTCCATCTTTGCTAGCCATACTTAAATCTCATTTGATCTATAGGCCCAGTATTCAAAACATCCACCTGGCATCTGCTGTTATTATTTACTGTCTTGTGATACTAGTTGACCTTCCTGATACTCACATTTTAACTCTCCAATCTGACTATCAGTCATTCATTCAAAATTTACCAAGTTGGTCTACCATCTACCAGGCACTGCCATGGGGCCTGGAGATATCCCAGTCTTACCTTCAAGGCACTCTGATCTGATGAGAGAAATATAAACATGTTATTAGTGCCCATTGGGATAGGAAGAGATATAGAAGCAACCAGTTTACCCAGGTGGGTTAGGGAAGCTTCTAAACTTTTAGCCAAGCCTTTAAGGACGTGTAAAAGCTCACCAGGATGGAGGACAAGAATACATTCAAGACAGAAGTAAGATTCTTGAAGTCTGCACCTTTCTTTTATACTTGAAAACATTCTAAACAGGCCTAACACATTGCTTAGCACATAGTAGATGCCTAGCAAATATTTGTGGTTCTAAACTATTCATGCTAGTCCGTATATGTGGATAATTGAGAGTTATCTACACCTAAAATAGGCTTGTGAGTTACATACTGGTTTCAAATTTGTCCCATCAAGATGTATAAATAGGTCTATATGAATAAATATAACTTATATTTGTATAGCTGTCTGTTCACTAATAGCTTCTCTGTTATAATTTTTTGTTTTTAAAGCACTTTCATAAATAACCTCATAATAAACATTTTTCAAATTAAATACTTTTTGAGGTTTTTAATCCCATCTATTCTGATGGAAAACATATACACATAGAAAAGTTTACAAAGCTTAGGCCAGGTGCGGTGGCGCATGCCTGTAATTCCAGCACTTTGGGAGGCCGAGGCAGGTGGATCACCTGAGGTCAGGAGTTTGCGACCAGCCTAACATAGTGAAACCCCGTCTCTACTAAATACAAAAAATTAGCCAGGCATGGTGGCACATGCTTGTAATCCGAGCTACTTGGGAGGCTGAGACAGGAGAATCGCTTGTACCTGGGAGGCAGAGGTTGCAGTGAGCTGAGATCGCGCCATTGCACTCCAGCCTGGGCAACAAGAGCGAAACTCCGTCGCAAAAAAAAAAAAGTTTACAAAGCTTAAATGATACCCAGATAGCACAGAGGTTGGGCCTATGTATTCGGACTTAGAATGCGGGGCTCATATCAGTTTTCTAGGGATTTATAGCAAAACCAGATCAGTCTAGATGTGCAAACCCCACAGGCTAAATAACTCTTACTATTTTGTTTTTTAAAATAATATCCATATTCACTACATTGTCTCCTAGCCACTACTACCCTCCCCACCTCCCACCAACCCCACAAACACACACACATTTTCCAGGTTGGTGTTAAAAAGCAGAAACTCTAACCCAGTGTATCCTGGGCACTATTTGGCCCTCTCATTTCTACTGATCGTACCTTTTATAATAATAATTTTTCTTTTAGAAGAAACCAAGTCTCTTTTATTTATGCACATAAAATTAGTTACAAGCATATAACACAATCTGATAGTTCTAGTTTACCTGGGAACATAGAATATATACTTCATTTATATAATTAATATTTCACATTTGGGTCTTATGTAGAACAAACCTGGTGGTGAGGTACAGAAAGTCAGTCTGTTTTCCTGATTGACACTTTAGAATCATAAACTTTTAGAACTAGAACATCAGAGATTATTTTTATTCCATACCCTCAAGTTACAGATGACAACACACAGAACCAGGAGAGTGAGATTAAGTGACTTGTCCAAATTCAAAGAGCTAACTATAGTAAAACTGAGTACCGAATATAAATCTGCTTACTCCCATTCCAGTAATCTTTCCTTGACTTCACATGTACCACTAGCCCTCAATTTTCCATGGGATCTACTTTGTGGATTTATTCACAAAAACTGCCTTTCCCCAGCCACCCAGCTAAATCTCTTACTCCTACAGATGTATACCAAAGAAAAAGATGTATACCTAGGAAATTTAATCACTTAAGCAAGCCATATTTAGGAAAGGAAATCATCTATAAAGTAAATCATGGGGCAGGGCACGGTGGCTCATGCCTGTAATCTTAGCACTTTGGGAGGCCAAGGCAGGCGGATCATTAGGTCAAGAGATCGAGACCATCCTAGCCAACATGGTGAAACCCCATCTCTACTAAAAATACAAAAATTAGCTGGGCATGGTGCACACCTGTAGTCCCAGCTACTCAGGAGGCTGAGGCAGGAGAACCACTTGAACCCGGGAGGCGGAGGTTGCACTGAGCTGACATGGCGCCACTGCACTCCAGCCTGGCGACACAGCAAGACTCCGTCTCAAAATAAGAAAATCATGAAGTCATGCCAAAACCAAATAATCATTTATGTTTTGCTCATCACTACTAAAGGTATAACTGAATTTGTAAGTATTCTTCTAATGTTATAACTATTTTGTAGCAAGAGGGTAGGACAAGATTATGTGTGACATCAGGATAATTTTTCTCTTCTACTGATAGTTTGAAGCTACTTATCATACACCATCCAGAAATCACAGCTATATCTAAATTGTTTTGTGTGCATGTGTTTTTTTTTTTTTTTTTTTTTTTTTTAGTACAGAGTCTCACTCTGTCACCCAGGCTGGAGTGCAGTAGTGCAATCTCGGCTCACTGCAAGCTCGGCCTCCCGGGTTCAAGTGATTCTCATGTCTCAGCCTCCTAAGTAGCTGGGATTATAGGTGTGCACCACCACACCTGGCTAATTTTTGTATCATAAAGACGGGGTTTGGCCATGTTGGCCAGGCTGGTCTCAAACTCCTGGCCTCAAGTGATCCACCCGCCTCAGTCTCCCAAAGTGCTGGGATTGCTGGCGTGAGCCACCGGGCTGGCCTATAGCTAAATTTTGAACAGGACAAAACATAAAACCAAGAGAGAAATAAACCACCAACTTTTAACATACTGTATTACTTCTCCTTAGCCAAAAGTGTTGGCCGGGCATGGTGGCTCACGCCTGTAATCCCAACACTCTGGGAGGCTAAGATGGGTGGATCACCTGAGGTCAGGGGTTCAAGACCAGTCTGGCCAACATGGGGAAACCCCATCTCTACTAAAAATACAAAAATTGGCCAGGCATGGTGGCACGTGCCTATAATTCCAGCTACAAGGGAGGCTGAGGCAGGAGCATCGCTTGAACTAGGGAGGTGGAGGCTGCAATGAGCTGAGATCGCACCACTGTACTCCAGCCTGGGCAACAGAGACTGTCTCAAAAAAAAGAAAGTATACAGCCTGAAAGCATCAAAGCAATAACTTCCCTCACATTCACATTTATTCAAGTTTATTTGTAGGGAGGCAATATTTCCTCTTCCCCTGAGGAAGGCCCACCATCAGTACAGTAGTGCCCAGGTCACTGCAATTCTCTCCTGATGAAAACCTTAACATCCTGACTCAATCATTCAAAAAGCATTCTTAATGCCAGGCAGGCTGCTAAGTGAAGGGGATGCATCAGCCAATAAGTCGTTATCTCTGCTTTCTAAAAGTTCATCTAATGGACTGGTTCCAGAGAAAACCCCAAGATAGATATCAGCCAACTTTCTTAACAAAAGGTTTATTAAGTGCCAGACCAGAGACAGAAAAAGATGAAGAGGAAATTTTAAAAGGTGAGAGGCTTTTTCAATTTACTAAACAAATTTATTAAACAATTTACTCCTTTGGATTATTAAAGTCATGTGTTCCTCTCCAAGAATGTCAATCATCAGAAATTGACTGTAAAGGTTTTTTTATGATAATATCTAACCAAATATTTTGGTCAAAGGCACTGTTTCCTTAATCTTACTAATCTGGGAAAACAAGCAGATACTGATCTACATCGATACATTTTAAAATATCTATTATATAATATCTGTATTATAGGAATGTGGTTGATCTTACCAAAACTGGGATGAGTTGCTTCCTGTGCAGACAGATGCTTCCAATAGAATGTACTCTAAGCCTCTAGGGTCAAACATGTAAATCCTGTTTAAACTTTCTTGCCCCATACTGAGTGGGTACAAGTAGTATGGGCAATGCTTCACAATGACCACAATTACATAGGCCAAGTTTTCAGTGAAGGTTTCTGTTTTTCCTTCTCCTTTCCACAAAAACTACAAAAGGTATCAATTAGTACACAAGCCATCTGGTAAACATCCATTGTGTTCTGAGCCTTCTTGAAATTAATCCAAGAAACCAACCCTTCTAAGAGTGAGTCCTATCCCATTATTATTTTTAACACTATTATTGGTAGTGGTGGTGGTGATAACAAGTGCTAACTTTGCAGTTCATAAAATACTTTCAAATGTATTATTACCTCATTCACTGAAAAAAATGAAGAGGGGATAAAAGGAAATATCATAGGCAATTATCTCAAACATCAAAAACAAAACCCAGCCGGGCGCAGTGGCTCACGCCTATAATCCCAGCACTTTGGGAGGCTGAGGTGGGCGGATCACGAGGTCAAGAGATCGAGACCATCCTGGCCAACATGTTGAAACCCCGTCTCTACTAAAAATACAAAAATTAGGTAGGTGTGGTGGCATGCGCCTGTAAACCCAGCTACTTGGGAGGCTGAGGCAGGAGAATCGCTTGAACCTGGGAGGCGGAGGTCAGGTTGCAGTGAGCTGAGATCACACCACTGCACTCCAGCCTGGTGACAGAGCAAGACTCCATCTCAAAAAAAAAAAAAAAAAAAAAACCCAATTTTTTGTTTTTTTAAGAGACAAGAGTCTTGCTCTATTAACCAGGCTGGAGCGCAGTGGCACGATCATAGCTCACTGTAACCTCAAACTCCTGGGCTCAGGCAGTCCTCTTGCCTTAGCCTCCTGAGTAGCTAGGACTACCGGCGAATGCCACCATGCCTGGCTAATCAAACCCAATTTAACTGGAATTGAAGAGCAAGCATTTTCAATTCAAGAAGTTATTTCTATCAAAAAAGCATTGGACTGACTCTAGCAATGCAAACATCACAGAAAAAATTTCCCTGTAAATTATCCCCTTAAATGCTAGGTCTAATTGATTCAGTGTATAAATGTTAAGATTACAGTCTCAGCAAGAATTTGACACTATAAATCTTTGTTTACCTCAATCTTTTTCCCAAATGCTTTACCCACAGTTAAATACTTAATAAATATTCTTCTACAGAAGGAATACTAACAATAAAGAAGCTGCTCTAGAAAGACAAACTGACAACATTTAGCATTCAAGGACCTTTTGAAGATTTAACGTTTATTGTGCACCTAATCCAAGTACCATGCATTACTTGTGGGTTAGATACATCCACATAAATCATCTCGCTAACCTCATCAACTATGCCCAGATACTCCTGGATCCCCAATACTAAATTGATTAGCTTTCCAATACCAGACAGTTCTAATACTGGCAACCTTGGCCGGGCGCAGTGGCTCATGCCTGTAATCCCAGCACTTTGGAAGGCTGAGCAGGTGGATCACTTGAGGTCAGGAGTTAGAGACTAGCCTGGCCAACATGGGGAAACCCTGTCTCTACTAAAAATACAAAAATTAGCCAGGCATGGTAGTGCGTGCCTGTAATCCCAACTACTAGGAAGGCTGAGCCAGGGGAATCGCTTGAACCTGGGAGGCAGGGGTTGCAGTGAGCCAAGATCGTGCCACTGCACTCCAGCCTGGGTGACAAAGCAAACCTCCACCTCAAAAAAACAAAACAAAACAAAAAAAAACACTGGCAACCTTGATCCCACCTAATTAATCCTTAGAACTTAACTGGAACTCAATTCCTACTGGAACTCAGCTACTCGCTCTAAGTCTTCAGCATTTTTTTTATGCTTTCTACGAGATAATGCTCAAAATAAATCCTTGCACCTGTTCTGAAGATGCTAACTCCAGAGTAAAGACCACACATCCCAGGTATGGCACACGGTAATAGTGGCCGTAATCTAAAACAAGTCCTCTCTTAGATAGCACAAGCTAAAGAATAAACCTAGAATGCTAACAAAACTGAATTTCAGCTGGGCAAAAGACATTGGATCTTGGTATTGTTTCCAACCTCAAAACTCTTTTCTAGTCCTCTGAATACAGAAAGCTTTTTCTATTTGAATGAATTGAGCAGGCAAGTTTGACTCAAGAGTCCCTACCTGCATACTCATCAGAGAGAACTGAGGGAAAACAAAAAAAATTCCAACTCGCATGACCACATTACAATGTTAACAACACATTACTCACCATTGTGCTACAAGAAAGAACCTGCAAGCAGGCACGAACTTTCAGGAAGCCAAAAAGAAACAAGCAAACAACATTCTCCTAGTTCTCAAAGCACAAACTCATTCAAATGCCAAAGCAGGTCACACTGTCCAGTTTATACCCAGGTACAAGTGAGTGGAGAGGGAGAAGGGAGAGGCAAGGGGAAGAGAGGAAAAGCATTATTGTGCAAGTATGCTTTTCAGCACCAAGACACATTTCTTTCTTGGATTCATCAAGACCATTTTTAACAACAACAACAAAAAAAACTGGGGTTCCACCTATTTTTATGCCTTTATATATTCACAGAGAACATCCAATATATGTAAACAGTGGCATAATGTAACAATGGTTGCAGACATTCCTTTTGGAATCCGTTAGAGCTATATCTAAATCCTACCTGTTACTTTCTTGATTTGTGACCTTGGGTAAATTATTTAACGTCTCTATTGCTTAGCAGATACTTCATCTGACATTCACTATAGCATCCTCAGGACCTTAAACAGTGCCTAAATCACACTAATACATACTTTGAATGAATTAATCTGTAAGGTTGCATAACAGTATCTATTTTATGGCATTGCTATGAGTATAAATGAGGTGTTATATAAAATGTTTAGTATAACTCAGGCTAGGATCTTGCTACTAAAGAGTAAAGTTTTCTTCCCTTTATTCTCCAGCCAGGTCAGAAGTTATGACAGACGAGCTGTGGCCACGAATAAGATAGGATAAGCATGGAAGAAGCCAAGCATTAGAAGATGTTTATTACTATCATCATGGGCCATACCTAGGATGACTGGTGCTTATTCTGGAGTTAGAAGCTTAATAACAGGCACAAGGATTTCTTGTGAGCATTACCTAGCAGAAAACATTTAAAAATGCTTAAAACTGTGACAGCAAGGAGCTGAGTTCCAGGAAGCAGCTGAGTTCCTAGTCAAAAAATCCGAGAATATTTAGTCTTGGCAGACGAAATTAAATAACAGTGCCAGTCCCTTACGGTAGGTGCATAACAAGTGTTAGCTGATTCAGAAAATTGTATTTTCAATCCTCAAGTATCTGTTATCACATAGATAAAAGTCTGGCAAAAGAAGAAAACAAGAAAAGGGGTAGGAACGAGTCACATCTTAAATATGCCTGACTATGTATTTTAAAAGCAAATACAAAAGATCTAAGGCTATTCAACGCTGTAAAAAATCTCCTATTAGCAAAAATACTCAATTGATTTATAGTATTTACTCTCCCTTTCAGGTAATAAGATCTATGTCAGTAAATTGTTTTTAACTGCTGACAGGGTAAATAAGTCTCAAAGATTTGGGTCTAAAGCTCTCTTCCTTTTACTAAAAAAAAGACTAATGGGCCTTTGAGGCTACTTCACCCACAGCTTTCAACTCAAGCAAGCCTACCTTCTTGCAGGGAGAGTGGGGGGACACTAATTGTATCTTCAAATTGGGAGTCAGAGAGACTATGCACTTAAATCCAAAATCTAAAGAAATCTTTCCCCTTGAATATGACGAATTGAATCTCAGAAGATAGCTCTAAGAAACCCAGGCCACTATTGCATTAAGAGCCTGATAGACTAAGTACACACATTTTGTGTCTAAATATAAGGAAAACCCATACGGAACTGAAACAGCTTGTGGTTAAACCTCACCATAATGTGGTCTTCAACTTCCCATTTTGTTTTCCAGGCATTGTTCTGTTTTTAACCACTTGACCCATCTCTTCTCAAGCAATGTGATCTAGTAGAAAGAGCACTAAACAACAATCAAAAGAACGGACGATACACACCAAGTCCTACTACTTACTAGGCATGCAAACATAAACCAGTTACTTAAACCCTGAATTCAGTATCCACTGAGAATGCTGAGCCAGACTCAGTACCTTTCAAAGCTGTCTACCAAGGTACCCCACTTCGGAGAGGCATCAGAAACCCACCAAACCCAGCTCTCCTTATTGCTATTACCCAGACTGAAAATGTGTGATCATTCTTACCTAACCTTTTTCACGATAATCAGTTACCAAATTCCCCTTATCTCTCTTCAAATTACTCAAATCTCTCCCCCTTTCTGCATTACCATTACCCTTGTAGACAGTCTTTTTCCTGGACTATTATAACAGTCCTCTAACTGGTATCCTTTCCTCTATTTTATACCACAAGGCTGAATCAGTTTTCCTAAAATACTAATTCATACAATACAATTCCCTACTCAGAGATTTTTCAGTATAAGTATAAAAACCAAATTCCTTTGGCTGAGATTTAAGTCTCACTCCAATTTATCTAACTCTCTAACTTTACTAACTTTACTGATCTTATTGCCCTCCTAGGTAAAACACTGTGCTACAAACTACTTTTCCTGCCCCCAAAACAAGGTGAGCTCAGCTCACTGGTTCTCCACCTTGAATGTTTCCCCGCTATATTTCTCTCTTCTCTAAGGTCTAGATTACCATAAAGGTAAAACTTTTCCCTATCTATTCCCTTTAAACTTCTATATAGCTATGTAACTGTACTCCTCACTTGGTACTTAGTACCTTGGACTTGTATTACTATTTATCTATTTATGCAAATATTCAGTGTTCACAAATAATTAGTGAGTTCTTAATGACTTTGACTGTTTCTATAATATACTGGAAGCCTAACTTTTCAGAGAACAGATATCCAATAAACTGTTGACAGTAACTACTACCTTAGACAAGTCATTTAAATTTTCTGGGTCTCATTTTCCTCACCTAGAAAATGACAATATGTAAATCTCTTTTCAGTTCTAAAATGCTATATGATATTAGATATACTGCTACATAGCCTGTATTTGTTTCTCACATTTTTTTTCTTTATATGCATTTATCTGTATGTAACCATGTCCTATGTAACCCAGAATATAAATTCCCAAGGGGCCAGTTCTCCTCCTGCTTATTTATTTACTGGGTAACTCCTCCTTGGCATCTCCTTAGTGCATTGTCCCCAGATTCCAGTGCACAGCCAAGTGTTCGGTGGAAAGGAATTTGTAGTTTCAATCAAGCAGCAAACATCAAGGGAAATTTGCACAGATGATTTAAATCTCAATTTTCATAATGAACTAGTATATTATACAAAATTACAAAGATGTGAGAAAGAAGGAACTTAAAGTTGTTAAAATGACAGGACACCTTGTGCCAAATAGCCAGGAATTTATTTTAGGCAAGCAAAGAAGCTAGGACACAGAAACTCTTAAGTCTAACTCTCAAATTCTATTTTCAGAGTTCTAAGAAGGGGTATGGAAAGTCTCTATTCATGTCAGTAAACAACAGGGACCAAGTATTGTTCATGTCAGAGAATCCTGTCCCTTAGAACTGATAGAAATTTTCAGGAAATTGATGGTTTCATACTTAGCCAGGTGAGCTACCAGTTCAAGGGAGGCAAAAGCAGATGCTCACAATGGAACACATAAGAGGAGATAAGTTTCTAAAATATATTTTTGTTGGAGCTAGGCATGGTGGCACACACCTATAGTCCCAGCTACTCACAAGGCTGAGGTAGGAGGATGGCTTGAGCCCAGGAGTTCAAGACCAGCCTGGGCAACATAGTGAGACCCTGTCCCTAATAAATAAATAAACAAACTACATTTTTGTTAGTTAGCATCATTGTATTTTCCCACTGTCGTGTCTTAATTCTTCACATGCGACTACCTTCATGTAAATATCAATATTAATTAACACTAAAGCCTCAGAGGAATTCGCTCTTCCTTTTCTTTTGATGTTAGCTGTTAATGATTCAAAAGGCACTAGTAGACTAACTCATTTAAAATGACCCTGACTTTTCAAAGAACTATTTTAGAACACAGCACTGGCACTTTCAAAGCTGCATTCTATCTATAATATTCTCTAAGTAGGTATCTGTAGAGTGTAGCCTGGATACAACTTTGATTAGTTAATATAAAAGGCTTATAAAGAATTCTAAGCCAGTTGTGGGAAAGATTATATCCTGCTGGAGAAAAAAGAAAATCAGGAACGTTTTTGTGGAAGAGATAGTTTACACTGGGACTTTAAGAATGGGTAAGTTTAAAAACAAAACAAAACAAAACAGGGCAAGTGGGAGCTGGGCATGGTGGCTCACGCCTGTAATCCAACACTTTGGGAGACTGAGGCAGGCAGATCACTTGGGGTCAGGAGTTCGAGACCAGCCTGGCTAACATTAGGAAACCCTGTCTCTACTAAAAAATACAAAAATTAGCCGGGTGTGGTAGCGCGCACCTGTAGTCCCAGCTACTTGGGAGGCTGAGGCAGGACAATCACTTGAACGCTGGAGGTAGATATTGCAGTGAGCAAAGATGGCACCACTGCACTCCAGCCTGGGTGACGGAGCAAGACCCTGTCTTAAAAAAAGAAAACAAAAAACAAACAAACAAAAAAACAGGACAAGTGGGGAGGGCAATGGAGAAAACAGGTTTAAAATTTAGGTGACTGAATGAACTAGATCTACCTGTAGACACATCTGAAAAGCAATGTTGAGAAAAAAAGTTACAAAAGGATACATACATGATCCTATTTATGTAAAATTTCAAAACAAAACTGTATGTTGCCTATGAATACATATGTGGGACCAGGCATGGTGGCTCATGCCTGTAATCCCAGCACTTTAGGAGGCCAATGTGGGCAGATCACTTGAGGTCAGGAGTTCAAGACCAGCCTGGTCAATAGGGCAAAACTCCGTCTCTACTAAAAATACAAAAATTACCTGGGCACTGTGGCACGCACCTGTAATCCCAGCTGCTCGGGAGGCTGAGGCAAGAGAATCGCTTGAACCCGGGAGGCAGAGGTTGCAGTGAGCAGAGATCGTGCCACTGCACTCCAGCCTGGGTGACAGAGCAAGACTCCATCTCAAAAATAAATAAATAATAAATAAATAAATAAATAAAGATGTGGCGGGGCAGAGGAAGTATAAAACATGAAGGAATGAACACATCAATTCAGGCCAGTAGTCATTTCTTGAGAAAGAGGAAGGAGGAAAGGATGCAGGGTGGAACTTCAGCTATATCTATAACATTTAATATTTTAAAGGGAGTAAGACATCTAACAAATATGACAAAATGTTAATGTCCATCAAGTTGGGGTTGTAGACTCAAAATTGCCTGAGTTTTTCCCCTGAACTTTTCTAAATGTTTGAAATATCTCATTATGCAAAATTGTAAAATTAATAAAGGGCCAGGTGATTTGATGAATAGAGGAGTCAACACAAAAACAGTCAGGAGCAGAATGGTTTCCCAAAACTATAAGGAGATATCTGACTTGTTCAGTTTTAGACTGAAGAGGAGCCTTCACATCCCTCAAACAGCAGCGCTTAGAACAGGGTAGAGTGAGGACTGACAAAAATGGACAAGAAGGTTTATTGCCATCTCAAATCAGATAGCAGAGGGGAGTGAAAAACCACCTTCCCACATAATTTAAATGCTAGTGTAACCAAGTTATCTCCCCTAAAACAGCCAAGAAAGCTTCCAGTTACACAGGAATTCAGATAAGTACTCACTGTGAGTAGCTATTCTGTGCCTCCTTTCTACCCACCCCTTCCTTCTCCCAAATACTCACAAACAAAAACAAA
This sequence comes from Homo sapiens, assembly GCF_000001405.40. Classification (NCBI taxonomy): domain Eukaryota; kingdom Metazoa; phylum Chordata; class Mammalia; order Primates; family Hominidae; genus Homo; species Homo sapiens. Next base: position 150,001,695 of record NC_000001.11, read on the forward strand.
ATGTACCCTTGCCCACTTGAGAAAGAATTAAGACTTGGCAGCTCTGCTTAAGTGGACAGCTTCCAAACCAAGGCCCTTCTCTGGGGAAGATGCTGACAGAGCCCAGAGAAAAGAATTTAAAAATCACAACTCAGACAAGTTTTGAGGAAGGCCTATCAATGGAAGGTATCCATCCTTCCACACGTCCTTAAGTCCCAATTTCTCCCAGGGGAATCTAAGGACTTAGAGGATGCCCTCTACCCTGTTCTGTTCTCCTCCAGCAAAAGTGACTAAAACACAAAATCCAAACTCTCACTTAGCACTTTAAAACCAAACAATTTCCCTCCACAAAAATCCAATGAAAATGAAAATACAGGGAAGATGCAGAATCTGAGTATTTAATATTTTAAAGAGAGTAAGACATCTAAAACAAATATGACAAAATGTTAATGTCCATCAAATTTGGGATGTAGGCTCAAAATTGTTTCTGTTTGGGTTTTTTCCCTGAACTTTTCTAAATTTTGTTTAGATATTCTTTTTTTTTTAGATAAATATACTTTTAATCAGTGCCCAATTTATCATAGCTTATTTAACAAGTTTCAGTGGCACAAATAAAACTAAGTTTAAAAGAAAACAACTTAAAGGGAGCTTAGTGGCAGAGATAAAGACATGCAACAAAACAAATACCTTGACATTCTTCTACATCTGAATCACTACAGCTGAAAAATCCTAACACCTCATTCAGCCCAGTCCAGGGCACCGAACTGCCCCTCTTCCCAATGGTACTCTCAGGGAACATCTTTCTCAGTCAGACCTAGGAAAATACCTCTATTCACTTTGGACTGGTTAAAAAAAGACGGTAGAATGGAATGATGTTAAGTCCTTCTATCTGCTAGTACAATGCAATGTGGCAGAATGACACAAACACTGAAATGGGACTTGGGAGAGAAGAGAGAGGTGAATTCACCTTTATTAATCACCTAGTACATGCTGAAGACTGAATTCTAGACTAAGCTATCACAGAACCACTTCTGTGATCCTGAGTAAACCTCAGGTATTCTATTTGAAAATGAATGAGGAAAACTAAGAAAGCATCGCAGCCCCGCCAGTTGTCTGATTCCATGAATCTGTAAATATGATCACTCTCAATAAATGTGTTCAGTATAATGAAGTTATTGAAAGGAATTCTGCTTTCTCCATCTCCAATCCACCCTACACACCACTGACATAATCTTTCTAGGATGTGAAACGTATTAAATGGCTCCTGATATACTGCAGTATAAGATAAAGCTCCAGGCCGGGCGTGGTGGCTCTCGCCTGTAATCCCAGCACTTTGGGAGGCCGAGGCGGGCGGATCGCGAGGTCAGGAGATCAAGACCATCCTGGCTAACATGGTGAAACCCCGCCTCCACTAAAAATACAAAAAATTAGCCGGGCATGGTGGCGGGCGCCTGTAGTCCCAGCAACTCGGGAGGCTGAGGCAGGAGAATGGCGTGAACCCGGGAGGCGGAGCTTGCAGTGAGCTGAGATTGTGCCACTGCACTCCAGCCTGGGTGACAGAGCAAGACTCTGTCTCAAAAAAAAAAAAAAAAAGATAAAAACTCTGTATGATCCAGCGTTGCCTACCTCTTCAGCCTGCCCTCCATCCCATCCTCCAGCCATAATGATTAAGTAAAAGTTACCTGAAGAAGTCTGGCCTTCATTCCTTTAAGCTTTTGTTCATGGTATTTTCTCAGACTGGAATGTAATTCTTGTCATCTGTAGAGTATATCCTTAATTCATCTTTCAAGACTCAGCTCAAATGCTAACTCCTCAGGGAGGCTCTTTCCAACCTCAGCATGCCCAAGGCAGAACTGACCCTTGGGCTCCCACTCTCCCTGCTGCATACTTCTATCACAGCATCTATCACACTTCATTCTATCTATATATTTACATATCTGTCTCCTCCCACTAGACCCATACGCTCCTCGTGGGTTCCTTGTCTCCCTTACCTCCATCTCAGTGCCTAGGATGGTGTTTACAAGATAGGAGACATGTTTAGGTTTAGACGTGTTTAGGTTTATCAGTACCATTTTCTTTGCCCTTCTGCTCTTTCCCTAAACTTTAGTCCTCAGAGAGCTTATTAATTCTCTTGGCTACAGCTACCACATCTAGGCCATGAATTGCAAAACTGCATTTCCAAACCTACCCCCATCTTTACTCCAGCTCACACCCAGGACAGCCTTCATTTGGACATTTCATTGCCACTTTAAATCCAACACATCGCAAATTATACTCATCATATTTCCCCAAAATGAGGAAAGCTTCCTAACTTCTTTATTTCACTCAATGTCTCAGACACCCAGGCACAACGTGTCACAGTTGTAGTTGACTCATCACCCTTCTTCATCTCCCACATCCACCCCTCATTAATTTCCATTTTTCCTTCACAGTCTCTTTTTCACTCTTTCCTCTCCTTAGCCTACCCTCCACAACTCTAACTCGGGCCTCATCACTTCACACACCCCCAGTGTCAATCTCCATTCCCTCCCAGCCAACCTGTGTATTAGTATCATCATACTGCTATTCTATTCAAAAATCTTCTACCATTTAAAATATAAAGTTGACCGGGCACGGTGGCTCATGCCTGTCATCCCAGCACTTTGGGAAGCTAAGGTGGGCGGATCACTTGAGGTCAGGAGTTTGAGACCAGCCTGGCCAACATGGTGAAATCCTGTCTCTACTAAAAATACAAAAATTAGCTGGGCATGCTGGTGCACGCCTGTAATCCCAGCTACTCAGGAGGCTGAGGCACGAGAATCACTTGAACCCAGGAGGCGGAGGTTGCAGTCAGCCAAGATTGTGTCACTGCACTCCAGCCTGAGCTGGACAACAGAGCAAGACCCTGTCTCAAAAAAATAAATAAATAAATACATAAATAAATAAATAAATAAATTTTATATATATATATAAACTTATAAGCCTAGCTTTTTAACACCCTCTATAAACATAGCTCCAAACCAACCTACCCACCTTCATTTCACTACTGCTCACTGCCACTCAGGTTAGTCTCCTCACCGCCCCAAGAACATCTCAGGTATAGTCCTGTTTCCAGGCTTTCGCTTGATCCCTTTCAGCTCCAATATGAAATGTTTTGTTATCCTCTTCATCTTCATCCCTTGTACCTAATACAATAACACTTATTCATTTATTTTTTTATTTATTTTGGAGACAGAGTCTTGCTCTGTCACCCAGGCTGGAGTGCAGTGGTGCTATCTCGGCTGTTTGCAACCTCCATCTCCTGGGTTCAAGTGATTCTCCTGCCTCAGCCTCCTGAGTAGCTGGGATTACAGGCGTGAGCCACTGTGCCTGGCCTATTTTTTTATTAAGATCTGAAATGAGTTATAATTCCTCTGTGACATAACTACCTGAGTACTCCTCTCCCCAAATACCTACGGTATGAGGTCTGCACTATGCAACTAACAATATAGTTTCACATTTTAAAATTTTGTGTGGCATATTAAGAGGCTCAGCAAGTATTCATTCCTTTTTATTCTTCTTACTCCCAACTGGACTGTAAACTCTTCAAGGACACAAAGTTGTCATTTTTCCTAATCCTCCATAGCACCTAGCAAAGAATTAAACTCATAGTGGGTCACTACAAATAACAGTTTAGTAATTTTCTTATCTACAGCTATTTCTTAGAGGAAATAAAGGGCTAAGGTATAATCCTAAAAAAAGCACAGTTGAAAATAATCCCTATCTAGTTGTATAAAATAAGATTCCTGACTTTTCCACCTGATTTCTAGCTCAGAAATACTACAATCTCCTGACTCAAGAAGTAAATAATAATCCTGTGCTCGTGACATCAGTTTGGTAATGATTATAAAGAGGTGGGGGAGAGTGGCAGGGATGGAGAAAAGCAAGTCAACTGGAGAAGAAAAAAAAGGGATGAAAGAATGGCATGTGATTTTGTTTACTTCTTAAATGTGGACACTTCTGCCCATTCCTTTTTTTTTTAATTGGACATACTTTCAAACAACTTTCCTACAGGAGGAAAAGTCTGACAGATTTTCAATGAAGCTGATATCTGGAAGAGCCTCTACAAAGCACAAGTCCTTTGAGAAAGCCGGCTTAATCTTCAACAACACAACATAATGTAGTGGCATTCGTCCAGATACTGTGAATGAAGGCTCATTCTGGCTGGAACACAAGCATCACCTGCCAGTCATTCTCAGACATAAGACAGACAGCCTAGGAGGCCACATTGGATCCATACAGATTTTGAAAAGAAATTGGTCTATCAACATATTCAGTGTAGTCTAGTCTTAATTATCTACAAATGGATTATTCATTTTACGGATTTCTAAGGCCAAATCTTTAATGCAAGAATGACTGTTCTTCATCATCAGTGTACTCTCCCCACCATCAGGTAATATAAGCTTAGAAATGCAAATTTATTTCAATATTAGTATGATCCCCAAAAATGAAAATAAATCTAGTTTAAAAAATAATGTATTTTCGGCCCGGCACACTGGCTCACGCCTGTAATCCCAGCACTTTGGGAGGCCGAGTCAGGCGGATCACGAGGTCAGGAGATCAAGACCATCCTGGCTAACACGGTGAAACCCCGTCTCTACTAAAAATACAAAAAATTAACCGGGCGTGGTGGTGGGCGCCTGTAGTCCCAGCTACTCGGGAGGCTGAGGCAGGACAATGGCATGAACCTGGGAGGCAGAGCTTGCAGTAAGCTGAGATTGCGCCACTGTACTTCAGTCTGGGAGCAAAGTTGTCATTTTTCCTAAACCTCCATAGCACCTAGCAAAGAATTAAACTCATAGTGGGTCACTACAAATAACAGTTTAGTAATTTTTCTTATCTAAAACTATTTCTTAGAGGAAATAAAGGGATAAGGTATAATCCTAAAAAAAACACAGTTGAAAATAACCAGGAAATGTCTTTGTTAAGTTCTGAATTACCTACAACAGTGCTCCCTACATTAGCAGAGACAACTGAGAGTTAAATGCACTTGAAACATAATGCTGTCCTTACTATAAGCTCTTGAGGAGAATCCGGCCATAGTCTTGAGACTTCCCCACAGGTTGGTGCACTACGAGACAGGAACAAGCAGGCTCAGCATAGTAAGGTGTGTAAACACAAAAACTTCTACAAGGAATCTTATGCCTCCTGGCTGTATCCCTTCAGGTTAGGATGGTACAGAAAATAAGAGTCACAATGTACGGATGCCTGCCTGATTCCTTGTCCCTGAGTTCCTGAACCAAAGGGCTCAATATTTCTCATTAAATCCGTCCTTTGTTCAAGGACCTACAATGATTCTATTGACCCTTCTATCAACACCCAACAGAGTCTGGCTTCTGAGTCCCCTCCACCCTCTTGCCTGCTCTACTCATGACTTGCCCAACCCACATTCTCTACAGTCACTCTCATATATTCCCCCCACTCACAACTTAGTCATTCATATCATCATTGCACACTGTACATTCTATACTTTCTGTTTGGAAGATCCTTTCTTTTCTTTTATTCCCAACACAGTAACTATTTCATTTACTTGAATGCTCACATTTTACAGATAAGGAAAAGAAGTTAACTTGTCCAAGGTCACATGGTAAAAAATAGCCGCAAGGTCTGAACGAAGACCCATCTAACTCAATAGCCCATACCTCTTTATGACTCATCCATAGCCTCCCAAGTCCATTTCAAAATTTACTGACTCAGAAATCTCCCCAATTTATTTCACTGATTCTTACTTTGTTACTTTAAGTCTTCTCAGCCCTTACATACTTATCAGCACGTTAAATTTGCTTTTGTCTATATGTTGTTTCCTAAATGTTAAAGCTCATAATAGTCTGCCTTCCCATATTTATACACCACCTTTCCCATCCACCCTCAACCCCAAGAGCAAAGACACATGTCTTTACATCTTTTATACCTCCCTAAAGCCTGTCACTGGAGCATGGAGACTGCTTTATCCAGAGAAGTGTTCAATCATTACTCAGCAAGGATGTCTTATTTAAAAACAAACAAACAACTCTCTTCTATTATATTAAAAAGTCAACTGAATTCAGGCATTCATGAGAAAAACTGCCCTGTATCTATCTTCCAGTTACACAAATTTTTAATTACCTGAATTTATCAGAGGCTACAAAAAAGATTCCACAGTCTGCTATTCCACAGCTCCTAAGTTCCCATAGGAAAGATACTGCTGAGGTCACATTTCAAAGCGCTGTTTAAGGATTTTCCCTTTGGTGGGATGAGTGTTTAGGGTAAGGAGAGTGCTACTCATACACACATACACCCACACTATAATGGCCAGTGTCTTTTAGCATGCTTAAGATACTCAGGAGCTCCAAAACTTTGACAAGTGGCACTTAGTGCCCTCATAACAATCAGAATACTTATTTTGGTTACATACATTGAATCTCAAAATTGCAAATAAAGCCTCCTGAGAACTAGGAATAGTGGTGGACTACCAGGCAGCTCTCCACTCATTCCTAGGCTTCTTCAACCCCTTTGATCCCCATGCCCTGGAATAAAGTATGCAGTTCAACTTAGGGAGTTGCTAGATGCAGATATAAATAGAATTTACCCAGATATCATCACTAATATTGGCACCAATCAACTCACACAGATCAAAACAATTATTGATCATCAACAGATTCTGGGAAAGGTGTATGTGGTTTTTAAAAATTAGATTTTCGTCTCCAAATTAAGTCGTTTTTTAAATAGGGGTCTCAAAAGAAAGATTAAACAAATAAAGCTTTGGGAAATTTTCCAAGTTGTTGGCAACATAAGGCCACTAAAGGCCACCTAATGATTAGCATTCATTACCAGTCACCGGGCCTTATACAAGTCAGTAGATAGCCAGCTCTTGCTTTGGCAAAGTTTTACATTTTTTTCCGAGGGAGTCTTCAGTATTAAAAGCAAGGAATAAGTCAAATAAGGCAATGACAATAAAAAATTAGTTTGGCACTATCTTCCTTCCATCTTTCCTTCTATCTTGAAAGTGTAATGTCCAAAGCAGATATCTGTTCAATTCTAAATTATTCATGTTAACGGATAATTATTGGCAGAAAGGTGGTGATAATCAAAAATGAGGGTAAAATCGAAAAAATCTATTTTGGTTTTGGAATATATGTTTTCAGCATATTTACCTTCTTAATTATTCCTAGTATGAGCTAATATTTGCATTGATTTGCAATCTCTAAGTACATAGTAACTGGCCACTTTGTCAGGGAGGTGCTCTGAGGCAAGCTGGGTCAATAGTGGAAATTAGAACGGTCGGGGGTATTCAGCCTGCAGAGGAGCAACATCAAGTTCATTTATTTTACAGTTTTGTTCAGCCTTCAAAATATCAATAGACTAGCACAGCAGGTTGGTTACTGAACGTTAAAAGAACTACTTGAAAAACAATGAAGACAAAGCGTATAATTAATTCTTCATTGTTTGCGCATAATGTATTTGTAAGTTATACACAGCAAATATTTAACTACCTCTGATTCTCCCTAGCCACCCAGCTTCCGTCCCTGAAGTCTTCTCCCCATCAGGAATGCAATCTCATTTAGTAGGAAGAAAATTTTCTACATGTTTTCAGAAGTTACATAGCATAGAAACTTTTTTAAATATTTAGGGGTTAGCAACTCTTTGGAGCCAGTCTTACCGCCACCTCTTTCTCTACTCTGTCCTTTTCCACCTTTGAAATAGATTCTGAAAGACAAAGGGATCCAGCCTCCTCAAAAATCTCCTAAATATACAGTACTAGAGGCCAAAGACTGAAAAATTAGCAGCATGTGAATTTCTAAGCAAAGCGTTACGTAGTACGTATAAAAAGATAAGGAAAATAAAAGTCAACGTCCTGCTAATTCTAGGCTTTGCATTCGTGAAAAGCTGCCTGAAAAGTTTGTGGGGAACTTCTTCCATAAAATTCCACCAGTCAGTTTCTAATTTCAAATTTTTACATCTTTATTGTGCCCAGAGAAGCCACCTAGGTTAGACAAGAAAGACTACCACGAGCGGGGAGAAAGAGACTCTGAGCGCTGGTCCTTGTGAGCCGACAAGCTAAAAATACGCCGGCCCAGTAAACAAATCCCATTCCATCCCGACCGGAGCCACACCGTTAACCTAGTAATTATGAGAAGAGTGAGATCACGCAGCCCCCGGCTTACTCATCATCAGCTTCTAAAGTTTCCATCGGCTCATGGCAACTTTTCTTTTTTCTAAAGTTCTTAAGACTGCCCTAGAATCCGTCAACCTCCGTCTCTCTCCCTCTCTCACACACACACACAAACACACACACACACCTTTTTCTCGCCTTTCCTCCATTACTGTATGCACCTTAGTTTGGCTATCAATAGGAAGAATAAGCTTATTTGCTTTTCATTTTAGTATTATATTGAGATTTTAAATGAACTTTATCCTACTGTGGGGATAATACACTGCATCTTAATCACCTTAAAACTCCACCATCCCTCCCGAAAGTCTAGCTGACAAGGGGGGACCGTCCAAACTGGCCAGCACAGCTCAGGAAGGGAGGCCGGGAGCTGGAGAGCGCGGGGTAGGAACGCAGGACGCAGGTGAAAGGGAGGAGGAAAGATCGGGACGAAGCAAGGAGCAGTCAGGGCGAGAAAGGAGTGCCGAGGGGAGATGGCTTCGGGTGAAACAGATTCAGAAAGGAGAAAGGGGACAGTGGCGATCTGAGGAGCAGAGTTTGCGAGTCTGAGAAGCCGGGAGGGGCGGGAGCAGACGGGGGACGGTGTCAGGACGGGGGGCTCCGTTACCCTCGCGGGCTCCCGGGGCAAGGCCCTAGGCCGGGGCGGAGCGCGGGGCCCGGCCGCCTCTCTTCATTCCTCGGCAGTGACCCCGGGGTCCGGCCGGCCCCTCCCCCGACGGCGATGGAGGTGGAGGCGGTGGTGGAGACTGCGACCGCAGCTGTTGCTCCGCACGGGATCTGGAGCTGGAGCCAGAAAGGACTGATCGGGACTGGCCTCCCCCAGTGGCTTTTTGCCCACTCCGCACCCGGTCGCCACTCCGGCTCCGGCGGCTGGTTCAGGATCGGTGGCTTTCTGCTGTCCGGCCGGAAACAGGCGCCAGTTTCCGGCCGGAGCGGGTTGGTGGTGACACCCAGGCCGCCCCCGGGCCTCCTCCCGCTCCGCCCCGTCGCAGCCCCGCCTTTAGCGCCGCTCCCCAGGCTGCGGCCAGTTTGGCGCTTGCCCCGCGCGTGACCCCGTGTTTTCCCGACCCGAGTCCCTAAAGCTCCTGGTCTGGAGCATTCTTGAACAGGAGTTGGAGGAGTACAGGGTGGACTCTTAGGACTCTGGGGTAGAATCAGTTGGCTACAGCCGTTGGGAAGGAGCTGAAAGGGGTGGAGTAGTTGTAGAAAGGTGAGAGAGATGAAAATACTTCAGAATGAAAAGACTGACATTCTAGTAACTCTACACAATCATTCTGGAGTGACCGGAGGAAGATTAGCTTCTTCCACACCAGTCTCCACCCAATTATATATTTCTCTTGTTCCTTCACTCTTGAAGTGAACATATCCTTCTCTGTAAACACTTAATATTTATTTACTTGCATAACAGTGATACCCTGTTGATACATCTGCTTTAGACTGCTAACAGTAAAAAAAACTTACATAGTGCGTTTGTTATGTCTTCTAGTGCGTTTGTTATGTCTTTTAAAACATTATGGCATAATTCAAATATGTATTGTATCCCTGTGATGTGTATCACTGCTCTCAGTGATACAGGGGGATACAAAAATTAACAAGACATAATCCCAGACATCAAAGGTTTTACAATTTAGTAAAATACATAAAACTATATTATATGTAGCAGAACTTGTATGTGTCCTACCTGAGTGACAATGAGCTATGGCTATGAGAACATAATAAGCCATCCTTGTCACATAGTAGACCTTCCATATTTGTTGAATGAATGAATAAGTATTAGGCCTGTGTGGACTGTTTCAAGAAAGAAAGGCCATTTAGTAAATACCTCTTTATGACAAACACAAAACGATGCCAACCCCGGCTATACTCTAACAAAAGACATTTGAAATTTTAATTCAGATTCCTAACATTATAGCACCTGGTCTGCATATTCAAAATAATGTATTGCCTAATTGTGCCCATTATGCCTATGTAAAAACAAATACTCTAGTCAACTTTTCTTTCCCCTCACTTCTTCCTCAGTTTCTAAAGGGGAGGCGTGGGGCATAGGCATTTTAGAATTGTCTAGCTCAGAATAGGAAACTGACACCTGAAACAGGGAAACTTCCTAGACAGCTATATCTCTTAGGGATACACCTGGGTTTACAATCGAAAATTTAGGGCTGGGCCCAAGGCTGTCCACACATGCTAAGGCCAAACAAGTCAGAGTGCCTTGCATGGGGGCATATCCAAGACATACAATAGAGGTTGACAAGTAAAGTCATTTGGCGTGGGCTTCAAGCGTATAAGGGACCACAAATTTTAGCTACCGTTTAGTGGTAAATTTAAGGAGGAGAGCAGGATGAGATTTGGTCACCTAAATTGACTCTAACTGAACTCTAACTGAACTGAACTGGAAGGGTACGGGGGTGGACGCTTGGGACTCTGGGGTAGAATCAGTTGGCTACAGCCGTTGGAAAGGAGCTGAAAAGGGTGTCGTTCTAGAAAGGTGAGAGGGATGAAAATACTTTAGAATGAAAAGACTGAAATTCTAGTAACTCTACACAAACATTCTGGAATGATTGTGACAACAATCACTGACCACACCTACCCTTTGCTAGTTAAATCTGAGATGGGAGCACAGATCTGTAGAAGAGGAGCCTCAAAATCTGAAAGTTGCCTTGTTTCACCACAGCTGTCCAGAACCAGGTTATACCCATATAAATATGTCTTTCTAATCTTAACGCCACTGCCACAGACTTAATAGAACCAGGCGTGGAGCTCAAAGGCACTCTACCCTCAATATAAGACTTTTTCTTTTGGCAGTGACCATAGAAGGTCTCCAGATTTGAAAGCTGGGCCAAGTTGCTGGTCAAAGTCATTTAAGTGACCACACTTTATAGGCTTGCCTGGAAATTTAGGGGCCAGGAAGTGATGGGGTCACAGTTGCTTTGTGCCTATTTCTTGCTCTGACCATCCATCATTCATTGTTGTTTGTGCAGTTGCTCAATGGGCTGCTTGTCTTTGGTCAGCCCAGGCTGTGTGGGTAGCAGTGTGGTCAGCTGGGCTGGGAGCCAGGCCACCTGGGTTCTGGTCCCAGCTCAACCAGTCCCTAATCCATTAAGTGACTCCCTTCCCATTCCTGTGTCTCAGTTTCTCTGCGTAGAAACTAGAGGCTTCTTCTCTAGTGATATGCAGCCATTTAGGCTGGCACTAGGTTGGATGCTCAGAGGCAGCTGTTTAATGTAGACATTGGCAGCAGCCAGAACACAGTTGACTATTTCTTGCTGCTAGGTAGAATAGTAAGGGAAAAAAGGTAAAAGCACCAGACAAAATCCTACCGGTGTACACAGGGCCACACACCCTCAACTGCTATTCTGTCCAAAGTTCTTTTCCACCCTAGAGATCTGTTTTTGTTTACTCGTCTTAGCAATTCTAAGGGCTGCTTCAAGGAGCTCCCTGAGCTTTTACATCACTTTAAGCAAGAGCAGAAAAACCAGAGCTTTGCATTTCACCAGAGAAACTAAAAAGAGAGACTATTTCAATACTGGGGCTAATGGCTAGAGTTGGGGAAAATGTTCAGAGAAAGGTTGTAGCTAGGCAGGGAAAAAAACTATTTACATTTATATGCTTTTGTGGTGGAAAAGAAAACCAAACCAAAATAACTTCCTTTCCACCGCCACCAATATAATTTAGACCATTGGTTCTGGGGAGTTTTTAAAAACTACATATTATACATGCCTAGGAACCTCAGACTGACGCAGAATTCTTTCTTGGAACTGAAGACCATGAATCCATATTTTTTAAAAAAATATCTAGGGCTCGGCTGGGAGCAGTGGCTCACGCTTGTAATACCAGCACTTTGGGAGGCTGAGGCAGGCGGATCATGAGGTCAGGAGATTGAGACCATCCTGGCTAACCCGGTGAAACCCTGTCTCTACTAAAACTACAAAAAATTAGCCAGGCGAGGTGGCGGGCGCCTGTAGTCCCAGCTACTTGGGAGGCTGAAGCAGGAGAATGACGTGAACTCGGGAGGCGGAGCTTGCAGTGAGACGAGATCGCGCCACTGCACTCCAGCCGGGCAACAGAGTGAGACTCTGTCTCAAAAAAAAAAAAAAATAATATATATATACACACACACACACACACACACACACATATATATACACACACATATATACACACATATATATACACACACATATATACGTATATATACGTATATATGTGTGTGTATATATATGTGTGTGTGTGTGTGTGTGTGTGTGTATATATATATATATATATATAGTAGGGGCTCAGCCAGGCATGGTGGATCCTGCCTGAAATCCCAGCACTTTGGGAGGCCAAGGCAGGAGAATGGCTTGAGCACAGGAGTTTGAGACCAGCCTGGGCAATATAAGGAGATCCCATTTCTACAAAAATAAAAAAAAATTAGTCAGGCATGGTGGTGCATGCCTGTGGTCCCAGCTACTAGGGAGGCTAAGGTGGGAGGATCACTTGAGTCTGGGAGATCGAGGCTCAGGGAACCATGATTGCACCACTGCACTCCAGCCTGGGTGACAGAGAGAAAGTGTCTCAAAAAAAAAAAAAAAAGCTGTATGAGGGGAAGTTTCATAATGTTAAACACATTCCTACCCTAAAACCTAGTAATTCCACTCCCTAGGAATTTACCCAATAGAAATGAAATATATGTGTACACAAAAAACTTATACGTGAATGTTCACTATAGCTTTATTCATAATAGCTCCAAACTAGAACATTTTAAATGTTCACCAACAGAAAATTACTTATATTGTTCTTACAATGGAGTACAAATTTAAAAAACAAATGATCATTAAACACAACAATATGAATGAATCTTGGACTCATTTGTGGTGCAAAAAAAGCCATTTATGTGAAATTCAGGAACAGGCGAACGTAATCTTGAAGATAAAAATCAGAACTGTGGTTACCTATTAGAGGGAGGTGAAGATCAAATAGGAAGGGACATGAGGGAACTTTCTGAGGTGATGAGAATGTTCTGTGTCTTGATAAGGATGGCTGTTACACACAGACATCAAATTGTATACTTAAGATCACTATATGTGAATTTTGCCTCAATTAAAAAAAAATCCAGGGTTTCTTGATAACATTTAACCAGGTTAAACATTTACATTTACTTGTGGATTATTTGATTGATATTTACTTCACCCATCAGATTCTGACACTCCATTAGCTAAGTTTACCATTTTGTGTATAGTACCTAGCATAGTATCTGACCCACGACAGTCATTTATTAAATATCTATTAAGTGAATGAATGAATGAATGAATTGGCAGCCATTTGGCAAATGAAAGCATTGCTTTGGTAGATTATTATTTCATATTTAGTATCTTGTAATAGTATAGCTGAGCCTCCCTAATCCCAGGCCCTCTATCTGCTTGCACACCAGTGCTAAGATTATGGTTCCTAAATTTCTTTTTTTCTTTCTCTTTTTTTTTTTGTTTTTTTTTGAGATGGAGTCTGGCTCTGTCACCCAGGCTGGAGTGCAGTGGTGCAATCTCGGCTCACTGCAACCTCCACCTCCCGGGTTCAAGCAATTCTCGTGCCTCAGCCTCCAGAGTACCTGGGATTACAGGCACGTGACACCACGCGTGGCTAATTTTTGTACTTTTAGTAGAGATGTTGGCCAGGATGGTCTTGAACTCCTGACCTCAAGTGATCCACCCTCCTCGGCATCCCAAAGTGCTGAGATTACAAGCGTGAGCCCAAAGTGCTGACATTACAAGTGTGAGCCACCATGCCCGGCCACTTCCTAAATTATTTCATGGATGTTTTCTCTCTTTTCAAAAACTCTAGCAAACATGTTGGTTGCTTAACCAATGTCCATCCTCCTTCTTCCTCCATGCCTATAGAACCTTGATTAGGTTCAAGTAACCAGCCTGCTGTACATGGCTTCAGGGGAGATTGGCCTCAGTAGAGGGGGCGGGGGCTGAGTGGGAGGAACACGGGTGAAACACTAATGGATCATGGGGCTCCCTTCCCCTTGCCAGTGCTTGATCTAGGCATGTGATAGAGTTCTGACCAATTCGAGATGTGAGAAAATCCGCTGGAGGCTTTTGGGAAAGTCTTCTTTGCTCTTACAAAGAGATGAAAAGAAAGAATAAATTATTTTCCTCTGCTGCTGAAAGTTGTTGGATTTGGAAATGTTGTGCTGGTCAGAGGCCAGACTGACATACTGAGGATGACAGAGCAAAAATATTAAAAGAATCTGGGTCTTTGGTGCCCTGCTGAATTAACCTATCCCAGAGTGGTCCAACTTGAAATTCTTGTTATATGGGATAAATGCATCTTTCTTATTTTTTGAGCCATTTCAAATTTAGTCTTTCTATTGCTTGTAACCAAAATAATCCCAACGAGTAAAATGTCATCAACAATACCTCAGTGTCAATGGATAAACTGAAAATTCCTTAATCTCCTTTGTAAGAGGGAACCCAGCCTGGTCTTAACTCCATTTCTACATTTCCATTTCTACATTTGTGTTCTACTTCCTTGACCACCAGTGGTGTGCTAGTAAATATTAACAACCGGTTCTCCAGGGTGAAAAAGCCCTGATTTGTAACATTTACTAATTTTCTTTCTCTTTTCTTTTTCTTTTTTTTTTTTTTTTTTTGAGACAGAGTCTCGCTTTTGTCGCCAAGGCTGGAGTGCAGTGGCACAATCCTGGCTCACTGCAACCTCTGCCTCCCGGGTTCAAACTTCTCCTGCCCCAGCCTCCTGAGTAGCTGGGATTAGAGGCACCCACCACCACGCCTGGCTAATTTTGTATTTTTAGTAGACACGGGGTTTCACCATGTTGACCAGGCTGGTCTTGAACTCCTGACCTCAGGTGATCCACCCGCCTTGGCCTCCCAAAGTGCTGAGATTACAGGAGTAAGCCACCATGCCCAGCCAGCAGTTACTAATTTTCATGGTGCAAATATTTCTACCACTGATAAGTTCATGCTACCAATGTGATGTTGCTGAACAAGGAGCTGGGAAATGTGCAGTCGGCTCTAGCAAGTCAGTAAGAGACAGCTTGAGCTAACTCCAGCAAACCACCATGTTACCACCCAACTGTCTCCCCTGTCTCTAAGTTTTCTCTCTGGAGAGAGTTCAAGGCCCAATCTGTATCACCTCCTTTTAAAGTCTTTGTGTTAAATCCTAAACTATAAATGTGTTTATCAGTCAACTGGAATTTAGCAATTGCCTTGAATTGTTAATTTTCACAAGTATTTGCTCATAAGTGAACCGCTTAATCAATTAATGAAAAATACTTAGCAATAATAAAAATGTCAAAAGAGAGGAGTTTAGTGACACCATCTTACCTTCCTGCACTCCCTAAAGTGTTCCTAGGATTAGGCATTAGGAGAACTCCTAAGAAGAAAATCCCTGCCTCCAGGCCCTAAAATCACTGGAGGTGCTTTATTGTAAATAAGATTTATCAGCTCCCAATTATTGCAAGTAACAGTTTCCCAGGAGAGCTGGGTTAAGAGATTAAAAAAGGGCCCTTGGCAAGATTGGGTGTGTTTCTAGTATGGTCCTGACAAATCCCCTGAGGATGTAAGAATGGGCTTCTAAGGCCATTACAGGCCTAGCAACAAGTAGGTAGAGAAAAGAAGCCAGTTCCTTAGGCTATGAGGAGAGCAAGTGCTACCTTACCTAATTGGAATGCAGGTCAGGTGGGTCAGCTTAATCTCCACCTCACAGGTGACACACCCCAGGCTTGGAGGAAGCATGTACTTAAGACTACCAACACTTTAGCTCAGGCAATGAGGAGAGGCCTGGGAATGGAATGACAAAGTCACTCTGCCCCTGACTAGGTCAGCACTAGGAGGGAGGCCAAACTCAGGCTACTGGAAACTGACAGAGCATTCAGGGGATAGAAGATTGACACTACATCAGGCTCTGGTTATTGCTTTGGGGCATTTACTTGACACTGTCATTAACTCCCCTTTTTTCTTTGTGACTAATGGCCCAGGTTGACCTCAACAGGTACCACATACTAAGAACATTTCCTAAATTATAAAGACATGCTTTTTCTCCCCACATCAGGGAGCTTTGGGGTTCAGTGACTATATCTAATTGGCATCTACTAGAATCTCTCACTGACGTGCCCTCCATTTCCATATTACTGTCCTGATCAGCACTGTGGCTGTTCCCATGTTGCTTATGGTCTATGGACGAGCCTGCAAAGCATAGCAACAACCATAGAGATGTCAATGGAAGTCATTATTTTCAGTTGGAAAAAAATTTAGAATTGAAAAGTGTCACCATTACGTAGGTAACCTTCCTAGTTTAAAAAGAGATAAAATCCTGAGGTCCAAAGAAATTAGTGAAACAAGACCAAAACCTACGAAGGGATCCATGGATACGAGTAAAGTACTCTAGAAGCACCCAAGGGAAAAATATAAGAACTGAGGCACGTTTAAAAATAAAACACTGCCTATAGCAGGAAAGAGGAAGGGAAACTGAGGGGCCAAATAATGAAACTGGGCAGAAAGAGGTCCCAAGTGCTAATCAAGGATGCTGGACCTGCAACACCTTTTAAGCAGACTAGCTGCCCCCAGGCAGTGCCCTTCCACTCCTTCCCCGGGCTGCAGATCACACACAAGTGGCAGCTCTCCTCTTACTTGCCAATATATGATGCTGCAGCTAGTGTCATACTGCTTGCTTCCTTATCTAGACCCTCTATATGAGCAAAAAATACTCAGCAAAATGGGAATTAATGACGATTACATGAATTCTACTGATGTATCTAAGCACCCACTATGTGTAAAGCATGCAAAGATGCAATCATTGCCCTTAAGAAGTTTTCATGAAGAAGACTAGCAGTTAGAGGTCCAAGTCCTTCTCTGCTTGACATCTTTCATCTTATTCAGGAAAAAAGACAAAAGGTGTAAAGGACAAGGCAGCCTGTGACTGCAAACATTCATCCCTGAAAGGAGCTGAAAGGGCTGAGTCTTACTGCCCCAACAGCATATTCTGTTCTTGGTTTCCTACTTCCTACAAGACTTTCCTTTCCTTTAGTTTCCTCCTCCCCTCTTTCTCTATATGAATGATATCTGCAGGCCTTTATGCAGCAAACAGCTTCTAACACTCAGCAAGACAGTATGGTGGCTACTCCTAAAATTAAAGCACAGTCTAGTGAGTTGATGTTTCTCTAGCCTATTCCTATGGAATACCCCGATCTAGACATACACACATCTACAATAATTAGGTTACACTGTGGACACAGTTGTTACTAGTGTCCCTGCTCAGAATCTAGGTTAGCATTTTTGTTTTAAGGTCTGAATCCATTGCCAATACCTCTACATTGAATCATTATATCTATTCCTTTCTCAATTCACGTTGCTACAATCCCCTAGCTCATTACCTCTGACGTAAACTATTGTAAAGTAACTCCACAACTGTCTCTTGCCTTTCCTGTCTCTCTTCTCCCATCTACTCTTCACACCCTGCCTGAAACTAAGATCTGGTCACATCATTTCCCAGCTCAAAAGCCCCCAATTGTCTTTGTTTTGTTTGTTTGTTTGTTTGTTTGTTTGGAGACAGGGTCTTGCTCTGTTGCCCAGGCTGGAGGTCAGTAGCACAATCTCGGCTCACTGCAACCTCCGGCTCCCAGGTTCAAGAGATCCTCCTGCCTCAGCCTCCTGAGTAGCTGGAATTACAGGCATGGGCACCATGCCTGGCTAATTTTTGTATTTTTAGTAGAAATGGGGTTTCACCATTTTGGCCAGGTTGGCCTCGAACTCCTGAACTCGGTGATCCACCCACCCCACAAGTGTTGGGATTACAGGTGTGAGCCACTGGCGCCCTGGCCCAATTTTCCTTAAAGGGAAATTTATCTACTGCAAATAATAAAAATAATAGTAAATATTATTATCTTTGTTATCATTATTCACGTGGTTGGCACGATCCATCCCTAGGGGACTAAATGATTTCAGAGAGCTCATAGATTGCTCTGGGATCATTGTGTAACTGAGAAAGAAAAACTTGTTATTTAGAACCCAACCAGGCCAGGTGCAGTGGCTCACGCCTGTAATCCCAATACTTTGGGAAGCTGAAGCGGGAAGATCACTTGAGCCTAGGAGTTCAAGACCAACCTGGGCAATGTAGTGAGACACTGTCTCTACAAAATTTTTAAAATTAGCCAGGTATGTGCCTGCAGTCCTGGCTACTCAGGAGGCTGAGGAGAGAGGATCACTTGAGCCAGGGAGTTTGAGGCTGCAGTGAACTGAGATCGCATCACTACATTCCAACCTGGGTGACGGAGTGAAACCCTGTCTCAAAAACAAAACAACACAATCAACCCCAACTGTAGCTGCCTACTTTTAAGGTAGGTGATGTAATTCATATAGCAGGGAAAGAATTCTTCACACTGCCTCCTAATAGAATTGGAAGAAGGGAATGGCAGGCCAGGCGCAGTGGCTCACGCCTGTAATCCCAGCACTTTGGGAGGCTGAGGTGGGTGGATCATTTGAGGTCAGGAGTTCGAGACCAGCCTGAATAACATGGTGAAACCCTGTCTCTATTAAAAATACAAAGAATTAGCCAGGCATGGTGGCGCGCACCTGTAGTCCCAGCTATTCAGGAGACTGAAGCAGGAGAATCGCTTGAACTAGGGAGGTGGAGGTTGCAGTGAGCCAAGATCATGCCACTGCACTCCAGCCTGGGTGACAGAGCAAGACTCCATCTCAAAAAACAAACAAACAAAAAATTAAATATCTAGGTATATGCTGTATGGGCCTCTATTTGTACCCTTGCCCCAGACCCCACAAAGTTAGAGGTAGTCCTATTTAAAATTAAAACTGCTTGAGACTAGAGACTATTAACAGAGAACTACTTAAAGGAAAATATGTTTCTCTGCTATTTCTGAAAAACTTTGATTACAAACTTAGATTTTTATTTAAAGCTACTGATTTATCTTGAAAATTTTCTCTGAAAGCCAAATAGGCCCCTATCATATAATTATCTGTGTCTGAAATCACATTTCCCCCCAAAATGTTTGGTGCACCTAAATAACAACTGACACTTGTTGATTGCTTAGTTTCCAAACAGGGTGTGGATCTTTGACCCTAACTTTATCTGGCCCTGTTCTGGTCTCTGCTGGGGCAGCGCCTTCCACCTTTTCTCCTCTGGTTGGTTCAGTCTCCATCCCCTTACTTCTGTTGGCTAGACTTCTAATACGACAAAAGCAATTCATTTTTTGAGTACATAGTTTTAAATTTTTTCTGTTATTTTGAAGATTTTTTTAATAGCAAATACATTGGCCCTTTTCTATTTCTTTCTCTCAAAACACACACACCCCTAACAATTGTTTTTAAAATGAGTCAGATTTTTCCCCCTTCGGGTCATATACTTCTAGTAGGAAACATGTTCCATTTTGCTATATCAGACAGTATTTTGTTAAGGCTTTTGACGTCTGTTTTTTTCCAGTGGCGGTGAGGAAGAAGGTAGGCCAGGTCTGGGCAGGGTCCTAGAGGCTGGGAGGACTGGAGTCAGGTTTTCACACACAGCAGCTGGGAGGGAACAAAGCCAGAGGGTGAATGTAAAACTATATTTGGGGAGGTGTGGCAAAGGTTAATATTAATCTGGAAAAACGAGATCTTGTCATCTTACCAAGTTCAAGGGTCAAATTCAGAGCCAAAAATAGGAGATGAAGTCAGAGATCAGGAACTCAGTAAACCCAAGTCCAGTAGTTAAAGCAGATATGAGGTGAAAGGAACCAGTGCTACAGAGTGAAACAGGTGGAGCCCCAGAGCTCCCTGTATGGGATGAGTGAACCTGAACTAAGTCCGCATTGGATTTAATGAGAGAAGACACGACAGCACCAGCCCAGTGGAATCCAAGTTCTAGTGCTCAGTGAATACTTCTTGCATGATAAAATGGGTTTACTAATTAGTCAACAAGATTTATGAAGCATATATAAGATTCATTAAAATGTGCATATCACCAGCAAATTTAGCAGCTTTCCTAAAGAGAGGCAGAAGGGAGAAAAAAGGTGTGAATGTTAACATTTAAAATTCATTAACATTACAGATGCAGTGGTTACTCCAGACTTTCTCTTGCCACTGAAACAACATCTAATCCAGTCATTTAGAATACAGCTTCTTATTCCAACATGAAGAATAATCTAAACTCTCCCTTTCTCTCTCTCCTTAATCATTCTTCCTGCTTCCCAGCCTGAGCCTGGAACTTTTAATGGAAGTAATGGGTCAAGTCAAGACTAGTTCCACAGTCTTTAGCTGTGTCAAATACTGTAAAATCTCATGCTGGGCTGGGCATGGTGGCCCACACCAGTAATCCCAGCACTTTGGAAGGCTGAGGCAGGTGGATCACCTGAGGTCGGGAGTTCGAGACCAGCCTGGCCAACATGGTGAAACCCCGTCTCTACTAAAAATACAAAGATTAGCCAGGCGTGTTGGCGCATGCCTGTAATCCCAGTTACTCAGGAGGCTGAGGCAGGAGAATCGCTTGAAACCGGGAGGCAGAGGTTGTGGTGAGCCAAGATCGTGCCATTGCACTCCAGCCTGGGTGACAGAGCGAAACTCTCTACAAAAAAAAAAAAAAAAAAAAAAAAAAATAACTACATGCTGAAGGTCTGAGGCAGCTGATCTGGCTGAGAGAGCAACTCCAGCCGTTGGTAACTGGGATTGTTGAAAAGAGCCGTAACCACATGTGATCACATGTGCAGAGCACACACTTCACGGCTTCAGGGTGTGTTTCCCAGCCTAGCGGTAGTGCCTCACCTGGGAGCTCATTGGAAATGCAGACAGGAGACTTGTGGGCATCAAGAGACACCACAGGCCATCTAATGACATCACTATGTCTCTAAAACAGGCTTCTGCAAGCCACTACAACAAGTGGAAGTTTACCTGGGCCGATCAGTTAAGAGTCACTCTCCATTTACTTTTATTTAACTCTTTAGTATCCCACCAGATTTATCTTATATCCAATGGTATGTATTTTTAAGAACCCAAGAGAAAAAAGAAATATCTCAAAGTGCCCTATTTACTAAAGAGCCCAAGGAGTCTCTTTACCCAGCAGCAGCCACAGCAACCACAGCAACAAACAGCATTAGCATCCAGTAAGGTCATAGTGTTTGCCACCATTGTGGCAAGAGATTTATCACAATTAAATGATCACTGGCAGTGTAGAACTGGGTACTAGAAAAAACAGAAATCCCTCTCACCTGGTATATGTTCTGAAAGCAGAATTAAGAAGTATTGACTTCAGATGCACAAAGGTGAATCTTAGTCACTAGACGACCCAGAATAGCTTTTATCAAAAACATGAAAGGTAAGTGTTTCCAAGAATATGGAGAAAAGGGGACCCAGCCCACTGTTTGTGGGAATGTAAATTTGTACAACCATTTTGAAAAACAGTGTGGAGGTTCCTCAAAAAATAAATATAGAATTACCATAAAATCCAGCAATTCAACTTCTGAGTACATATCCAAAGAAATCGAAATCAGTGCATCAAAGAGATATACGCACTCCCATGTTTGTTGCAGCATTATTCACAATAGCCAAGACATAGAAGCAACCTAAATGTCCATCAGCATATAAACAGACACAGAAAATGTGGTATATATACACAGTGGAATACCAGAGAGCCTTGAAGAAGAAGGAAATCTTATTTACAACATGGATGAACCTGAAGGACATAGGCTAAGTGAAGTGAGTCAGGTACAGAAAGACAGATACCGTATAATCTCACTTATATGTGGAATCTAAAAAAGTTGAATTCATAGACACAGAGAGTAGAATGGTGGTTACCAGAGGCTGTGGTGCAGGGATAGAGAAAGCAGAGATGTTGGTCAAAGGATACAAAGTTTCAGTTACACAAAAAGAGTAAGTTTTAGAGATCTGTTGTGCAGCATGACGACCTTGGTTAATAATAAGGTTTTATATATTTCAAAATCGCTAAAAGAGTAGATTTCAAATGTTCTTGCCACACAAAAAAGGTAGGCTAGGTGATGGATATGTTAGTTAGCTTGATTTTAATCTTTCTACATGTATACATATATAAAAACATCACATTTTACCCTTATAAATATATAATCATTATTTGTCAATTTAAAAAGTTTTAAAGGTATTCCAGCTTCCTCCTGCATATGTTAATGAGTAATGACATAATTGAACAAGCACTTTAATTGGCAGCAGTACTATTACCTTCCTAATTTTGACACATCAGATAGTGGCCAGTGCTAAGGACATGAGAGACAATTATTTCTCAATAGAGTGCCACTATTTAGTTTATCAACAAAAACAATTTCTGAGCACTTATCTGCACAAGGTGGAATAAATATTCCATTCCACAAGTTAAATCTAGTTCCTCCTTAGCTTTTCTAAGAGCCTGTGATTTGTTTTAGATCACCAACTCTTAAGTCCTTTCAAATAAAGCCATTTTCATTTTTTGTTAAGAATGAGACCAGGGCATATAATAATGTCAAGGTAACAGTTTTTCTGGCAGGAGCTTGTTCCTGATTATCGCCTCTGCACTCCGGAATGAAGGATCTCACAGACTTATGAGGGGACATTAGCTTAAATAGGAAGAGAACAATAAAGAGGATCAGGGATTTGAGTACAAGGTGATAAAGCCTAGAAACAGATGGCTTGATGAAGAATGTTAAATAGGGTTAAAGATACTGATCTGCATGCTATTTTTAGTGTCCTTCTCAAAAACTGGAGAAATTAATATTTTAGGAGTTTAGCCTAAGATATACAACAAGAATTATAAATATATAAATACAGATATTGGAGAACAAATGCCTCAATAAATAGAACTAATAGCAGCTGCCATTTTAGAATGTGGTATATGTGTAGCACATGGAAAGCTAAAGAATTGATGGTTTCTCACTCAATCCTCTCAACAACGCTTTCTTTAAAAGTCTTCAGTGAAGTTTTAGAAAACACCACAATTAGCCGGGCGTGGTGGCTCACGCCTGTAATCCCAGCACTTTGGGAGGCCAAGGCGGGCGGATCTCTTGAGGTCAGGAGTTCAAGACCAGCCTGGCCAACATGGTGAAACCCCATCTCTACTAAAAATACAAAAATTAGCCAGGTGTGGTGGCACACATCTGTAGTCCCAGCTACTCGGGAGGCTGAGAGAGGAAAATCACTTGAACCCAGGAGGCAGAGGTTGCAGTGAGCTGAGATCACACCACTGCACTCCAGCCTGGGTGACAGAGTGAGACTCTGTCTCAAAAACAAAAACAAAACAAAACAAACAAAAAAACCCACCACAACCTTATCTGAACTGAGTTAGAGAAGATAAAATATAAGATAGGTCTCAGGGGCTGGGCGCGGTGCCTCATGCCTGTAATCCCAGCACTTTGGGAGACTGAGACAGGTGGATCACCTGAGGTCACGCGTTCGAGACCAGCCTAACCAACATGGAGAAACCCTGTCTCTACTAAAAATACAACTGGGCATGGTGGCACATGCCTGTAATCCCAGCTACTTGGGAGGCTGAAGCAGGAGAATCGCTTGAACCCAGGAGGCGGAGGTTGCAGTGAGCCGAGATCGTGCCATTGCACTCCAGCCTGGGCAACAAGAGCGAAACTCTGTTTCAAAAACAAGCAAACAAAACACACACACACACACACACACACACACACACACACACAAATAGACCTCAGGAAAGACTGAAACCCAGGGCTAAAATGTTTCCAGAATTCTCTGTAGCCTCTATTACAACTTCTTTCTGCATGTGAGCATTATTCTCTCCCACTACAGACTGACTTCTTCCACACCAGAGGGGAATATCAACTTCAGAGCCTCACATCTTACAGTGCTCACCACCAGAAAGGACCTAAGACTACCTTTCTCTGTGTGAATTCAAAAATCTGATGGAAAGGCTCTGATCAGACCATATTGGGTCAGGTGACCATCCTCAGACAAATACATTATGTCTAATATAGGGGATAGTGAAATATTTTGTTTGGGTCAGTTTTCTAGCCCTAGAGCAATTATTGTGGCAGGGAAATAAGCCCCCACATGAATTACACAACTGAAAAAAGAGATGTGGTCAGGTGCTCTGTTCATACTTGAGACAAAAGAGCAGAGGAGACACAGAGCTCTGATAGTCTGTTTGTCAGGTTGCAAGAAGGATCTGCAGAGCTCTGGAGCTTGAATGGCCTTGAGTGAGGGCACTTGGCGAACAGGACAAGTGACTACCAATATGAATTTTAGAAAATACAAGCATTCCTTGGAGATTCCTAGAATTTTATGGAGAAATAGGCCTTCCAGTGTTTTCCAAAGGGAGCAGGAAGGACTGAGAAAGTGCATGACCCTTCAGTTTAAGAACACTTCCTGGAAGGTGCATACAATATTTTGCTTACATCCATTGGCCAGAACTTGGATCAGAACATGATCACACTCAGCTGCAAAGGAGGCTGATATGAGCATTATTTATTCTGGGTGGCCATTTGCCAGGTTAAAATTAAAAATTCTTTTACTAAGAAAGAAGGCCAGATGGAAATTAGAAGAAAACTAGCAACATATATCATAGACCATGCAATGAATATTTATTTATTATTTTGTCTCATCATAACAGTACTTTTATTCTTTGGAGAGAATGGTTCTCTCCTTCTGCAACCATGTGATTTTGAAGGGACTTGCCTATAACAGTATCCCACTTCCCTGATGGTAGAGATAAGTTCCTAACCCAGCTTGTTTCAAGCATAATACCTCCGTCTGCCTTATCCTCAGTGATTTGTGCAAAGGTAACACATAGTCCAAATGTGACCTATGAGAGCCCTTTCCTGGGATTTTCTAACTGAATTTTTCTCGGGTTACAAGGTCATAAATATATAAGCCCAGGGCTACTTAAGGCTATAGTTGAGATACGGTGACAGCAACTTAAAAGAATAAAGCCAGTACGGAAAGAGAAAAGTGAAAAGTGAAGAGAGAGAAATGAGAAATTTCTGAATAATATCCAAGCTCTTGGTGCCAGTCATCCATAAAAATAAATCCACCCTTACCCTTTCTGCAGATTGGCCATATAAACCAATATGTCTCCGATTACTGCTTAAGCTCATTCCATCTAGGATTCTGTAATTTGCAATCAAAAGTATATTTATATTTAGAATTTATATAAATTGTAGAAATACTTAGAAATGAAATTTCTAAACAGTTAAAGCTATACTATATTCATAATCAGTGGAAGCCATTAATCATGTGATGTGTTCCTGCTAAATAGTCTCCAACTTTCAGCCTTCAGATAACGTAAATCAAAGGTATTACATTGTATTGTACTGTGTTGTGTTCTGTTGTGTTGTATTGGGCTGTATTATATCAGGTGATTCTGAACAATCACCTACCGAACCTAGCACCTGTTAACTAGGCTCTAGGGATATAAGATTATAGCACTATCTCTAACTTCAAGGTCCTCATCTTCTATAGGGAATACAGAGAGGTAATAAATAATTATAATACCATGCAGAAATATAAAAGGTAAAGCCGGGCACAGTGGCTCACACCTGTAATCCCAGCACTTTGGGAGGCTGAGGTGGGTGGATCACCTGACGTTAGGAGTTTGAGACCAGCCTGGCCAACGTGGTGACATCCCGTCTCTACTAAAACTACAAAAAATTAGCTGGGCATGGTAGTGCACACCTGTAGTCCCAGCTACTTGAGAGGCTGAGGCAGGAGAATCGGTTGAACCTAGAAGGCAGAGGCTACACTGAGCTGAGATCAGGCCGCTGCACTCCAACCTAGGCAACAGAGTGAGACTCCATCTCAAAAAATAAATAAATAAGTAAATAAGATAATCAATGGCACAAAAGCAGAAGTGATCAACTTGACATTTCTAACTTCATCTGCCAAAGAAGATTTCTTATAATAATCTGCTAGTGTCCTTTAGTGCTAAAAGGATAACTGCTAAAAAAAAAAAGTGTATTTTCTTAAAATTCCAAATTGGAAATATTTCTTTTCTTTATTATTTCCCTATGAAATAATTATATTCTATTCTATTTTATCCTGAGAGATTTTAAGTAGAATAATTAAAAAACTGACTAATTTGGTGAGTTCAAAATATTGAGATGATTAATTAGTCAAGACCATATGAATTTCTCAGACATTTTTAATACAAGGAAAAAATACAATTAAAAAAGCTTTCTGAAGTATCCAAAATAACATATCACTATCTGAATCACAAAACCATAATTTTAGGCTGAATTCCCTTAAATAGGAAAATTAACTTTTTAGATAGTAGGTGGTATTCAATAATACTTATGTTTTCACTAGATCATCTGTACATAACTATTTTTCTCAAAAGAGTTATTTATTTAAATCAAACAGGTTTGACAAGGCTCTAGGATGCAGTTGTCAATAGTATCCTTAACACAACAGATACCATGAAGCCAAACACATAGAGCCAAGCAAGCATTAACAAGTTCTGTAGAGCCCAGCTCAAGCTAAAGTGATCATTGGATTCAATACAATCAAGATCATTTGGCCTAATAAAAGGTTCGGGATTCTCAAGAGAACCTGGGCAAAGCCAAATTAAGAGAAAAGGCAATGTGAAAGAAAAATTAAACACTTCACTGTGGGTTTTTTTTCCATTTTTTTTAATTGTGGTAAAATACACATAATACAAATGTACTACAGTATCTTAGCCATTTTTAAGTACCATATACAGTTCAATGGTATTAAGCACATCAATATTGTTGTGCAATCATGACCACCATCCAACTCCAGAATTCTTTTCACTTTGCAAAACTGAAACACTATATTCATTAAACAATAAGTCTCCATTCTCCCTGTTCCCCCTAACCCTTGGCAACCACCATTCTACTTTCTGTCTCTATATTTTTTATTGCTTTATGTACTTTGTGCTTTTTGAGACAGGGTTTCGCTCTTGTTGCCCAGGCTGGAGTGCAATGGCACAGTCTCAGCTCACTGCAACCTCCGCCTCCCAGGTTCAAGCGATTCTCCTGCCTCAGCCTCCCAAGAAGCTGGGATTACAGGCGTGAGCCACCACGCCTGGTTGCTCTAGGTACTTTGAATAAGTGAAATCATACATATAGTATTTGTCTTTTTTTGTGACTGGCTTATTTTACCTAGCATAATGTCCTCAAGGTTCATCCATATTGTAGCATATGTCAGAATTTCCTTCCTTTTTAAGGCTGAATAATATTCCATTGTGTATATATAGCATATTTTATCAATTCATATGCTGATGAACATTTGGTGAACTGTACTGTTTTTATGAATTACAATTATATATTAATAATCTCTAGTATCGGCTATATTCAATAAATATACTAGAAAAATAGTTGAATTGATGGTGAGTTAGGAAATTCAGTTTTGTTTCCAAATCTCAAAAGATACCAGAGAGAATATATTTATCTATACAGTTAATTAGATGAATAATTTTTGTCAAAATTGTTATAAGTTTAATAGGAAAGTTTCAGTGATAAAACAACAATCCCTACTGTGGTATGTTGACAGAAGGACCCATCCACCCACAAACTGTTGCTTGATTAAACCCATTGTCCAGGGTTCTGATATCAGCAGGCTATGGAACACCAACAATTCTATCTATATTTGAATTGTGATTCAAGCGAGGTCATTCTTGATACTTAGAAGACTTATGTTTGGCACATAAGTAACTATAGTAAGTAACTGCATTTATGACCCTATTGCTTAAGGATGCTTTAGATTTCTAGAAGCAATAGCTCAAGAATGAACTTACTGGAGGGTCCAAGAGAAGTTTCAACAATTTAGCCCAAAGAAAGCTCAAGGAAAGCGTTTATTTGCCACTGTCTCCAGTAGAGGTTGTTCATTCTCTCAGAGTCCACAGTCTCCAGGACAAGCAATTTGGTGGTTGCATTCTCTTGGCTTCCCATTTTTCATATAAGAAACAGAGGATCCAAAATATTTCAGTAACTCACCCTAGGTCATATAGCAGGGAAGGTGCAATGGGTTCTCCAAAGATGCTGTCGTCTCTGAAATCTTAAAAGTCCAGTAATCCACAACCTATACAAATCTCCTATCCCTCCATCTGTTTACCCCTCATACTCTCCACACCCCTCTTTTAGCACCACAGCCAGCTCAAGTTCTAGATATCTTCATTTTCTCTGAGTCTATCTAGAAGAGCCCAGGTCCCATAGTCAAACTGTTCATGCACTGGTTCTCTCTTGTCCTTACATACATAATTCATGAACTCCTAATGTTGGATCAGTCAAACTGATTTCTCTGCTACTGCATTCTAAGTACAGCTGGGGAAAATTACACCTGTGGATTGATAACAATACAAATTTTTAAATATCAAATTTAAGTTAGAAAACGCTTCTCTCATTCCTTCAGTCACGATTCTAAACTTTAACCACCATCTTCCTTTATGACCATCACCTTGCTCCTTCTCAAAAGATGACCTAATCTCCCAGTTCACTTAGAAAATTGAGGCCTTGGTGTGGATGGGAAGGAATTTCCTTACCCTCCAGGCCCTACATTTATAAGGCTGTTTACAGCTGAATCTATCCTTATCTCACACAAGTTTCTGAACAAAAACCCTTCCCTCTAGCGTAGAGGAAATGCCCCTTCGAAATGCCCCTTCTGTTCAAGGTTAACATTCCCCGTTATTGTTCATAGTTTTATCCCCTTCTGCTTCCTCAGGGAATTTGTGCCATTAATGTTTCATTTATCTTCTATATTTTCCATTTCTCTTTCTCTCCTGGATTCCTCCCTACAGCCCACAGCACCCTCATTTTAAAACAAATAAAGCAAAAGTCAGCTTCATAAAACATTCGTTGGAACCTGTGTCTCCTTTAAACTGCTGAGCTTCCTCACAAATGAGCTTCTTGAAATGTACACCAAATCTCTCCTCTCTACTTCCTCAACTCCCATTTGCTCTTCAAACCACTTGAATTGGGCTTCCATTTCCACCAGTTCACTGAAACTGTTCTAGCAAATGTCTGTAGCAGCTGTACTTGTCACCCTTTCATGATTACTATTGTTTACCTATGTGTTCTGTTTTGTCATTGAATATAGCTTTGAATTTTTGTCTGTGCAGTTACTGCACAGTTTTTCTTGTTTTTGTTTTTTGAGAGACTTTTGCTCTTGTCACCCAGGCCCGCCACCACACTGGCTAATTTTGTATTTTTAGTAGAGACAGGGTTTCACCATGTTGGCTGGGCTGGGTCCTCGAACTCCTGACCTCAGGTGATTCACCTGCCTTGGCCTCTCAAAGTATTGGGATTACAGGCATGAGCCATGGCACCTGGCCTCTATTTTTTATTTTTATTTTTATCCCCTTATCTGATTTTTCATTGTATTCTTGATTGTGCCCAGCAAGAAGAAATCTAACGAATATTTGTTAAATAAATTAAAGAAAAATTTAAGTAACATGAAAGAGCACGATGCCACCATATTTTAGATGAGGCACAAGGCTAGGCCTAAACAAAACTTTTCTCTGGTGACAACTACCTGCATTATACTCCTCATTAACCTCATCTTGCTGTTTCTGGCTCAGTGCTCTTCTGCTGTCCCACAGAGCCTGTTACTTTCCCTTCTACTGCCATAAAATTTACCTGTCCTATTTTTTATTTCCTCAGGGTCTAAGATTTCAGCCAGCAAGTCAGACAAACTAATTTTCATTAATAGAGAACAGTAATTGGAGAAGCCAAAAGAAGCACATGCCTAGGCAATAAATGTGCATTTTTAATAAAACGCTGTGCTTTTTCTAATTATAAAATACATTTTTATTGTTGAAAAAATTTTAAGCACCAAAATATAGAAAATAAAAAGCACACACACACAAAAATCAGACAAGTCATAACATTTTGGTTTTAATATAGCATAGTAGTTAAGAGCCCAGACTCTGCTGCCTAAGCTTGAATCCCAGCTCTACCACCTTCCAGCTCTTTGACCTTGGGCAAGTGACTTAACCTGTCTATGTCTCAGCTTTATCATCTGTAAAGCAGAGATAGTGATAGTACCTATTATTGCTATGAGAATTAAATGAGCTAACATATGTGAAGTGCTTAAAACACTCTCTGGCACATAATAAGGTCTATGTTAAGTATTTGCTATTATTGTTTTGGCAAATATCCTTCCAGATAGATAAGACAGACCAACAGAGAAGAGATATAACTATAAACACACATACTTTAAAAAGTATTGGAACCATTCTTTACCTATGTTTTCTTATTTGCTTTTGTCACTTAAAAGCACACCATAAGGCCAGGCACGGTGGCTCATGCCTGTAATCCCAGCACTTTGGGAGGCTGAGGCGGGTGGATCACTTGAGGTCAGGAGTTCGAGACCAGCCTGGCCAACATGGTGAAACCCCGTCTCTACTAAAAATACAAAAAATTAGCTGGGCATTGTAGCACACACCTGTAATCCCAGCTACTCAAGAGGCTGAGGCAGGAGAATCGCTTGAACCCGGGAGGCGGAGGTTGCAGTGAGCCGAAATCCCGCCATTGCACTCCAGCCTGGGCAATAAGAGCGAAATTCTGTCTCAAAAAAATAAAAGAAAAAAAAAAGCACACCATGAGGCCAGGCATGGTGGCTCAAGACTGTAGTCCAGCACTTTTGGCGGCTAAATTGGGAGGACTGCTTGAGCCCAGGAGTTCCGAGACTAGCTTGGGCAACATAGCAAGAACCTGTCTACAGAAAAAAAAAAAAAAAAAAAAATAGCCAGGTATGGTGGTGCATGCCTGTAGTCCTAGCTACTTGGTAAATTGAGGTGGGAGGATTGATTGAGACCAGGAGTTTAAGGCTGCAGTGAGACATGATCTTGCCACTGTACTCTAGCCTGGGCGACAGAGCAAAATCCTGTTAAAAGAAGAAAAGAAGAAAAGAAGAGGAAGAAGAGGAGGAAGAGGAATAAGAAGAAGAAGAAGGAGGAGGAGGAGGAGGAGGAAGAAGAAGAAGAAGAAAGTATACCATGAGTATCTTCCCACATTTTAAAATTCTTCAACAGTAGATGTTTCAAACTGGTAAACCTGTGGATAGAATTTAATCGTGTCTTGGCCAAAACAGTATTCTTTTATAATGTAAATTAATGCCTCCACGTGGAATATAAACTCTCCAGTTCACCACCGTCCTCACCAATCCCTAGTGTCTTCACACATATACTTTACTTGCTAAACAACTGAAGGCATTTGAGTTTTTAACCCCCAACATAATTTTTAGTAACTGCATATTATCTTATTACATGACTAGGACATTCTGTAATTACTCAGTTTCCATTGTTAGACATTTAACTTTTTTTTGACCCACTATTATAAATAATGCTGGGAAGAACATCTATAAATCTTTGTTATACTTATTTTCTACATCTCTTTTCCTAAAAATAAAAATGCTGGGTCAAAGTCTGAATGCGTTTAAGACCTTTAATATGTATTGCTCAATTACCTTATAAAAAAATTGTACTACTGTACATTTCTACCAGCCCACTTTTCTGACGTTATTGATATCTGTATTATCACTTTTAAAACTTTTGCCCAAAAAATCTAATAATAAAATAATATACATCTTTTAAATATGGCCTTTTGAGGACAAAATATTCTTCCCTCCAGCCTCCCAAACTCATTCTTTTCCCTGCTGCCCAGACAACTAAGTGAAATAGTTGGAGGAAGGCAATAATCCTAACTATAGCCATCAATATTATCCTTAACATCAACACTTCAATATTATCCAGTGTCTTTATGTCACAAAGAACTTGCCAGTGGTAAAAAAGAGGAGTTAAAATATAGGATATTTTTAGTCTCTGCTAATCTCTACCATGTAGTGTTAACAGTAACAGTAGTTATCATCTACTGCTCATTTTACTATGTTTAAGCACCGTAGCAAGCATTTTGCCTTCATTCATCCTCACAACAATACATACTAATATTATGACATATTATCAATATTAGTATGTACTATACATATTAATAATTTTTTTTGAGATGGAATCTCGCTGTCACCAGACTGGAGTATAGTGGCGCGAACTTGGCTCACTGCAACCTCCACCTCCCAGGTTTAAGCGATTCTCCTGCCTCAGCCTCCCAAGTAGCTGGGACTACAGGTGTGCGCCACCACACCCAGCTAATTTTTGTATTTTTAGTAGAGACCAGGTTTCACCATGTTGGCCAGGATGGACTCAATCTCTTGACCTTATGATCCGCCCACCTCAGCCTCCCAAAGTGCTGGGATTACAGGCGTGAGCCACCGCACCCAGCCTAATAATATTATTTTAAGAATTATAATGGACAACACTGAGGATCACACAGGTTAAGGAGACTTGTTTAAAGTTACATGATAAGTGGCAAAGCCAGGATTCAAGCCCAAGCTAGTTTAACTCCAAAACCATGACATTAGAATGTCTCTAAGCAGTTATTACTAATAAATCTGTTTCATTTAGTACTTTTAATTTCTCAAAAGACTTTCATATACATAGTTTGGCCCTAATAAGTCTGTGGGATATGATTAAAGGTATTGGGATCAATTCTAGATTAGGGAACTAAGGCAAAGTCTGCTCCAATATAATAATAAACACATGTCCATTGCTGCCTATTAGGGTCATAACCAGCACCATACCTGCAGTTAGAACTCAAAAATTACTCACATAAGCACTTTAAGTTAGATGTAGATGACAGCCCTATAGATATCACACACACATAGTTTCTGCTAGCTGCAGCAAGAATGCCAGTGACAGAATTATGACAGGAGTTCTGGCCAACTCCAACCCATCCTCATTCAGCAAGCTTGTTCTTTCTCTGTTTCTGCTCCCAGCTGACAGAGCTACTTTAAAAAAAGAAATCATTTCTGCAAACATGTGAAGCAGCTCAACCCTCTGGCATTTAGCAGAATAGGACTCTGTCAGAATAATCTAGAAATCTGTTTTCTGATGCTAGAATTAAAATGCCTGTGTTTTTAGTATTTTTTGGTATTGTTATGCCATTAGATTTGTCCAAAAATATAAATATATGCATAGGCTTTGACTTGTTCAAAATAGCATATTTTGAACATTGCGGCTTTATTATTTTATGTTTACTTATGGGCCTTTAAAAATGTCATTATGAGCCAGGCACGGTGGCTCACACCTGTAATCCCAGCACTTTGAGAGGCTAAGGCAGGAAGATCACCTGAAATCAGGAGTTTGAGACCACCCTGGCTAACATGATGAAACCCCGTTTCAACTAAAAATACAAAAAATTAGCCAGGCATGGTGGTGTGCACCTGTAATCCCAGCTACTCAGGAGGATGAGGCAGGAGAATCGCTTGAACCCAGGAGGCAGAGGTTGTAGTGAGCTGAGATCGCGCCATTGCACTACAGCTTGGGCAACAAGAGCGAAACTTCATCTCAAAAAAAAAAAAGGTCAGTATGATTTAGAGTACTAATACAGTACACTGCATAACTGATTTTAACAGCTTTTTTCATAAGACCAACACTTGACAGCTTCCCAATACTTAAATATTTTCTGATTAGTGATATATTGGTAATACAGTAATCCAATCCAGAGCTAGGCTTGGGAGAAATTGAGCCCAAGAAACGAGTGGTCATAACAGCAGGGGAGAAAAAGGCAGCCTGAGTCCGGGAGGCCTAAGCCTCAGAGACAGAGAGGGGAACACAGGGTTCAGGTATGGGTGGCATGGATGCCCTCACTGACAAAATACAGTGCTATTTAGAGCATCTAATGTCCTCTAACACAGAACCATCAGCTGCCTGGGTTCCAGTCTCTAGAAAAGAGAAAAACAATATGCCAACCACAACCCTAATGCAAGGGTTACCATATGTATATGTTTCTATTGTCTTCCTTAGGCTTACGTCATTTTTACAGTTGCAATAATAGTAGGTACTCAGTTAATATTAGCATTGTGTGCCAAGAACAGTGCTAGGTAGGGGGATAATCCTTATTTTCACACCAAACCTGCAGAGTAGCTAACAATATCCTCATGGGACAGATAAGGACACTGATGCCCAGAGAGTCAAGCCACACAACTGGTGAGGGGATAAAGTTAAGATTGGGACCCTAGTTGCTTTGGGTTCAAAGTCAGTATCTTTTAATGACATCACAACTGCCTCTCCCATAAAATATCTTTGCCTGCTACTTACGCATACATTGCTTTTTGGTGAGACTTTATCATGTTACTATGTGGTCTTCACCATTGTAACTGTTTTTTTTTTTTTTTTGAGACATTCTCTGTCTGCCGTCCAGGCTGGAGTGCAATGGTGCAAACTCGGCTCACTGAACCTCCCCTTCCCGGGCTCAAGCGATCTTCCCCCCTCAGCCTTCCAATTAACTGGGACCACAGGCACGTGCCACCACACCTGGTTAATTTTTGTATTTTTTTGTAGAGATGGGGTATTGCCATGTTGCCCAGGCTGGTCTTGAACTCCTGGGCTGAAGCAATCCTCCCACCTGGGCATCCCAAAGTGCTGGGATTACTGGCAAGAGCCACCGTGCCCAGTTCATTGTAACTTTTTTTTTTTTTTTTGAGACAGAGCCTTGCTCTGTTGCCCAGGCTGGAGTGCAGTGGCGCGAGCTCGGCTGACTGCAACGTCCACCTCCCTGCTCAAGTGATCCTCCTGCCTCAGCCTCTCAAGTAGCTGGGATTACAGGCATGTGCCACCACACTCAACTAATTTTTGTATTTTTGGTAGAGATGGGGTTTTGTCATGTTGGCCAGGCTGGTCTGAAACTCCTGGCCTCAAGTGATCACCCACCTCAGCTTCCCAAAGTGCTGGGATTACAGGCTGAGCCACCACACTTGGCCCATTGTAACTTTTTTGAAGTTCAGCATTCCAAGGAGTGAAGCTATCATTATTATGTAATCAACCATTTTTCCGTTGCTGAAATTTTTATGATCATAAATAAAGCTACAGTGAATATGAAAAATTTGTTTTAATAGAATGATCCACAAAGGAGCGGATCTAGAAATAAACATCATGAAATTAAGAAAATTAAGATACACTTTAAGACCATTTCCATATTGATTAAAATCATTAGTTTTTCTTACTTAATAAAAAAATCTTTGTTCCACAACAGCTTAATAACAACAACACATACACACACACAAAATTGAATAATGTGAGCTCATGTATGTCATTAACTCATTCTTAGAATTGAATTATTCATCTAGTAAGATCTAAATGGAAGCAATGTATAAACACTCAGCTGTCTAACCCTTTTAAAATAATGGTAAACTGCTCTTTTACTGCTCCTATTCATCCTATAGACAAAAACTACAACTGTTAATTTTTAAATATGGCATGTCCTTTATTTAGGGCAATTTTCAAGCATATACGAGAAAATAAGAGCTAGCAAAAATTAGATCAGATACAGTCCGGTCAACTCAGCATTCTATCTAATGGAAGTGATGCTGAAGATCAATTCCTAAGAAAGCATGCTGGCTGTCCTTGATAGGAGAGATCACAAAATGTTCAAGAAGCCGCACAAAATACCCTCTTTTTTTTTTTTTAAGTAAAAGCTTATTGCCCATTCCTTAATCTGAAGAAAAGGACTATTTATAGATAGTGAATCAAATACAAGCATTTGCCTTGTATAAACCCCACTAAAATGGCAGTAAAGGCATACAGCTCCAAGAACAAAGAGAATGGGAGAAAAGATACACGACATTTTGAAAGTTGGCTAATAAGTATCTATTTTGGCAGATGATACCTTATATAAATTTCAAGCCTCTTCATATATTTTCCTTTTTTATTAAAAATTGCTAATTATGAAAAATTCAAGACTGGTATAATCTGGACAGTATTGTTCTCTCACTACAGATGAAGTTTGTATCTACTTTTCTTTTTTTATTTTCTAGATTGAGTCTTACTCTGTCTCCCAGGATGGAGTGCAGTGCCGCGATCTCAGCTCACTGCAACCTCCACCTCCCGGATTCAAGCGATTCTCATGCCTCAGCCTCCCGCGTAGTTGGGATTACAGGTGCATGCCACCATGCCCAACTAATTTTTGTATTTTCAGCTGAGACGGGGTTTCAATCATTCTGATATCTTTTAAATAAAATATTTATTTTATATCTCTTTTTAAATCTAACAAACGAATATATTTATAAACTGGTAGCTTTGTTTGTTTTTTTCAGATGGAGTCCCATTCTGTTGCCCAGGCTGGAGTGCAGTGGTGCAATCATAGCTCACTGCAGCCTCCACCTCCCCAGGCTCAGGGCACCTCAGCCTCCCAAGTAGTTGGGACTACAGGCATGCCTTCACACCCTAATTTTTGTATTTTTGTTGTAGTGACAGGGTCTTGCTGTGTTGCCCAGGCTGGTCTCAAACTCCTGTGCTCAAGCAGTCCACCCGCCTCAGCCTCCCAAAGTGCTAGGATTACAGGCGTGAACCACTGGGCCCAGCTAAACTGGTGCTGTAATCCATTTATCCTAATTATTGTGATTACTGACACATTTAAATGAGTTATTTTCCCCCACTTTATTTTTTTGCTTTTTAGATTTCTTTTCCATACCCTTTTCTCTTCACTTCCTGCTTTCTATTGGATTGACTATGTTTTCTTTATTCTTTCTTTCCTCTATTTAGTATCCAAGTTTTACATTTTATTTTCATTCTTTAAATTGTTTATTTATTTATTTATTTTTACTTTTTTGAGGCAGGGTCTCACTGTGTTGCCCAGGCTGGAGTGCTGTGGCATGATCTCAGCTCACTGCAATCTCCACCTCCTGGGTTCAAGTAATTCTCCCACCTCAGCCTCCTGAGTAGCTGGAACCACAGGCACACACCGCCACACCTGGCTAATTTTTGTATTTTTAGTAGAGACGGGATTTCGTCATGTTGCCCAGGCTGGTCTTGAACTCCTGAGCTCAAATGATTCACCCACCTCAGCCTCCCAAAGTGCTGGGATTACAGGCATGAGCCACCTCGCCCAGCCTAAGTTGTTATTCTTAATTTTTATTATGCATTCTTAAATTATAAAGTCTAAAATTATGGCACTTCATGATTTTTGAGTTTTATGTTTTGCTTAGAAAAGCTAATCTCAGTTTCAAGAATAAAAATTATTTTTATTTTCTGTAGTACTTTTATAATTTTTGTCTGTACATTTTAGTAATTAACTCATCTATAATTCTTTCTGTGTAGGGTTTCAGGGAGGGAATCTACCTTTATTTAGTGTCCAAATAAATAACTAATGGTCTGAACACCTCTTATACTGTCCATTTCTTCCCCACTGATTTGAAATGTAATCTTTATTATTAAGTAAATTTCCATATATATGGATCTATTTTGATACATTCTACTCTATTCCAATCTATTTAGCTTTCCTTTGCCATTACTAAACTATCTTAATTACTCTTGTCTTTCTAATATCTAATAGAGCAAGTTCTTCCAGCCCTATATGCTATTCATTGCTCTTTAAAAACAGAAAAGAAAAAACTTTTACAATTGTCTGTTCTTGTCTATATTCTCTCTTCATATGTCAAGTTCCTATCCTCAATTCTCTCTTCATATGTCAAATTCCTATCAAGGTTTTGATTGAGATTACATTGAATTTAATGATTAATTGAGAGATTACCATAATCATAAGACTGAATATTATCATAAATTATATTATCTCTTCATTTATTAAAAAAAAAATTTTTTTTGAGACGGATTCTCGCTCTGTCACCCAGGCTGGAGTGCAGTGGCGCGATCTAGGCTCACTGCAAGCTCCGTCTCCCGGGTTCAAGCCATTCTCCTGCCTCGGCCTCCCAGTAGCTGGGACTACAGGTGCCCACCACCATGCCCAGTTAATTTTTTGTATTTTTAATAGAGACAGAGTTTCACCGTGTTAGCCAGGATAGGCTCAATCTCCTGACCTCGTGATCGCCTGCCTCGGCCTCCCGAAGTGCTGGGATTACAGGCATGAGCCACTGCGCCTGGCCTATTCAAAATGTTTTAAAGTGTCTTTCAGAAAATATTTATACTTTCTTTCTCATATAAGTGTTACACATTTCTTGTCCAGTTTAGGCTTTTGTTATTCTTATAAATGTAATTTTTTTCCTCTACATTTTTTCATTAGTTATTGTGGCATAAGAGCAGATACTGATTTTGTTTTCCTTATACGGAGCCATTTTATTGCACTCTCATTAATTCAAATTAGTGCTTCATTGGTTGTCTTAGATTACCTCTATTGCCTGTGTATATAATGATTTTTGTTGCTTCCTTTCCAGTATTTAACTCATTTCTATGTTTCTTTTCCATTGGCTAAGACCTCTAGAACACTGTTGAATAGCAGCAGTTATAGCAGGCATTTTTTGTGTTATTCATGAAAAGCCTTCTAACGTTTCATAATAAACTGTGATGTTTAAGTTTTTAAATAGATAGCCTACATCAAATTAAGGAAATTTCCTTTTCCTAGCTTACAATAGCTTTTATCAGGAATGGGAGTTAAATTTTATCAATAGGGTTTTCAGTATCTTAGAAAGATGATCTCTTTTATTATTTTTCTTTCAGTATACTGAACATATTCCTTAAGGTCAACCACAGTTGGATCAAACCTACTTGGTTAATTCAGTTCATTCAATTCAACAAATATTCATGTACTTAATATATGCCAGGCAGCTTTCTGGCCACTTAGCTTGTATTAAAGGAACTCACAATGATTCCTACCCTCATGGAGCTTATATTCTAGTAGATATCCATGATCTATTTTTTGTTTAACCTGTTGTTGAATTAAAATTGCTAATTTTTGATTTAATATTTTTATATTTACATTTATAAATGAGATTGATACAAGTATTTCTTTCTGTGCCATACTTGTTTGCTTCCCTTATTAAGATTTACCTTACAGAAATATATTGCAAATGTCTCATTATTTTCTATGCTATGGAAATGTGAAAGTAACAAATGAATTTGTCTCTTCTTTAGAGATTATCTATAACTTGCCCATAAAATCACCTAGACTTGAGACCTTTTCTTTCCTTTTTTTTTTTTTTGAGATGGAGTCTCACTCTGTTGCCCAGGCTGGAGTGCAATGGTGCAGTCACTGCTCACTGCAACATCTGCCTCCTGGGTTTAAGCCATTCTCCTGCCCCAGCCTCCCAAATAGCTGGGATTACAGGTTCCCGCCACCATGCCCAGCTAATTTTTGTATTTTTAGTAGAGACAGGGTTTCGCCATGTTGACCAGGCTGGTCTCAAATTTGTGACTTCAAGAGATCTGCCCTCCTCGGCCTCCCAAAGTGCTGGGATTACAGGTGTTTGCCACAGCGCCTGGCCTCTTTTCCTTTTTTTAATTAAAAAAATTTGTTTCATCGTAGTTAAAAAAATACATACAATTTACCATCTTAATAATTTTTAAGTGTACAGTTCAGTCATGTTAACTATATTGTGCTCTTTTTCTTCTTCAATAATTTTTTTTAATATCTTAGATTCCCCACCTCTTTTTGAGTCAATTTTGGTTTGTTATATACTTAGATAAATTTCACCCGAATTTTAAATTTATTGCTATAAGGTAATATGCAATACATTAGTATGCTTTTAAAATCTTCACTATTTCTGTGATTATATGTCCTTTTCATTCCAATGCTTTGTTGTTGTTGTTTTTGTTTGTTTGTTTCGAGACAGAGTCTCACTCTGTTGCTCAGGCTGGAGTGCAGTGGTGCCATCTCAGCTCACTGCATCCTCCGCCTCCCGCGTTCAAGCGATTCTCATGCCTCAGCCTCCAGAGTAGCTGGGATTACAGGCTCATGCCACCACACCCGGCTAATTTTTTGTATTTTTAGTAGAGATGGGGTTTCACAATGTTGGCCAGGCTGGTCTCAAACTCCTGGCCTCAAGTGATCCACCCACCTCGGCCTCCCAAAGTGCTAGGAAAACAGGCGTGAGCCACTGCACCTGGCCCTGATGCTATTTTTATATTTTCTCTCCTTCTCCATCTTTCTTTTTTTAATCAGACTTGCCAAAGATTGGTCTGTTTTATTGGTTATCAAATAATCAGATTTTTAGTACACTAATTGAGTGTGCCTTTTATTGTTTGTTTTTTATTTCATTAATTTCTGCTTTATCTCTTTTAATTCCATCCCCCAACTTTTAAAAGAGTTGTTTGTAATGTTCTTTGCCTAGCTTATTGAGTTTAATGTTTGGTTCATTGATTTTCAATCTTTTATGTTCTTTGAGTGCATTTCTAAAGCTATACATCTTCTTTTGAATGCCACTTTCTGTACACTATAGGTTTTGCTTTGTAATGTTTTCAGTATTGTCTTTAATTTCCATTTTGATTTACCCTTTAACCCAAGAATTCTTTCTTTCTTTATTTATTTTTTTGAGACAGAGTCTCACTCTGTCACCCAGGCTGGAATGCAGAGGTGCAGACCCTCCCTCCCTCCCTCCCTCCCTCCCTCCCTCCCTCCCTTCCTTCCTCCCTTCCTTCCTTCCTTCCTCCCTCCCTTCCTCCCTTCCTTCCTTCATCTCACTCTGTCGCCCAGGCTGGAATGCAGTGGCGCGGACTCGACTCACTGCAACCTCCATCTCCCAGGTTCAAGCAATTCTCGTGCCTCAATCTCCCAAGTAGCTGAGATTACAGGCGCCCACCACCACACCCAGCTAATTTTTGTATTTTTAGTAGAGATGGAGTTTCACCATGTTGGCCAGGCTGGTCTCGAGCTCCTGACCTCAGGTGATCCGCCCCCGCTCAGCCTCCCTAAGTGCTGGGATTACAGGTTTGAGCCACCGCAACCCGCCCCAAGAGTTCTTTTTACCTTACAAGCAGATAGTTACCTTTTTAGTTACCTGTTGGCACTATACATATTTTTTTCCTCCCACTCCTCCCTTTACACTCATTTCCACCCAGAGAACTAGTCCTCCACTTTAGGGCTGAGACTCCCAAGACTGGCCCCATCCACTGGGCTAATGAGCAGCATGCCCTCATTTCACCCTGCTCCTTCTTGTAAGAGTCATTTTACACATTTGTCTTTCCCACT
The DNA here is from genome assembly GCF_000001405.40 of Homo sapiens. Taxonomy (NCBI): domain Eukaryota; kingdom Metazoa; phylum Chordata; class Mammalia; order Primates; family Hominidae; genus Homo; species Homo sapiens. Next base: position 150,042,713 of record NC_000001.11, read on the forward strand.
TAGCTGAGGCCCTAAGGTAAGGAATTTAGAGATCTTTCCCACCACTAAGGCCCTAAGGTAAGGAATTCAGAATGTATCTCTGAATACATTCAGAAATGTAAGAAACTCAGTTTTAAAGCAGAAAAATTATATATCACTATGTCTATATAGTAGTTATAGCCAATGTCCCTAAACAGAAAATTGTCCAATGGTGCAAAGGAATTAGTAAGAATATCTATAATTTCTAGATCCACATTTCAAATCTCATATTAAAATAGATAACATTATTTGTTTTTAAACTAAATTCTTCATATAAAATACATTCAGAAATGTATTCAGAGATACATTTCCAACAATGATTCTCAAAGCAAAGTCCAGAGACCTTTGCACCAGCATCGCCAGTGGTACTATTATAAGTATATATACTGAGCCCCATCTCAGATCTATTAAGTCAGAATCTCTAGGGGGAGGGCTCAGGAATCTCCATTTTTAACAAGCACCCTCAAGATGAGTTTATTCTAGCACGCTGAAGTTTGACAACTATTTCTCTAAGTGATACCCTGATAAGCTTCAGTTAAGTACAGAGCAGATCAACTAGGTAAAAAGGTGTTAGGACCCGTGTCATATAAAGAATTTTAAAGGAACGTAGGATATTTAGTACTAAAAACAAACATAAAAAAGAATTGGTTGGCAGAACATGAGAGATGCCACTTATGTGAAAAATACTTTAGATTTATTCCATACAGTTTTTGGAGGGTAAGTTCAAAGGGTAGAAATTAGAAGGAGATAGATTTCCGCTTTAATGTAAGGAAAAGATTGCCAACAATTTGAGCTCTTCAAAAATGGAATAGACTTATTGTGAATTCGTGAGTTCACCCCTATTTGGACATAGTCAAGCAGATGATGAATGACTTTATGCCAGAGATGTTGAAGAGGGACTTTTACATCAAACTAGTTGATCACTACATTCCCTTGCAACTCAGGATTCTTAAGATTCTCTAATTTTAGGAATATGAGTTCAATATGGGTTATAATTATTATAACATTTTTCAGGTGATACTAGAAGCCCATTTCCTCATAGTCAAGGATGTAGACACATTTAGTGATTTCACACAATGTATATAAAAACAAGCCTGAGGCTAGGCACTATGGTTCACGCCTGTAATCCCAGCACTTTGAGAGGTTGAGGCTAAAGGATTACAAGATTACTTGAGCCCAGGAGTTCAAGACCAGCCTAGGCAACATAGAGAGACTCCTCCCCTACAAATTTTAAAAAATTATTCAGGCATGATGGCACGTGCCTGTAGTCCCAGCTACTCAGGAAGCTGAGGTAGGAGGACCTCTTGAACCCAGGAGGTCAAAGCTGCAGTAAGCCATGATAGGGTCACTACACTCCAGCCTGGGCAAGACCCTATCTCAAAAAAATAATAAAATAAAATAAAATAAAAACTGGTCTGAGTAAATAAAATCTCACCCAATTATATTTTTTTCAAATTTAAGAGTTTTTAAAGGTTTATTTTATTTTTTATTTTTTGAGATGGAGTCTTGCTCCATAGCCCAGGCTGGAGTGCAGTGGCATGATCTTGGCTCACTGCAACCTTCGCCTCCCAGGCTCAAGTGGTCCTCCTGCCTCAGCCTCCCAAGTAGCTGGGATTATAGGTGCACTCCACAATGCCTGGCTAATTTTTGTATTTTTAGTAGAGATGGGATTTCACCATGTTGGCCAGGCTGGTCTCGAACTCCTGACTTCAAGTGACCCACCCGCCTCAACCTCCCAAAGTGTTGGGATTACAGGCATGAGCCACCTGTTATATTACAGGCATGAGCCCACCACCTGGGGTGGTGGTGCACACCTGTAGTCCCAGCTACTTGGGAGGCTGAGGTAGGAGAATCGCTTGAACCCAGGAGGCAGAGGGTGCAGTGAGCCGAGATCACACCACTGCACTCTAGCCTGGGCAACAGAGCAAGATTCTGTCTCAAAAAATAATAATAATGATAATAATAATAATAAATAAAAATAAAGTTCAAGGATATGTAGCAAAGAAAATCACTTACAACAACCCAACATTATAGTCTGTCTATAAAATAAACACATCTACTCCTTCCAACTTCATAAGGGTGAAAAATAAGAGTTTAAAATATGAAGCAGAAACAAGATGTATTAGTTACCTGTGAAAATAGCTCTCTGATTGTGTGCCTTTAAATTGGCAGGGGAAAAAAAGAAACTCAGTTTTAAAACAGAAAACTTATATATCACTATGTCTATATACTTGTTATAGCCAACGTCCCTAAACAGAAAATTGTTCAGTGGTGCAAGGGAATTAGTAATAATACCAATAATTATTAGATTCAGATTTCAAATCCCATATGAAAATAAACAATATTATTTGTTCTTAAACTAAATTTTTTTTTTTTTTTGAGATGGAATCTTGCTCTGTCACCCAGGCTAGAGTGCAGTGGCATGATCTCACCTCACTACAACCCCCGCCTTCCAGGTTCAAGCGATTGTCATGCCTCAGCCTCCCAAGTAGCTGAGATTACAGGTGTGTGCCACCGTGACCGGCTAATTTTTTTGTATTTTTAGTAGAAATAGGGTTTCACCATGTTGGCCACGCTGGTCTCGAACTCCTGACCTCTAGTGATCTGTCCAACTCAGCTTCCCAAAATGCTGAGATTACAGGTGTGAGCCACCGTGTCCAGCCAGAAAACCTTTGTGGAGGTGCTGGGGATTGACCCAGGGCCTCATGCATGCTAAGCGTGCGCCCTACCACTGATCTACACCCCCTTTAATTCTTAACATCAGAAATATTATTCAACAGACACATATCAGAGTTGAGGGAAATTATTGGAAAATTGAGACCAAAAAAAGCATACAGAAAGTTAATTTATTTTCTAGACAGAACTCTGCTAGTATTAGAATCAAATACTTTTAATTAGATAGTAATTTACTTGCTTTCTTGTAACTTATGGCCATCTTCTCTAGTCTGTTTGTTACAGTCCTACACATATTAAATAGCAAAAACAAACTAATTATATATTTTGCATGATCAGTATGTTACAACATTAAGATCAGACTAATAATACAAGTCACCTACTCCATTGCCAATTTTTATACTCCCTGCAATCTTACAGCACATCCTCATATGAACAAAAAGCCTTTATATTTATCTTACAGAGGATATAAACATCAATTTATAAAAAAGAGACACAAGCCTTATATAGTTAAAAGTAATATAATTAACATGATTACAAAAACATTTCTAATAAAGCAGAGGAAATAATTATATTGCTTGTAGTTCTAGTAAGAGTTTATTGAACCATTAAAAATAATTTCAAAACAATAAAATACAAAGGCAAATATCCAAATAGTTTTGTATGGATCTAGCATTCACTTTTCCTTGATCCAACCTAGTTTTAATTCCTATGGCCTACAGGATGGCTTAGATAAGGAAGAAGCTAAAAATTGGCTGTTACAGAGTTGCAGTTGTGTGGCATATGGGTGATCTACGTAACTGAAGTTGAAGGGAGAAATGCAATCTTCCCCCAAAACCTGCTTTTCCTTCAGTCCACTGTCACAATCCTGAGTCCAGCTACTCTCTCAACATCTCCATCTCCCTGGCTAAAACCTCCCATCTCTCATCTGGGTTGTTGTAAAGCCTCCTAACTAACCTCACTTCTTTTGCCTTTGCCTGCTATGATTAATTCCCAACCCAGTAGCCAGACTGATCCTCTCCTCAAAGCTCTCCAGTGGCATTTTTTTTTTTTTTTTTTTTTGAGACAGAGTCTTGCTCTGTCACCCAGGCTGGAGTACAGTGGGGCGATCTCGGCTCACTGCAACCTCCACCTCCCGGGTTCAAGTGATTCTCCTTCCTCAGCCTCCTGAGTTGCTGGGACTACAGGCGCATGCAACCACACCTGGCTAATTTTTTTTTTTTTTTTAGTAGAGACGGGGTTCCACCATGTTGGCCAGGATGGTCTCAATCTCCTAACCTCGTGATCCACCCGCCTCGTCCTCCCAAAGTGCTGGGATTATAGGCGTTAGCCACCACGTCTGGCCTCCAGTGGCATCCTTATTCAAAATAAAAGTAAATATCCTAGGGTGGGCATGGTGGCTCACGCCTGTAATCCCAGCACTTTGGGAGGCTGAGGCGGGCAGATCACTTGAGGTCAGGAGTCCAAGACCAGCCTGGCTAACATGGCGAAACCCCATCTCTACTAAAAATACAAAAATTAATTGGACATGGTGGCAGGTGCCTGTAATCCCAGCTACTGGGGAGGCTAAGGCAGGAGCATTGCTTGAACCCGGGAGGCGGAGATTGCAGTGAGCCAAGATCATGCCACTGCACTCTAGCCTGGGCGACAGAGCACAGCTCTGTCTTGGAAAAAAAACAAAGTCAATATCCTCACAACTAGGTCCTACACCAACTATTCCCCATTTTCCATCTTCCGCTGTCAATCACTCAGCTACCCTGGCTGCTTTGCTGTCTTATGAACAGCCCACTCCCACCTCAGGGATTTAGCAATTGCTCTTTCCTTTATCCAAAAAACTTTCATCTGGATTACATGTATCTTATTCCTTTAACATCCTTCAGGTTTTTGCTCAATGTTCATTTTTCAGCAAATGATTCCCTAACCACCACATTTATAACTGCAAACCTTATGCATCTCAACACTCCCCCCAACCTCCTTCTTTAAACTTGTTTTTGCTCTATAGAACTTACTACCACATGATTACTATATATTATGCTTATTTTGTGTACTGTCTGATTGTCCTCACTAGATTGTAAGAGAGATTAGGGATTTTTGTCTGTTTTTTTCAATCCCATATTTCCATGGCTAGCACCTAATAGGTATTCAACAAATGCTTGTTGAATATATGAACATCCTCTATAAATCCTCTAGTAACCAGTGTCAAGAACTACATGCCTATGTAGGTGACCCAAACACTTCCTCTAAGAACTGTATAGAAAAATAATTTCAGGCCAGGCGTGGTGGCTTATGCCTATAATCCCAGCACTTTGGGAAGCCGAGGCGGGTGGATCACGAGGTCAAGAGATCAAGACCATCCTGGCCAACATGGTGAAACCACATCTCTACTAAAAATACAAAAATTAGCTGGGCATGGTGGTGCGTCCCTGTAGTCCCAGCTACTCGGGAGGCTGAGGCAGGAAAATCGCTTGAATCTGGGAGGCAGAGGTTGTAGTAAGACAAGATCGCGCTCCAGCGTGCACTCCAGCCTGGCGACAGAGCGAGACTACGTTTAAAAAAAAAAATTCATTTAATTTAAACATCTTAATTAAAAATAGGGAGCATTCAATTAAACATTCACATAATAACTACACAATTATTCTCTTTACTTCTTTCCTACTTTAAGCCTTGATGCCATCACTACTTCCAGAAAAAAAAATAGTTCCTAAATATCCCACAGAAGAAAACAAGGTAATGTTAATATAAATACTCTGCCCCTACATTTATGCAGTCTTCCCTCATATTTTTGATAAATTCCACACCCTTCCACCAGAAGTTAAAGAAAGGAGACGTATCCTCCCACTTTCGGAAATGCTTTAACCAAAATTAAAGAGAGAATGAACAAGCTATCCGTAGGAACCCATTCATCGATAGAAAGGAAAAACATTTCCTAAGAAATGTCAGAGACAAATGACTCTGGATCTAACACCATTTGGGGGGTTTCATACCATTGCTAACACAGAGACATAATATTATTAGATTTATATTAATAAGGCTGAGTGTAGTGGCTCATACCTGTAATCCCAGAACTTTGGGAGGCCAAGGCAGGAGGATATCCTGCTTGAGGACAGGAGTTCAAGACCAGCGTGGGCAAAATAGTGAGACCCGATCTCTACACAAAATAAATAAATAAAATTAGCACAGTGAAAGGATTGCTTGAGCCCAAGAGTTCAAGGCTGCAGTGAACTATGATTGTACCACTGCACACCAGCCTGGGGAAGAGAGTAAGACCTTGACTCTTAAAAAAAAAAATTGTATTAATACACTACTTCCAGAAATTAAACAAGACATACACAGTATGTGGATATAAACAAAGAAAATGATTTCCATGTACAAAACATAAAACTCATAGATTAATAACTCAAGTTTCCTAGTCTATTTTCTTATTTTGTTTCATTAAAAAAAAAATTTGAGACGGAGTCTCACCCTGTCACCCAGGCTGGAGTTCAGTGGCATGATCTCAGCTCACGGCAACCTCTGCCTCACTGGTTCAAGCAATTCTCCTGCCTCCGCCTCCTGAGTGGCTAGGATTACAGGCGCCCGCCACCACACTCGGCTAATTTTTGTATTTTTTTTTCAGTAGAGATGAGGTTTCACCATGTTGGCCAGGCTGGTCTCGAACTCCTGACCTCAAGTGATCCGTCTGCCTCAGCCTCCCAAAGTGCTGGGATTACAGGTGTGAGCCACCATGCCCCGTCTACTTAGAGGTCTAGTAAACTTAAATCAGTTCTGAAGCTTTTCCAGACAGTAGTAGTAAAATACACTATAAATCAGATTACCTGGTTCTCAATTCAATGTTCTTTTCATTCTGTCATGCTGCTCTCTAAATTTGAGTGTTCTCTTGACCAGGAATTAAATTATTCTCTATATCTGAGTTGAAACTACTATATCACCAGGAAATAAAAAAGTCTAACTTCCCAATATTATTCCTAAATTAAATCGTGGTTAGTCAGGATGTTGCTATATACTTTTAATAATAACTGAAAATTGAAGCAGAAAAAACCCCAATTCACTATGACTTGTATATTTTGTGCCATGAACAGAGGAAATTGTCATTTACAGTATAATTTTCTGGGCATAGGCATGGATTCCGGTGTTCACATCCCCAAGTTCAAATCTCAGTTTTGTCACTTATTAGGGGACATTATCTTAATGTCTCTAAGCTTTTATTTTCCTTCTCTCTCTCTCTCTTTCTTTTTTTTTTTTTTTTTTTGAGACAGGCTGATTACAGGCTCGACCTCCTGGGCTCAAGCAATCCCCCTGCCTCAGCCTCCCGAGTAGCTAGGACCACAGGTGCAAACCACCACGCAATTAATTTCTGTATTTTTTATAGAGATGGGTTTTACCATGTGCTCAGGCTGGTCTTGAACTACTGGGCTCCGCCTTGGCTTCCCAAAGTGCTGGAATGACACAAATGAACCACCGTGCCCAGCCCTATTTTCTCATTTTTAAAAAAGAAAGGTTATTGTTTCAAAATATGTTGTACATGAGGCCAGGTGTAATGGCTCATTCCTGTCATCCCAACACTTTGGGAGGCTGAGGCAGGAAGGTAGCATGAGCCCAGGAATTCAAGACCAGCCTAGGCAGAACAGTGAGACCCCCATCTGTACAAAACTTTTAAAAAAATTCTCCAGGCATGGTGTTACGTGCCAGTAGAGGCTGGAGGGTCACTTGAACCAGGGAGGTCAAGGCTGCAGTGAGCCATGATTGCGCCACTGTACTCTAGCCTGGGCAATCCAGGGAGACCCTGTCTCAAAAAAAAAAGCATGCTTTACATGATAAATATTACAATTTTTGCCAATTAAAAATAAATATTTATCTCTCATATCCCAGGAAATCAAGTAAAAATAAATAAAAGAAATAAATGAATAAAATTTAAACAATAAAAAGAAGATAGCACTACTACTTATGTCTTTGAGTTGTGAGAAAAATGCACAGAAAGTACTTAGCACATGGCCTAACACATATATATATTCATAGTGACAGATACACTACTGTCAATTGCAGTCAGACATGAATGGAAATCATAATCAGATTCTCACCTTTCAAACTTTAGATGTGACTTCATAGTAATTCAACAAATCTTCCAAGTCCAGAACACCTGTTGATTTGAATCTTACAGCAATTACTTTTATCTAGTCTTTAAGAAATGAAAAAATAATGTAACAGCAAACTCATGCAGTGACTCAATAAATTTAAAGCCATAAACAGGCTAAATCCAACACTAAACAAGCATTTTGCAATCTATTTTAGCCAAAACAATGCATTTTCCCTCATTCACATAACAATTACTCAGTATGCCAGCTCCCAGTGTTACAGAGCCTGTTCTTGGTGATTCAAGGGCGCCCTCTGTCTGAGTGCTGAAAAAATCCAAACCCAAATTTAAAACTATGTAAAAACATGCTTTCAAGTAAATTCTTAATAAACAGTTCTATGAAATTGATCCTGTCTTTAATCACTGCTGGCAGATAGTCCTTAAAAAAAAAAAAGAAAAGAAAGAAAAAAACGGCTGGGTGCGGTGGCTCACGCCTGTAATTCCAGCACTTTGGGAGGCCAAGGCAGGTGGATCACCTGAAGTTAGGAATTCAAGACCAGTCTGGCTAACATGGTGAAACCCTGTCTCTACTAAAAATACAAAAATTAGCCAGGCGTGGTGGCAGGAGCCTGTAATCCCAGCTACTCGGGTGGCTGAGGCAGGAGAATCGCTTGAACCCAGGAAGCAGAGGTTGCAGTGAACCGAGATTGCGCCATTGCACTCCAACCTGGGCAACGAGAGCTAGACTTCGCCTCAAAAAAAAAAAAAAAAAAAACCACCAACAAATGTCATGTCATTTGTTACAAGAGCACAAGAAATTCATGTCTACATCTCTGTAATTTACCTGGAAATTTGGAAATTCCATGATATTTTTCTCAAAATTTATTCCATATTATTCAATGAAATTATTGACATGAGTCACCTAGATAAGTTTATTGCTCTCTTTTTTTGTCCTGTCCATGTAAAACTCTGTACTTTATTTAACATGTCATTGTTAATAAATGACATGTTATTTATTATTATTATTATGTCTAGTTTCTAAAACAAGACACATAAAAAGGATGTGTACAAAAATATATAGTGAAATGCCCACTAAAAAGTAGGTTTCTTTCCATCTGCTTCCACTTTAAGGAAGTTATTCAACTTCTCTGAACCTCAGTTTATCTGGAATATAAAAATAATATCCACCTTAAAGGAAAGTTGCAAAGGTTAATTCAGATATCTGTAAAGGTCTCAGCACATAGTAAAAGCTTAATGAAAGGTGGTTGTTATTATTTACTACTATTATTAAGAGAATAATCTTAAATAATAGTGTCCTACATTAAAGACATTTTATTTGCTTCAAATGGAAAGATATGTAAATAAAAAAGTTTATGATTTACTTTTACAATATTAAACAGTCTTTCTAGTTAAGAAAAACAGTGATCTTGATTAAATGCTTGACAGATCAGGAATGAGCCATTTCTAAAAGATTATTTCAATATAAAAATATTATGCTCTCTTCATGTTAAAAACTCTCAATAAACTATGCATTAAAGGAACATACCTCAAAATAATGAGTCATCTATGACAAACCCACAGCCAATATCATACTGAATGGGCAAAAGCTGGAAGCATTCCCCTTGAAAACTGGCACAGGACAAGGATGCCCTCTCTCACCACTCCTATTCAACATAGTATTGGAAGTCCTGGCCAGAGCAATAAGGCAAGAGAAAGCAATAAACGGCATCTGAATAGCAAGAGAGGAAGTCAAACTATTTCTGTTTGCAGACGACATGATTCCATATTTAGAAAACCCCATAGTCTTGGCTCAAAAGCTCCTTCAGCTGATAACTTCAGCAAAGTCGCAGGATGTAAAATAAATGTACAAAAAACACTAGCACTCCTATACACCAACAACAGTCAAGCTGAGAGCCAAATCAGAAAGGCACTCTCATTCACAATTGTCACTAAAAAAATAAAATACCTAGCAATACAGCTAACCAGGGAGGTGAAAGATCTCTACAATGAGAATTACAAAATACTGTGCAAAGAAATCAGAGAAGCCACAAACAAATGGAAAAACATCCCATGCTCATGGATAGGAAGAACCAATGTCATTAAAATGGTCATATTGCCCAAAGCAATTTACAGATAAAATGTTATTCCTATCAAACTACCAATAACATTCTTCACAGAATTAGGAAAAACTATTTTAAAATTCATATGGAACTAAAAAAGAGCCCAAATAGCAAAGCCAAAAAGAACAAACCTGGAGGCATCACATTACCTGACTTCAAACTATACTACAGTGGCCAAAACAGCATGGTACTGGTAAAACAAACAAACAAACAAACGAAAACAAAAAACAAAAAAAAAAACAGGCACATAGACCAATGAAACAGAATGCAGAGTCCAAAAATAAGGCCACACACCTATGACCATCTGAACTTCAACAAAGCTGACAAAAACAAGCAATAGAGAAAAGACTCCCTAGTCAATACATGGTGCTGGGATAACTGGCTAACCATATGCAGAAGATTGAAACTGGACTCCTTCTTTACACCATATACAAAAATCAACTCAAGATGGAATAAATACTTAAATATAAAACCCAAAACTATAAAAACCCTGGAAGACAACCTAGGCAATACTATCCTGGACTTAGGAACAGGTGAAGATTTCATGACAAAGATGCTAAAAGCAATCGCAAAAAATTGACAAATGGGATCTAATTAAACTTAAGAGTTTTTGCACAGCAAAATAAACTATCAACAGAGTAAACAGACAATCTACAGAATGGGAGAAAATATTTTCAAACTATGCATCTGACAAAGGTCTAATATCCAGCATCTATAAGGAACTTAAACGAATTTACAAGAGAAAAACAACTACCCCATTAAAAAGTGGGCAAAGGACATGAACACTTTTCTTTCCCTTTTTTTTTCTTTTTTTTTTTTGAGACTGAGTTTCCCTCTTGTCACCCAGGCTGTAGTGCAGTGGCACACTCTCGGCTCACCGCAACTTCTGCCTCTTGGGTTCAATCGATTCTCCTGTCTCAGCCTCCCAAGTAGCCGAGATTACAGGCATGTGCCACCATGCCTGGCTAATTTTGCATTTTTAGTAGAGACGAGGTTTCTCCATGTTGGTCAGGCTGGTCTCGAACTCCCGACCTCAAGTGATTCACCCACCTCAGCCTCCCAAAGTGCTTGGATTACAGGCATGAGCCACCACGCACGGCTGAACAGACACTTTCCAAAAGAAGGCATATATGCAGCCAACGGACATATGAAAAAAAGCTCAATATCACCGATCATTAGAGAAATGCAAATCAAAACCACAATGAGATACCATCTCACACCAGTCAGAATGGCCATTATTAAAAAGTCAGCTCTTTTCCATCTTACAAGATGGAGGGTGAACAAGTTGAGAAGCCAGATACTAAAGAGAAGAAACCTGAAGTCAAGAAGGCTGATGCTGGTGGCAAGGTGAAAAAGGGTAACCTCAAGGCTAAGAAGCCCAAGAACAGGAAGCCCCATTGCAGTCAAAATCCTGTCATTGTCAGAGGGATTGGCAGATATTCTCCATCTGCTATGTATTCCAGAAAGGCCACGTGCAAGAGGAAGTACTCAGCTGTGAAATCCAAGGTTGAAAAGCAAAAGGAGAAGTTTCCTGCAACTATTACAAAACCAGCTGGTGGTGGCAAGAACGGTGGTACGCAGGTGGTTAAACTTTGCAAAATGCCTACATATTATCTTACTGAAGATGTGCTTTCAAAGCTGTTGAGCCAAGGAAAAAAACCCTTCAGTCAGCACATGAGAAAACTGTGAGCCAGGATCACTCCCAAGACCATTCTGATCATCCTCACTGAAAGCCACAGGGGCAAGAGGGTGATTTTCCTGAAGCAGCTGGCTAGTGGCTGGTTACTTGTGACTGGACCTCTGGTCCTCAATCAAGTTCCTCTACAAAGAACACACCAGAAATCTGTCATTGCCACCTCAGCCAAAATTGATATCAGCAATGTAAAAATCCCAAAACATCTTACTGATACTTACTTCAAGAAGAAGCTGCAGGCAGGGCATGGTGACTCATGTCTGTAATCCCAGCACTTTGGGAGGCCAAAGCAGGCAAATCACTTGAGGTCAGGAGTTCAAGACCAGCACGGCCAACATGGTGAAATCCTGTCTCTACTAAAAATACAAAAATTAGCCGGGTGTGGTGGCATGGGCCTGTAATCCCAGCTACTTGGGAGGCTGAGGCAGGAGAATCTCTTGAACTCAGGAGGCAGAGGTTGCAGTGAGCCCAGAGCGTGCCACTGCGCTTCAGCCTGGGTGACAAGAGGGAAACTCAGTCTCAAAAAAAAAAAAAAAAAAAAAGACGCTGCAGAAGCCCAGACACCAGGAACGTGACATGTTCCATATAGAAAGAGAAATACGAGATTACAGAGCAGCACAAGATTGATCAAAAAGCTGTGGACTCACAGATTTTAACCAAAATCAAAGCTATTCCTCAGCTCCAGGGCTACCTCTGATCTGTGTTTGCCCCGACAAATGGAATTTATCCTTACAAATTGGTGTTCTAAATTTCCTTTTTTTTTTTTTTGAGACGGAGTCTTGCTCTGTCACCCAGGCTGGGGTGCAGTGGCCTGATCTCGGCTCACTGCAAGCTCCGCCCCTCAGGTTCACGCCATTCTCCTGCCTCAGTCTTCCGAGTAGCTGGGACTACAGGCGCCCACCACCACGCCCGGCTAATTTTTTGTATTTTTTAGTAGAGACGGGGTTTCACCGTGTTAGTCAAGATAGTCTCGATCTCCTGACCTCGTGATCCACCCGCCTGGGTCTCCCAAAGTGCTGGGATTACAGGCGTGAGCCACTGCGCCCGGCCTGGTGTTCTAAATTTCTTAAGAAGAATCTAATTAAATAACTGATAACAAAAAAAAATAACAGATGCTGATGAGATTGCAGAGAAAAGGGAACACTTCTGCACTGTTGGTGGAGTGTAAATTAGTTCAACCATTGTGGAAAGCAGTATGGTGATTCCTCATAGAGCTAAAAGCAGAACTACCATTCGACCCAGCAATCCCATTATTGGGTATATACCCAGAGGAATTCTACCCTAAAGACACATGCACACGAATGTTCATTGCAGCACTGCGCACAATAGCAAAGACATGGAATCAAACTAAATGCCCATCAATGACAGATTGGATAAAGAAAATGTACGTATACACCATGGAATACTATGCAGCCATAAAAAAGAACAAGATCATGTCTTTTGCAGGTACATGGATGGAGCTGGAGGCTATTATCCTTAGCAAACTAATGCAGGAACAGAAAGCCAAATACTGCATGTTCTCACTTATAAGCAGAAGCTAAATGATGAGAACTAATGAACACAAAGAAGGAAACAACAGACACTGGGGCCCACTTGAGGGTGGAGGGTGGGAGAAGGGAGAGGAGCAGGAAAAGTAACTATTGGGTACTAGGTTTAGTACCCAGGTGGCTAAATAATCTGTACAACAAACCCCTGTGACATGGGTTTATCTATATAACAAACCTGCACATGTACCCCCGAACCTAAAATAAAAGTTTAAATAAATAAATAAATAAGAAAAAACTATTATACTCAAGACTCCTTTACCACCAATGAAATTTAAGGAGTTACAGGAATATGAATTTTCTAGTACTTACTTCATATGGCTTGCCTGTTCTCTTAAAACATCATCTAAGATGTTAAAAATAATTCAGTCACATTTATGGTCATCTACATATCTAACACCAAGAGCAGCCCCAAAACAGAATAATGATAATAAAAGGGATCTTAGCAATTAATCTAGTTTGATCTTTTTTAAGGAATAAAACTTATTCTGTATCTCCTTAACATTATAAGTTATTCTAAAATTCATCTCATGAATTGCAATAATTCTGGGAGGAGGCAAGCACATGATAAATATTTTTATATTCCATTTGTTGATGAGGAAACTTATAAACAGTAAAACTAAGCACAGTATAAAATACTTGTTATGAAAAATTAATTATAGCTAGGCTAAAGACTACTTGTATTATCTCAATTCTCACATCAATCTGAGGTAGGCGTTATTTTCTCCATTTACAAATGAGGAAACTGTGACACAGAGAAGTTACATAACTTGCCAAGTTATGCAGCTAGTACACACAGAATCAAATCCAGGCTCACTGATTCCAGAGCCTACACTCTTAACCTCTATATTATATTTTTCCTAATACCTAAAAAGAACAATTTTCTTAAATATCCATGAGTCTATAACTGACACAAATAAATGACTGAATAAATAAATAAATGGGGGAAGACAGGACAGGTCTTCTTTACAGAAAATTCCAATACATACACAAGGAATGAAGAAAATAATCACCATTAGATAAACACCAATTGTTGCAGGCAAGAACCATCAATGGATTACAGCTAAAATTAGGAGGTGAAAGTATGATGAGAAACAGAATATTTTCATAGCTTCAACACATCTCTCCATATGACATATGTTAATTACAAGGAGAAAAATAGTAATTTTACAGTGGAGAAAGCCTGCAGACACCAGGTAAACCAAGTGATCAAAGTTAATATCACCAATGATAAGATATATCAACATTATGTATGCCATGATATTGAGAAGGCTACATCACTTTTTTGATATTTCTGCCAAAAATGCACAATCTCAATCTAATAATGAGAAAACATTAGATAAACCCATATTGACGGATATTCTACGAAACAACTGACCAGTGTGCTTAGAAAGAGTAATTTAGTTAATAGTATTTTACCAATGATAATTTCCCAGTTTTGGTCTTTGTACTATGGTTATGTAAGAAGTTAATATTGAAGGAAGTTTGGTAAAGAGTATAAGGGAACTCTCTATTTTTGCAACTTTTCTGTAAGTTTTAAATTTCAAAATAAGAAGTTGAAAAAGTAACAATTTTCTTAAAATCTATAATCCAAACCTTATTAATTTATCTTCCTCTTTATTCTCAGAGAGGCCAAATTGGTAAGTTCTCCCATGAGTTGACTAGTGTCACTGGCAGAGGAGCTAAGAATAGTTCTCCATGGGTCAACTGTCTTCTCCATATACTACATGCTTCTGTAAGGAGATTGGATGATGACGATACACAATAATCTTGTATTTGTAAGTAGTAAGAACAACTATTTTAAAATGAAAGGATTCAGTCTTTTCTCTTAGAGGTGTTCATTAGTTTTTAATCATGAAATAAAATTATTGCCCATGATTCTGAGGTTCTGTGTCTTGATACTCTAAAACATTATATACAGTGAAACAGCATTCTGTTAGGATTTGTCCAATAAAGTACTTTTCATTATCATAATGTTTTAAACATGTAGACTCAGTAATCCTTACTCTAAGAATGTAGAGATATGACTGTGCTAAGGCAATAAGTATGAATAAACAGAAATGTATAGCTAGCTAACATCACAGCTTAACTCAAAAGGTCTGAACCAAGCCTAAAGCAGAAAAGTATGACAAGTGAAAGCACTGCCCAAATGCCCTTGGAGCATAATTATGAGCCCATTTTAAGGGGCAAATACTAATAGAATTGGATGAAGGATTGTGGGACAGAAGATTTAGGGGTAAAGAATAGTATTAAAGCTCAACGGAAAGAGAACAAAAACTACTCAATCTCCTTGTATTCGCTCAGCCCCCAATAATCTTGACCCTCTACTGCTTTGCTACTCAAAATGTGGTCCATGGAACGCCAGCACCAACATCATCTGGAGCTAGTTAAAAACAAAGGATATAGGCTGGTGCCTTTAATCCCAGCACTTTGGGAGACCAAGGCGGGGCCAATCACTTGAGTCCAGGAGTTCGAGATCAGCCTGGGCAACATGGAAAAATCCTGTCTCTACAAAAAAATACAAATAAATTAATGGGCATGGTAGCACATCCCTGTACTCCCAGCTACTCAGGAGGCTGAGGGAGGAGGGTCACCTGAGACCAGGAGTTTGAGGTTGCAGTAAGCCGAGTTATGATTGTAGCACTGCACTCCAGCCTGGGTGACAGGCTGTTTATTTTTTGAGACTGGGTGACCCTGTCTTGAAAAATAAAAATAAGTAAATAAATTAAATAAATAAAAATACATGATGTAATAAGACCTCATCCCAGATCCATTGACTAAAAAATCTTCATTTTAGCAAGATCCACACTTGATGAATCCCCAGGAGATTTGTACATGCACATTAAAGTTTGATCAACATTTCCCAAACACATTGAGTTTTAAGGAAATAAACAATAAGATATGTCATACCACATTAATCTCCAAATTGGTGGTTTAAGTAGCTTGGTATTTCATTAGACAGCCTTTCAATCTCACTTTAGAAGAGAAAAGCACAATAAAACATCCAGTATAAAAGGTATTTTAGGTATTCTTTATGCTTATCTGTCAGAGACTAGTTAGGAAAAAATATTTCTTTTACAATAAATTTCTTATTTTATAATTTTCTTACAAAATATACCAAATCTGTGTTTTAAAGTAAATATATTATGTATTAGACATTTTTAAAGAATACTGACAAATTAAGGTACTGAATGCAAATATATACTTTCTTACTTTCTTTTCTTTTTTTTTTTTTTTTTTGTGACGGAGTCTTACTCTCTTGGCCAGGCTGGAGTGCAGTGGTGTGATCTCGGCTCACTGCAACCTCTGCCGCCCAGGTTCAAGCGATTCTTCTGCCTCAGCCTCCTGAGTAGCTGGGATTACAGGTGCCTGCCACCACACCTGGCTAATTTTTGTAGTTTTTACTAGAGACAGGGTTTCACCATCTTGGCCAGGCTGGTCTTGAACTCCTGACCTCGTGATCCACCCCCCCCCCCCCCGCCTCCCAAAATGCTGGGATTACAGACATGAGCCACCGCACCTGGCCACTTTTCATATTCTTTCTTTTTTTTTTTTGAGACAGAGTTTCACTCTTGTTGCCCAGGCTGGAGTGCAATGGCGCAATCTCGGCTCACCGCCTCCTCCTCCTCCCAGGTTCAATCGATTCTCCTGCCTCAGCCTCCCGAGTAGCTGGGATTACAGGCATGCGCCATCACACCCGGCTAATTTTGTATTTTTAGTAGAGACGGGGTTTTTCCATGTTGGTCAGGCTCGGTC